>NC_000012.12:12709650-13334650 GCF_000001405.40 Homo sapiens
GCTGGTCTTGAACTCTAGGATCAAGCAGTCCTCCCACCTCAACCTCCCAAAGTGTTGGGATTATGGGCATGAGCCACCGTACCCCACTGAAGACAGTGTTCTTAAAAGGGTACTTTCAATCTCAAGTCTACATTACCTCATTAGTCTCTGCCTTACAATTTACTAATTGAAGTTTCTCAGACTTGATTCCAAATTTTCGGGAGAAAAAATTTGGCTAGCCAAGTTTAGGTCAAACAACCACCTCCTCTCCCCTTGTCTGATCAACTTCGGTAAGGGAATGGGAACAGGGTTTCATAATCTGCTGTCCCCCCAGCAGAGGTTATGGGAACAGAGTCTGAGAAGGGAGTACAGGACAACAGAGAAACAATGAGTGTTGCACACCTCAAGTGTGATGTGAAAGAATTAAGAATACCACATGCAGCCAGGTGCGGTGGCTCACACCTGTAATCCCAGCAACTGGGGAGGCCGAGGTGGGTGGATCACCTGAGGTCAGGAGTTCGAGACCAGCCTGGCTAACATGGTGAAACCTCGTTTCTACTAAAAATACAAAAAATTAGCTGGGCCTGGTGGCGCGCACCTCTAATCCCAGCTACTTGGGAGGCTGAGGCAGGAGAATCGTTTGAACCTGGGAGGTGGAGGTTGCAGTGAGCCAAGATCGTGCCATTACACTCCAGCTTGGGCAACAAGAATGGAGCTCCATCTCCAAAAAAAAAAAAAAAATACCACATGCATCCTTATTCCTGTACCCGTGTAACTGTTAATCTACTCAGGATCCAACCTGGCCATATGATTAATGGCACATTTGTAAATATGGATAGGTGTCAGAGAGCCCCACCAATCATAACATCCCTTCACATTTTGTGTCAGATGCTTGTCTCCAGTATTGTCTCTTTTGCCCTCTTTTTATTTTCGTTACAGACAGAGTCTCCCTCTGTTGCCCAGGCTGGAGTGCAGTGGTACACTATAACATTGAACTCCTGGGCTCAAATGGTCCTTCTGTCTCAGCCCCCCAAGTAGCTGGGACTACAAGTGCACAACACTGTGCCCAGCTGTTTTTTAAAAAATTTTTTTGTAGAGACAGGGTCTTGCTATGTAGGCCAGGCTGGTCTTGAATTCCTGGCCTCAAGTAATCCTCCTGACTCAACCTACCAAAGTGAGGGGATTACAAACATGAGCCACTGTGCCTGGCCTTCTGTAGCCCTCTTAAGGGACATACCTTTTCATTCTTTCTTTTCCCTGGGGATTAAGTTAATTTCAATGCTCATACTGACCATTGAGTGATAAACCAAATTCTTCACCTTCCCTATTCCCTATCTCCCAAACTGTTCCATATGCATTAGTTAGGAGTGACTGTAAAATGCTATAAAAAGTGGGCCGGTGTGGTAGCTCATGCCTGTAATCCCAGCACTTTGGGAGGCTGAGGCAGGCAGATCAGGATATTGAGACCATCCTGGCCAACATGGTGAAACCTCGTCTCTACTGAAAATACAAACATTAGCTGGGTGTGGTGGCACGTGCCTGCAATCCCAGCTACTCGGGAGGCTGAGGCAGGAGAATTACTTGAACCTGGGAGGTGGAGGTTGCAGTGAGCTGAGATCACGCCATTGCACTCCAGCCTGGCGACAGAATGAGACTCCATCAAAAAAAAAAAAAAAAAAGACCCCAAAATGAAAACTTATTTCTTCTCCCAAATCAGGTCAGGGACCCAAGTTGAAGGTGGCTCTGTCATCTTCAACATGTGGCTTCCAAGGTTGCTCTAGTATTCACCTTTCCAGCCCATGAGAAAGGGGAAAGAGAGTGGCGGATTCTGAGGGGGTCACATGACAGGTTCTATGCACTAGGCCTGGAAGACACATACCACCTTTGCTTACATTCTATTGGAAAATACTTCATCATAAAGCCACACCTAATTGCAAAGGAGACAGGGGAATTTCATGTTGCTGGGCAGTTGTATGCTCAGTTATAATTCTGCTACTGGGAAAGAAGGCAACAATGGATTTTGATGGACTGGATCCATCAGTCGCTTGAGAGACTGAGGCAGGAGGATAACTTGAGCCCAAGAGTTCAAGGTTATAGTCTCTCCTACATTCTCCTTTTCTGTTACCTCTCTTAGTTAATGGCATTATTCTCTCAAATACCCAAGCTTGAGTCCTTAAATTCGTCCTCCCTTTCTCCATCTCTCTCAATCCTCTTATATGTTCCAGCTACCTAAGTAACCACCCTGCATTTGTTCCTTGCTTTCCATTTCCTCTATAGCATGACTTAAATCCATTGTATCTGTTGATTGAATAACTCATCATCCTCCAAAATTACCTCCGTGTCAGTCTCTCCAGGCTCATCACACCCATCCTTTACTCTGCCGTCAGACACTACTTCCAAACACAAAGATCTGCTTGTCCAAGACAGCCTGGGCCCATTAACAGGCACCTCCCCACTCACAGTCAAGGCTGGAAGCACCATATAAAAAGCATCTGCAGCTACACCTTTGCGGCTCAGGAGATTATGGCAGACTGCCTCCTTTCTCTGCCAAGCCCTGTCCTCCTGGGCTCAGGGTTCTCTGTCTCACACTTGAACTCTGCCCATCTCCCCACATCCCACTGGATGAACACCACAGTGGGACTGTCTGCCCAGCTTTTCATTTAGCCCTGTCCCTAGACACTGTCTGTCATATCACCCTCAGCCCCATCTCACAAATCCAAACTCCAGAGCTCCAACCCAGGCCCAGGGCCCAGGCTTGCTTTTGTTCAGGAGACAAGTTTGGACGCTGATCATTCTCTTCACTTAAAGCTCCATCAGTTCGCAGTACTTACGGAGCAACAGATTTTTTAGCATGCCATCCATGGCCAACCACTGTCTGATCCCATCCCCACTTACCACCCCTACCAATTCATCCTCATAATCATCTTGACATTTTCTTATTCTTCAAGATCTGACTCATATATCACTTCTTCCATGAGGCCTTCCTCTTTCTCCTTGCTTTGTACTTCATAGCATCATGTTTTTCTATGTATTGCTTTCTACCTCTAGTTTATTTATTTGAGACAATGTCTTGCTCTATCACCCAGGCTGGAGTGCAATGGCATGATCATAGCTCACTGCAGCCTCGACCTGGGCTCAAGTGATCCTCCCACCTCTGCTTTCTGAGTTGCTGGGGCTACAGGTGCAGGCCACCAGGCCTGGTTCCAACCTCTAGTTTTTGTGCACATGGTATATACTCCCCACAGGCAAGGACTCTGACAAATATTTCTTCACTTCCCACATTGCTGAGAATAATGCCTTGGACAATACCTTACACATGGTATTGATCACTGCTTAAAACCTCCTAATGCCCCAATGGCTTTCCATATCGCCAGGCCAATAATAAAAGCCCTACCTATGCCTACCTGGTCCTATCTGATCTGATGCGCTTTTTTTTTTTTTTTTTTTTTTTAAGACAGAGTCTCACTCTGTCTCTCCCGGGCTGGAGTGCAGTGGCACGATCTTGGCTCACTATAACCTCCGCCTCCCAGGTTCAAGCAATTCTCCTGCCTCAGCCTTCCGACTAGCTGGGATCACAGGCGTGTGCCACCATGTCCAGCTAATTTTTGTATTATTAGTAGAGACAGGGTTTCACCATGTTGGCCAGGCTGGTCTTGAACTCCTGACCTCAAGTGATCCACCCACCTTGGCCTTCCAAAGTGCTAGGATTATAGGCGTGAGCACCGTGCCCAGCCCTGATGCTCCTGTTACCACTCCCCACTTGCTCCGCCCTATCCACCATGGGCCCCCCTGCTGTTCCTTGAACACATTAGGCAAGATCCCACCTCAGAGACACTTCATTTGCTCTTTCCCCAGATAGCTGTATGGCTGCTCTCTCATGTCTTCAGGGCTTCTCTCAAAGGCCACCTTTTTTGTGTGTGTGAGATGGAGTCTCACTCTGTCTTCCAGGCTGGTGTGCAGTGGCAAGATCTTGGCTCACTGCAACCTCCGCCTCCTGTGTTCAAGTCATTATCCTGCCTCAGCCTCCTGAGTAGCTGGGATTACAGGCCTGCACTACCATGCCCAGCTAATGTTTGTATTTGTAGTAGAGATGAGTTTCATCATGTTGGCCAGGCTGGTCTTGAACTCCTGACATCAAGTGATCCACCTGCCTCTGCCTCCCAAAGTGCTGGGATTACAGGTGTGAGCCACTGCACCTGGCCTCAAAGGCCACTTTCTCCATGAGGCCTTCCCTGACCACTTATTCACATTGTGATCCTTGAAACACTTCCTTTTCCCTCTCCGCTTATTGTTTCTCCATAGCATTTTTCACCTCCTTACATAGTATGTACTTCTTTCATGTGCTGTGTTCATTTTCTGTCTCCTCTCCCCTTTTTGGAATGTCAGCATCATTCTAGTTTAAATCTGTTTGTTTACTTCTGTGTTCCCAGAGCCTAAGGATAATGTCTGGCATAGAGGAGGCACTCAATAAATATTTGTTGAAAGAAAGAAGGAATAAGCAAATTAATAGAAGGTGCTCCGTAAATATTTGTGAAATTGAATTAAAAGTGTCAGAAGGAGATGACTGTGAAATTCCCAAAGTCTAAAAATATGTGAGCTTAGAAGAATGGTGGAGTTGAGTGCTGCCTCATTATAAACATCCTCGAGGAAGGACTGAAACTGTGTGCTTGCGGTGGGAGGGGCAGCTGGGCAAGGAACCGTGAACCTTCGCAGAAACATTTGGGGCTGCAGAACTTGGGTGAGAGCGCTGCATCTGGGAGCTGGCGACGCTGGCGGCTTGCTCATTCACCCCATCTGAACACTTGTCTATGACACAGGTGTTTTCTCTTAAGTTATTTTGGTCTTTGCCTCTCTCCTCAGGTTGTGAAGATTACAGAAATCTGGGATGGCTTATGGGACGCTTCTCAGCCCTAAGTAGGAAAACAGCAGTGAAAATGGCAACCAAAACATCACGCAGGACTGGGGGTTTTGGGGAAACAGCTCACTTTAGAGCAGTGCAGTGTAGAGCTTTCCGTCTTTTACCAGGGTCCACCTTTAACACTGTTTATCTGAAAATTTTCCCCCTGGCTTACTCGCTTGCAGCTGCCCACTTTGCAGAAGGATGGCGCTCTGATCTCTACGCTCCCTGTTCCTTCAGGGACTCCATAGTATTTTTTTTCACGCGTCGTCGCTACTACAGCAGACGCCTGCGTTCTCATTATTTGCTGTACAGATCTCCGGTGCCTTGACTGTAAACAAAACACTTTAGATCATTGTGAGGTCGATGTAAGCACAGCCTTTCTGCTGGCAGCCAGACTTCTTAAGGTGGTGTGACTGTGACTTGCTTACTTTTCGAGATCAACAACAACAAAGCGACAAAATGGTGCTCCTACATATTAGTTGAAAGATTCAGCATGTGAAGGGGATCGAAGTGTTTATTTTCCACTTCCATATAAGACATGAATTCCATGAGTAAAATCAAACTTCTGTGGCAAGGTGAACTACTCTAGAATGTCTCCATTTACATACATGTGGTAGTTTGGGTGTTTATGCATATGGATAGATGCACATATATAGAGTTCCTGTGTTGTCTAGCAATTGTTTTAAAATTTGGACAATTATCTAATTTCTAGGGTAAGGTATAAATTATGGTAGGGAGGCCTACCCTAATTTTCCTGTTCCTTTTCCCCCAGTCTGCAGTCCAATAAATTGACAGCCTTAAAAGTAGAAAAACTAAAGAGGATGAGACCTCTTGCTTGATCCTAGGTGAATTCTTTTCTGTCAGTTAGGTAGGAAGTCCTGACTTGAAAACTAGTTCTGGGCACTGCCCCCTTTACTGTTCTCTGGGTATCAACCCCTGTCCTTCAATTTTAGTTGAACTAGTGGATGGTGATACCACAGGCTCAAGACAGCTGCATTTAAATATCAGTGACCACAGGCCACATCAAGGAAACATCTGCAGGCAACCCAGGGCCTGGGAAGGAGCCATTTTCAGTCACTTGTAAGACAGCAGGACCTGCAGACTACAGCACAATCAAACTCAGACAAAACCCTGAACCAGTGAGAACCATTAGGAAGGAAAGGAACAGAAAATGAACCAACCTGAGTGTTAGGAGACTTGCATCTAGTCCTGACTCCGGTACCAACCGAATGCATGTCCCTGGACAGGAAACCTCTCTGAGTCTCGATTTCCTCCGTGGTAAAAAGGAGAGGGTTAAACCACAGGGTCCCGAGGGTCCCTTCCAGCTGTCACATTCTGGAGCGTATGAGATGAGGTAGGCACACAAAGTGGACAAGATGTGGCTAAGAAAACAAGCTACACATCAAGCTCATCTGTAGCATAGGTGCTTAAGAAAACTTTGCTGCTGTGTAATATTAGAACGGAAGGTTGGTTTCCAGTAAAATGCATTAACTTTGGCTCAAACCAAGATGATGGGTACCGGGCATGGGGGTGGGGAGGCAGTTGAAGATCCACTGAGCTTTGTCTCAGGGCAGCCCTGCTCATCGTCCTACTTTACCTTCCACCACGGTGCTCAAGCCCACACTGAGAGAGAAATTTCCAGCTGCAAAAGGGAGAAGAGAAACGCTGGAATACTAGTATCGGACGTTAGGACATGGTTGTGGTGTTTTAAAAATCATTTCATCATCTGGAGTTTGACCCCGAGGGGAGTATTTTCACCCTTCAGCCCTCTGAAAGCATTCACTAGCATCTGAATATTGTTCTGAGTTTGTTGGAGCAGTGAAATCTGGTGAGAGAGAAGGGTGGAGGAAGGAAGGAGCTGTTGTATTTGGCGGCTGGACTCAGGTAGAGGAAACTGCTACAATCCCGGGAAAGAACAGAAAAGTAGAAAGGGACGAGTTCCCACACGCAGCCAATGTCCATGGCCTTAACTGTGCTTGGGAAGGAAGATCCTGGGCCAGGGGTGTACCCTCGTTTTTCAAAACTAAACGTGTCTGAGACAGCTACAAAGTTTATTAAGGGACTTGAGAGACTAGAGTTTTTTGTTTTTTTTTTTTAATCTTGAGTTCCTTTCTTATTTTCATTGAGGGAGAGCTTGAGTTCATGATAAGTGCCGCGTCTACTCCTGGCTAATTTCTAAAAGAAAGACGTTCGCTTTGGCTTCTTCCCTAGGCCCCCAGCCTCCCCAGGGATGGCAGAAACTTCTGGGTTAAGGCTGAGCGAACCATTGCCCACTGCCTCCACCAGCCCCCAGCAAAGGCACGCCGGCGGGGGGGCGCCCAGCCCCCCCAGCAAACGCTCCGCGGCCTCCCCCGCAGACCACGAGGTGGGGGCCGCTGGGGAGGGCCGAGCTGGGGGCAGCTCGCCACCCCGGCTCCTAGCGAGCTGCCGGCGACCTTCGCGGTCCTCTGGTCCAGGTCCCGGCTTCCCGGGCGAGGAGCGGGAGGGAGGTCGGGGCTTAGGCGCCGCGGCGAACCCGCCAACGCAGCGCCGGGCCCCGAACCTCAGGCCCCGCCCCAGGTTCCCGGCCGTTTGGCTAGTTTGTTTGTCTTAATTTTAATTTCTCCGAGGCCAGCCAGAGCAGGTTTGTTGGCAGCAGTACCCCTCCAGCAGTCACGCGACCAGCCAATCTCCCGGCGGCGCTCGGGGAGGCGGCGCGCTCGGGAACGAGGGGAGGTGGCGGAACCGCGCCGGGGCCACCTTAAGGCCGCGCTCGCCAGCCTCGGCGGGGCGGCTCCCGCCGCCGCAACCAATGGATCTCCTCCTCTGTTTAAATAGACTCGCCGTGTCAATCATTTTCTTCTTCGTCAGCCTCCCTTCCACCGCCATATTGGGCCACTAAAAAAAGGGGGCTCGTCTTTTCGGGGTGTTTTTCTCCCCCTCCCCTGTCCCCGCTTGCTCACGGCTCTGCGACTCCGACGCCGGCAAGGTTTGGAGAGCGGCTGGGTTCGCGGGACCCGCGGGCTTGCACCCGCCCAGACTCGGACGGGCTTTGCCACCCTCTCCGCTTGCCTGGTCCCCTCTCCTCTCCGCCCTCCCGCTCGCCAGTCCATTTGATCAGCGGAGACTCGGCGGCCGGGCCGGGGCTTCCCCGCAGCCCCTGCGCGCTCCTAGAGCTCGGGCCGTGGCTCGTCGGGGTCTGTGTCTTTTGGCTCCGAGGGCAGTCGCTGGGCTTCCGAGAGGGGTTCGGGCTGCGTAGGGGCGCTTTGTTTTGTTCGGTTTTGTTTTTTTGAGAGTGCGAGAGAGGCGGTCGTGCAGACCCGGGAGAAAGATGTCAAACGTGCGAGTGTCTAACGGGAGCCCTAGCCTGGAGCGGATGGACGCCAGGCAGGCGGAGCACCCCAAGCCCTCGGCCTGCAGGAACCTCTTCGGCCCGGTGGACCACGAAGAGTTAACCCGGGACTTGGAGAAGCACTGCAGAGACATGGAAGAGGCGAGCCAGCGCAAGTGGAATTTCGATTTTCAGAATCACAAACCCCTAGAGGGCAAGTACGAGTGGCAAGAGGTGGAGAAGGGCAGCTTGCCCGAGTTCTACTACAGACCCCCGCGGCCCCCCAAAGGTGCCTGCAAGGTGCCGGCGCAGGAGAGCCAGGATGTCAGCGGGAGCCGCCCGGCGGCGCCTTTAATTGGGGCTCCGGCTAACTCTGAGGACACGCATTTGGTGGACCCAAAGACTGATCCGTCGGACAGCCAGACGGGGTTAGCGGAGCAATGCGCAGGAATAAGGAAGCGACCTGCAACCGACGGTAATGACCCTTTCCCAACCATAGAATGTGTTTGGGGCCCCGCTTTGCCTGCTGGAGGGTGTTAACCTTAGCTTGCTTTTCGGCGTATTCTGATTTAGCTTTGGGAGAGCTAACTTTATTGGTCTTAGGTGTTCAGTGCTACCTGGCCCACTGCTTGTCTGTTTGTGACTTTTAAGTCAGAAACTGGAGATGGTAAGATCCGATAATTTCCCTAACTTAATACATCGCGGTCCCTCTCACTAGCAACTCCTAGGTATGTGACAAAGTTGGGATGTTTATCAACGGTCCGCCTCCTGGCTAGGGAAAGAGCTCTGGGGCGGAGAATGCACTTTCTGTTTTTTGAAAACAACCTCATTTTGTGCCCTTAAAAGCCACTGGGGATGACGGATCCAGGATTGTGGGTGGAGGTAGTGGGTTTTTCATCCCCTGACTATGGGGCCAACTTCTGCCAGCCATTGTTTTTTCTAATAAAGATTGTGTGTTCTTTTTAAAAATTTCCCCTGCGCTTAGATTCTTCTACTCAAAACAAAAGAGCCAACAGAACAGAAGAAAATGTTTCAGACGGTTCCCCAAATGCCGGTTCTGTGGAGCAGACGCCCAAGAAGCCTGGCCTCAGAAGACGTCAAACGTAAACAGCTCGGTGGGTTGATCACTAAAGGAGCACGCACTGGAACCCGGGGCCTTCAGACCTCACGATACCTGATCTTACTGGTTGCTGGCAAATTAAAAGCTTATGGGGTTTTGTTTTGTTTATACTTCGTGAGGTCAAAAAAGTAGCAATGGGGAAGGCTGGGGATACGGTAATTCCTCAGAGTTTCTATGCCCAGAGATACTTTCTCTTCAAACTGTTGACCAGAGCAGCTACTTGTAACCCAGGCCCCATCGGGTAGGAAGGTCGTTTCCCTGTGAGTCCCACTAAAACGTGTTGGGAGCAATAGGTTCTTTGCCCATCCGAACAAGAACTAGGGTACTCCCTCAGTCCGAATTAATGAGAATTAATTTCCTAGAGGTTCAGCTTGAGTCGGTAACAGATTTTGAGCCATACATGGAAAAATGGCAAATACATGATTAAGTTTCAATTTTGAGGGGGAATGTTTGGTAGAAATTGCTCATCTTTGGTTATGCAAGGGATTAGAGATGTGAATAGGATGGTATGTTGTGTTCTTTGACATTTTAATAAACTGTCACTTTCCCTGTTGTCTCCTAAGTTTGGAGAGAGAAGGAACCAGTATTTGCAAAAACCAAATGGAAAGATAAAAAAGTTACTAAAGTTTCTACAGAATTTCTGGTAACACTGAAGTTGCAAAGCAGAAGTTAAATTAACTCTTGTCAGTAAGCAATCCAGGAACACGTCAGCCAGTGTATGCTAATTGTGCCGTAACAGGGTGATTTGGATATTTGTAGGGGAAATGGGTAGTAAATATCAAGACTGGTGACCGTAGGTCAGCCCAGCACAAAGGAAGTGGAGATTTTTCCATGCACAAGAATCTGATCACTGTAAATAGCTAATTTGAATAATTCAGTCCCCAGATAACCAACATGGGTTGGTTATTCATAATAAACTACATATTTTAATAGTTTATTAGCTTCCTTTAGACCAAGACTGTGACCTCTTTATTTTCTAAAGCACACACGTAGTTTAGCATATGAGGCGATAAAATATTGATGTTAACTTTTTAAATCCCCAGTTATAAAAATTTTAAAATAACAGGGATTAAGGTGAGATTCAGGTTTGTTGTGTCTTTAAATTGTATATGTGACTTCACATATCTTTTTCAGCGCTTATACAAAACGGCACTATAGAACCTCCATTTTACAGCACCATATGAAGTGGGAAAATTAGGTGAAAATTTTCCTGAAGCAACCTTAACATGCGCAGCCCTTGTTGGTTTGTGACTTGTGGCCTAGCTCATCAGATGAGCCACGAGAATCAGACCTGGATTTTGATCTGGCCCTGTTCTGACATGCAATGAGGCATTTGTAGGATTTAGTAATATTGCTAGTTCAAAGAATACTAGAAATATTAGTAAGAACCTATTCAAAAGTATTCATGAGTATTTTCTGCATATGAATCAGGAATTAGAATATTTTGAAAATGATGTTAATAAAATTTTCCTCTGGAAGGCCTTTATAATTTTTATTCCCAATCATTTTTCAAATTTAGAAAGTTTAATCTGTCACAGGAGAAAAAAAATTAAAAATTTTCAAAAATTTAGAAAATTTTTACCCGTAAGTATTACAGTTTCCTAATTATCCTATTTATTTCCCACTTGCCTTTGACCTAGATTATTTAGAGTAGGGTTTCTCAGCCTCTGCACTAATGACATTTTGGGCCGAATAATTCTGTTGTAGGAGGCTGTCCTGTGTGTTTTAGATTGTTTGGAATTATCCCTGGCCTCTCACACTAGATGCCAGCAGTATCCTCCTCCCCCAGTGTGACAACCTAAAATGTCTCCAGACATTGCCAAATGTTCCCTGTGGGGCGGGGGCAACATTGCCTACTGTTAAGAACTACTGCTCTAGACCAAAGAACACAGCACAGAGGAAAGGAAAAAAAAATCCAGTTAAGAGAATGTTAGGTGGAGATGACTATAGTCATCAAACTTTTTTCCCCATCAAGTATTTCCAAGCTAACATAGTGACAAAATAATTCCTGTACTCTACTGGTAACGTTAATCTAGTGCTCTTCCTTTAATTCTTCCGTTTTGTTTTCTTTTGCAGAATTAAGAATATGTTTCCTTGTTTATCAGATACATCACTGCTTGATGAAGCAAGGAAGATATACATGAAAATTTTAAAAATACATATCGCTGACTTCATGGAATGGACATCCTGTATAAGCACTGAAAAACAACAACACAATAACACTAAAATTTTAGGCACTCTTAAATGATCTGCCTCTAAAAGCGTTGGATGTAGCATTATGCAATTAGGTTTTTCCTTATTTGCTTCATTGTACTACCTGTGTATATAGTTTTTACCTTTTATGTAGCACATAAACTTTGGGGAAGGGAGGGCAGGGTGGGGCTGAGGAACTGACGTGGAGCGGGGTATGAAGAGCTTGCTTTGATTTACAGCAAGTAGATAAATATTTGACTTGCATGAAGAGAAGCAATTTTGGGGAAGGGTTTGAATTGTTTTCTTTAAAGATGTAATGTCCCTTTCAGAGACAGCTGATACTTCATTTAAAAAAATCACAAAAATTTGAACACTGGCTAAAGATAATTGCTATTTATTTTTACAAGAAGTTTATTCTCATTTGGGAGATCTGGTGATCTCCCAAGCTATCTAAAGTTTGTTAGATAGCTGCATGTGGCTTTTTTAAAAAAGCAACAGAAACCTATCCTCACTGCCCTCCCCAGTCTCTCTTAAAGTTGGAATTTACCAGTTAATTACTCAGCAGAATGGTGATCACTCCAGGTAGTTTGGGGCAAAAATCCGAGGTGCTTGGGAGTTTTGAATGTTAAGAATTGACCATCTGCTTTTATTAAATTTGTTGACAAAATTTTCTCATTTTCTTTTCACTTCGGGCTGTGTAAACACAGTCAAAATAATTCTAAATCCCTCGATATTTTTAAAGATCTGTAAGTAACTTCACATTAAAAAATGAAATATTTTTTAATTTAAAGCTTACTCTGTCCATTTATCCACAGGAAAGTGTTATTTTTCAAGGAAGGTTCATGTAGAGAAAAGCACACTTGTAGGATAAGTGAAATGGATACTACATCTTTAAACAGTATTTCATTGCCTGTGTATGGAAAAACCATTTGAAGTGTACCTGTGTACATAACTCTGTAAAAACACTGAAAAATTATACTAACTTATTTATGTTAAAAGATTTTTTTTAATCTAGACAATATACAAGCCAAAGTGGCATGTTTTGTGCATTTGTAAATGCTGTGTTGGGTAGAATAGGTTTTCCCCTCTTTTGTTAAATAATATGGCTATGCTTAAAAGGTTGCATACTGAGCCAAGTATAATTTTTTGTAATGTGTGAAAAAGATGCCAATTATTGTTACACATTAAGTAATCAATAAAGAAAACTTCCATAGCTATTCATTGAGTCAAATTGTAATGTGCTTTACCAAACAAGGTATTTGACCTGGCATTCTAGTCATATTTACACAAATGTAAATGTGAAGTGGCAAATACCTAGGTAATTCAGGCCCACAACTCAGATGATGTTTTATGTAGTCCGAATGTAGTTAGCAGTTACTGTTTTCCACTTAGCTCTGTGTGGGAGGACAAAACTTTAGAAGGTGAAAATGGAAAAGCTACATTTTCATATGAATAAGGTTGTCAAAAGTCTGCATTAGTAAAAATATTTATGTCTTCTAGGATATGAATGTGTCAAAACCAAAGAATCCTTACATAAGTGTACACTGACACATTTGCAGGATTGAAAATGAAAGTAACATGGTGACTTCTCTAAATTCTGTATTTACACATGAGAAGTGTGAGGAATTAAAGCAATTGTTTGGACCATCTAATGTATAAATCTTGTTTAAAATATTCAAACATATGGGCCCTTAAGAAATTGGTGTGCACTCTACGTAGCTATTTTTGAAATTTAACTGGTCATACAAAAATTCTTTCAATTTCTATATTTAGAAACGGGGTATTTCCTTGTTATAATCTACACAACCAAAAACTGGCTAATGTAAGTAACCAAATCTGAGGATTTTGAGTCTCCATAGCCATACAGCAGATATACAGTTTTTACCTAAGGAAAAAAGTATAAGACAAGACATTTTAAAGTCAGATTACTAAAATGATTCCTGTAATTCCACATTCTCAAGAAAAAATGTGTTTAAGGTGTAATAGTAAATTCTTATAGGACTTATTCTAGTAAGTGGGTAAATCGTAAAAATCTAAATTTGGGTTAAATTTTTTCGCTCAAATACCTACATTTCCTTTATCGTACCCCAAAAGGAGCTCTCAAAGAGTAGTTTGAACAGTTTTTGACCCGAAGATTTTTTTTTTTTTTTTTTTTTTTTGAGCAGGTTGGACTCTTCGGCTTCCTGGAAGGGAAAAATAGGTCCTTTAGTGGCTGGGCTACATCTTTCAAGTAGGTATTATTTTAATGAAAGACTAGAGGTGTTTTGTGATTTTGTTTGAAACTCGCATCCAAGAGTGTTTTTCGAAAACAGACTGAAGGAGCAAGAAAAACAATTCGAAATAGGAAGGAGAGGAGGGTCAGAAAATAATGAAATTAAAGTTCCTCTGAGTAAAAAAAGATAATTCAGAAAGTGTCTCTAACAGAATAAAAAATATCGCCTGGATTGCTGCAGGCACCCCAGTCTCCTTTCCTAAAGAGGTCTCTTTAAACAGAATTTTGAGAGATTGCGTTTTAGTTATGCGGGCCAGGGAGAAGTGGATGCTCGCCGCGCCAGGCACGTCCACAGGAACGCAGCCCCGAGTCACCGTGTCCTTCGTCCTTTACCCGCCTGTGTCAAGCCTCCCAAAATGACCCGCAGTTCAGCTCGTCCTTCGCCGTGAACGTCCCTTTGCGGGGTTGCGGCCGCCGTCGCCCGCCACCCCTTGCCCCACTACCCAAGCCACTGCGCCGTCGTCTCCCCAAACTGCCCCGCAGTTCCGCGCCCGCCCGCCGCGGCAGTTGCGGGGTCGGGCTGGCTGGTGCCTCGGGACGAGAAGGCCATCAAGTGTTGCTCCCTCATCTGTAACGTGCAGCCCCCCGCACTGTCGCCGTCGTCGCGCGCAGTTCCCGCGCCCGGGCGGCCGCGCCTCCGCCGCGCAGCCGGGCTGGGCGGTTTCTCAGAAACTTTCCTCCCTCCTCCTCTCCTCTGCGCTGAGAAAGCAGCGAAAGCTCCCACTCCTCTCCGCAAACGGACTCTCCACCTGAGTAACCGGCCGCCTCCCCGGCCGTGGGGATATCGGAGCTAAGGGGAGAGCCTTCCCGAGTTCGCCGACCCTCCGGCGCTGCAGCCCGCTCCCACCCCTACCCTGGGCTCCAATGATCCGCAGCCCCGCGCATTTCGAAAGCCCGCCCGGCTCGCCGGCGCCTGGGGAGGGCCACGGCGGCGCGCAGCCCGGGCCCCGCACCACGGCCGCCCGCGTGGGTCCCCTCTGCCCTCACCCCCGCTCGGCAACGTGCCCCCATCGCAACCCCGGCCGCCCGGCGCGGGGGCCTGGGACGGGGAAGAACTGGGGAAATGTGGGTTTGGGGGCGTGTTTGGGGGACTCCGGGAGCGTGGGCTTCACAGGCGAGGAGCGGGGCGAGAGGCCTCTCAGGCCGGGGTGCGCCCACCGCCCCGGCCTCAGGGAGCGACTTTCCCGGAGGCCGGGGGACGCTGCCTTCGCCATTTCATCTTCATCATCACAGCGCCCACACTTGCTCTTCTCTCAAGCTCTTTGCACAGAAAAAGTGATTCTAAATCTCCTCTAGGATCTCCTGTCTGGTGTTCAGAGTATGAATTTCTTTTTAAAACTTGCTGTGTCTTTCACCTGGGCCACACCCTACGCCCACCCACCCCCTCTCAGCCAAAAGGGAGGTAAAAAATCCTGCGGGCCCAGCTGGGGGTGGGGAAGGGGCCCACAGTCCCGCTGGAAAACCTCAGCGGCCACCTCCCGGATCCGGGCTGGCCTGGGGACTGGGGTGGGATGGGGTGGGGTCCGCCTCAGGCCGACCCCGCAGAACCGAAAGTGCCGAGTTGACACGTAAGGCCCAGCCCCTCTGCGGCCGCCCGCGCGCCCGGCCTGTCACGCGTGGGGACACTGAGCAGCAGGCATCGGAGCGAGCAGTACAAAAAGAAATCAAGGCGTTGGGCGCGAAACCTCGACGCGCCTCTAAAGGAACGTTGAGAAAAGGCAGGGAGCAGGGCGCGCGGCCGGGGGATTGCATCATTGCGGCTCCCCCTCCAGAAAACGGGCCCCGAACCGCGGCGACCATCATGGCGCTCGCGCCGGGCTGCGCTCCCCGCGCGCCTGCCCCGCGCTCCGGCCGCGGCCCCGGAGCCTCGGACGCGCATTTCACAAACATTCTCGCCCTCTCCCGAGCGCCCGCCCCCACCCCCTCCTTCTTTCTGTGTGTGTGTGCGTACGTGTGTGCGTGTGTGCGCGCGCGTATTTGTGTGTAGGGAGAACTTGCAGATGATTTTTTTTTTCCCTCCCGTGCTGCTGGTTGTAAACTTGATTGGCATTGGCTGCGCCCACTGACCCCGACGCTGAGTCCGCTGAAGATTTAAGGTGGATCCGAGAAGCTGCAGCTTCAGGCGGAGTCTCGCGCTCTAGTCGGTTTTGGGAAGAGAAAAAAAAAAAAAAAAGCCCCGAACCGGGCGCCCGCCGCGTTTGCCGAATCTCCCGCGGCCCCAGCCCCCGCGCCCGCCCGGGGCCCCTCCCCGCCTCGCGCGCCGCGCGCGGCCTCCGCCCACCTCCCACTTCTTCCCCATTGGCCGGCGCGTGCAGTTTGAATTTTTTTTTTTTTTTGATGCTTGTTTTCTTGTAAAAAATACAGTCCCCCAGATCGTGTGACGAAACCTGCTTCGGCGGCCCGAGGTGGGGGTTTTGAGTCGGTTAGTGGAGGCAGTGGGAGCAGGATGGGCGGAGCTTCTGTTCCAAAAATTTCCCCTAAGTGCGGTTGACAGTGTGCAGGCAGGCGGGGGTGCGCGGGGCGGTCAGCGATCTGCAGCTTCGCGGGGACAGAGATGTAACCCAACTCGTTCACGGATGTTCCGCGCGCCGTGTCACCGGCTGCGGGCCAGGGGTACTCGGAAGGCGCGGGCAGGAGCCTGGCGAGGATGCACCTTCCCCTGCCTTGGAAAGGTAGAACTGGGGAGTGCGGGAGGGTGGAGGTGGCCCGGAAAAGAACACCTCTTCGCAACCAAAAAAAAAAAAAAAAAAAAAAAAGAGGAAATAGAGGAAAAATGTGTTATTTCAACCGCCACTCAGAACCCATCATAATTCAGCCAGTCGGTGTCATTTTTATTGAATTAAATTTTAAAAAAGTTTTCTTTGATTTCCAGAGCGTTTTTGCGGGAGGAATATGTTAAAACAAACTCAAGATACGAAATGAGACTTTTGAAGTGCCTTTGATTTCTGGGTACGGAAATTCTTTTGATAAAGCGTGTGTACGTTAAGATTTAGGATGACTTTTTTTTTCTTTTTTGTAATACAGGTCTAATGGAAATGACATTCTTTATGAATTAGAACCCAATTATGTTTTAAAGTTTATAATAAGTCAAATGATTCTCTCAGTCCCTATGTCCGTATTAGTGAAATTCTATCTCCATATTAGCGAAATTTGCATAGATACACACCTTTTTCTTTTTGTCTTTTAGTCTTGCTGCAGTGTATCGGACGAGTTTAACCAGATATCCAGCACTAGCCTTCTAACAGTTTCTAACTCAGTGGTGACATTTTTTAGTTCTTAACTCCCCCAATCCTTCTTAGCCTAACAAACCTCTTAATTAAGGTCCATGAAAGACCATAAACCAACCTGATTATGCCTTTAGCAAGGCTGTGTTCACTTAATCTCTAATCCCATATCATAAAAGTCCGCTAGTCACTCCTGACCTCCAGGAACCCACCTAACCAGGGTGGACACTATAAGAAAACATGTGTTTTAATGGAATGAGAACTTTTTTGAGTTGAAGACACGCTAGCCTCAGGAAGCAGTGAGCTCACCATCCCTGGAGTGTGAGTCAAGCACTAGTCTTGGATGACCCCTTGATAGGAACGTTGTAGACAAGATTCAAATATCAAATAGTATTTGGACTAGTGATTTCAAAGTCTATTCCAGACCCCTGTGAAACTGTATTTCCAACCTTGGCATTTCTGGATTTCCACTAAATTAAGCCACTTTCCTTGCTCATTAGCATCTTGTAGAGCTGTGTGGCTATTTGAGCGCTTGAATGTGGCTAGTCCAAATTGAGATGTGCTATATGAGATAAACACCACGTTTCCAA
Source organism: Homo sapiens (assembly GCF_000001405.40). Taxonomy (NCBI): domain Eukaryota; kingdom Metazoa; phylum Chordata; class Mammalia; order Primates; family Hominidae; genus Homo; species Homo sapiens. Next base: position 12,727,239 of record NC_000012.12, read on the forward strand.
GAATTAGTATGAAGAGAAAATGTTAAATATTTCATTAATAATTTTAATATTGATTACCTATTGAAATAATATTTTGTCATATTGGGCTAAATAAAATATATTATTAAAATGAATTTCATCTATTCCATTTTACTTTTTTAGTGGAGTTACTAGACAATTTACAGATGTGTCTCAAATTATATTTCTATTGGACATTACTGTTCAAGACTATCACCTGTGGTAACTTGAGGCCCCATCTTTAAAAGTGGTGACTATTAATACTGAGGAGTAGGTGGTAACTTCTAGCTGCCATCCTAACTTCTCAAATTAAAGTGAGACCCAAACTCAGCCTCTGAAAGCTTTATTATTTATTTATTTATTTATTCTTCTTCTTATTTTTTTTAAAAGATAGAGTCTCCCTGTCATCCAGGCTGGAGTGCAGTGGTGTGGTCATGTCTCACTGCAACCTCCAACTCCTGGGCTCATGCAATCCTCCCAACTCAGCCTCCAGAATCACTGCAATTACATGTGTGCTCTGAAACCTTTTTTTTTTTTTTTTTTAACTTTGTAGAGAGTCTTGCTGCGTTGCCCAGGCTGGTCTTGAACTTCTGGCCTCAAATGATTCTCCTGCCTTGGCCTCCCAAAGTGCTGAGATGACAGGCATGAGCCACCATACCTAGCATCTCTGAAACCTTTAAATAGAATTCTGCCAACATCTAACACCTACTGTTTAATCTTTAATTAATTAATTAATTAATTTTTCTTTTAAAGACAGGTCTCACTCTGTCACACAGGCTGGAGTGCAGTGGGCATGAGCATGGCTCACTGCAGCCTCAAGCTCCTGGGCTCAGGAGATCCTCTACTTCAGCCTCCCATGTAGCTGGACTACAGATGTGTGCCACCACATCCAGCAGTTTTTTTTTTACTTTTGTAGAGATGGGGTCTTGCTATGTTGACCAGGCTGGTATTGAATGCCTGACTTCAAGGAATCCTCACACCTTGGCCTCCCAAAGTGGTGGGATTACAGGTGTGAGCCACTGAGCCCAGCCTGTTTAATACTTAATGTAGGGTTCAAGCCCAGACTATGGGAATATAGTATAGATATGTCTGATGAACTCAGACTTGGTCACCACAGCTTTTCACATTATGGCAATAGGAAGACTGGAGGCCGGACACATTGGCTTACACCTGTAATCCGCACACTTTGGGAGGCTGAGGCGGGCAGATCGCTTGAACTCAGGAGTTCTGGACCAGCCTGGGCAACATGGTGAAACCCCGTTTCTACAAAAAACAAAAAAAAATTTAACCAGGTGTGGTGGTGCTGCCTGTAGTCCCAGCTACTCAGGAAGCTGAGGTGGGAGGATTGCTTGAGCCTGGAAGGCTGAGGTTGCAGTGAGCCGAGATCATGCCACTGCATGCTGGCCTGGGCAACAGTGAGACCCTGTCTCAAAAAAAAAAAAAAAAAAAAAAAAAAGAGAGAGAAAGAAAAGAAAGAAAGAGAAAGATTGGAAACTCCAATATGTTAGTTGTGACTCTGCCAAAAAAAACTATTTAGACCCCACACAAAACCTGCACAGGCAGAGCCTCACTGCGACTCTTCAGGAGATAGGAAGAAAGTGGGGAGACAGAGCAGTATGCTCATTCTAAGATTGGGTCTCTAGCAGAAGCCTGCACAATGAAAAAGTATACCATATTCTTGGATGGGAACACCCAACATGACAAAGATGGCAGTCCTCCCTAATTCATCTGCACCTCTTTACACTAAATTCTGATAATAGGTTCTGATCATCCTGTTTCGTTCCTTTGTTGTAGCAGTCTGTCCACTCAGGACCATAATATAATTACTGTAAATTTGGAATATGTTTGAATTGCTGGTGGGCCGAGTCCTCCACATCTCGATGGGTCCCTTTACTCCTTTTTTTCCCCCAGAATGTTCCTGTTTTCTTTTGCTTGCCATTTTCCCCATGTGGATTTAAAATGAATTTGTCTAGTTTTAAATATAATTCTGTCGGCATTAAAAAAAAAAATAAAGTGGGATTCTTATCTCACACATCAGGATAAATTCCTGAAGAATTAAAGAGGATGAAGTAGAAAGAAATGAAACCATAGACATGCAAGGAGAAACCTCAAAGGATTTTTAAAAAAATCTCAGAGTTGGGGAAAGACTTTCTGAGTACGACAATAAACATAGAATTCATAAGATGTAATTTTTTTTTCTTTTTGGTAGAGACAGGATCTCTCTACGTTGCCTAGGCTGGTCTTGAACGCCTGGCCTCAAGTGATACTCCTGCCTTGGTCTCCAAAAGTGTTGAGATTACAGTTGTGAGCCACTGTGCTCAGCTGGGAGGAGCTCTTGCGGCCAGGATTTTAAGACCAGCTTGGACAACGTAGCAAGACCTGTTTCTAAAAAATAAAAATAAATAGTTAAGCTATTCTGGAGGCTGAGGCAAGGGGATTGCTCTATCCCAGGAGTTCAGGGCCGCAGCTCAGGCTACAGTGAGCTATGATTTTACTACTGCACTCCAGCCTGGCAGCTCTAAAAAAATAAAATAATAATAATAATAATATAAAAATAATTTAAAAAGCAATGGTTTAAATGGTAATTTGTATCTTACTTGTATTTAACCACAATAAAAAAGAATATACAACTACTGGGACATTTTTTTTTGAGACCAGGTCTCACTCTGTTACCTAGGCTGGAGTGCAATGACTCATTGCAGCCTCGACCTCCTGGGCTCAAGTGATCCCCCTGCCTTAGCCTCCCAAGTAGCTAGGGCTGTAGGTGCACACCACCATGCCCAGCTAACTTTGTGTGTGTGTGTGTGTGTGTGTGTGTGTGTGTGTGTGTGTGTGTGTGTGTGAGAGAGAGAGAGAGAGAGACAGACAGGTTCTTGCTATGTTGTCCAGGCTGGTATTGAACTCCTAGTCTCAAGTGATCTTCCTGCCTTAGCCTCCCAAAGTGCTGAAATTACAGGCATGAGCCATCATGCCTGGCTCACTGGAAAAATTTAAAGTTCATCCATGGTATGTCTAAAAGAATCTCACACAGTGTACTGGGCCATATTATTTGTGAGATGCTGTAGTGGTTCAATTTCAGGCTCTGGAATCCTACTGCCTGGGTTTGAGTCCAGTTACTGAACTGCCATTTGCAAGTTACTTCACCTTTTAAAGATTTTATTTCGGCCAGGCATGGTGGCTCACACCTGTAATGCCAGCACTTTGGGAGGCCAGGGCGGGCAGATCACTTGAGGTCAGGAATTGGAGACCAGTCTGGACAACATGGTGAAACCCCATCTCTACTAAAAATACAAAAATTAGCCGGGCGTGGTGGCAGGCACCTGTAATCCCAGCTACTGGAGAGGCTGAGGCAGGAGAATCGCTTGAACCTGGGAGGCAGAGGTTGCAGTGAGCTGAGATCATGCCATTGTGCTCCAGCCTGGGGGACGAGATTGAGACTTCCTCTAAAAAAAAAAAAAAAAAAGAAAGAAAGAAAAAAGTTTTTTTTTTTTTTGTCTATATAATGAGGATGCTTATAACTCTCATAGGGTATTAAAAGTATTCGATGGAATAATGTATGTGTTGTATTTAGCCCAATACATGGTATATAATAATGACCATTACATATTTGTAAACAATCAAATTGGCCAGGCACAGTGGCTCACGCCTGTAATCCCAGCACTTTGGGAGGCCGAGGCAGGCGGATCACAAGGTCAGGAGATCGAGACCATCTTGGCTAACACGGTGAAACCCCGTCTCTACTAAAAATAAAAAAAATTAGCCGGGCGTGGTGGCGGGCGCCTGTAGTCCCAGCTACTCGGGAGGCTGAGGCAGGAGAATGGCGTGAACCCGGGAGGCGGAGCTTGCAGTGGGCCGAGATCGCACCACTGCACTCCAGCCTGGGCGACAGAGCAAGACGCCATCTCAAAAAAACAAACAAACAAACAAACAAAAAATCAAATTAATGGGGATATCCAGTTTTTATTTTGTCTTCTCCCAGTAACCACAGCCAGTACTATGTTAACCTTGTCAATATGTCTTATTATTTTTAATTACTGCTGATACTACCATTAAGAAAAACAAATATTTTAAATTGGCATTTAATAAAGAGAATTAGATATGCAAAAACAGTTAAAATGGTAAATTTTATGTATTTTTACCACAATAAAATCTTTTTAAGGCACTTGTTGAATTTAGTGTCACTTCCAATGATTTCTGAAAGGACTTGGTATAGATTTATTTGTGGTAATAAATCAGTAGCACATACACCCACATACATATGCAATGACAAATTGGGAAAAATGTTTGCAACCCACATATCACAGGGTTAATTTCCCCAATAAATAAAGAGTTTCTACAAATCCATGAAGAAAACACAAACCAGTAGAAAAATAAGCAAAGGATATGAACACAGTTATCGGAAAAGAAAATATGAAAGGCTTTTAATAAATGAAAACATGCTCAATTGTAGACTATTGGGATATAAACCATATACAGAATATATAAATATAGGGAAATTGAGGCACTCAGATACAAAGACGGCCATTATTCTTTCTTGACAGTTTAATCCTTGCTTCCCTCCTTTCTACCTAAGGGTTAGTGATATTTTTCCAGCTTCATTGGTGACCAAAGAAGCAAAGAGTTTGCATGCGTGGAAGCCACGACCGTCTTTCAGGTTCAGTGTAAAATCCCTCCCATCCAAATAATGTTATCTTTAGCTTAGTGGCATCTCCTTACTTTGTACATAGAAATCCCCCGAATCAGCCTCTTAAGGCCAGCACAACTATAAGTATGTAAGAGGCTGATGCTCTCAACACATCCCCATCCATTCCTGCTTTTAAGTTTAATGCCTGTACGTTGCTGGTGATACCAGTCTCTCCAAAACCATCACCTTATTCTGGCTTTTCGTTCAAGCTCTCTATTCTCTTTTAAAAGCCTCATGAAGAGTTGATTACATGATAAACATAAATTGTCTAATTAGTAGAGAGAAACTATGCTATGCAATAAATGGTGTTAGGTTACAGCTAACCGTTTGGAGAAAAATATTAAATCTCCCTTACATACACACACATTTTATATACTGCGCATTTAAAATGTATGTACTTTTCAGCTGGGCGCCGTGATTGTTAATTACTGCTGTTATTACCGTTAAGAAAAATAAATATTTTAAATTGGCATTTAATAAAGAGATTCAAATATGCAAAAACAGTTAAAATGGTTTGGTCTTAATGTGTTATGGAAACTTTACACCTGTAATCCCAGGACTTTGGGAGGCTGAGGCGAGAGGATCACTTGAGGTCAGGAGTTTGAGACCAGCCTGGCCAACATGGCGAAACCCCGTCTCTACTAAAAGTACAAAAATTAGCCAGGTGTGGTGGTGCATGCCTGTGATCCCATCTACTTGGGAGGCTGAGGCAGGAGAATCGCTTAAACCTGGGAGGCGGAGGTTGAAGTGAGCAGAGATTACACTACTGCACTCCACTCCAGCCTAGGCAACAGAGTGAGACTCTGTCTCAAAAAAAAAAAAAAAAGAAAAGAAAAAAGAAAAAGAAAAAGCATGTACTTTTCTACGAATTTAATTTTGAGAAATAATCAGACGTATGACTAAAGATATATTTATCAAAGTAATCACTATAATGTTAAATATTAGATTTTAAAAAGAACAAAAGAGTAAACAACCAAATAAAAACCCTTTAGATGTAGGGTTACAGAATTGATTATTTGATTGAACTAACCATAGTATATGCAAGAAGGGTACAAATTATAGCCATTAAAACACCCTGGGTAGCTTTATATGTATTAACAGTTATATATCTTGGCTGGGCAGGGTGGCTCATGCCTGTAATCCCAGCACTTTGGGAGACCGAGAGAGGCAGATGGATAAAGCCCAGGAGTTTGAGACCAGCCTGGGCAACGTGGTGAAACTCCATCTCTACAAAAAACACCAAAAAAAAAAAAAAAATTAGCTGGATATGGTGGCACAGGCCTGTAGTCACAGCTACTCAGAAGGTTGAGGTAGGAGGATCACCTAAGAAAGGAGGTCTAGACTGCAGTGAGCTGTGATCACGCCACTGCACTCCAGCCTGGGTGGCAGAACAAGACTGTCTCAAAAAAAAAAAAGTTATATGGCTTAATGTTAAAGTTTCCATAGCACATTAAGACCAAAAGCAGGCACAGAACAGTATCTATGGTATGAATGTATTTTTGTGAAAAATTTAAAAATTCACATGTATATAGGCATACAATTGAAGGTTACCCACCACATTAACATCTGTAGTTCCTATTTCTGAGGGCAGGATTATGAAGAGACTTTCCCTTAAACATTTATGTACTGTTTGCATTTTTAACAGTAGATTTTAACAAGGAAAAAACCATGAAGGTATTTCAATTTTTTTTCTTTTTTTTTGAGACAGAGTTTCGCTCTGTTGCCGAGGCTAGAGTGCAGTGGCACGATCTCGGCTCACTGCAACCTTCGCCTCCTGGGTTCAAGCAATTCTCCTGCCTCAGCCTCCTGAGTAGCTGGGATTACAGATGAGTGCCACCACACCCAGCTAATTTTTTGTATTTTTAGTAGAGACAGGGTTTCTCCATGTTGGCCAGGTTGATCTCAAACTCCTGACCTCAGGTGATCTGCCCTCCTCTGTCCCCCAAAGTGTTGGGATTACAGGCGTGAGCCACCGCGCCCAGCCGGTATTTCAAATTTGAAATAATTATTTTTACAATTTCTTGAACATGGAATCAGAGTTTTTATGTCTCACATACGGTCTCATTCTTTTCGGACATTAGCAGAGCACAAGGCATTTCTTTAATAATTTTTCCTCCATTTTTCTATCTAACTTCAGATGCCATTAAATCTGTACATGAGTTATGAGGAGTGTATGCATGTTTGTGTACATGGTTTGGCTTCTGGGGCACATAAATGAGGTATAAATATTATCCCCATTAACTCAAGGATATCTTAACAAACCATGGAAAATTGAGGTTATTCCATCTTTTTGCCATATGGGATTTTACTGGTAACATGATCCCAAAACTCACATTCCTTGATCTTTGGCACTTGGCACACTCAGGGAATCCGCCTGGGAATTCACCAGATCAACTCCCTGCCTTAGATTAGTTACTTAGGACATAGTGCTGGGAAAATAGTTTTACATTTCAAGTTAGCCGACTAATCTTTGGCTGTCCCTCTCCATGTGACTGACCTGGGGCAAATCTTAGAATCTCAGAATATTGGCTATGGGAGACCACTGTATCGATTCTTTCCATTTTGCAGATGAGAATATTCTAATTCTTGATTTCCTGTAAAGTGGGGAAGTTAAACGAAGATGATTTATAGATTCCTTCTGGCTTACAGCTCTGTGATTCTTGTTTCCTAGTCAAGATCACACATTCCATCCCTGTGGATCAGGTTATTTTTCAGGGAAGCTAGAGTCCTGATTTTTGGCCACAAACCACATATTCAGAATCAAAAGAAGATGATCTTATAATAGCGTAGGCTGAACAATAAACGTTTATAATCTCACTAGAAAAAAAGCACGTGAATGTGTAACCTAATGGTTGCTTAGTAGTGCCAGATATTGCTGCATTGTCGCGTGCAGTCTCTGGGAGCCTTTACTAAGGCCAGGCTCTGTGGGCTTCAAGGTCACAAACAGGAGCGCTGGCCTCCTGGAGCTCCACAAGGCGTCACAGCTGTAATTATTCCATGGAATTTAGGTGAGTGTTGTGAAGGATGAGTGCCATGAAGGGACCTCAGAGCTTCTGCTTCATGCTGTAGCAGTTTGGATCCCAGACAAGGTGACTAACTGAGGAAGCAAGCAGGGGCTAAAATCGAAACTCTTTCCCCAAGCCAGCCTGTGTTTACTGAAAAGAAAAGGGCCTTTAAAAATCCACCAACACTCCCTTTAGCTGAGCAGCCACTTATAGTCCCAGCTACTCGGGAGTTTGAGGTGGAAGGATCCCTTGAGCCCAGGAGTTCCAGTCCACCTGAGCAACAGAACAAGACCCCATCTCTAAAACAAACAAACAAACAAAATAAAAAATGCCATTCCATCCCCCTCACCTGCAGTGCCTTCCCCTATGTTCCAGTGGCTGCCTGTAGGATGCTGTAAGAGTTTGAAACAGGGGCCCTGACCTAGAGCGAGGGTTAGAGAATCCCTCCTAAAGAAATGACTTTCAAGTTGAGACCTGGAAGCTGAGCATGAGTTAACCAGTTGAAAGGAGGAAAGGAAGGAGAGTGAGCCAAGCAGAACACAGTCCAAGGCTGCAAGTCAGAGAAGAGCTTTGAAAGAATGTGCTTGTGGCTGGGGGGCAGTGAGCCAATGGCAGAAGGAATGAGTGCTGTGGCTGGAGTGATGGGCTTTTTAAGCCACATTAGGAATTTTGGACTTTAAGTGCAATGGGAAGCCACTGGATAATTTAAAGGTGACTTGGCAGGCACAGTGGCTGATGCCTGCAATCTCAGTGCTTTGGGAGGCCAAAGTGGATTGCTTGGGAGGCCGAAGAGGATCATTCGAGGTTAGGCATCGAAGACCTGCCTGGACAATGTGAGGCCTCATTTCTACAATAAATAAATAAATAAATAAATAAGCCAGGCATGGTGGTGAGCACCTGTAGTCATACCTACTTGGGAAGCTGAAGCAGGAGGATCGCTTGGGCCCAGGAATTCACAGTTTTAGTGAGCTATAATCCACCACTGCCACTCAGGCCTGGGTGACAGAGTGAGATCTTGTCTCTAAACTAAAATAAAATAAGCTCACACCTGTAATGTCAGCACTTTGAGAAGCTGAGGCAGGTGGATCACTTGAACCCAGCCTGGGTACCATGGCAAAACCCCATCTCTACTAAAAATACAAACAACTAGGCTGGGAGCAGTGGTTCATGCCTGTAATCCCAGCATTTTGGGAGGCTGAGGCGGGTGGATCACTCAGGAGTTCAAGACTGGCCTGGCCAGCCTGGTGAAACCCCGTCTCTACTAAAAATACAAAAAATTAGGTGAGCGTGGTGGTGTGTGCCTGTAATCCCAGCTACTCGAGAGGCTGAGGCAGGAGAACTGCTTGAACCCAGGAGGAGGAGGTTGCGGTGAGCCAAGATCACGCCACTGCACTCCAGCCTGGGCAATAAGAGTGAGAGTCTGTCTCAAAAAAAACAAAACAAAACAAAAAAACTAGCTGGGCATGGTGGTGTGCACCTGTAGTCCCAGCTACTTGGGAGGCTGAGGTGGGAGAATCACCTGAGCCTGGGAGGTCAAGGCTATAGTGAGCCATGATCACGCCACTGCACTCCAGCCTGGGTGACAGACTGAGACCCTGTCTCAAAAGAATAAATAAATAAAATAAAATAAGAGAGTGACTTGAGCAGCTTCAAATAAATTTTATTGTTTCCTCACTTTATCTAATATTAATTGAAATCCTTAGTCTTATGTTGGGGTTATCCCAATAGGACGTGGGAAAGAAAGTTCAAGCTTTCGCCTTGATAGTTCTCCATGATGCTGCTTAACATAAACAATCGAGTTTTCAAAAACCAAAACTCTTGATTTCATTAAGTAAGGAGGGTGTAATGTGTAGTGCTTGGGCCGTTAGAGGGGATGTGGTCACAAGTGGTATATCTGAGGCTTTTGAAGGAGTGCATTCAAGGAAGAGCCCTGCTTGGTGTCAGCTACTGAACCAGAGATCCGAAGAAGTGGACCTCGCCAGCCTCCTGCTCCACCCCGCTACCAGTCTTAGCTGGAGCTCCCTTTTCTTTGTCATACTCAGCCAGTTGCTCATTGCTGTTTTAGAGTCTGGCCCATGTTTTGCTCTTTGGCTGTGCGATTGGCGTGAATCTTCTAAGCAAATGAATAGCTTAGAGGTGAATACTGAATCTTTTGCTTCAAGTAGCTCAGCATTTTTGTCTTTCATTTTTACTAAGTGACTAGATTCAGTATTCGAAGATGTTTTGGCCAAATGATTCATTATTTATTTGGCTTTAGAAAGAGACTTCAAAAGGATAATAGAAATAAACAACCCAGAGGTTTTTTTTTTAAATTGAAGATTAATAAAAGAGAGACCTCTGCTGGCTACAGTGGGGTAACAACCTAGAGTTGGCCACTGACTCCACAGGAAGCTATAATGGCTGTGACCCACCCCATACGCTTTTACAGTTGTCAGCAAATTGATCACTATTTGTTCACTTCTTCAGCAATCAACTCAAGTTCTTTTGGAGTTCATTGAAGTGAGGTATAATTCCCAGTCCAATCACCACTGTTTCTGTTTCAATCTTTAGGAAAAGTATTAGTCTTTTATATTTCTCGAACATAATAGCTTTACATATGAGCCCCTGCCAAACTGAGACCTGAAATAATTCCTGCATCTTACCTTCTCTGTTTCCTTTCCCCTTTTTTGCCTCCACCTCTCCTCCTCCCCTTCTCCAGTAAAACAAAATAAAACAAATCTACACTCAAGAGAGAGTACTGATAGAAAGTGAGAAGGAGGGAGCTGGGCGCTTATCTTTGGCATATCCTCAGCTGAGGATCCAAGCTGGGGGGCCCAGGGTTGGTGTTAACTACCTGAGTAGAGCTGTAGTTCCTACTGATGTCTTCCGTGGGATTTGTTCAACCGTGGGAATGTGGCTGCACGATAGTGGAGCAAGATTCAGTGAATGCTTCAGAATATGGAGGGTCGTTATCTAGGGGGAGGAAGGGGACTGAATGTTCTCTTGAGACCTTTTGTTGGCAACAACAATAATGAGTGCCTACTATGTGCCAGGCCCTGGACTAAGTACCTTAAATACCTTAATTCTGTTTCCTGCTTTTCTTCTCTCTTCACAGTCTTAAGAATGTCTTTCTATGAGAAAAACATTGAATATATGTAAAGAACTTACAACAAGGCCTGCATAAAGTAGTAGCTATGCATGTGTTCACTATTTTATTATTATGTTTTTACTCTGGAATATGCTGCCACTCCTACACATGAGGAGAGGCTCTCCCCATACTCACCAGAGCAAGCAAGTCCTTTTTTTTTTTTTTTTTTTTAAGACACATGGAGTCTTGCTCTATTGCCCAGGCTGCAGTGCAGTGGCATGATCATGGCTCACTGCAGCCTCGACCTCTTGGGCTCAGGCAGTCCTCCTGCCTCAGCCTCCTGAGTAGCTGGGACTGCAGGTGTATGCCACCACACCTGGCTAATTTTAAATTTTTTAGAGATGGGGTCTCACTATGTTGCCCTGGCTGGTCTTGAACTCCTTTGCTCAAGCAGTCCTCCCAACTTAGCCTCCCAAATCATTGGGATGAGAAGCATGAACCACTGTGCCTGGTTAATTACATAGATATTTACATATCTACTATCTTAAAACGGTGTCCTTTTAAGAATTTCAAATGATGCTTTATAGTTTCTAATATGGTGCACTGGGTATACTGTTGATATTTAAAGTTTTGTGAATGATAAATTTCCCTACTTCAGTAGTGCCATAGAATTAATTGATTCTTGTATCTGAAATTTAATGAGTGCTTATGAAGTATGCTGGACTGTGCTAGGTTCTGACAGCATTTGAAAAGAAGTTTGACATCTGCCTGTCTGTCCCCTTTTGGCTGCCTATGAGGTGTGTAAGATGGCTGCAATTTGAGGAGGCATCCTTTGTTCCTGAGGATAGAAGGTGCATTGTGGAGTAGAAAGATACAGGAACTATAGGCGATGCCACACCAACTCTGTGCCACTTATCTCCAGAATTCCTGTACAGAAAAGAAAAGTACACTTTTATCTTGTTTAAGCCACTATGATTTCTGGGCTCTGTTACTAGCTGCCAAATGCAAATCTTAACAGATACAGAAGTCCTTGAGGATTTTTGAGCAAGGAACTGACTGTAAAACTGGTGGCTCTGCAAGGGACAGATTTGGGGAGGGGGGTGTTCTGGAGAATCCTAAGAGATAAAGTTGGCTTGGTAGGTGGGGACAGATAGTAGGGGAGACTGAATGCGGAGAATACACATCTTGCACAGGTCACTGAATTTTGTTTCTTTTTCCCAGGACACCTCTGCTAAACTCCTATTTTTACCGTGGTTATTTAAATATGTGGTTATTGAGGAATTTGTATTCTGCTATCGTCAAGTGGCCTGAAAGCCAGGGAGATCGAGAAGATGAGTGTTCTTTGTGCTTTAAAAAGAAGCAGGCAAAAGCTGGAACGGGAAAGAGTATCAGTGTTACAGTGAAGTGAAGTTACTATGTTTTCTGAACTCCTGCAAGCATTTTCAAGGAAAGGAATGTTTGTTACAGGTGATTGTCTAATCAAGATACATTTGAAATGTATCCTTTACTGGATAGCAACTGTAAACAATATTTAAAAAATATATCTCAGAGTGACTTGCAGAGTAAAGATAATTTCATATGCTAAAATTTCTAAAAGGAGAAAAACCTTTTTTATTAACTTTAATGTTCATATAATCACATTGAGTAATGGCTATTTTTTTCCTAGTGAACTTTTCATTTTAGGTTGGGCAGGTAATTTTATACCTTTAATTACATGGGTCTTAAAAATATGATCCTATAGCCATAACTGAATATTATAAGCTTGGGTACTTTATGTTTCATCTTTCATTAAGGAGTATATTTCTCAGATCCTACCAGATCCTACTTTTTTTTTTTTTTTTTTGAGACAGAGTCTCACTCTGTCACCTAGGCTGGAGTGCAGTGGTGCTATCTTGGCTTACTGTAACCTCTGCCTCCCAGGTTCAAGCAGTTCTCCAGCCTCAGCCTCCTGTGTAGCTGGGACTACAGGTGTGCACTGCCACATCCGGCTAATTTTTTTTTTTTTTTTGGGATGGAGACTCACTCTGTTGCCCAGGCCAGAGTACAGTGGTGTGATCTCAGGTCACTGCAACCTCTGCCTCCCAGGTTCAAGCGATTCTCCTGCATCAGCCTCCTGAGTAGTTGGGACTACAGGTGCGTGCCACTACGCCTGGCTAATTTTTTGTATGTTTAGTAGAGATGGGGTTTCACCGTGTTAGCCAGGATGGTCTTGATCTCCTGACCTCGTGATCCGCCTGCCTCAGCCTCCCAAAGTGCTGGGATTACAGGTGTGAGCCACCACACCCAGCCTAATTTTTGTATTTTTAGCAGAGACGGGGTTTCACCATATTGGCCAGGCTGGTCTTGAACTCCTGACCTCAGGTGATCTGCTGGCCTTGGCCTCCCAAGGTGCTGGGATTACAGGCATGAGCCACTGTACCCGGCCCTCAGATCTTATTTTCTATGGACACCCTACTTTGCTTCAGCCCTGAGGTCCCAGCTGCCCCATTCAACATTTTTACCTTCCTTTTCTGCATTGTCCTAACCTTTAGGAAATCTGAACCCCAGTAGTTGACTGTCTTCTGAACTAGGTGAACCTAATATCCCAATCTCTCTGTTTCCCTAAAAATGGGTTGGCAATTCTAAAGTTCCTTTCAAACCTGGTTGGACAGATAATTATAAGCCTTAATGCAATGACAAATTTCAAGGTCCCTCCAGGCAGTGACTTTCAGCCTTCCCTCTACACATGGAAAGGAATGTGCCCAGTATTACCTGAAAATTCTTACTAGGTTTTGCCTCAAAACGTAATATTTGGAATCTTTTTTTATAATTTTCCCACTACAGACTGGAGACAATCCATATATTACTATTAAAATTGAGTTGCGGCTGGGCACGGTGGCTCACGCCTGTAATCCCAGCACTTTGGGAGGCTGAGGCAGGAGGCTATTCAGTATTACCTGGAAATCAGAATGCCAATTACTCAATAACCATGTATTTAAATAGCCATGATGAAACAGGAATTTAGCAGAGGTTACCTGGGAAAAAAACAAACCCATTAATTATGTCTCTCAAAGTCCTTGTACCTTTTGTAACTTTTTTGTACCTCTTACCAAGAAAAAAAAAATTGTATCTCCCTACCTTTCCCTCCCCATTTGGAAAAAGTACCCTAGAATGCAAGAGACTGAACATCAGGTTGTAACCTGGACTATCTGTTGCAAACTGTCATACTTTTTTTACGAACTTGAAACATTTTAGAGATAGGGTCTTGCTCTGTCGCCCTGGCTGGAGGGCAGTGGCACCATCATAGGTCACTACAGTCTCAAACTCCTGGGCTCAAGTGATCCTCCCATTTCAGCCTCCTGAGTAGCTGAGGCTACAGGCATGTGCCACCACACCCAGCTAATTTAGAACATTTTTCTTTTTTTGTAGAGACAAGGTATTGTTATGTTGTCTAGGCTGGTCTTGAACTCCTGACCTCAAGCAGTACTCCTGCCTCAGCCTCCCAAAGTGCTGAATTACAGGCATGAGCCATTGTGCCCGGCCCCAACCCAGTTTTTATTGCAACGTGGATTGTCTACAGTTTATAGTGTGAAAAAGTATAAAAAATGATTCCCAATTTTAGGTTTTGAGTTATAGCTCCCTGAAGTTCCTGGGTTGCATTTTGCTACAGTCTGCACACAAGAAAAACAAAACAAAACAAGACACACAGTCTGATACGCAGAGAGATGTTCTCTCTGTACAGTTATATAATAACAATAGCTAACATTTGTGGAGCACTCAGTGTGTGCTAAGCCACTCATCTACATTGTTTCCTTTAATCCTGAGATTAAATAAATTCTGAGAAGTAGCTGTAATGATAAGGAAACTGAGCCTTGGAGCTGTAGCTCAACATCACACAAGGCAGCTGAGTCTGGGCTCAAATTCAGGCCTTGGGGCTGTCCTGTCATTCTTATAAATAATCTCAACAGGAAGAAGGCCAGCAGGCTCAGTGTGACACTCGATCCTAAATTATTCTCTTTCACTTTCTGCCCGATTAAAAGACCATATGGTAATTAAATATTTCTGGCCAGCAATGTCTTGCCATTTATTGAAAAATAATACCACAATATCTCTAATAATTGTTTCATTAAAAACAAGAACAGAGCCCCAGCTATGTCCGGAATGGCTCTAAGAACATCTTTCTACTTCTCTGCACCTTAGTCTCTCCTGAGGCAAGATGGAAAGAACAAAATTACGAGGTTGCTTTGGCAAAAAAAAAGGAACAATGGATATTACTTTATTAGGACTAGGAGCCACTTTTTATGGCAGGTTGCAACTGTCAAAGGACATTTTAGGGTCGAGAAGCCCCCTTGCAAAGGACAAAAGATGTCCATGGTAAGAAAAGCACGGAAGGCCCAAGGGAAAAGTTTTAAAATGAGCTTTGCCTCTAAGCCTCCTTTGATGCTCACCTCCATATCGATTCAGGCATTTCTCAAAGGCCACCTTCTTCCAAGGTAGATAAGAGGGCCCTGGTCGGCCGGGCACGGTGGCTCACGCCTGTAATCCCAGCACTTTGGGAGGCCGAGGTGGGTGGATCACAAGGTCAGGAGTTCAAGACCAGCCTGGCCAAGATGGTGAAACCCTATCTCTACTAAAAATTCAAAAATTAGCTGGGTGTGGTGGCAGGTGCCTGTGATCCCAGCTACTCAGGAGGCTGAGGCAGAGAATTGCTTGAACCTGGGAGGCGGAGGTTCCAGTGAGCTGAGATCGCGCCACTGCACTCCAGCCTGGGCGACAGAGCAAGACTCCATCTAAAAAAAAAAAAAAAGGCCCTGGTCAGGGTCTCACTCTGTCACCCAGGCTGGAGTGCAGTGGCATGATCTCGGCTTACTGCAGCCTTGACATCCAGGGCTCAAATGATCCTCTCACGTCAGCCTTCTGAGTAGCTGGAACTACAGGCATGTGACACCACCCTGGCTAATTTTTTGTAGAGATAAGGTTTTGGCATGCTGCCCTGGTCTCAAACTCTTGGGCTCAAGTGATCCTCCCGCCTTGGCCTCCCAAAGTGTTGGGATTACAGGCGTGAGCCACCGCGCCCCGCCATGGTCAAAAGCTTTATCTTCGTTAATCTTGGTTGAGCTGGTTTCCCACTTCCTATATCATTTGCCTGAAAGGGGAGACCCAGCTTACTTTGGAGGTAGGTGTAGGTAGATAAGAGCCAAGTGTTGTTTGCTAATGTATTGAGTGAGGGATCTCATTAAAAGGTCATTTTATTTGTGCAATCAAAGAACTCCTTTGGAGCCCAGTATGGTGTCACACACTTGTATTCCTAGCTACTAACGAGGCTGAGATGGAGAATCTCTTGAGCCCAGTCAATCACTGATGCCAGCGTGGGCAACATAGTGAGACCCCATCTTTAAAAAAAAAAACAGGTGTGATTAATGTTAAGCACCTTGAGATGAGGAGAGCGGTTTGGATTATCCAGGTGAGCCCAATCTAACAAAATAAATCCTTAAAAGCAAAAGCAGAGGGCCTTTCCATCTGTGGTCAGAGGAATAGGTGACTATGGAAGAGTGGTTGCTCCCTTTCCCTTGTCCCTGCTTTGTTTTCTCCACAGCACTTCTCACTCTGTGGGAGGCACAAGAATGCCCCCCTCCAAAGAGATACACATCCTAATCCCCAGAGCCTATTAATATGGTATGTTATATGGCAAAGGGGGGATTAAGGTTGCAAATGGAATTGTTTGCTGATTTGCTGACTATAAAATTGGGAGAGTATCTTGGATTATCCAGGTGGACCCAATGTAATCACAAGGGTCCTGAATCTTGGAAGAGGAAAGCAGAAGAGGGATTCAGAGTGGTGTGACGTGAGGGCTTAGCTTGCTGTTGCTGGCTTCGAGGATGGAGGAAAGGGGCTAGGAGCCCAGGAATGCAGCAGCCTCCAGAAGCTGGAAGAGGCAAGGTAAAGGATTCTCCCCCAGAGCCTCCAGAAACAAATGCAGCCTTGCTGGCACCTTGCTTTTAGCCCAGTGAGACCCATGTTAGACTTCTAGCACACAGTACTGCAAGATATTAAATTGATGATGGCTGGGCGTGGTGGCTCATGCCTGTAATCCCAACACTTTGGGAGGCTGAGGCTGGTGGATCACTTGAGGTCAGGAGTTTGAGACCAGCCTGGGGAACATAGCAAGACTGCGTTTCTACTAATAAAAAATTAGCAAGGAACGGTGTGCACCTGTAGTCCCAGCTACTCGGGAGGCTGAGGCAGGAGGATCACTTGAGCCTAGGAGATCAAGGCTGCAGTGAGCTATGATGGCACCACTGTACTCCAGCCTGGGCAATAGAGCCAGACCCTGCTTAAAAAAAAAAAAAAAAAATGGCTGGCTGTGGTGGCTCAGGTCTGTAATCCCAGCACTGTGGGCGGCTGAGGTGGGCAGATCACCTGAGGTCAGGAGTTCGAGACCAGCCTGGCTAACATGGTGAAACCCCATCTCTACTAAAATTACAAAAATTAACTGGGCCTGGTGGTGCACACCTGTAATCCCAGCTACTCAGGAGGCTGAGGCAGGAGAATCGCTTGAACCTGGGAGGCGGAGGTTGCAGTGAACAGAGATCGCACCACTGCACTCCATATCAAAAAACAAAGAACTGCTTGGTTTCTGATTTCTCAGCTCTCAACTCTAGGCAGGTGATTTATTTGTCCACTTAAGAGATGGGAATTGGACACTGCCGCTGGGATCAGTTCTGATCCTGACTATAAATTTCCGGGGTGCTCTGCCTTAGAACTTGGTTTATTGCCTATTAAGCTGCTTTCCTGTTGCCTGTGCTCAGTGTCTGTCTGGCTCCTGGCCTCCTCTTGCCAGGTGATTTGGCCTCATTCTGAACCTGTTTTATGTAGAGTGTCTGTCTGCCCGACTTCATGGGGCAGATCACAGAACAAGATCCCTGTGCCACGATCTGCTTTCCCTTCACCAAATATCACTATGAACTTGTGCCTACCTGGATCCCATACTTGCTTCACCCTGACAAAGCTTTTTCTTCTCTCTACTTCTGGCCTGCTTTGAATTTATTGTTTTATGCCTGTGTGTTAGAGGGAAAAATGTATTAAAATAATGTACTGGCAATACCTCCCTTCCTGTCTAAAAAAAGTGAATGCTTTGTGTACTCATCTCCCTAGAGGGCCTTTGTTGAATTAAGCAGGGTGATTGGCTGTGAGGAGAATTAAAAGGCAGAGAGAAGACCAAATTGCTCTACCCAACACAAAATGAGGAGATATTTGAAAGAGAATTTTACAAGGAGAAGACTGAAGAAGGCCGGGCGAGGTGGCACACGCCTGTAATCCCAGTACTTTGGGAAGTTGAGGCGGGTGGATCACCTGAGGTCAGGAGTTCGTGACCAGCCTGGCCACTAAACTCTACTAAAAATACAAAAACTAGCTGGGCCTGGTGGCAGGTGCTTGTAATCCTAGCTACTCTGGAGGCTGAGGCTGGAGAATCGGTTGAATCAGGGAGGTGGAAGTTGCGGTGGGCCAATATCGTGCCACTGCGCTCCAGCCTATGCAATAGAGCGAGACTGTCTCAGAAAAGAAAAGACTGAAGAGAAGAGGAAGGAGACATAAGTGAGCTGTACAATTTTTGAGCAAAGAAAGAAACCCAAAGAATATTTTAATGGAAAGCTTCCTATATTGCGTGTAGTGTAACATTCTCTTTGCCTCTCTAAGCATCCAGTACACGTTGAATTTGTGGTAGATTAGGTGTATTAAGTGCTGAGATTGGCCTCAAGGCAAGGGCAGGATGACTCAGAATAGCACAAATAGTTTCAGGTGGGAAGGGGGAGGAAAAAGGGAAGCAAAAGGCAAGGAAAATGCCAAGTGGTCTTGCCTACAGCAGATCTTTCAGCCCGCATGCTTGCTCTGTACTTGGAATTCTCTAGAAAGGTTGCAAGAAGAAGCTGCACTCCAGAGTAGTCTGAGAAAGGGATCAGGAAGAGGGCATTTATCTGCCAGCTCCCTCCTGTCTCCATTTTTTGTGGCTGAGGTTCACACTACTTAGCAGAGCTAAATCCCCTGAATGCCATGTGGTGTCATCTGGCAGCTCCGTGATCACTCAGGAAATTAATTTTACGCCTTGCAGTGTGGCTATTTCATCCGAGTCTGGAAGTGAGGAGTGACCAAGAGAGAACAAAAGGAAGGGTGGTGGGAATCCAAGAAGGCTTAAAACGTATGTCTCTGTAGTTGAGAAAAGGTTTTACTTAAATCCTGTTCCAGGCCGGGTGCAGTGGCTCACGCCTGTAATCCCAGCACTTCGGGAAGCCGAGGCGGGTGGGTCACCTGAGGTCAGGAGTTCGAGACCAACCTGGCCAACATGGTGAAACCCTGTCTCTACATAAAATACAAACATTAGCTGCGTGTGGTGGCAGATGCCTGTAATCCCAGCTACTCAGGAGGCTGAGGCAGGAGAATCGCTTGAACCTGGGAGACGGAGGTTGCAGTGAGCCGAGATCGCACCACTGCACTCCAGCCTGGGCAACAAGAGTGAAACTCCATCTCAAATAAATAAATAAATAAATACATAAATACATACATACATATTGCTCCAAATGGTGAACATGTGCATGACTACGTGTATGAACTCTGATGTCTTCATAAAGAATTTTAAAAAACTATTGGAAAACATGGGAAAACATGCTCTAATTTTTTTTAAATTTCATATTCAGGGAGGTACATGCACAGGTTGTACATGGGTATATTGCATGATGCTGAGGCTTGGGTTTCTGGATGATCCTATTGCCCAAGTAGTGAACGTAGTACCTGATAGGTAGCTTTTCAGCCCTTCTCTCTTCTTCTTCCCCCTTCCCTCCTTCTGGAGTGCCCAGTGTCTATTCTTATTTTTATGTCTGTGTGTACCCAATGTTTAGCACTCGCTTATAAGTGAGAATATGTGGCATTTGGTTTTCTGTTCCTGCGTTAATTTGCTTAGGTTAATGGTCCCCAGCTACACCAATGTTGCTGCAAATGACATGATTTCATTCTTTTTTATGGCTGCATATTCTCTAATGTTAATTGATAATGCCAGATAAATCTTCAGACTTCTAGATTATAATCATGGAACCAGGTAGCGACTTCCGCCTTACTTTTTAAGTTATTTAATTACCCATGTAATAATACATATATATTTTTTTCTAGAGACAGTCTCGCTTTGTCACCCAGGCTGGAGTGCAGTGGTGCCATTATAGCTCACTGTAGCTTCGAATTCTTGGACTCAAGCAATCCTCCCACATCGGCCTCCTAAAGCACTGGGATTACTGTGTGAACTACCGTGTCTAGCCCACGTCTCTTACTAGTTAAAAAAACAAAAAACAAAACCTGTCATTCCAGGTGAAGGGAGTTGCTTTAGTGTAACACCTGGCTTTTCTCTGCCTTTTCCTAACTCTGCTCCTGAGCTGTGATTTAATTGGCAAATTTGGGGAAAATAAAGTGAGCATGCTCAGCTTATCCTGTCCACTTTCCCCTTTGGAATCCAGCCAGCATGAGGCCTGCTGTAGGGGCAGGCTGACACTCTGGTCGCCAGGGAGGCAAGTCTACTTTGGACCAGAACTGCTAGATCTCATTCCGCAGCTTGGTATTGGGAAGCTCTTCTGACTCTCAGATTTAAACTGCATCCTGCAACCCAGTCCTATCAGGAATAAACTAATAATTTGATCCTCTCCCTCCATTCCTTTATCTTATTTCTTAGTTGGCTGTAAAATTTAAAAAGGAGGAGGGGTGCTTTTTATTGGGCCCTTCTTGCAACATTTGGTTCATTGGCTAAAAAATTGAAATGTAAGAAAAAAGGAAGGAGCACAATTAGGGAGAAGCAAGTGAACACACATGGAGTGATTGAGGCTTCTGGAGTGGTGAGGGATTGGCCTTGGCGCTGGGTCTTGTTCTTGGTATGTGTGCCGGACATGTTAATCTTGGCAGTTTGTATAGGCTTATATTGGGCTAGGTAGGTTTTTGTGGTGGTGCATTAGTGCTTAAAAGCCATGGCCTGGGGAAAACTTTGGAAAAGTCATTCAGAGGCTGTAGCAGGGCCTTGACAAGGGCATGGGGCTGTCAGAGGGCCTAAGTGGGGACTGGCAGGCTGAAGAGCGTTAATAAGCAGTCACAGCTGATGCAAGGATTCAATTATAGGAGGAAAGAAACAATCTTTTCATATACTATCCTTTTAGATATTAAGAGAGTGAAAAAAATATCTGCTGTTTTTAAACCATGGAGCAGCTGGGTTCTCTATGGACCACGGAGCATTAGTGAGAGATTGGCTTCCAATGTGTTAGCACGAGGTAATGTAAACAAACAGTCCAAGTTTTAATTCCTCTTTTATGTTGTTTTGCACTATCCTTAAGGGCAAGAGAGGGCAAGGTGGAGGGGCTAAGTTTGACTTCATGTGGCTCAAGAATCAGTCCCTCTACTTGTTCTCAAGGTTGCTAGAAACTGGTTGCTTAGATTTTCTCTTTCTTTCTTAGCATGATAAAGTATCAAACAATATTTTTTTGTGAATTTTTAAAACCGATACATAATGCTTGTGGATATTTCTGGGATGCATGTGATATTTTGATACATGCATACAATGTGTGATGATCAGCACCACCTCAAACACTTATCATTTTTTTGGGAACATTCCAAATCTTTCTTCTAGCTATTTTGAAATATATAATTATGGGTTTTTTTTTTTAGGCCTAAGGAATTCCACAGAAAAAGATAATGGGAAAAGCCACTGTGGCACAGGAAAAAAATGTTTACTTGGTATTGTGGGAGCCCTCTTACTAGGCAGAAGTTCACTTCCATTGCAGCACTGCAGTGCAGGCACCTAAAGATCAAAGGGGACGTGGAAATATAAAGGCTTTGAATATCTGGGTAAGAAAGAACAGCTCCTCTCAAATAAGATGTGATGACTGAAGATATTGCCATTTCATATTTCTAAACTTTACAAGAAGGCAGCATCCTCTCAAATACTCTGAGACAGGAGAAAGTACTCAGAGGGGGATCTTCCCAGATGTGGTAAGTGTGAGGTGCACAGTGCTGAAATTAACCTGTGACCAGGAGATTTCTACTAACTGGGTTTAAATTCACAGGCCATGGGGTCTGTACTCTTGGCATTGATCAAGTGGCATTTTGGTGAGGCTGCAGTCTCTGCAACAGTCTTTGGGCACCCAAAGCACTGATTCTGGGTATGCGATTCTGCTTGAGCTACCTGCTAGGAATTGGCTTATTTTATGAAGATGGCTGGGATAGAGCCAGTGCTATGATCATTTTACATGTTCTGTTAAATCTATAGATTCTTTAGAAAAAAGTACATCCCAGACTAGGCTGATATTGAGGCAGGAGAATAGGGTCTGGAAACAGGGAACCTAAGGTCATTTCACGCTAACTTTCTAGAACTAAATTTAAAGAAAAACCCTAACATTCCACGCCTAAGTAACAAAAGGACCAGAGGCTACTCCCTTTGCAAACCCCCACCTTTTCTGCCCAGCAGATGGGCAATTGGCTGTCAGCAACCAATCAGACTGATTGCAGGCAGAGTCTTAGTTTCCATAGAAGTGCAACTTTGTAACTTCACCTTAACCTCTGATTGGTTGCTTTTTGCAGCCAATTAGTTGTTTGCACAGGAGTGTGACGTTGGTAACTTCAGCCTCTAATTGGTGGCTTTCCGCCACCAATCAGAGCAACTGCGGACCACCACTTTATTTACATGAGGTGACCACCAAGTGGCCCATGGGAAACCTGTAGGGGGTATTTGGACCCAACAGAATTCTGTAACCCGGGTTTTTGAGCCGCTGCTCAGGCCGCTCCCACACTGTGGAGTGTACTTTCGTTTTCAATAAATCCCTGCTTTCATTCTTTAGTTGCTTCATTCTTTCTTTGTTTTGCTGGGCATTTTGTCCAATTATTTGTTCAAAACGCCAAGAACTTGGACAACTTGCAGTCAAGACCCTCTACTAGTAACAATATTATCATTATTTTTTGACTTGGAGGCCCTGAAGGAAATGCCCCCATTCCAATGAAATACAGCTTAAGCTGTACTTGTCAAAAGATCCCTGACTGTACCCCCACACTGAAATCCCTTCCGGTAGAGACAAAGCATAATAAGAAATTGGGAAAGATGGCCGGGCGCGGTGGCTCACGCCTGTAATCCCAGCATTTTGCGAGGCCGAGGCGGGCGGATCACCTGAGGTTGGGAGTTCGAGACCGGCCTGACCAACATGGAGAAACCCTGTCTCTACTAAAAATACAAAATTAACTGGGTGTGGTGGCACATGGCAGTAATCCCAGCTACCTGGGAGGCTGAGGCAGGAGAATCGCTTGAACCCGGGAGACGGAGGTTGCAGTGAACCAAGATCGGGCCATTGCATTTCAGCCTGGTCAACAAGAGTGAGACTCTGTCTCAAAAAAAAAAAAAAAAAAAAAAGGAAATTGGGGAAGATACATTTTGGACTTCTTTGAATTTTAACCCACACATGTAAGATAATTTTATTTTGAACTTCACTTTCTTTTATCTTTAATGTCTCATGATTTTGACTTATAAGGAGATGGATTTCATTTCTTGGACATTAATTTCTCCCTAGAAACTTGATAAAGGGAGGAGATTTATGTTAAAGTATATTTTTTCTCAATATTATTGGTATTTTCTTATTGAGTTTTTTTTGCGCATATTATTGGAGTGTAGTATACTTTTGTCATGTAATCTCATTGTTGATCCTCTGATATGTGGACAGTATGGATAAACATAATAAAAATTAGTAATAGAAAAATGGAGTTAAGCCTTGGATACAGAATGTCACTGAACCTTTTTTTTTTGTTTGTTTTGAGACAGGGTCTTACTCTGTCACCCAGGCTGGAGTGCAATGGCGTGATCACAGTTCACTGCAGCCTTGACCTCCTGGGCTGAAGCGATCCTCCCACCTCAGCCTCGCAAGTAGCTGGGACTATAGGCATGGGCTACTGCACCTGGCTAATTTTTTTTTTTTTTTTGGTTGTCTTTTGGTAGAGATGGGATTTCACCATGTTGCCCCAGCTGTTGTTGAACTCCTGGGCTCAAGCAATCCACTTGCCTTAGCCTCCCAAATTGTCAGGATCACAGGTGTGAGCCACCACGCCTGGCCCCTGAAATATTAATGTGTTATAGTGAACTATTTTGGAACCTTATGTGAGCAAAATCGCCATTGCCTACCAGGGTTCCTGGAAAGGTACAAAGTAGGGTGGTATGAGAGGGAAGGGTAACGTCATGAAGGTGGGGCAAGGATGGTCCTCACAGGCTGTCAAGATGCTGTCTGGAGGATGTCAGCCACACCTCTGGCTGGCATAGGCTGAATGGTTAAACCAATGTCTTAAGAGAAAAAACATCGAGAGAATATTAGTGGGAAATGATTCTTTTTTGTTTTGAGACAGAGTCTTGCTCTGTTAACCCAAGCTAGAGTGCAGTGGTGTAAATGTGGCTCACTACAACTTCTACCTCCCGAGCTCAAGGGATCCTCTTGCCTTAGCCTCCCAAATAGCTGGGACTACAGGGGCGTTCAACCATGCCCCACTAATTTTTAAATTTTCAGAAGAGACAAGGCATTGCTATGTTACCCAGGCTGGTCTGAAACTCCTGGCCTCGAATGATCCACCCACCTTGGCCTACCAAAGTGCTAGGACTATAGGCGTGAGCCAGCACGCCCACCCAGGAGTGACTCTTAGGCAACCTCGATATTACCTTCTGTGATAGGCTGAATAATGGGCCCCCAAGTATGTTCACATCCTAATTCTCAGAATCTGTGAGTATGTTATATGGCAAAAGGAACTTTGCAGATGTGATTAAGTTGAGGATCTTGAGATAAGAGAGGTTACCTTGTGTGTCCAATATAATCCATTGATCTCTATAAGAAGGACAGAGGAAGAGTCAGTAAAATAAAGTGATGTGACGGCAGAAGCAGATTGGAATGATGAGCTTTGGAGATGGAGGAAGAAGCCGTAAGTCAAGGAATACAGTCCAGTAGAAACTGAAAAGGCAAGAAAACATTCTCCCCTCAGAGGCTTCAGAAGGAACCAGTCCCTCTGACACCTTGACTTTACCCCTAATGAAATGGATTTTGGATTTCTGACCTCAAGAGCTATTGAGAATAAATTTGTTTTCTAAGCATCTATATTTGTGGTAATTTTTTACAGTGGAAAGAAGAGACCTTCTATAAGAAGGAACTTGATTTTATCTCCTGTGTTTTTGGACAGGGTAATTTAATCTGACTGGTAAATTCTAGAATAATAAACTGAACATGATTGGCTTAGTCTCCTTCTCTTTGTTCTTTGGGAGCCAGTCAAGCCCAAGAAAGCACAAGTTCTACTTCTTGCAGGGTAGGATGCTACCCATATGATGAGATGTGCCCCACTCAGTGCTGCTGGACCTGGGTGGCTAATTAAGTTCATGTAACTGTGGTTCAGTATTAGCATTTGGCTTTCATGTTAAGCTATATTCTCCTGTAGTTTTAATCAGAATACAGTGATATTTTGACCTCCACAGACCACTTCTTGGACTTATCTCTTTGCTCATCACTCAGGCATGACAAAATGGTGACTTTGAGGATAATGGATTGAACAAAAATGATACAATCTCTTGTAGCTCCCAATTTCTATAAGTAGTGGAGAAAATTTAAAAAAAAAATCACAACTGCATTGGAAACAAGAAATTTCCAGGAACCAGAAACTATGACAAATCCCTAAATGACATAGGATCAGGTGAAGGAGGTAAGCCACAGTTAAAACTAGAACAGTAGACTATTGCTGCAAAATATAGCGGACACTAAGAATACTCCTTGCCCCAAAGTGGTGGATAGCAGTGACAGGAAGTTCAAAGGTAACTAATAGATTGACTAATTCAGGTACCACAGTAGGACTATCTAGATGGTTCAATTGCTGCTTGCTATCCCTTCTCTATCTGTTTAGCCAGGTAATAGTGATGAGTGGTATCTATCTCCACTCAAGAAAAATGGGTAGGAGGGTGATGATAAGATAAGGCAGTGCCCAACCCCCAGTGTCTGGCAATACCTGGGAGGAGGGGGGTGCACTCACGTTGGAACACTAGCCACCAAGGTATGACCAGTGCTACATCCCATCCTCCCTCACAATAGGCTAAAAAAATAGATGTGACATACATCTAAAAGGACATTGCCTCTGTAAAGATGAGTGACAAATCAAGAATGGATGAACTTTAAAGAAGGCTAACATGAAAGAGAGACAAGAAACTCAATAGACGATAAAACTTCCATCTGAGAAAATGAATTAACACAGCAAGAAGATTAGGTCTTTTCAATAAGTATGACTTGTATCATTAAAGAAATGTGAAAGGGTAATATACATATGTATAAGAATAAATTAGATATTGTGGAAATTTGAATGATTGTTGAAATAATTTAATAGAAGGGGGTTGGGTGTGATGGCTCATGCCCGTAATCCCAAAACTTTGGGAGGCCAAGGAAGGATAGCTTGAGGCTAGGAGTTTGAGACCAGCCTGGGCAACATGGCGAGACTACGTCACTACAAAAAAATAATAAAAAAAATTTAGCCAGGCATGGTGGTGTGTGCCTGTAATCCCAGCTACTCCAGAGGCTGAGGTGGGAGGATCGTTTGAGCCCAGGAGGTCGAGGTGGTAGCAGTGAGCTGTGGATCACACCACTGCACTCCAGCCAGGGCCACAGAGTGAAACCCTGCCTCAAAAAAGTTCCAGAAAGAAAGAAATATGAGTAGGGAAGAGAGGCAGTGCATTTAAATAATTCGAAGAATTATTTAATCTCAGGCTTAGTTTCTGAGATGGAAAGAAACTACAAAGTCCCTACAAATAGCACGAAATTTGTGAATAGAAAAGATAAAGAGAAAAGCCTTAAAATCTTCCAGAGGAAAAAACCAGAAGGAAGGAGAATCAAATTGAAATCAGACTTCTTATCAGTGATATTGTATTAAAAAATATCAGTGTGAGTCAGGTGTGGTGGCTCATGCCTGTAATCCCAGCGCTTTGGAAGGCTGAGGTGGGCGGATCACCTGAGGTCAGGAGTTTGAGACCAGCCTGGCCAACATGGTGAAACTTTGTCTGTACTAAAAATACAAAAATTAACTGGGCGCCTGTAATCCCAGCTACTTGGGAGGCTGAGGCAGGAGGCTCACTCGAACCCAAGAGGTGGAGGCTGCAGTGAGCCGAGATTGTGCCACTGCACTCCAGCATGGGCGACAGAGTGAGACTCTGTCTCAAAAAAAAAAGGAAAAAGAAAAAAAGAAAAAAACATCAGTGCAATGAAGCAATGAAATGTTTGTAGTTTTGAGAGACAGTAACTCAGCCTCCCAAAGTGGTGGGATTGTCCCAGCCTCCCAAAGCACTGGGATTACAAACATGAGCCACCACACCTGGCCAACAATAACTTTTAATTTAGGATTCTGTTAGACCCAATCAAATATAATAAAAAGAGAAGGGCCTTTCCTACCAGACATCTACCTTTATTTTTATTTATTTATTTAGAGACGGAGTCTTGCTCTGTCACCCAGGCTGGAGTGCAGTGGCACAATCTCGGCTCACTGCAACCTCTGCCTCCTGGGCTGAAGCGATTCTCCTGCCACAGCCTCCAAGTAGCTGTGACTACCTGGCTAATTTTTGTATTTTTAGTAGAGACGGGGTTTTACCATGTTGTCCAGGCTGGTCTTGAACTCCTGACCTCCAGTGATCTGCCCACCTGAGCACCCCAAAGTGCTGGGATTACAGGCGTGAGTCACCATGCCTGGCCGAAATCTATCTTTAATATGAAGTTATTGGCTGGACATGGTGGCTCACACCTGTAATCCCAGGACTTTGAGAGGCTGAGGAGGGAACATCGCTTGAGGCCAGCAGTTTGAGACCAGCCTGGGAAACATAGTGAGACCTTTGTCTCTCAAAAAAAAAAAAAAAAAAAAATTAGCCAAGCATGGTGGCACACACCTGTGGTCCTAGCTACTCGGGAGGCTGAGGTGGGAGGATCGTTTGAGCCCAGGAGTTCAAGGCTGCAGTGAGCCATGATCAGCCACTGCACTCCAGTCTGGGCGACAGAGTGAGGCCCTCTCTCAAAAAAACAAAAAATGAAGTTATTGTTATTAAAACAGTGTGATATAAGTGCAAGAATAGATAATTAGACATTTGGAACAGAATAGGGAGCTCAGAAACAGACTCACTCATATATGAAAACTTTATTTGTATAAAATCAACACTCCATACCTGTAGGAAAAAGATACATTAGTCTATCAGTAGTGCTGGGACAATTCGTTATATATAATGAGATCCCTAGCTCACTTCATATAACAAAAACAAATTTCACAGAAGGATTCAAAATGAACAGCAATTTTTAGCAAAAAAAAAGGATAATATTTTTATGGTCTTGCGTAGGGCAAAAGGAAGCCCTATACCCAAACCGTAAAGGAAAAGATTGATAATTTCAGTTATATTAAGATGAAAAAATGTCTGCTTATTAAAAGGCATCATAAAAAGTGAGAAGTTACAATCTGAAAGAAGATATTGGTAACAAATATAACCCACAATAATTAGTATCCAGATTATATGAAGAACTCCAAACTGCAACATCAGCTGGGCGTGGTGGCTCACCCTTGTAATCCCAGCACTTTCCAAGGCCAAGGCAGGTGGATTGCTTAAGCTCAGGAGTTCAGGACCAGCCTGGACAACATGGAGAAACTTCATCTCTACCAAAAATACAAAAAATTAGCTGGACGTGGTGGCACATGCCTGTGTCTCAGCTACTCCAGAGGCTGAGATGGGAGGATCACTTGAGGCCAAGAGGTGGAGGTTGCAGTGAGCCGAAATTGCGCCACTGCGCTCTAACCAGGGCAAAAGAGTGAGACTCTGTCTCAAAATAAACAAACAAAAAACATAAAACCTAAAAAACTGCAACGTCAATCCTTCCCTGAGTTTCTAGCCTGCCAGCCTGCTCTAGACATTTCAGACTTGCTCCTGGCACAATTGTGTCAGCCAATTCCTTAAACTAAACCTTTCTCTCTCTATATAAGTCTATATCCTATTAGTTCTGTTTCTCTGGAGAACCCTGACTAATCCAAGTCAGAAGAATGAAGTCTGGTAGCAACTGGGAGACTCTGAGTGGAGAGAAGTGAAAAGATCCACTGTCAGATGAAGGCAGACCCGTGGGTGAAGAATCATATTGAAGAATCCTCTGTTAGATGAAAAAGCCCACGTGACTGCATGGATTTTGGTTTATGTTGTTGTGTTTTTAACCTTCTGTTAATGCCAGCAATCGATTTTTCCAGATTTCTCTTTGAGTTCTTTTTCGAGAATAGCTGCTTTACTGTAGAGTACAGAATTAGACCCGTTTGGGTTTTCATCAGCAGCCTTCAGATCTGCTGCTCCGCATGCCTCTTTATGAACGCTGGCACCTTTTAAGGATAATTCTAGGCCATCTTAATCTCTTTTAATTTGGTTAATCTTTTCAAGAATTTTTGCATTTTCTTTCAGTTTGGTAAATTGTATAGTGAATTCCCTTTCCTTCCTCTATGGATTTTTTGTATTTTAAAAAATTGTGGTAAACATAACATAAATTTATTATTTTACTGTTTTAACCACTTTTAAGCAATTTCTCATTGTTGTGCAACCATCACCACTATCCATTTCTAGAACTTTTAAAAAATCCCAAACAGAAGCTTGTACCCATTAAACACTAGGTTCCTATTCTCTTCTCCCCTGTCCCCTGGAAACCTCTATTCTACTTTCTGTCTCTATAAAGTTGTCTAGTCTAGGTACCTAATATAAGTGGAACCATATAATATTTTTCCTTTCTATAGCTGCTTTTTTTCTTTTTTTTTGAGATAGAGTCTTGCTCTATTGCCCAGGCTGGAGTGCAATGGCACGATCTCGGCTCACTGCAACCTCCACCTACCGGGTTCAAGTGATTCTCCTGCCTCTGTCTCCAGAGTAGCTGGGATTACAGGCGCCCACCACCAGGGCCAGCTAATTTTTGTATTTTTAGTAGAGACAGGGTTTTGCCATTTTGGCCAGGCTAGTCTCAAACTCCTGACCTTAGGTGATCCACCCGCCTCAGCCTCCCAAAGTGCTAGGATTACAGGTGTGAGCCACTGTGCCTGGCCTACAGCTGCTTTTTAACTGAAGAAAAACTTCTCCAAAACAAGAACTATAAAAAATATCCAATAACTCTTGCCCTTACCATCATCTCCAAAGAGATTTGAAGAGATTGGACTCAGGCTCATGTTTTCAGGCCATGATCTTGCAGGTGTCTCCAGGAGAAGCCTGAAGCTCAGTTCTGAGGCAGTCACAATGCTTTTGGTGAGCCCAAGTTCACCACAGACCTGCCTCTGGGGGTATCGGCCCACTGAACCACAACAGACCACCCATCTCATTCCACAATGTTCAGCTAACCCCGCATGACAGCTGGGACAGCAGGCTCAGGGCTCAGAGAGGCACATTGAAGAACCAGTCCAGCCCATGCTTTAAAAAGTAATAACTCATTTTACTTAACTTTTTAAACTGAAACATAAAACACAGATTCATAAAACTATGAGATAAATTATTGTAAAGAGAACATCTTTGTGACTGCCAATCAGATCAAGAACTAGAACGTTGTCAGCCACCCCCGAAAGCCCCTCTATGTGTCCCATCCAATTTCAACCCTCTTCCATCTCCCAAAAGTAACCGCTTTCTTGCCTTTTTTTTCTTTAAAAAAAAAATCATTTTATTGAGAGGTAATTCACGTAACATACAATTCACTTATTTAAGGGGTACAATTCAATGGCTTTTGGCTTATTTACAGAGTTGTGCAACACCCTCCTGAGTTTTATAGCATTTCCTTGTATCCACTGGTATCTGTAGTTTCAGGCACCCACTGAAGGTCTTGGAACATATGCCTCATAGATAAGGGGGAACTGCTGTAACTGGTCACTTTTGAAGGATGGAAAGCAACTAAAGCAACTAATTCAATATCTTTTTTTTTTTTTTTTTTTTTGAGACAGAGTCTTGCTCTGTCGCCAGGTGCGATCTTGGCTCACTGCAACCTCTGCCTCCCGGGTTCAAGTGATTCTCCTGCCTCAGCCTCCCAAGTAGCTGGGACTACAGGCACCCACCACCGTGATGCCTGGCTTTTTTTCTTTTTTTTTTTAATTTTAGTAGAGACGGGGTTTCACTGTGTTAGCCAGGATGTTCTCCATCTCCTGACCTCGTGATCTGCCCACCTTGGCCTCCCAAAGTGCTGGGATTACAGGTGTGAACCACCACGCCTGAACTAATTCAATTATCTTAAAAACTGGTAAAGTGCCGGGTGCAGTGGCTCATGCCTGTAATCCCAGCACTTTGGGAGCCCGAGGCAGGTGGATCACGAGGTCAGGAGTTCGAGACCAGCCTGGTCAACATGGTGAAACCTTGTCCGTACTAAAAATACAAAAATTACCTGGGCCTGGTGGTGCATGCCTGTAATCCCGGCTATTAAGGAGTCTGAGGCAAGAGAATCGCTTGAACCTGGGAGGCGGAGGTTGCAGTGAGCCAAGATTGCACCACTGCACTCCAGCCTCAGCAACAGAGCAAGACTGTCTCAGAAGCAAAACAAAACAAATCAAAACAAAAACTCGGTAAACAAAGGGACAGAGCCAGCATTTTTCCTGCCTTTCCTATTGAATGAACAGAAACATTCAATTTATCCATCCGTAAATGTGATGCCTTTTCCACTTCAACTAAGCACTTACGTATTGTGGCCTTAACTTTTGCAGTTTGAGATGCAACAGCAAAACTAGCATGATTTCTTTTTCCTTCTTCACAGTGTCACCGATAGAGTCATTCTTAACCACAGATCTTAGCAATCTCGGCATATGATTTCTTTTCTTTCCTTATTGAGAACCTTCACCTTTTCATTTAAAGGGAACACTTTACAGCTTCTCTTTGGCATATATGAATTGCCAGAGTCACTATTCTTGTACTTTGGGGCCATTAGGAAGTAAAATAGGGTGACTTGAATACAAGCACTGTGATATCGTCACAGCCAATCTGATAACCAAGAAGGTTACTAAGTGACTAATGGGCAGGGAGCGCCTACAGTGTGGTTCAGCTGGACAAAAGGAGGACTCACATCCTGTGCGGGAGGGAGCAGGATGGCACGAGATTTCATCACGCTACTCAAATGGCATGCAATTTAAAACTTATGAATTGTTTATTTCTGGAATTGTCCATTTAATATTTTCAGACTGTGGTTGACCGAATGTAACTGAAACAACGAAAAGGGAAACCATAGAGAAAGGGGAGCTGCTATAGTTGTTTTTTTTAAACCATTATGAACACATGGATTTAAATATCTTTGAAGGGTTTCATTCTATCGTAATTATTATCCTTAATGAAGCTCAAGTTGTCCCATCTTGGCCAAAATTGCCTCTTGTGTCCCCTTGGCAGAACTGTAGTTGTCTTTGTTAGCTTCCTTGCTATCTTGTATGACAAGATGCTATAAAGTATATCACTGACTTTTGGTAGGATGTGATATTGACTTAGGAATAGACAAATATGTTGATGGAAATAAGGAATGGGATAATTCATAAGGTTATGCAATAGATATCTGTTTTTGTTGTTGTTGTTGTTGCTGCTGCCGGCATTTATCGCACTTCCTACAAGGACAGTTTCACAAAATTTATTTGAGATATTACTCTTCATTCATTTAGCCTTATTGAAGTGTGTTGAAGGGACTGACCCCGTCTGCAGCTCGGGCTGCCTTGACGTCAGTATATCCAGTTACCCTGTTGGGAGTGACTAGTTTATAAATGGGCATGGCCAGAGCCAACGGGAGATGAGAAGACATTCACTGGGACTTCTAGGAAAGACATTAGGATAATTGGCCTTCCATTTGGAGGAAGATGCTAAATTTCTACTTCTTACCATTGGCAAATATTAATAGAAGTGAAATTAAAACCCTAGAAGAGTCTATGATTATTAGAAGAGGCAGAAAGGCAAAAAGCCATATTGATAGATTGATAATTTGATTACATGATGTCGGAACTATACAACACCATGAAAAAAATTAAGACAAGCAACTGAATAGAAGTAGACATGTTATATACATAACAAAAAACTTGTGTCCAGCTCATGCCTGTCATCCCAGCACTTTTGGAAGCCAAGGCAGGCGGATCACTTGAGCCTAGGAGTTCGAGACCAGCCTGGGCAACATGACGAAACCCCCTCTTTACAAATGATACAAAAATTAACCACCACACCCACAGTCCCAGTTACTCAGGAGGCTGAGATGGGAGGATCACTTGAGCCTGGGAGGCAGAGGCTGCAGTGAGCCATGATCGTGCCACTGTACTCCAGCCTGGGTGACACAGTGAGACCCGGTCTCACAACAAACAAACAAACAAACAAAAACCTTGGCCGGGTGCAGTGGCTCACGCCTGTAATCCCAGCAGTTTGGGAGGCCGAAGTGGGCAGATCACCTGAGGGCAGGAGTTCGAGACCAGCCTGCCCAACATGTCAAAACCCCGTCTTTACTAAAAATACAAAAAATTAGCCGGGCGTGGTTCTGGGCGCCTATAATCCCAGCTACTTGGGAGGCTGAGGCAGGAGAATCACTTGAAACTGGGAGGCAGAGGTTGCAGTGAGCCGAGATAGTGCCATTGCACTCCAGCCTGGGTGACAAAAGCGAAACTCTGTCTCAAAAAAAAAAAAAAAACAACCAACAACCAAACAACCAAACAAACAAAACCCTTATGTCCATACCACAGTAAACCTTCTATATGTGGATAAGAAAAAAGGCAAATCAATAGAAATATGTGCAAAATATATGAATAGATCATTTACATATAAGGATCTGAAAGGGCAACCCCCTTCCCCAACATATGAAAGTTACTCTACCTCTCTAATAGTCAGTAAAGCACATTTTAAAACTTGGTACATAGTAGGATATACCAAAGTTTAACCATTCCCCTACTGGTGGAAAGTTAGATCATTTAAAACTTATTATTACATACAATGCTCATTGAAGATGTGTCTTGCCTCTTTGGAACATATTCGTGCTTTTGAGATGTTAAACCTTATAACCTAAACCTAGAATGTGATAGCAAACATCTTGGTGTCTGCGTCCTGAATAGAAGTTATATATTATGTGAACATACACTAAAATTTAGCATCAGAGTGTTCTTTGAATTGTATTTTTAATCATGTGCTTAATCTAATACACTTGGGAACTACTGGAACTTTTGCTGGTCAGATTAGTTCAAACAGTTAGAAATTGTTCTCTTTCCTTGAAATAAAGCTGATTGAAGGATTATGTTGTCTGAATAGCTGTAGGATTCAGAAACTCCTTTATAAAGACTTACTTTATTTTTAGGTTTAAAAATATCCATGATTTCTTTTGGATTAATGGTCTAAACATGCTTATTTGACTAAAGCCTTACTTTTTTATTTATCATGGCTATAGCTTGTTTGTTGTTCATTAGTTGTAAGTGTGTTCCAGGGAGAGGAAATTGTTTAATCTCTACTCAGTAGGGAAAGAAAATATTTATCAAATTCAAAATATGTATGCCTTTTGTTCAAGCAATTTCAATTTGAGGAGTCTTCCCTACAGAAATACTCATAAGCATATACACACACACATACTCACACACAAGGATGTTCACTGCACCATTGTTTCTAATATATAATTCAGTTGAAAATATGATAAATGTCTATCAACAAAGGAATGAATTAGCAAATCATGACCTGTCCCTAAAATGAGTGACAGCCACATGTATCACCTTGGAAAAATGTCTGTATATGAGAGGGTGCTGGAAGGGAACAGAACTCACCCCCAAATGGTTTGAATGAACATATATATATACATGAACATATACATATATGTATATGTATAGAGAGAGAGAGAGAGAGAGAGAGAGAGAGAGTCTTGCTCTGTCACCCAGGCCTAAGTGCAGTGGTGTGATCATAGCTCACTGCAACCTTCAACTCCTGAGTTTAAGCAATCCTATTGACCCAGCCTCCCAAGTAGCTGGGACTACAGGTGTGCACCACCACCATGCCTGGCTAATTTTTTGAATTTCTTTTTGTAGAGGTGGGATCTTGCTATGTTGCCCAGGCTGCAAATGAAGACATTTTTAAGGAAGAGTTTACTTACAGAGGTTAGGTGCCAAGCAAACAAAGAAGGGATGGTGAAGTGCCTAGAGACTAGCAATGGTGGAAAGTGATGCCCATTCCTAAGGCCTCAGGTACAAAGGAGAGGGCATAGCACAGTAGGAGCCCAGTGAAATTTGGAACCATGGAGGCAGGGCCACCCAGGGAGTTATAGCTAAGGATGGAGACAGCCACTGCAAAAGACAGAGCTGATGCAGGTAGGAAACAAGGAAGGAATACCCTGACTTTTTAAAATTAATTAATTTATTTTTTATTTTTTTCCGAGATGGAGTCTTGCTCTGCCACTCAGAGCTAGAATGCAATGGCACTATCTCGGCTCACTGCAACCTCTGCCTCCCAGGTTCAAGCAATTCTCCTGCCTCAGCCTCTCGAGGAGCTGGGATTATAGACGCGCACCACCACACCCAGCTAATTTTTGTATTTTTAGTAGAGATGGGGTTTCACCATGTTAGCTAGGCTGGTCTTGAACTCCTGACCTCGTGATCCATCCACCTCAGCCTCCCAAAGTACTGGGATTACAGGTGTGAGCCACCACGCCCAGCCTTACCCTGACTTTTTTCCTTTTATTCTCTGATATTTTGCTGCAGAGACCTCTGCAGTGACCTTTGATTGGCTGAACCCACTCGGAAACATTTGGCATGGGAGCCTGAGTAAAGTGGTCCACTGGCCAGAGAGAAAGGACAAATATGGCCCATGAAGATAGAGAATGACTAGCATGATGTTTTGAGGGTATTTTTGGTTTTGAAATCAATTAGCCTGGGCGCCGTAGCTCACACCTGTAACCCCAGCACTTTGGGAGGCTGAGGCAAGAGGATTTCTTGATCTCAGGAGTTGAAGACCAGCCTGGGCAACATAGTAAGACCCTGTCTCTAAAAGAAAAATTTTAAAAGCCGGGTGTAGTAGTCCCAGCTACTCCAGAGGCTGAGATGGGAGGATTGCTTGAGCCTGAGAAGCAGAGGCTGCAGTGAGTCATGATTTCACTCTAGTCTGGGTGACAGAGCAAGACCCTGTCTCAAGAAAAAAAATTATTTTTAATTGACAATAAAAGTTGTATATACTCATTGTGCACAGCATGATGTTTAGATATATGTGTGCATTGTGAGATGGCTAAATCAAGCTAATTAACATATTCATTACCTCACATTTTTTTTTGTATGCGGCGAGAACATTTAAAAACTACCCTCTTAACAATTCCTAAGTACAATTATCCCCCCATATCCAAGAAAAATTGGTTCCGGGACACCCTGTGAATTCCAAAATTTGGGGAATGTTCAAGTACCTTATTAAAAAAAGTGTAGTATTTGTGTATAACCTATGCACATCTTCCAATATATAGTTGGCTTTTGTTATCTGTGGGTTCTGCATCTGTGGATTCAACCAACCAGAAATTGAAAATATTGTGTGTGGGGGGGGGGAAAACAATACAACAATAAAAAATAATACAAATAAAAAGCAATGAAGTATAATAACTATGTAGCATTTGCATTCTATCAGGTATTATAAGTAATCTGGAGATGATTTAAAGGATAGGGAGGATGTACATAGGTTATATGCAAACGCTATACCATTTTATATGGGACTTTAGCATCCTCGCATTTCTGTATCTACAGGGGGTCCTGGAACCAATCCCCCACTTATATGAGGGGGATGTCTATACTTTAAATCATCTCTAGATTACCTATAATACCTTATATAATATGTGTTATATAAATGGTTGTTATACTATCTTTTTAAGTTTGTATTATTTTTAAGTTTTTTTTCCCAAATATTTTTGATATGAGATTGGTAGAATCATGGATGGAAAACCTGAGGATCCAGAGGACTGACTATATATAGCACATTATTTTTATTTATTTATTTATTTATTTATTGAGATGGAGTTTCACTCTGTCACCCAGGCTGGAGTGCAGTGGTGTGATCTCGGCTCACTGCAACCTCTGCCTCCCGGGTTCAAACAGTTCTCATGCCTCAGCCTCCCAAGTAGCTGGGATTGCAGGTGCCTGCCACCATGTCCGGCTAATTTTTGTATTTTTAGTAGTGACAGGGTTTCGCCATGTTGGGCAGGGTAGTCTTGAACTCCTGGCCTCAGGTGATCCACCCATCTCGGCCTCCCAAAGTGCTGGGATTACAGGCATGAGCCACCGTGTCTGGCTACAGTACATTATTAACTATAGTTACCATGTTGTACAAAAGATCTGTTGAATGTATTCCCCCTAAATGAAATTTTATATGCTTTGACCAATATCTCCCCAATTCTCCCTGATGATGTTTATGTTATGTTTTTTAAGTGGAAAAAAAGTTGCATAGCAATATATAATATGCTATTTTTGTAAAAGAAAACCACAACCACATATGTGAAATGCACATGGTTGTATAAACATCAGCATTATGTAAGAACACATAGCAAACTATAAACCTCAGTATTACCTCTAGAGGGTGAAAACAGATGGAGAAGGATTTATTTCTAACTTTCTATATTTTAATTTTTATAATATATTTTCTATTTCTACTAGGTGTGGGCTTTATTGGTTGATTTCTCGGTGAGTGCGTTTCCAAGTGTGAAGGGACCCTTCCTGTAGTGTCTTATATACAATACAGTAGGAATGTTCCTTCTTTGCCACTCATACACCTTTATGTGCATCTCACATGGTGTTCTTCCCCAGGTGGATGTGATTCTCCATGCCAGTGAAGAGTAAGGAAGGCCACAGCATGGTATGGGGATAGAATAAACTCTGCTGGGCTAACAAATAAACCCTGAACTCTCAATGGCTTAATGCAATAAAGATTTGTTTCTTATTCATGCTGATGTTCCTGGCCTGAGAGTTCACCAGAGCAGCTCTTCTCTAAGCAGCAAATTCAGGGATCAGGGCTTCTCCCATCCTGTGCATCTGCCATCTTGGAACCTTCATTTCCAGCCATGTAGAGGAAGAGAGAAGGAGCCTGAGAGACTGGGAGAGGAGTTTTATGCAAGGGAGTGCTGGGAAATGTAGTCTTCCTGGTTCTGCAGGCTGTATAAGAGGCAAAGACCAGCATCTGCTTCTGATGAAGGGCTCAGGAAGCCTCCAATCATGATGGAAGGTGAAGAGGAACCAGAGAGGAAGGAATGAAAGTTTCATTTTAAAAATTAGAGATGAGGTCTTGCTATGTTGCCCAGGCTGGACTCGAACTCCTGGGGTCAAGTGATCCTCCCACCCCAGCCTCCTGAGTAGCTGGAACTACAGTCTCATATCACCACACCCGGCTCAATATATTTTTATATTATAGAAATTTGTTATAAGAATTATGCATTTTTTGTGATTAAATGAATAAAGATAAACTATATTTTGCATAAAAAGAAAGCACTGTTACACTTAAGGCGAAGACAAAGGTAAGAAAACCCCTAAATGGTTATTAAACATTTAATTCACTTAAGGGCACTGCAGAGAGGAAACACTTTTAGAAATCTATGTTAATTCTGTTAACATTAAAGCCAAAGTGTAGGCTGGGCATGGTGGCTCAGGCCTGTAATCCCAGCACTTTGGGAGGCCAAGGTGGGAGGATTGCTTGAGCCCAGGAATTCAAGACCAGCCTGGGCAACATGGTGAAACCCCATCTCTACAAAAAATCAAAAATTAGCTGGGTGTGGTGGCACAAACCTATAGTCCCAGCTTCTCAGGAGGCTGAGGTATTAGGATCTCTTGAGCCTGGTAGGTTGAGGCTGCAGTGAGCCACGAGTGCACCACTGTCGTCCAGTCTGAGCAACAGAGTGAGGTGCTGTCTCAAAAACACCCAAAAAACAACAAGAACAAAATGTCAAAGTCAAAGAGTAGATCTTCTGTGCTCTAGTGTTGGTTAGGATCCTCTGTTGCAAA
This sequence comes from Homo sapiens, assembly GCF_000001405.40. NCBI lineage: Eukaryota > Metazoa > Chordata > Mammalia > Primates > Hominidae > Homo > Homo sapiens. The sequence goes on from NC_000012.12 coordinate 12,765,961, forward strand.
GATCAGAAATCAAGTCACTCAAGGAATAAAAGGGGAGTTGAAAAAATAGGAATATATGAATGGCTCATAAAATGGAATGATGGCAGGAAATAAAAGTTAAGACTCTCTGTTTGCCTCTCAGGACCTTATCTCTTAATTTTCTCCAGTAAACAAAACAAACTTTCTCTGCTCTTGGGGGAATATAATGGGAATAATATGGCTGCTTCACAGATCCTGAGTTCCATATTTCAGTTCCAGTCATTGAGAAGACTGCCTCAACTCTCTTTAGGTCCATATTCCAAAATCTTGAAAGAATTTGATTGGCAAATTTGGTTTGGATGTCTACCTTTAGTCCAATTAGCTATAGTCAGTGGGCAGGATCATGTAATATAGTACCAAGATACTGGAATATTTTAAATGGAGATAAAGAGATGTTGTCAGGTTAAGGTGGGGGCCATAAGTTCCCAAGCTGCCTACTACAGTTGCACAAAGGACAAAGAATATTATAGATTGATGAGCTAAAAATCACTTTTGCATTGCCCCACAGCTAAAAAATTTAAAAAGAGATTTCTGAGAGAGCCATAAAAAGGCAATAGTAAAACACTGATATAAAATCAGCTGGGGCCAGACAGGGTGACTGACACCTGTAATCTCAGCACTTTGAGAGGCTGAGGTTATCTGCCTGGATCACCTAAGGTCAGGAGTTTGAGACCAGCCTGGCCAACATGGCGAAACCCTGACCCTACTAAAAATACAAAAATTAGCTGAGTGTGGTGGCACGTGCCTGTAATCCCAATTACTCAGGAGGCTGAGGCAGGAGAATCGCTTGAACCCGGGAGGTGGAGGTTGCAGTGAGCCAAGAGCACACTCCAACCTGGGTGACAGAGTGAAACTATGTCTCAAAAACAAAAAACAACAAAACAAACTAAAACAACAAAACAAAACAAATAAACAGAAAAAAAGAATTAGCTGGTAAATCAGCTGGCATATACTATCAGAATAATAAATAAGAGTTGGCCCCCTGGGCTGGGTGCAGTGGCTCATGCCTGTAATCTCAGCAGTTTGGGAGGCCAAGGTGGGTGGATCACCGGAGGTCAGGAGTTCGAGACCAGCCTAACAAATATGGTGAAACCTCATCTCTATTAAAAATACAAAAATCAGCCGGGTGTGGTGGTGCATGCCTATAGTCCCAGCTACTCAGGAGGCTGAGGCAGGAGAATTGCTTGAATTTGGGAGGTGGAGGTTGCAGTGTGCCAAGACCACGCCAGTGCACTCCAGCTTGGGTGACAGAGCAAGATTCCGTCTCCACAAAATAAATAAGAGTTGGCCCTCTGTATTTGTGAGTTCTGCATTTGTGAATTAAACCAACCACTGATTGGAGTTATTCAGAAAAATTAAAAACAACCGTACAATAATAAAAATAATACACATTAAAAAATTGGCCAGGTGCGGTGGCTCACACCTGTAATCCCAGCACTTTGGGAGGCCGAGGTGGGTGGGTCACTTGAGGTCAAGAGGTTGAAAGTAGCCTGGCCAATGGGGCAAAACCCATCTCTACTAAAAATAGAAAAATTAGATGGGTGTGGGGGCCCGCGCCTATAATTTCAGCTACTCGTGAAGCTGAAGCATGAGAATTGCTTGAACCCGGGAGGCGGAGGTTGCAGTGAGATCGTGCCACTGCACTCCAGCCTGGGCTACAGAGGGAGACTATGTCTCAAAACAAAACAAAAACAAAAACAAAACTAGTATAACAACTATTTACATAGCACTTACATTGTATTAGGTATTATATGTAATTTATAGATGATTTAAAGTACATGAAAGGAGGTGAGTAGGTTATACGCAAATCCTATGCCTTTTTTTTTTGACGGAGTCTCACTCTGTCACTCGGGCTGGAGTGTAGTGGTGTGATCTCGGCTCACTGAAACCTCCGCCTCCTGGGTTCAAGTGATTCTTCTGCCTCAGCCTCCCGAGTAGCTGGGACTACAGGCACGTGCCACCATGACTGGCTAATTTTTTTATTTTTAGTAGAGACGGGGGTTTCACCATATTGGTCAGGCTGGTCTTGAACTCCTGACCTCGGGATCTGCCTGCCTCGGCATCCCAAAGTGCTGGGATTACAGGTGTAAGCCACCGTGCCCGGCCTACTATGCAATTTTATACAAGGATCTTGAACTTCTGTGGATTTTGGTATCTGTGGGGAGTCCTCAAACCAAACTCCCATGGATGCTGAGGGACAACTGTACAAATATTGAACAATTGAAAAGGTCACAGATAACTAGATGTAAAAAATAGTTACTGGCTTGAAAAAAGGTAAGAATACCTGATAATTGCACCACATTGTGTAGGTCTCACAGGGTTTCCATATTCCCTTTCCAATATAATAAATAAAACCTTGTAAAAGCAATTGAGGCTGAGTGCAGTGGCTCATGCCTGTAATCCCAGCACTTTGGGAGGCTGAGGCAGGAAGATCATTTGAGTCCAGGAGTTCGAGACCAGACTGGGAAACCTAGGGAGTCCCAATCTCTACAGAAAATTAAAAACAAAACAAAACAAAACAAAAAAACCAACCAGGTGTCATGCACCTGTGGAGTCCCAGCTACTCAGGAGGTTGAGTTGGAAAGATTGCTTGAGACCAGGAATTCAAGGTGGCAGTAAGCGCTAATCACGCCACTGCACTCCAGCCTGGGCAACACAGCAAGACCTCATCTCTTAAATTAAAAAAAAAAAAAAGCAATTGAGTCTCAATAAGTCAAGTCACTTGCTTGAAGTCACACACAAACCACAGACTTAGGACTCAAACTCCTCGTTTTCACTTTATGTGCAGAGGCCTAACTTATAGAAAATGCCTCCTACCTTTTTCAAAGGTAGTTTACTTTTTTTTTTTTAGCATTGAAAGTAAAGGCAGAAATGACTTTTAAAGTGCTACATTTTCAGGGAAAAAAAGTGGATTAGGAACATTAGTTTCCATTCTGGCATGTAAGGAGCTCAGAAGTCACTACTCCTGGCTGGGCACCGTAGCTCATGCCTGCAATCCCAGCACTTTGGGAGGCTGAGGCAAAAGGATTACTTGAGCCCAGGAGTTCAAGACCAGCTGGAGCAACGTGGCAAAACCCCATCTTTACCAACTATACAAAAATTAGCCAGTCGTGGTGGCACATGCCTGTAGTCCCAGTTACTTGGGAGGCTGAGGTGGAAGGATCACTTGAGCCTAGGCAATTAAGGCTGCAGTGGGCCATGATTATACCACTGCACTACAGCCTGGGCAACAGAGCAAGACCTCCAGCTAAAAAAAAAAAAAAAAAAAAAAAAGTCACCACTCCATCTTAGCAAGTAAAAAGCTGAGTAAACTGAAAAATCAACAGCTCTTCTTAGATCCATAAGAGATGGGAGGTCATAGAGTAAACCCCAAATTGGAAACACAGGTGAATGCAGATAATCACAACTTAATTACTGGAGCAGAAATCTTCATGGGAATCAGTGCTGGAGTGGGAAAACCTGAACTGTAATTGACAAATTGCTGGAGGCTTGGTGTGGACAAGTCTGTGAGATAAAAACTTTATTGGGAGGCTCCCACACTTTTGTAGTTTTACCTCCAGGGGCTCTACTAGGTTCTCACAGTGAATTTTGCAAACGATCCTCTCATGCTTCCAACAAGGGGAGAGGAAAAGGAACCATCTTGAAATGCCCTAGAGCATTCTGTTCTTAAGAACAAGGTCTTCCCTCAGGAGAAATTACTTAACTGGAGCCTAACCTGCTGGGGTTTTATAACAGCCTAACTGATCTGGGGGAAGGGAAATACCCAACTCCAGCCTAGTCTAGCTATGTTGTCCCACCTAAGGAGAGGGGGAGACTGAGAAGCACCTGTGAAGTTCACAGTCCAGAGACATAGGCTCACTAAAAGACTGAGACCTAATTATCGGACTGTAGAATGCTTCCTTTCCCTCCACACCTTGCCACCACATTACTAAAGTCCTATTTACAGTAGTTTCTTTAGCCCAAAACATCATGCCTGGCTATCAAGAAAAAATTACAAAGTATACTAAAAGGCAAAAAAACATAGTTTGAAGAGACAAAGCAAGCATCAGAACCAGATGCTCTGGATAAAGTAGACAGCATGCAAGAACAGGTAGGCAATGTAAGCAGAGAAATGGAAACTATAAAAAGAACCAAAAGAAATGTTAGAGAGGCCGGGGGCGGTGGCTCACGTCTGTAATCCCAGCACTTTGGGAGGCCGAGGCGGGCAGATCACGAAGTCAGTTCAAGACCAGCCTGACAAGCATGGTGAAACCTCGTCTGTACTAAAAATACAAAAATTAGCCGGGCATGGTGGCACATGCCTGTAACCCCAGCTACTCAGGAGGCTGAGGCAAGAGAATCGCTTGAACCCAGGAGGCAGAGGTTGCACTGAGCCGAAATCGTGCCTTTGCACTACAGCCTGGGTGACAGAGCGAGACTTCATCTCAAAAACAACAACAAAATGTTAGAGATAAAAAACACTGCAATAGAAATGAAAAATGTCTTTGACGTGCTTATTAGTATACTAAACATGCTGAGGAAAAAATCGCTGTTTGAGGATATCTCAAGAGAAACCTCCCAAACTGAAAAACAAAGAGAAAAAAAGACTGAAAAAAAAAAAAAAGCAACAACAGAAAAGAATATCCAGGAACTGTAGGACAACTACAAAAGGTATAAGTGTGTAATGAGAATACCAGAAGGAGAAGAAAGAGAATACAGAATAAATATTTGAAACAATAGTGATTGAGAATTTCCCCAAGCCAGTGTCAGACACCAAATCACAGATCCAGAAAGCTCAGAGAACACCAATAAGAATACATGTTAAAAAAAAAAAAAACTCTACACCTAGGTATATCATATTTACACTACAGAAAATTTAAGATAAAGAAAAAATCCATATAGAAACCAGAGGTTTAAAAAATCTTATAGAGAAGAAAAGAATTACATCCAACTTCTCCTCAGACAGTATGCAAGCAAGAAGAGAGTGGAGTCAAATATTTAATGTGTTGAGAGAAAAAAATCCCACCAACCTAGAATTCTGTACGCTGTGAAATCATCCTTTAAAAGTGGCACAGAAATAAAGGTCTTCTCAGACAAACAAAAATTGGGGGAATTTGTTGCCTTGCAAGAAATAGTAAAAGAATTTCCTTAGAAAAAAGAAAGAGTATATAGGTCAGAAACTCAGATATACATTAAGAAGGAAAGAACATCCGAGTCAGTGAAGATAAAATTTTAAAAACTTTATTTTTCTTATTTTTAATTGCTCTAACAGATAACATTTTTTTTTCAGAGCTTTGGGGGAATTTATTAGAGCAGATTTTGTGTATGAAAAAGGTGCTGGGCTTTTATCTACCATTAGCAGGTGTCATGCCTGGTGGCCCCCTTATGGCCATCAGTTTGTTGGCCAGACTGCAATGGCTACAATAGCCATAAGCAGCAACAAAATCATCATTATTATCCCACAAGAGGTTGACTTTCTGTCCACCATGTTCAAATGCCTGGTTTCAGTGCAAAGTTTTTCATCTGTGTTTTCCAGCAAATTGGCAGAGATGTTAATTATCTCATTTTGTCCATCCAATTCATTCCCAATTTCCTGCCCCATTTGTTTTTGGCAACTTATGATGGAGGAAATGGCATCGAGGCCTGTGTCCTGTTCTTTGATAATTTTCTGCTTGCTATTGTCAGAGTTCATTGAAACCCAAGCCTCTTGTCTCCTCTGGCTCCTCAAAGAGCCAAGGGTTGGGCACTTCCTAACAGATAACAGTTTGTTCAAAATAATAATAGCAATAATGTTCTAGATTATATATTGCATATATATAGCTATGTATATTTATGTATAAGTGAAACAAATGACCACAATGATACAAAAGATGTGAGAGAGAAATTAGGATTATTTCTTTATTATAAGGTACTCACACTAACTGTGAAGTGGTATGGCATATTCAAAAGTGACTCAGATTCATTGTAAATGTATATTGCAAACTCTGGGGCAATCATTTAAAAAGGTTAGAAAAAAAAGAAGCATAACTGATATGCTAAAAAATGAGAAAAAAATAATTTATATGAAACGCTCAATTGTAACAACAAAAGGCAAAAGAGAAAAAGAGTGAAAGATAAAAATAAGAACAAAGAACAAGAACAACAAATAGAAAACAATAAAAAATATAGTAGATGTTAACCAAACCGTATTAACAATCACTTTGAATGTCAGTGGTCTAAATTCACCAGTTAAAAGAAAGAGATTGTCAGACTGGATCAAAAAACAAGACCCAACTATATGTTGTATATAAGAAACCCACTTTAAATATAAAGACACATATAAACGGGTAGAGAAAGATACACCCTGACAACACTAATCAAAAGAAAGCAGAATTAGCTATGCTTATGTCAGACAGAACAGACTTCAGAGCAAGGAAAGTGGGAAGAAAGAGGGACATTACATAGTGATAAAGGGGTCAATTCTCCAAGAAGACATAACAATCCTTTACCCAGTGTATGCACCTAACAACGGAGTGTCAAAATTTGTGAAGCAAAAACTGACAGAACTGGAAGGATAAATAAATGAATCCACTATTATAACTGGAGACTTCAACATCCCTCTCTCAGGAACGGACAGATCCAGTAGGCAGAAAATCAGTAGGGCATAGTTGAACTCAACACCACCATCAATCAACTGGATGTAATTGACATCTATAGATGACTTTATTAAACAGTAGCAGGTTACATGTTCTTCTCAAAGTCATATAAAACATTTACCCACATAGACCACATTCTGGGCTATAAAATACAACTTAACAACATTTAAAAGAATGAAAATAATGTAATGTCTACTCTCAGACCACAATGAAATTAAACTAGATATTAATAACAGAAAGGTAGTTGGAAAATCCCAATATACTTGGAGATTGAACAATACAATTTTATTTGTTTATTCTTCTCAAGAGAAAATTAAAATATTTTAAACTAAATGAAAATGAAAGCCAGGCATGGTGGTGCACTCCTGTAGTGCTACTCGAGAGGCTGAGGTGGGAGGATCACTTGAGCCCAGGAGTTCGAGGTTATAGTAAGTTATGATCGCACCACTGCACTCCAGCCTGAGCATCAGAGTGATATCCTGTCTCTAAAAAAGAAAAAAAAATTATATGAAAAACACAACTTACCAAATTTGTGGGATGCAGTAAAAGCAGTGCTTACAGGGAAATTTTTGTAGCATTGAATGCGTATATTTGAAAAGAAGAAAGATCTAAAAATCAATAATCTAAGCTTCCACCTTAGGAATCTAGAAAAAGAAGAACAAATTAAGTCTAAACTAAGTAGAAGTGGCCAGTTATGGTGTCTCACACCTGTAATCCCAGCACTTTGGGAGGGTGAAGTGGGAAGATTGCTTGAGGCCAGGAGTTCAAGAACCAGGGTGGGCAACATAGTGAGACTTAGTCTCTACAAATAAATTAAAAAATTAACCAGGCATGATGGTGTATGCCTGTAGTCCAGCTACCTAGGAGGCTGAAGTGGGAGAATCACTTGAACCCAAGAGTTTGAGGTTACAGTGAGCTATGATTGCATCACTGTACTCCAGCCTAGGTGACAGACCGTGTCTGTTAAATAAATAAATGAAAAGTAGGAGAAAAGATTATAAAAATCAGAGGAGAAATCAATGAAATTAAAAATAGGAAATCAAAATCTGGTTCTTTGAAATGATTAATAAAATCAATGAACCTCTTCCCGACTTAATACTTCCTATAAAGCTACAATAATCAAGACAGTGTGGTATTGGTGAAAGACTAGAAAAACAGACCGATAGAATAGAATGGAGAGCCCCAAAGTGAACCCACATAAATATAGACAATTGACCTTTGACAAAGGAGCAAAAGCAAGACAATGGCGCAAAGATAGTCTTTCAACAAATGGTGCTGGAAACCTGACATCCACATGCAGAAAAAAATGAGTCTAGACACAGATCTTACACTCTTCACAAAAATCAACCTAAAATGGGTCACAGACCTAAGAGTAAAACATAAAACTATAAAATTCCTAGAAGATAACAGGAAAAAAATCTAGATGACCCTGGACTTGGTGATTACTTTTCAGATACAACATCAAAGGCACAATCCATGAAAGAAAGAATTGGTAAACTGGACTTTATTAAAATTAAAAAATGTTACTCTGCAAAAGACACTGTGAATTGAATGAAAAGGCAAGCCACAGACTGGAAGAAAATATTTGCAAAAGACATATTTGATAAAGGACTGTTATCCAAAATATACAAAGAACTCTTAAAACTCAACAATAAGAAGAAAAAGAACCTGGACGGGTGTGGTGGCTCATACCTGTAATCCTAGCACTTTGGGAGGCCGAAGAGGGTGAATCACTTTGGGTCAGGAGTTTGAGACCAGCCTGGCCAACATGGTGAAACCCCGTCTCTACCAAAAACTACAAAAATTATCTGGGTATGGTGGTGTGTGCTTGTAATCCCAGCTACTCGGGAGGCTGAGGCAGGAGAATGGCTTGAACCCAGAAGGCAGAGGTTGCAGTGAGCTAAGATCACACTGCTGCACTCTGGCCTGGGTGACACAGCGAGACTCTAACTCCAAAAAAAAAAAAAAAAAAAAAAAAAAAAGAAAGAAAAGAAAAGTAAAGAAAAGAAAAGAAAGAAAACAAGGAACCTGAACAAAAAATGGGCCAATGACCTTAACAGGCACCTCACCAAAGAAGATATTGGTGGTAAATAAATATATGAAAAGACGTCCCAAATCATATGTCATCAGGGAATGCAAATCACAACAGCAATGAGGTACCATTACATATTGATTAGAATGGCCAAAATCTAGAACTGACGATACTAAATTCCCTGATGAGGATGTGGAGCAGCAGAAACTCTCCTTCATTTCTGGTGGGAATTTGAAATGGTATGATGAGTTTGGAAGACAGTTTGGCAGTTTCTTACAAAACTAAACATACTCTCGTCATAAGATCCAGCAGTCATGTGCCTTGGTATTTACCCAAAGGAATTGAAAACTTATGTCCACACAAAAAGCTACACACAGATGCTTACCACAGCTTTATTTGTGATTGCCAAACATCAGAAGCAACCAAGATGTTCTTCAGTAGCTGAGTGAATAAATGGTGGCATATCCAGACAATGGGACATTATTCAGTGCCAAAGAGAGATGAGCTATCAAGTCACGAAAAGATGTGGAGGAAATTTAAGTGCATGTCTGTAAATGAAAGAAGCCAATCTGAAAAGGCTACATGCTGTGATTCCAACTAATGACATTCTGGAAAAGATAAAACTATGAAGACAGTGATCAAAGATCAGTGGTTGCCAGGGGTTAGGAGGGAGGGAGGGATGAACAGGCGAGGTGCAGAGGATTTCCAGGGCAGGTAAACTACTCTGTATGAGACAGTAATGGTGGATACATGTCATTAAACATTTTTCAAACCCACAGAGCGTACAATACCAATAAGGAACCCTAATGTAAACTGCAGACTTTGGGCCAATGTAGGTTCATGAATTGTAACATAGGTACTGCTCTGTGGGCACTGGCAATAATGGGAGAAGTTATGCATGTGTGAGGGCAGGGAGCACGGGGTGTCTCTGTATGTTCCACTCAATTTTGTTGCAAATCTAAAACTGCTCTAAAAAATAGTCTAACAAAGCAAGTTTGGAGAGGAAAATAGATTACATAAAATCATTTTCTTACCTAATTCAAGAGCAAATAGAGTTGAAAACTCACCATAGAAACTACATTTTTTAAAAAACGATTGGGTACAATGGCTTATGCCTGTAATCCCAGCACTTTTGGAGACCAAGGCGAGAGGATTGCTTGAGACCAGGAGTTCATGACCAGCTTAGGCAACATAGTGAGACTTCATTACTACAAAATTTTCTTTCTTTAATTAGCTGGGTGTGGGGGTGTGCACCTGCAGTCCCAGCTACCCAGGAGGCTGAGGTGAGAGGATTGCTTGAGCCTAGGAGTTCAAAGTTACAGTGAGCTATGATCATGCCACTGCACTCCAGCTTGGGTGACAGGGTGAGACCCAGTCTCAAAAAAAAAAAAAAAAAAAAAAACACAACAAACAAACAAAACTAAATTAATAAAAGCAAATAAGGAGAATAATAATGACCAACTTTCAGGGTGTTAGAAGATACACCCCTTGCTTCATCATATTGCTTAATGTGAACCGACTGAATTCTACTAAAAATAGACTTTAAACAAAGTTAGAAAAGAAAACAAGTATCCAACATTCTCTCACCTATAACAGGCATATTACAAATTAAACCATTCAAATAGTCTAAAAGCTAAGGGAAAGCTTAAGATTTATGATGCCTCTGTAGATACAAAACAAGCAGGTGTTATAATCCAGGCTGCAATACTGTTGTAGATGTCTGAGAACTCGGAAGATAATGACTAAGCCTGAGAAAGGGCCAGACAAAGGTAATTGTTTCCCAGTATCCTGGAAGATAAGAGAATCTTTATGGCTACTGGAGGGATGTGGACTCAGCTGCAGTCTTTCTGGCACCAGAAGAAAAGGCATGTGGTAAACTAGATATTTCGTAATAGGGCCCATGGGGCAAACGATTCTATATTAATGATATAGTGTAGGTTTCACCCACAGGATCCCAGGTGTTCTGTGCAGGTGCGCACACCTGTGGAGGAGGAAGCGGAGCAAACTTTAAACTGCACACATTAGGAAGCCTGGGACAGTTAAAGAGTTCCCAGCATCAGATATGTCCAAAAGAAAAGCAAGTAAGATTAGCAAAGATACATGCCTTTTTCCCTCAGCAAAAAGCAATGAAGGTTGAGTCTCCCTTTAAAAATAAAAAATCGGATTATGAAGCAGTAACATTCAAAATCATATTATATTGAATTAAAAACAGGTAAACTGTTTAGTGGAATAGATTTCCTAGAAGTAGATATTAACAATGGTAACAAATCAATATAAGACTAGCCAGCAATAACACATCTATAGAAAAGTGTATTTTTTAAATAAAAAATGATCAAAATTATATTCATCTGAAGAAGAATTAGCACCCGCTATGCACTGTATATAATAAACTCCAGGTGGGTCAAATTAGGCTAAAATGTTTATTGTGGATATTTTCTTTTTAGTTTTATCTAACCATCAGTTTCCCTTTCCCTGACATAGCAATCCCATTGTAATTTCCTAGTGTGAAACTTCTCCCTGAGTATATATGTAATGTGGGTGGGAAGGTCAAGTTCTTTTACCATCTCCCACTTGAAAGCTGAAGGCCATTCACCCCTCTTCTCCCTGCCCAGTGCAGACAGTAGATGGGCACTTGACCTAAGCTCAGCCAACCCAGTGGTCACTCCTGGAACTTTGATTCTTAAACTGATACAAGGACAAAAGGAAAGAGTGGTTGGTCAGTTTCATCACACAGGCTGTTCCAATTACAAAACGACTGATGTCCTTTCAGTTTCTTGGTTCTTTAGAACTCCATGGTCCTTTCCCATGTTCAAGTATGTGTTCCCTCAGTCTCATAGCAATAATTCGCTTATATTAGCCAGAGCGAGATTTTTACTACAAGTTGAGTATTCCTTAACCAAAAGGTTTGGGACTAGAAGTGATTTGGATTTCAATTTTGGCAGGATTTTAGAATATTTGCATTATATGTTTACCAATTGAGCATCCCTAATTAAAAAATCTGAAATCCGAAATGTTCCAGTGAGCATTTCCTTTGAGCATCACTCTAAAATCCAAAACTTACTGAGCACCAGTGTGACGCTCAAAGGAAATGCTCACTGCAGCATTTCAGATTTCAGATTTTTGCATTAGGGAAATTCAACGTCTCAACCTGTGTATCCAGATGGAGACGGCAATTCCAAAGAACAAACTGAAGAGGAAGAGGGTATAGGAGGTGGATGATGGTGTCACAGTTCACCTGGAAATATCTTCTCTACAAGGAAAGGTGTTTTTTTTTTTTTTTTTTTTTTTTTTTTTTTTTTTTGTTGTTGTTGTTTTTTGAGACAGGGTCTCACTCTATCACCCAGGCTGGAATGCAGTGGTGCAGTCTCGGCTCACTGCAACCTCTGCCTCCTGGGGCTGAAGCGATCCTCCCACCTCAGGCTCCTGAATAGCTGGGACCACAGGGGTGCACAACCACACCTGGCTATTTTTTTTATTTTTTATTTTTTTGTGGAGACAAGGTTTTGCCATGTTCCCCAGGCTGGTCTTAAACTGAGCTCAAGCAGTCCGCCAGCCTTGGACTCCCAAAGTGCTGGGATTACAGGTGTGAGCCACTGTACTTGGCCAGGAAAGCATCCTGACAATGATCTGATGGTTTACATTTCTTCTGCTTGCTTCTCCCTGTGGGAGGCATATACCTCTCTATCTTTTTGCTTATTTTATTTTACATTTTTGAGACAGGGTCTCAGTCTGTTGCCCAGGCTGGAGTGCAATGGTGTGACCATGGCTCACTGCAGCCTCGCCCTCCTAGGCTCAAGCACTCCTCCCACCTCAGCCTCCCAAGTAGCTGAAACTACAGGTGCACACCTCCTCGTGTGGCTAATTTTTAATTTCTTTTTTTTTTTATAGAGATGGGTTCTCACTGTGTTGCCCAGGCTGATCTCAAACTCCTGGGCTCAAGCAATCCTCCTGCCTCGGCCCCCCAAAGTGCTGGGATTACAGGAGCCAGCCAGTGTGCCTAGCTCCTACCCCTTTAATGTTGGGTTGGCCACAACTTGATTGGCCAATAGAATGCCAGTGGATGTGATGGCTACCCTGTCTGAGCAGCCTTAGGAATGATTAGTCAATTTTGCTTCCAAAACATATTCTGTACTTTATCCACTCCATTGCATCCTACCAACATTAGCCAAATCTGAGATAATCTCTGTCAACTACTTCAATAACCTTCTAACTGTCTCCTGGCTTTAGTTGTGTACCTCTGAGAACCATCCTTCACACAACTGTCACACAACAATGTCAAATTAACCTTGTAAGGCCACAGATGAAAGCCTTCAATGGCTCCCTCTTTCCCACATGGCACTGGAAAGCTGTCATGACTTGTCTTCTACCTACCCCTTAAGCCTCATCCTTTGGCCTTCCCTGCTTCCCACTTTATGTTCAGCAACACTAAACACCCTGGACACTCCTCCATTCCTTTGTCCATTCTGTTCCTTTGTCCAGACTGCCCTCCTCTCTCTCCTAATTTTTGTCCAAATAACTTCTGTTTGACTCTCAAGATTCAGCTCAATATCAGTGCTCCCAGAAAGTCTTCCCTAGTACTTCCTGGGCATGTATTTGCCCTGTGCTTTCTTGGTACCAGCACACACCCCGGCACTTCCCCACCTTAAATTTAAATGATATATTCTGTCTTTTTCTCTTCCAATAGATTTGCCGTCTCCTGGAGGGCAGGGACTATATCTTATTTAGCTTTTGGTCCCCAGACTCTAGCCTGATGTCTGGCACACAGTAGGTGTTCAATACACATTAGTGGAGCTGAAATCGAACAAATTAAACATTAATATAAGCAAATTCTGAAAGCCTTCTGCCTCTATTCTTACAAAAGCTGGTGGCATTATAAATGGGTTCTTCTGGAAAGCAATATAGCACTATATAACAAAAACGATGAAGATGGTCATTCTCCTTGACTTGGTATTTTCCCGTTTGTGAATACTCCTCAAAGAAATAATCCAAAGGAAAAAAAATGTACACAGATGTCCTGGCAACTCTAGTTATAACAGTGAAAAACCTGGAAGCAATCCAAGTGTCTAACAGGGAAATGACTAAGCAAACAATGGGATTATTACATAGCTATTAAAAAATGACAGAGGTGAGGACTATGTCAACATAGACAAGTGTGTATCTATCTGCAGGAACGTTAAGTAGAAAAAAGAACACAGGCTAGTGTTTAAACACTAGTGATTAAGGATGTGTGTGTACATTAACAAAGATTGGAGGCTAATTTGGAGGAATGAAAATGGCTGGAGTGCAGTACTTGTTGAGTCTTTATTTTCCTGTGCAGTTCCATGAATTTTTGACAATAATACTTGAGATTCCATGCAATATAGATATCCTAGAGGTCTTCTGCAGAATAAGTATTCTAAGTTATACCAAGCTGTATAGTCCAAGAGAAAATTTTATGTTAAATTCTTATAAAATTGTTATAAAATAATGATATTTCTTTAAGTGAACAAAGCATTTTTCTTTAGTTAAATTCAACAAGCAACTATGAGAGCTTGACTATGTTCTAGAGCACTTACATTCTGGGGAAATTCAAAGAAATCATGGGCAAAAATCCTCAGGTGAATATGTGTTATTATTTTAATTTGCTTTTTTTTTTTTTGAGACAATGTCTGGCTCTATTGCCCAGGCTGGAGTGCAGTGGTGTGATCTCGGCTCACTGCAGCCTCACCTCCCAGGCTCAAACCATCCTCCCAGCTTAGCCTCCCAAGTACCAAGTAGCTGGGACTACAGGCACACACCACCGAGGCGCCTGCCTCAGCCTCCCGAAGTGCTGGGATTACAGGCATAAGCCACTGTGCCTGGCCGAATTTATTTTTATTTTGGTGAATGTACATATTAGAACAGATGACAAAGGAAAGTCTGCAAGACCTTTGGACTAAACCTCACATTTACAAGTTGTCTCAATTTTATTTTTTATTTCAATTTTATTTATTTATTTATTTTGATACAGAGTCTGGCTCTGCCACCCAGGCTGGAGTGCAGTGGAGCAATCTTGGCTCACTGCAACCTCTGCCTCCGGGGCTCAAGCGATCCTCCCACCTCCACCTTCCCAGTAGCTGGGACTGCAGGCACAGGCCACCACACACAGCTAATTTTTGTAGTTTTTGTAGAGATGGGGTTTTGCCATGTTGCCCAGGCTGGTATTGTATTCCTGGGCTCAAGTGATTCTTCCACCTCAGCCTCCCAAAGTGCTGGGATTGCAGGGTCACCATGCCCGGCCTGAATTTTATATTTTTGATGTCTCCAAAAGAGGTCCTATATTTAGTCACTGAGATATACAGTTAAGTATTAAAAGGAAAAAGTCATCATCACATAACTTTAAACTTGTGCCACTTTTCCACTTGGTGCACTATGAATTAATATTTTATAAATCCTGTGACTATATTGTGAATAGCAAAATACTGACATAAGATATATTACATTGCAATTAAAAGAAATAAGCCACAATTTTTTATATTCCATTATAGAATTTCTTCATTTTTAAAAATCAACTGAGAGGCTAGGCACTGTGGCTCACACCTATAATTCCAGCACTTTGGGAGGCCGAGGCGTGTGGATCACCTGAGGTCAGGAGTTCAAGACCAGCCTGGCCAACATGATGAAACCCCGTCTCTACTAAAAATACAAAAAATTAGCCAGGGGTGGTGGCAGGCACTTGTAATCCCAGCTACTTGGGAGGCTGAGACAGGAGAATTGCTTGAACCTGGGAGGCGGAGGTTGCAGTAGGCTGAGATCGCGTCATTGCCTAGGCAACAAGAGCGAAACTCCGTCTCAAAAAAATAAAAAATAAAATAACTGAGAGTCTCAAAAAATGGAGGTGGCCCAGTCCTCTGAAAGGCCTTGAGCGTAATTATCACTTTATCTTTTTTTTTTTTTTTTTTTGAGACGGAGTCTCGCTCTGTCGCCCAGGCTGGAGTGCAGTGGCATGATCTCTGCTCACTGCAAGCTCCACCTCCCGAGTTCACGCCATTCTCCTGCCTCAGCCTCCCGAATAGCTGGGACTACAGGCGCCTGCCACCATGCCCGGCTAATTTTTTGTATTTTTGGTAGAGACGGGGTTTCACCATGTTAGCCAGAATGGTCTCGACCTCCTGACCTCATGATCTGCCTGCCTCGGCCTCCCAAAGTGCTGGGATTACAGGCGTGAGCCACCGCGCCCGGCATACTTTATCTTTAAAATGTAATAGTTTTAAGTAGGGGCCTAAAGCAAATGGGTTGTTGATAACTGTATAAACACCTCCTAACATAGTCCTTTCCGCTAGACTTACTGTTTCTGCTGCCATGTAACTGGTGGTCAGAAAACTACCAGTTCTGGCTGGCCATGGTGGCTCACGCCTGTAATCCTAGCACTTTGGGAGGCCGAGGTGGGCAGATCACCTGAGGTCAGGAGTTTGAGACCAGTTTGGCCAACAATGTGAAACCCCATCTATACTAAAGATACAAAAATTAGCTGGGCATGGTGGTGCGTGCCTGTAATCCCAGCTACTTGGGAGGCTGAGGCAGGAGAATCGTTTGAACCTGGAAGGCGGAGGCTGCAGTGAGCCGAGATCGCACCACTGCACTCCAGCCTGGGCAACAGAGCAAGACTCCGTCTCAAACAAACAAACAAACAAACAAACAAACAAACAAACACTACCAGTTCCTAGAGCAGTGGTTCACAAACCTGGCTGCAGGTAGGAATCACCTGTATTCTCCCAGATCCCACTCCAGACCTCTTGAATTAGACTCTCCAGGGCTGGGGCCTGAAGATTCCTATGCTTAAAAAGCTCTTTCTCGTCCTTCCTACACTGAATTTCCTCATGGTTCGAGGACTCAGAATTCAAACTAGTACAGCTAATGCCGCGGTTCAGCTGCATCAAGAGTTTAACACAGTGACAACTTGTCTCTACAAAAAGTCAAAAAATAAGGCAGGAGGATTGCTTGATCTCAGGAGGTCAAGGCTGCGGTGAGGCGTGATGGTGCCATTGCACTCCCACTTGAGTGACAGAGTGAGACCCTGCCTCAACAAAACAAAACAAAACAAAAAAAGAGTTGAACAGATCTGAAGGCTAGTTTGAAGGCCAACTACCATTTTCAGTGTAGTCTCTCTAGGGTGATGTGTTGGAAGTGCCCAACAAACAATTTAAAAGAGAAGTCTGAGGATGTGGTCCACAGATTTTTTTTTGTGGAAACTGACCACACAGAACTTTTGAACAAAATGCCTTCATTTGTTCCTAAAATTTGTTATTGTGTCTTTACTATATGAAATTAAACAAATGCTGGCTGGGCATGGTGGCTCATGCCTGTAATCCCAGCACTTTGGGAGGCTGGGGCAGGTGGATCACCCGGGGTCAGGAGTTCGAGACCAGCCTGTCCAACATGGCGAAACCCCGTCTCTACTAAAAATACAAAAATTAGCCAGGTGTAGTGGTGCACGCCTGTAATCCCAGCTTCTCGGGAGGCTGAGGCAGGAGAATTGCTTGAATCTGGGAGGCGGAGATTGCAGTGAGCTGAGATCATGCCACTGTACTCTAGCCTGGGCGACAGACTGAGACGCCGTCTCAAAAATAAATAAATAAATAAAAGTAAACAAATGCTGAATTGAATCGCTAAGTTCAAGTGTCAGTTCTTATAAACAAGGTGAAGTACCAGTTGGGTTTTTTGTTTGTTTGTTTGTTTGTTTTTGGAGACAGAGTTTTACTCCGTTACCCAGGCTGGAGTGCAGCGGTGTGATCTCGGCTCACTGCAACTGCTGCCTCCCAGGTTCAAGTGATCCTCCTGCCTCAGTCTCCTGAGTAGCTGGGACTACAGGAGCACGCCACCACACACAGCTGTTTTTTTTGTATTTTTAGTAGAGACGGGGTCTTACCATGTTGGTCAGGCTGGTCTCGAACTCCTGACCTCAGGTGATCCACCAGCCTTAGCCTCCCAAAGTGCTGGGATTACAGGGGTGAGCCACTGCACCCGGCCCCAGTTGGTTTTTTTTTGTTTTTTTTTTTTTTGCTTTTTTTTTGAGACAAGGTCTCTATCATCCAGGCTGTGTTGCAGTGGTACCATTATAGCTCACTGCAGCCTTGACCTCCTGGGTGCAAGTGATCCTCCTGCCTCAGCGTCCTGAATAGCTAGGACTACAGGTGTGAGTCACTATGCCCGGCCAATTTTTAAATTTTTTGTAAAGATGGGGTCTCATTATGTCAACCAGGCTGGTCTCGAACTCCTGACTTCAAGCGACCCTCCCTCCTCTGCCTCCCAAAGTGCTGGGATTATAGGCATGGGCCACCATGACTGGCCAAAGTACCAGGTTTTTATGGGCAGTAAAACTTTAGCCCAAACTGTCAATTAACTCAATTTTTTTTGCCTCCATAAAGAGGCAAATACAAAGAAAATGGGCTTTCAACACAGAGAAAAACAAATTCCAAGATATGGGCTGAGGTCAGTATACACGCTGTCTATTTTCCTCTACCTTCTGGTTCTTCATCCCACCTCTGTACTATGATATTGATGCTCTGAGGAAGACCCTGTATCCCAGCAATATTCCTCATCTATAAAATAAAGATTTAATTGTGTTCCTCTAAACCCAAAACACACAGGATGATGTCCAGGGAAGTTAGAGGAACATGTGTCAGCTGAAGAATCAGTGGTATGTTCCCTCTTGTCTACCTCCCCAATTCGCGCTGGCCCACATCCCATTTGGAGTGACCATGTCTATGGAGATAGAGGAGGATATTCTTCCACTTCTAACCTCAAAAGGACACACTGGAGGCATCTAGATTGAGGTTACAGCTATCCTTTGAGGAGCTGTAACAAGAATATTTGGAAGTGGACCAAATCTAGAATAATCAAGTTTGAAAGGACTATGGTTGTCCTTTCTGTTGCTACTGTTGTTATACTGTGTTGATAAATACAAAGTATAGTCATAAAGGTGGGGGATTTAATCATGTTCCAGAATGATACGGCTGTTAAGGCTTTCCAGGTAAGCCAGAGAGTTGAGATAATCCTTATTCAAGTGAGAAACGAATTTGGCCCTCCTTATCTGGAGGAGAGGGTTAGAAGGACGATGGATGGATTTGGGGACATGTAGTAGGACTGAATTCCTAGGCTGAGCTCCAACCACCTCTGAATGCCCCAGAGATATCTATGTTCCATCTGGTCTGGTCTGCAGCAAGTCCACAGAAGCTACATTCACTTTTCTGTGCTGAATTATCAAAATAATTGCCCTTCAGCCCATGCCTCATGACCCTGTAGACAGAATCCACTCATTTCCCTATCACATGGGCTACAATTGCTACTTCAAATGAAAACCTGGGAAGCCAATGCCCTATTGTGGTTGAAAGTGTACAATTAGCTCCTCATGCAGCCTGACCCCACTGATTTTTCTGATGCATGTGACCTGGAGTGTGCCCTTTCTGAGACCGCCAATGTCTTCTCCACAGCTGGAGATGCCCAAAACTGCACGCAGCACTTCCTGTGGGTGTGGCCTTGCATTCTTAGGACTGCAGGGTACCCGCTGCATGCCAAATGATCCCAGGCTCCAGCCACTCACAGATTCACAACGCTTTTAAAAATACAGCAGTGGAGTATGAGCGGCTATGTCAGATATGAGGGTTTTCCACCCCCTCCCTTTTCTTTTAAAATATGATTTTGTAATGGTGGCCTCAAGAAACACTATAATTGGTCAGCCTGGGGTGCGTTTGAAGGCCTTCTCTATCGCGTCATTAGCTATTCTCAGGAAAGGCAGGGTATCCCACTGGGAGAATGACAACACACTTGTTTCAAGTTAGGGAAGAGCCTGTGGTTCTCTTCCTGCGTTCAGGGGAAAGCGAACACACAATGTTCGTTTCCTAAATACGGGATGTGCTGTGCTGGCAGGTCATTTTCCACCATGTCACGTCCTTCTAGATGAAGGCAGCAGGGGTCATGACAGGAAATGGCAAATTCTCAGAATGAGACAAGGCTTTCCCAGGGCAGCCATTGGTTCTCTGGAACTATAAAGCACACTCATCCAGAAACAGCCTCAGATTTTACTTTCCTGGAGGCAGACAGAAGTGAATGGTAAGTGGGGAACCCTGAGGCATATATTCGGGATGACTTTTTCTCATTTTCTCTTTTCACCTGGAAAATTATCCCTGGTGGGTTGGATTATGGAAGCATGGAAGTAAAATTAAGTCCTGTGAATAAGGAGATGAGGATTCTAGACTGGGCTCTGTGAAGAATCAGCTGCTTCTAGAATCTGATGTCTGATGCAGGCAATTCTTCCAGATGAGAATGATTTCTGCCCTGATAGCTCAGTTTTGAAATGCTCTATTTCTATGGCTCATTTGCCACTTTTAAGAAGTTCCTAATAATGAAGAGTACAGTGGACATGAAGGTGGGAATCTGCAACTAGGATGAATATACTTTTCCCCCAAGATGTACAACTTGTTCGTATCTTTGTCAGTCATCTTCAGTTGGCTTCAACGTGGTAGAAGTTGTTGAACAAAAATTTTGGCCACTTTATTTTATTCAACCATTACTCATTTTTAAAAGAAAACTTTCATAACAAAGAGACATAATGGTATTAATTTAATGTGACTTAGTTTAAATCAAGCACCCAGCAAAGACTGATGTTTCTGAAGATCCAAGGAGCCCTAGTTAGAATAAACAGTGCAAATCTCATTTTAGGCTTGATTCTAAGAAAAGAGCCTGGAAGAATCACAAGCAGAAGAGTTGCTTCAGGCAAGCATCTAACTTAGATGTTTCTTCTGCTTGGTAGAAAATACGATTTTTGAGGTTTTGGTGAAGTCTTTTTCATTCATTAGAGAGAGAGAAAAGTGTGTTGCAAAACTCCTAGGATCCAATTTTCACATGATGAAAGGGCTTTGTAAACTGTACAACCCACCACTTACAAAGTGTTATCTTAAGTAGAGCAAAGGCCTCAGTACTGGAGAAGCCTTCTAATACCACGCCCCTCCCAGTTTAAATCTTATTTAACACATAGCTGATGAAGCCCATCGTTAACGTTCCCTGGGAGAGAAGCAGAAGATAGCATTATTCCTATTTCCATATGCAGAGATAAGGTCCTGAGAACTTGTGTGGCTCCCCCCGGATTCCAGAACAGGTCTTTGAGAACTCGTCTCATGATCCACTGGAAACAGACCCGTTCCCCTAGCGTGGCAGTGGCTGCTCCGCTGAACTCGTGCCAAGTTCCCGCTGGCGTCCGGGCAGCAGGGCGGGAGCGGCGGCTGGCACGGAGACTCCAGGCTGACCGCGTGTCTATGTCCCCGCAGGGAATGGAGAGGCCGGCGGCCCGGGAGCCGCATGGGCCCGACGCGCTGCGGCGCTTCCAGGGACTGCTGCTGGACCGCCGAGGCCGGCTGCACGGCCAGGTGCTGCGCCTGCGCGAGGTGGCCCGGCGCCTGGAGCGCCTGCGCAGGCGCTCCCTCGTAGCCAACGTGGCCGGCAGCTCGCTGAGCGCAACGGGCGCCCTCGCCGCCATCGTGGGGCTCTCGCTCAGCCCGGTCACCCTGGGGACCTCGCTGCTGGTGTCGGCCGTGGGGCTGGGGGTGGCCACAGCCGGAGGGGCCGTCACCATCACGTCCGATCTCTCGCTGATCTTCTGCAACTCCCGGGAGCTGCGGAGGGTGCAGGAGATCGCGGCCACCTGCCAGGACCAGATGCGAGAGATCCTGAGCTGCCTCGAGTTTTTCTGCCGCTGGCAGGGCTGCGGGGACCGCCAGCTGCTGCAGTGCGGGAGGAACGCCTCCATCGCCCTGTACAATTCTGTCTACTTCATCGTCTTCTTTGGCTCACGTGGCTTCCTCATCCCCAGGCGGGCGGAGGGGGACACCAAGGTTAGCCAGGCCGTGCTGAAGGCCAAGATTCAGAAACTGGCCGAGAGCCTGGAGTCCTGCACCGGGGCTCTGGACGAACTCAGCGAGCAGCTGGAGTCTCGGGTTCAGCTCTGCACCAAGTCCAGTCGTGGCCACGACCTCAAGATCTCTGCTGACCAGCGTGCAGGGCTGTTTTTCTGAGAACATCCTTTCCCCCTAATGACCGAGGCCAGCAAATCATCCTCATGGGATGCTCCAGAATTTGTAGCTCCCTTAGGAAAACACCAAGCTGGGTTAGGAGCCGAAGGCAAAGGATGAGAAAAACTGTTTTTGAAGTGGGCAGGTCCCCAAAGCCCTTCTTTTCCCATCACTGTGACATCTGCCTGGGCTTGAGTGCTACGGACTTTTCAGTCTTCCTAGTGGAAAAATGTGACCCAAAAACTCTTTTTCCTTTATCAAAAACTTTCTGTCTAAACACAGCTGGGCAGGCACTCCTGTTTTAAAGTTATTTCGGGGTCCCTGACCCTGCCCTGGTGGCTTGGCCTGAGACTGGAGAGAGTGCCATCCTCTGGGTCCTCTCCAAGTCCTACTAGTCTTTGAAGTCCTCAAAATGTGCGTGAGGAAGGCGTTTGCCTCTATTCCAGAATTTCTGATACAAAGAACTCCAGAATCCAGAGCAAATCAGCCCTTCTCTGAACGTTGTAGGATGGTTCAGAACCCAGAGAGGACCCTGGTGCTGATATCTCCTCCTCTTCCCTTTCCCCTCAGCTTACTTACTCCCAGATGCGGCCTGGGTATGAAGTAGGCCTTTCCTGAGTGGCTCCCAATCCAGTCCTCCAAGTACTCAGAGGGGAAGCCCGTGAAGCCGTCATCTAAGTCCTGCTCCCTCACATGAAGCTGAGGGCCAGATAGATGGAGCGACTGCCAACTTCATTTCCCGACATCATTGTGTTCAGAAGAGAGTGATGGGTTTTGAGTTAGACAGTCCTGGGCTTGAGACAGGCTTTGTCACTACTGTGTGAGTGTAGCCACCTAATCTCTCTGAGACTGTGTAAAACAAAGATGATAAAATCTCACCCTGTTGTGAGATATTAAATGAGCCAAAGTGCCTAGCATGATGGTGCTGGCTCATATAGTGTAGTCCCTGGAATGGCAAATTAACATCACCCAGGAACTTGTTAGAAAGGCAAATTCTTGGACACAACCCTCCTGATTTATGGAATCAGAAACTCTGGCTGTGGGGCCCAGCAACCTGAGTTTAAACAATTTCTCTGGGTGGTTCTGCGGCACACTAAGGTTTGAAAATCACTGCAACAAATGCTAACTTCTAATCCCCTTGATGAGCTTTCACGAAGTCTCACGGCTTCTCTAGGGACTCCATGGTCTTCAGAGTCGTTCACAGATGACCAAGGACAGACTGTGTCCCAGAAGCCAAAATGAGAGAGAGAGAGAGAGAGCACGCGTACGTGCACCCTGGGGCAGTGTCTCACCGTATGAACAAGGGATGTAACACTAAAAGCCCATTAGGGGGCAGTGTTTCCCGCCTGTTGTAGAAACTGGTACAGAAAGGAATATGAAGTTCCTGAAACTGACCTTTGTCTATTATTACCTTCTCTGAAAAGTGCCAGTCCATGTATTTTTTATTTATTTTAAGTTTGTAATTTAATTTTTAATTATTGTTTAGTGTTTGCATTTAATTTTATTTAATCACCACATTTAGAAAATAATAAGAGCAAGTTTCTAAATGGGAGACTGCTGAGGCTCTTTGCAAGAGATGAGATTAAGTTTGAGTTTCTAAGGCAGGGCATGAGCTGGAAATAGCATTGCTTTCCTTGATTGTCTCTCTCCTTCAGGGAGATTCTTTTTCTCTAGTGTTTTAAGTGATCCTTTGAAGTAAGTGTGGAGAGTCTTGAATGGCAAGACCAGGAGCTGAGTTTAAGCTTGTAATGGAAGCTTGCATTGTGGGATATATAACTGAGGAAGCATATTTATCCTGAAGGTATTTTGCCAGAAGGTATCACTTGACCTGGAAAAGGAATCTATTTAGTTCAGGAAAGATAAAAAGTTTAGAGGTATGTGAAGGAAGCACTTAGAACTTGCAAGCCTGATGTCCTATCAAGTTATGTCTTCTGGGTGACAGACAAAATCGCTTGTCTTATGGTGGTGATGTGTTGCATTTTCACTTTGGGGTCTGTAAGAAACTGTCAGTGAAAATATGTACAATTCCTTCAATTTCCATTCTTAACAACTGTAATGTTGAAAAATAAGTTGAAAAGTCTTTGGGACCATACATGCAAAAACGGTGCCTCTGTTACTTAATTATTTAATATTCTATAAATGTACCCAATCTGTCCGCACCCTTCCCAGTGATGGGGCAGTATGTCTGAGGAAGTATAATTTCAGTACTGGGGTCGGGGAGAGGAGGTGATGTTTCTACATTTTTATTTTTTCTATAAATTGCAATTGGTCTGTATGCTGGTTTATTTTGAAATTTATATTGGTTTCTTTTCAAGCTGGTGTCATCTCCTAGACTGTTTCACCCAGATGCTAGCATTTTTTTTTTTTTTTTGAGACAGAGTCTCACTCTGTCACCTAGGCTGGAGTTGCAGTGGTTTGATCTCGGCTCACTGCAACCTCCGACTCCTGGGTTCAAGCAATTCTTCTGCCTCAGCCTCCTGAGTAGCTGGGATTACAGATGTGCACCAGCACACCCGGCTAATTTTTTGTATTTTTAGTAGAGACAGGGTTTCGCCATGTTGGCCAGGCTGGTCTTGAACTCCTGGCCTTATGTGATCCGCCCACCTTGGCTTCCCAAAGTGCTGGGATTACAGGCATGAGCCACCTCGCCTGGCCAGATGCTAGCATTTTAGATCAAACAATTCATTTTAGATGAATTGTTTTGTTTCACAATCATTTTAAATCATTTTAGAATGTACTTCACATTATTAGTTGTGTTATGGCATAAAGGTACAACCATTCCCTAACTCCATCTTTTATTAATGCTTAAGTTTAAATTATATTCTTCCAATGCCTAAGCTATTCCCTAGAATTAAACTGGGCACTTTTGGAAGCAGCAACAGTAACAGCAGCAGCAAACTTTTCCTCTCATATTTTGGGTGTATCAAAAGTTCTAGACTTTTGAAGTTATGATTTCAGTGGCCCACTTTATTTCTAAGGAAGAGTGTCTACTTTGGAACGATACTTTGCACATAGTAGGAACTCAAGAAATACATTTGAATAATTATAATTAACTGTTTAGCTATCTTAATGAGAATTTGTTGACAACAAAAGATCATCCATCGCCTTATGTGTGAGTAAGATTGGAGCCTCTATCAAGATTTAGTCAAGTTCAGTTAGATTGATTCTAGAAACAAATATTTATTTCTTTCTTTTACGGGGATGTGAATAAGGCTTTTCCTTAAGGCCTTCATTCTTTAAACAAACAGGTTGAAATGGTATGTTGTAAAAGAGAAGACGGGAGAGAGGTATTTAGATGATAAGTGTACTTCACAAAAATGCCAAAGTTTGAAAAATAGGTATGTTTGTTCTAAATGTTTAAGTGCTTCTCTGTTAGGTTCTGGGGCTTGCAATCATTTGAATTGTTCTGTTTCACAATAAAGGAGATTCACTGGGTTCTGCATTTTCAGGATTCAATAGAACTGCTCCATTAAAAAAATAATCCTTAGCAAGCATTCGAATCCTAACTGCTTTGATGCACTTGCCCTCGGGCACCTGTCATTTCCAATATGGTAGGTGTCAAAGTCAAAAGTATTTACTGGGAGAAAAAAGAGAGGAGTGGTTGTAGAAGTCTCCCTAAATCAGACATGTCAAGCAATCAGCCAACGTGGTGTATTTCTCATTCAATATTTTAGTGTGAATTGAGACACTGAGATAAAGACATCGTGCAGAGATAAATGGGGATACAGTTAAATGTAGCAACTCTTGAGTTCATTTTTTCCCACTGTAGCAAAATTAATGCTTTCTCTTTATTGAAATAAATTGCTCATTCCTCAAATTTTTTTATCTTTCTGTAATTAATTTCCTAGTTCTATGTTTCCTTGTGTATGAATTAGTAACTTTGAAAAAGGGCAGATGTTTAATCATTTTCACTTAGAATATTCAGATCAAACTATATGAATCATTTTTTTTTAATAATCAATGCATACACAGGAATTCCCTTTTGCCTAGAAATCAGACTTCCAGCAGTCTCAAAACCTTTGAACATAATTACAACCTGGGAAGGAATTGAAAGGAAACCTAGAATCAGCCA
Organism: Homo sapiens; assembly: GCF_000001405.40. Lineage (NCBI taxonomy): Eukaryota > Metazoa > Chordata > Mammalia > Primates > Hominidae > Homo > Homo sapiens. The sequence goes on from NC_000012.12 coordinate 12,791,722, forward strand.
AATTAGCCTTCACAACATCCAAACACTAAAGAGAGGTGGGCAGGGAGGGTGAAGGGCAGCATGTATATCAGGAAAGAAAACTTTCCCGTAAATCTCTGAGGGACTTCACCTTGCAAGCCACCGATCTTGACCATGCAAGGCAGGCTGGGAAATGTAGTATTTTTAGCTGAGAACAACGCTGCCCCTAATATACCTAAGATTCTCTTGGTAAGAAAGAAAAGGAGGGTGATCATTAAGTAGGGGGTCCAGCAATTTAAACAAAAAGCCTATTGTGGTTGCGGCAGCCAGTTGGGGACGACTACTCTGGAGACGACCTCACTATCTCAGTGCCAGCTGCACCTTGGAAACATTCCTGGGTCTGGAGGCTGCACTGTTAATAACTGTACAACCAAAAAAGGCTGTGTTGGCAGGCCCCTGACTGTTTGCAGAGGCCAGCCGCAAGCTGGGATCCTATCTTTGCTGAAGCATATGGTATTCCTGTAGTAACAAGTGTCCTTTTAGTTAATTGCAATAAATCTCTTGTTGAGTTGACAGGAGGTTGGGATGTTACTTTTTGCTCCTGGCAAACTCATAAGAGGGAAAGTAAACCCTGCTGTGGTCTGGAATAGGACAAAGAGTGAGCCCTTAGATCTGAAAACAATCTCTTAGCAACCAGAGAGCTGTTAGGAGAGGGGAAATCGTGCTGATGAAGCGAGACCCATCGTCCAGGAATGCACATTAGGGGTCCTCAGCACCCCCAAACCTGACTAGCATTAGCACCGGGTTGTGGAGAGAAGGCCCTCTAATGTGGTCTTTGCCTGCACGCATAGAGATTATCTATATGAAGCTACATCTGCAGAAAATGATGTTTAATCCAATTTTGTATTTACACTAAAACCCCAGAGGTGGGAGGACAGGCAGGCCTGTGACCTGATTCCCCCTGAGCTTTAGCCATGGGTCACGGCCAAGGCATCTGCCTCCCTTACACACAGGAGCAGCCAGATCCTGGCCTCCTCCAGCATTTGTGTGAATACGGTTGCCAAATTCACCAAAATAATTATAACTGGGAGAAGCTACACAAAAAGGGTAGGGGTGATGTCTAAAGTCTTTCTTTTAGGCGAAACTTCTTTTTCTACGCTCCCCGGTTGATAAGCAGACATTTCTTTCTGCCCTCACTTTTTATTAAAACTGCACTCTCAAAATATCATTTAAAAACAATATTTTTTTCAGTGCTTAAATAAAATGACATTTCAATAATATTGAACATACATGTGGGATATTTAACAATAACAATAGCTAACATTTATTGAGAACTCACTAGATACTCTTCTAAGTACGATTTGACCTGTATCATTTCATTTACCTTACAAAAATCTTATGGTGTGCACACTATAATTACCCTATATTATTAGATAAAGTAAGGAATTTGAGAGGTTGCATTGCCAGCATGAGGTGCCCCAGAATTTGAATTCTGGCAGCCTGACTCCAGAGTTATGCTCTTAGCTATTCTTTTCCTTTTTTTTTTTTGGAGTCTTGCTCTGTCACCCAGGCTGGAGTCCAGTGGCATGATCTCAGCTCACTGCAACCTCCGCTTCCTGGGTTCAAGCGATTCTCCTGCTTCAGCCTCCTGAGTAGCTGGGATTACAGGCGCCCACCACCATGCCCAGCTAATTTTTGTGTGTGTGTGTATTTTTAGTAGAGATGGGGTTTCACCATGTTGGCCAGGCTAGTCTTGAACTCCTGACCTCAAGTGATCCACACACCTTGGCCTCCCAAAGTGCTGGGATTACAGGCATGAGCCGCTGTGCCCATCCAATGCTCTTGGCTTTTCTGATTTTTTTTTTTTAGACGGAGTTTTGCTCTTTTCGCCCAGGCTGGAGTACAGTGGCATGACCTCAGCTCACTGCAACCTGTGCCTCTCGGGTTCAGGCGATTCTCCCACCTCAGCATCCTGAGTAGCTGGGATTACAGGCGCCCACCACCATGCCTGGCTAATTTTTGTATTTTTGGTAGAGACAGGGTTTTGCCATGTTGGCCAGGGTGGTTTTGAACTCCTGGCCTCAGGTGATCTGCCCATCTCAGCCTCCCAAAGTTCTGGGATTACAGGTGTGAGCCACTGCGCCTAGCCAATCCTAGCACCTTGGGAGGCCGAGGCAGGTGGGTTGCTTGAGTCCAGGAGTTAGAGACCAGCCTGAGCAACATGGTGAGACCTCATCTGTACAAATAATTTTTAAATGAGCTGAGTGTGGTGTTGCACACCTATAGTCCCAGCTTCTCAGGAGGTTGAGGTGGGAGGATCACTTAAGCCCAGGAGGTCGAGGTTGCAGTGAACCGTGATTGGGCCACTGCACTCCAGCCAGCCTGGGGAACAGAGCAAGAACCTGTCTCAAAAAAAATAAAAACATCTCCTGGCAGTAACAGTCTCATCTAGGATGAGTAATCTTATGCCAGTAGGCTAGTCAATAAGAAAAAAATAAAATATAGCTTTGCAAGTCACTAGTATTTATAATAAACAGTGTGGGTGTGATTTGAAAGTTATAAAACTTTTGCTCTGATCATAAAAACCTATGTATGGGTTTTTATGGTGGCTGGGCACAGTGGCTCACACCTGTAATCCCAGCACTTTGGGAGGCTGAGGTGGGAGGATCAACTGAGGTCAGGAGTTCAAGACTAGCCTGGCCAACATGGTGAAACCCCGTCTCTACTAAAAATACAAAAATTAGCTGGGCATGGTGGCAGGCACCTGTAATCTCAGCTACTCGGGAGACTGAGGCAGGAGAATCGCTTGAACTCAGAAGACAGAGGTTGCAGTGAGCTGAGATCACGCCACTGCACTCCAGCCTAGGCGACAGAGCAAAACTCTGTCTCAAACAAAACAAAACAAAGCCTATTTACAGAATAATATTTTGTGATGCTCCCCCAAATCTCCCAAACATGGCAAAATTCTGGTGAACAAAACACCTGAAGAGGAAGGACATGATTTATAAGAACTTTTTGCTAACTGTAGATGCGCTGGAACTGAAGTTATCAGTAGAGATGACACAGACATGAATGAAGGAATTACTGGTCGAACAGGCCTATCTAGATCTGATTTTAAAACCTCAAAAAATGAAACTTCTTGGGGTCATTCCATTGAAACTACTACTGACCCTGCTTGTCAAATTTCTTCCTGTTGGGGTGTGTACTCAATTGCAGTCTAGTAGCTTATGGACTAAAAGTGTTGGAGGTATGTGGGTGAGTAGATAGGTATGAATAGGAATAAGATGTTGGGTATCATAAACTATTCAAAATCATAATGCTTTGTGGTTGATTTGAATTTAACATTGTCCCCTGAGGTTTTGCATAGCAAACACAGTTATTTAATTTTAATTCTTTCTAACTTCTCTGTAGCATTTGACTTTGCTGAATACCCAATTCTTTTTCTTTTCTTTTTTTTTTTTTTTTTGAGACGGAGTCTCGCTCTGTCACCAGACTGGAGTGCAGTGGTGCGATCTCGGCTCACTGCAACCCCCACTTCCCGGGTTCAAGTGATTCTCCTGCCTCAGCCTCCCAAGTAGCCGGGACTACAGGCTCGTGCCACCACGCCCGGCTAATTTTGTATTTTTGGTAGAGACGGGGTTTCACCGTGTTGTTCAGGATGGTCTCGATCTCTTGACCTTGTGATCCACCTGCCCCGGCCTCCCAAAGTGCTGGGATTACAGGCGTGAGCCACTGCGCCTAGCCAAATACCCAATTCTTAAAGCACCCTTTTTCTTGAATTCTGTGACACCAGCCTTTCTTATTTAGTTTCCTTGACAGCTTTTTTTTCTCCTCCAGTCTTAAGGTTCAAGTTTCCCTGAGCCTCAGACCCAGGCTGCCATTCCCCTGACCTTGTCACACAGCCCTTCACTGAGCATGTTCGTTTCCAGGGTCTCACCCGTCCTGGACTGGATGTTGGTATGGATGAAACCAGCTCCACGGCCGGGCGCGGTGGCTCACGCCTGTAATCCCAGCACTTTGGGAGGCCGAGGCGGGTGGATCACGAGGTCAGGAGATCGAGACCATCCTGGCTAACGGTGAAACCCTGTCTCTACTAAAAATACAAAAAATTAGCCGGGCGTGGTGGCGGGTGTCTGTAGTCCCAGCTACTCAGGAGTCTGAGGCAGGAGAATGGTGTGAACCTGGGAGACGGAGCTGGCAGTGAGCCGAGATCGCACCACTGCACTTTAGCCTGGGTGACAGAGCAAGACTCTGTCTCAAAAAAAAAAAAAAAAAAGAAACCAGCTCTAAAGGATTCTTTGGGGTCAAGTTGAATTTGGTGGGTATTATGTCAAATGAAAACAAATGAAATCATTGTCTGAATGAAAAAGGTTGCAGGAAGAGTGCACCAAAACAAAAGCCCTATCTGCGTTCCTACTATGCCATTCCTCTCATTGAAGTTCTATACCTGACTCCAGCCAGATGCAGTCTTGCTCTAATCTGAATGTCTAAGAGCAATCTGTGTGTCTCTTATGCAGACGTATCACTTGATACATTTTATTAAATATATATGTGCCTACCCCAAGGCTCTTAAGGACAGAAACCACATCACAGATATTGTTAAATCTCCCAGTGTCTCTTCAGCTCCCGCCACAGGAGATGCCCAGTAGCATTTATTGACTGAACAAGCACAGTTTATCCTCATGGATATGCTGGCATTCCTTCTCAGAACATCTGAAGCTAAATTTATCTGTAAAACTGGCCCAGTTTCACAACTCTTCTACTTCTACCAAAGGCAACATCAGTCTACCAGTGGCCTACCCGGAAATATCATCATCTCCAAATCTTCCCCTTTCTTACTTCTCTGATATACTTTTCTTTTCTTTTCTTTTCTTTTTTTTTTTTTTGAGACAGGGTCTCCCTCTCTCACGTGGGCTGGAGTTCAGTGGTGCGACCATGGCTCACTATAGTCTCAACCTCCCACTGTGATCCTCCCACCTCAGCCTCCAGAGTAACTGGGACCATAAGTGCTCACCACCATGCCCGGCTAATTTTTGTATTTTTAGTAGAGACGGGGTTTTGCCATGTTGCCCAGGCTGGTCTCGATCTCCTGAACTCAAGCAATTCGACTGCCTTGGCCTCCCAAAGTGCTGGGATTATAGGCATGAACTAACACTCCTGGCCACTCTAATATATTTTTGCCAAAGTATTTCCTTCCCATTAAATGTCTCTGCCATCCATTTTGATCCAACCCACTGCTATCACAACCATCTAGGCTTTACCTCCTAATACCTGCAATGACCTTCAAGCTGTTTCTTCCTGATTCCAACTTCTTTCTGCTCAGATTCACACCATACTTCAATCCTTGATTCATTTACATAACTCCCAGATTTCTTTATATTCCAATCAAATGGAACATGACCTTATCTAAACCTTGACTCTGAATTTGAGTACACAGCCCAGAGAACTGCTGAGTTCCTGTGGTTTTGGCTGTGACGGATAATACCATGAAGGGCTAACAGGAACTCAATTCTGTGGTTATTTATTCATTCATTTATTTTTATTTATATTTATTATATTTATATTACTTATTTTTATAGTATTATTATATTTATTTATTTATTATTTTTATTATTTATTTTTGAGATGGAGTCTCGTTCTCCCAGGCTGGAGTTCAGTGGCATGATCTCAGCTCACTGTAACCTTTGCCTCCCGAGTTCAAGCAATTTTCCTACCTCAGCCTCCTGAGTAACTGGGATTATAGGCACTTGCCACGATGCCCAGCTAATTTTTGTAATTTTAGTAGAGACAGAGTTTCACCATGTTGGCCAGGCTGGTCTTGAGCACCTGACCTCAGGTGATCCACCTGCCTTGGCCTCCCAAAGTGCTGGGATTACAGTCGTGAGCTACTGCACCTGGTCTAATTCTGTGGTTTTTAATGAGAAAACGATGTTGTAGTCTAGTGACTTTCAAAACAGGCTGAGTCAGGAAGAAAAGGTCCCAGGGTGGTGGTGCAGGGAAGCCTCGAGAGGGGAGGAATGGGGAAAGCAGAGAGAGACAAACAGGAGTCGGCAGGTCACGTCATCACTAGGTGAATTTCCTCCATGAAATTGAAGGCCTAGTGCTTCTGACTGACTTGGAGAGAGGACTTGGACCACCACACACCACCAAGGCAAACTGGCTGTACGACCTTTAATGATGGGAAACAAGAGCAGAGAAAAGGCAGTTGCATATTGAACCTGATATCTTCCCTCCAAACGCTCTTCAACATGTGCAGTTGTCATAGAAACCCAAGCCCGGCCCTAGGCTGGCCCCAACTCCCTTGTTAATGCTGTAGGGTTTGTAACTGAATCAAAAATGTATGGTGGTGACAATGAACTTCCTGACCTTAGAAGAGCTTTCCTCACCAGACTGACCTCCTTTATGATGTTATCTTAAGAGGGGAAGACTTCAGAGTTATCTGGGGCACCATGTTCCATCTCCCCAGCATGGCCAGTTCTAAAAGCTTTCTAATCAAGTTGGTAATCCACACTGACCTCTCAGAAGAGGACAGGCTGGAAACGGTGGCTCACACTTGTAATCCCAACACTTTGGGAAGCCAGAGGGGAGGATCACTTGAGCCTAGGAGTTTGAGACCAGCCTGGGAAACATAGCAAGACAAAAATAGACTCTACAAGACCTACAGAAAAATAGAAAAAAAGCCAGGTGTGGTGGTGTGCACCTGTGGTTCCAGATACTTGGGAGGCTGAGGTGAGAGGATTGCTTCAGCCCAGGATGTCTTGGCTGCAGTGAGCTGTGATTGTGCCACTGCACTCCAGCCTGGGCAACAGAGGAAGACCCTGTCTCAAAAATAAATAAATAAAAAGAAGAGGATTGGACTAGAAGACACCATTTCCTGTGGTGTGAAGGAGCTATTAAGGGAGACATTTTTTGTTTGGTGATTTACAGTTAGACCTTGTCCTCACATTCAAGTTGGACCTTGTCCTCACATCCCTGCTTCATACGTAGAAAGTTGTTGGGTCTCTTCTCTTTCCCAAGAATGAGCAATCTTGGCCTAAGGTAATAACCTGTCTCTAGAAGCTCAAGTTAGTGTCCTACTTCTTTTATACACAAACATGTGATCTTTCCACATCACAACTGTGGCCTCATCTTTCCTTTTCTTCATCCCTTCCCAATACACACCCACAGACACACAGATATTCATTTATTCAACAAAAGATTTATTGAGCACTCACTCAATACCTATATGCTAGGTATTTTTCTAGGCACCTAGCATAGAGTAGTCAAATATCTCTGCCATGAGGGAGTTCGTATCTATTGATGGTAGAGAATGCAGACAAAAAAAAAAAATGAAGAAGCAAATATCAGCCAAGCATGATGGCTCATACCTGTAATCCCAGCACTTTGGGAGGCAGAGGTGGAAGGATTTCTTGAGGCCAGGAGTTCGAGACCAGCCTGGGCAACATAGTGAGACCACATCTCTTAAAAAAAAAAAAAAAAAAAAGAGAAGCAGCAGAAGAAAAAGTAGATATCTAGTTTGTGAGATGGTATATATATTTTTCCTATAACTTCTGTAAAAAATTACCAAAATTTTAGTGGCTTAAAACAACACAAATAATTTATTATCTCACAGTCAGAAGTCTGATGCAATTGTAGCTCAATGGGCTAAAATCCAGCAGTCGGCAGGGCTATCCTTTTTCCTAGAGGCGATAAGGGAGAGCGTGTTTTCTTGCCTTTTCCACCTTCTAGAGGCTCCTGCATTCCCTGGCTTGTGGCCCCTTCCTCCATCTTCAAAGCCTGCAATGATGGGTTGAGTCTTCTCACATTGCATCGCTCTGACATCTTCTTTTGCCTTTTCTTCCACTTTTCAAGACCCTTTTGACTACATTGGGCCCATTCAGACAATACAAAATAATCTCCTTATTTTAAGGTCAGATGATTAGCAACCTTAACTCTATCTGCAACCTAATTCCCCATTGCCATGTAAGATAACATGTTCACGCATTCCAGGGATTAGGATATGTGCATCCTTGGGGGCCATTGTTATTGTTTCCCACATGTTGATAAGTGCCATGGAGAAAAACAAAGCAGGGACAAGGGAGAGGGAGTGCTGGGGGGGAGAGGGGCTGGAAGTCCTTAATGACAAGGGATGTTTGAGTGAAGAGCTGAAGTTGGTGTTGGAGAGAGCCACGAGGGTATCTGAGTGTTCCAGGCAGAGGAAACGGAGAGTGCAAAGGCTCTGAGGCAGAAGCATGACCGCTATGTTATTTTGGTGTTTTTTTTTTTTTTTTTTTTTAGATAGAGTCTCACTCTCTGTCGCCCAGGCTGGAGTGCAGTGGCACCATCTTGGCTCACTGTAACCTCCAGCTCCTGGGTTCAAGCAATTCTCCTGCCTCAGCCTTCTGAGTAGCTATGATTATAGGTCCACGCCACCAGGCCTGGCTAATTTTTTGTATTTTTAGTAGAAACGGGGTTTCACCATGTTAACCAGGCTGGTCTCAAACTCCTGACCTCAGGTGATCCACCCACCTCCCAAAGTGCTGGGATTATAGGCATGAGCCACTGTGCCCAGCCATTTTTTGTATTTTTAGTAGAGATGGAGTTTTGCCATGTTGGCCAGGCTGGTCTTGAAGTCCTGGCCCCAACTCTTGGCCTCAACTCCTGGCCTCAAGTGATCCACTTGCCTCAGCCTCCCAAAATGCTAGGATTATAGGCGTGAGCCACCACGCCCAGCTGACTTATGTTTTCAAAGGACCCCTTTCTGCTATGTTGAGAATTGACTGTTGAGAGGTAAGAATCAAGGCAAGAAGACTAGTTAGGAGGCTACTGCCATGACCCAGGTCAGAAATGTTGGTAGCTGAGAGTGGAGAAAAGTAGTCAGATTCCAGATGTATGATGAAAGTAGACCTGCAGGACTTGTTGACAGATTGGGTGTGGGAGGTGTAAGAGAGGAGTCCTGGCTTGAGTAATTTAGAAGGATGACATGGCTATTTCCTGATGTGGGGAAGACTGTGGGAGAAACACGCTGGGGAGGAGTGGAGTCAGGAGTTGAGTTTTAGAGGTATTAAGTTTGAGATTCCTGACATATACCTGTAGGCAGCTGAATATATGAGTCTGGAACCCAAGGAAGGACTTAGAAGGGAGATATCAATTGGAGAATCCTGAGCAAGTAGGTGGTATTAAAAATCATGAGACTGGATGTGGCCACTAAGAGATGAGTGAAAGTAGGGAATATAGAGAATAGGTCCGAGGATTCAGCCCTGGGTACTCTGACATTTAGGGTGGGGAGTGGGTGGGAATGAGGAAGTACTAGCTAGGAAGACTGAGAAGGAGTGGCCAGCAAGACAGGAGAAAAACCAGGAGTCTCCAGTGTATTGAAACCCACGTCGGCTGGGCGCGGTGGCTCATGCCTGTAATTCTAGCACTTTGGGAGGCCGAGGCGGGTGGATCACTAGGTCAAGAGATTGAGACCTTGGGAGGCCAAGGCAGGCGGATCACAAGGTCAGGAGTTCAAGAGCAGACCGGCCAAGATAGCGAAACCCCATCTCTATTAAAAATACAAAAATTAGCCGGGAGTGGTGGCGTGTGCCTGTAATCCCAGCTACTCGGGAGGCCAAGACAGAGAATTGCTTGAACCCAGGAGACGGAGGTTGCAATGTGTCAAGATTGCGCCACTGCACTCTAGCCTAGGTGACAGAGTGAGACTCCATCTCAAAAAAAAAAAAAAAAAAAAAGAGAGAGAGAGAGAGAGATCGAGACCAGCCTGGATGGTGAAACCCCATCTCTACTAAAAATGCAAAAGTTATCTGGGCATGATGGTACATGCCTGTAGTCCCAGCTACTCGAGAAGCTGAGGCAGGAGAATTGCTTGAACCCAGGAGGTGGAGGTTGCAGTGAGCCAGGATTGTGCCACTGCACTCCAGCCTAGTGACAGAGTGAGACTCCGTCTCAAAAAAAGAAAGAAAGAAAGAAACCCAAGTCAAAAGGATTTTTTAAGGAAGGGGCAGTTGGATGCTGCTAAGGAATCAAGTAAGATGAAGAATGAGAATTGACCATTGGATTTAGCACATGGGGGTCTTAAAGGAAAGTTTCCATGGAAATAGTATGGGCAAAAGCCTTACTCAAGTGGATTCAAGAGACAGGAATTGGAGGCAGCCTACATAGACAACTCATACAAAGAGTTGGCTGTCAAGGAAACAGAGAAGTGGGCAATAGCTCTAGGGAGATGTGGCGTCATCAGAATTTTTTTTTTTTTTTTTTTTTTTTTTTTGAGAAGAAGTCTCCCTCTGTCGCCAGGCTGGAGTGCAATGGCGTGATCTCGGCTCACTGCAACCTCTGCCTCCCAGGTCAAGCAATTCCCCTGCCTCAGCCTCCTGAGTAGCTGGTACTACAGGCTCACGACACCATGCCCAGCTAATTTTTGTATTTTTAGTAGAGACGGCGTTTCACCATGTTGTCCAGGATGGTCTCGATCTCTTGACCTTGTGATCCGCCCGCCTCGGCCTCCCAAAGTGCTGGGATTACCGGCATGAGCCACCATGCCCGGCCCCATCAGAAATATTTTTTAAGATAGGAAGAAATAATAGCATGTATAGATGCCGTGGGAATCATCCAGTGGAGAGAGAAACATTCATGGGTCAGGAGAGAACATAGAGACTTTAGAGGAATGTCCTTGATAAAGTAAGAAGGGGTGAGATTTAGCCCAGGTGCTCATGTGGAGGGTTGGCTGCATTTGGCAGAGGCACTGACAGGACATCTTCAAGAACAAGAGGGAAGGCAGATAGGTGATAAGACGGGCAGTGGAAACTTGTGGAAGTTTTTTTTATTTTTTCACTGAAATAGGAAGCAAGGCCATAGGCTGAGAGTGACAACGGGAGAGGGTGCACTGGAAGGCTGAGCAGAGTTGTTTGGGAAAGTGGGAGAAAGATGCAGTAAGGAAACGCACAGGCTTACCAGGCAGCACGAAGGAAAGGCTACCACAGAGGGACAGTTTGGTGAGTAGGTTTTCATAACGTGTGATCGGGAGGCTGAGGTGGGAAGATCAATTAAGCCCAAGAGTTTGAGATAAACCTGGGCAACATAGTGAGACCTCATCTCAAAAAAAAAAAAAAAAAAAAAGATCAGGCTGGGCCATGGTGGCTCACGCCTATAATTCCAGCACTTTGGGAAGCTGAGACGGGTGGATCACCTGAGGTCAGGAGTTTGAGACCAGCTTGGCCAACATGGGGAAACCCCGTCTCTACTAAAAATACAAAGATTAGCTGGGTGTGGTGGTGCACACCTGTAATTCCAGCTACTCAGGAGGCTGAGAAAGGAGAATTGCTTGAACCCAGGCGGCGGAGGTTGCAGTGAGCTGAGATTGTGCCACTGCACTCCAGGCTGGGCCACAGAGTGAGGCTCCATCTCAAAAAAAATAAAAAATAGATCAGAGAAGTATAGTTTTTTTTTCCTTTAGAAGCTGTTAGCGTTCTTAGATGCAAACAGCAGAACCTCTTCTAGTTAAGCAGAGAAGGACTTTATTAAAGTCTGTTAGGAAGCTCACAGAATCTCCAAGAAAGCAAAAGTCAGGCTCAAGGGCAATGCAGCCAGGAACAACACCTGCAGCCTGTTGTGAGATCACCACTCCAGCAGAAACCCCACTGCTGCTGTTGCTAGGCTAGGGCATCTCATACTGCACGCCTGGCACGGGCACTGGACATCACAGCCTTTGTGCTATTGCCCCTTAAGCAGGACACCTCTGCCAATGCCTGTGTCTACTTCCTTGCATGACTCATGTCTGAACTAAGCTCTGGTGTGGGTGTGTCTGTTTGGCAGAGGCCAAGTCATGTGTCTGGGACCCAGGTGCAAGGGAGGGTGGAGAGTGAGTTTCTGGTTTCTCCTTCAAGGAGGTGAACTTAGAATGGGAGAAATTTGCCAATCATTGGAAAAGATAATTAAAAGATGTTGGGTTATCATCAAGCATGAGAAATGTCCAGGATAGCAGTTAACGTTTTATTTATTTTAAACATTTAGATTTCAAACTTACTATATGAAATTCACATGCTTCTATTTTGAGTGTAGCTGGAAGCTGCTGTGTATTATACTCATTATTTCACTGTGGCCATGGTATCAGGATTGCCAAGGAACTTTATAAATACCTCCATTTCTAGTAATTTTTTTTTAATTGTGTATACATTTAAGGCTGGGTATGATGGCTCATGCCTGTAATCCTAGCACTTTGCGAGGCTGAGGCAGGCAAATCACTTGAGGCCAGGAGTTTGAGACCAGCCTGGCCAACGTGGAGAAACCCTGTCTCTACTAAAAATACAAAAAAAATTAGTGCGCGCCTGTAATTCCAGCTACTCAGGAGGCTGAGGCACGAGAATCTCTTGAGCCCGGGAGGTGGAGGTTGCAGTGAGCTGAGATCGCACCACTGCACTCCAGCCTGGGTGACAAAGTGAGACTGTCTCAAAAAAAAATTGTGTATACATTAAAAAAAACCTCACTTGTATGAAGGGAATACAAGGAAACCAGGAAATGACTCAAAGCTGCCCTTTCCTTTACTACCTGGCCCATAGCATGAACTGACCTTGAAACCCTAGCCTCCGTGGCTTTCTACGTAAGATTGTAACATAGCATTTGAATTTCCTGCTTATTGTTGACTGTAGGTTAAACTCGTTCCTTATAAATTTTATTTGCATTATGGAACATCATTTGTCCTCTTCAGTTTAGTTCTCAGTCTGAGACACCAGATTTTTTTGGGAGCACTAGACATAAAAATCTGTTATTCCTAGTGGGTCTAGGAGCTCAAGGGGTCAAACGGCAGGTTTGGTAGGAAAGTTGGCTTTTCTGCCACCCTCCAACCCCAGCCCCTCTGTGCTGCTCCTAACCACTGCCTACGGGCTGGTGTCCACCGTGGAAGTGGCCACAGCTTTATTAAATTACCACACTCCTAGGTCGGTTTCTCTCTCTCTCTTTTTTTTTTTTTTTCCCCAGATTCAGAAACTCCCTATGACCCCTATGATTAGTAAATAAATAGGCTCTGGGGATTTATTCATGCTAAGCACACTCACAGGTGACTAATCTACAAACCAGTCTCACTCACCCACTGGGCAAGTATTTTCTGAATTCCTATTCTATGCTAGGCAATGGGAAGTGCATTAGTGCACAGCACAGACGTGTTCTAGTCACTGTTCTGGTAACCCTTGCTGTCGGGTGGGAAATCAAACAACAGTAAAATTCATTTTGAACTATGATGGTAGTGATGGAAAAGGAAGAGAAGTAGTGGGACTCCAGATGAATTTTGGCAGCGGAGTCTATAAGACTTGCTGATGTGGAGCCTGCAGGAAAGAAACAGGTGAGATGAAGAAGATGGAGAGAAAAGAAAGTGTTGGGGAGAAATCCACATGCTAAAGTTTTCATGTTGATTGGGAGATATGGCTAAGTTGAGTCTCAAAACAAACTACCCACAGAAGAGACACCCCTTGAAGTGCATAGACTATGCAGGAGACAAAACAAATTGGCTTAAGCTAATTGAAAATGTTACGAGCCTATCACCGATATTTCCACTTATCATACTGGGGATAGCATAGTGACAATGTAGTATCAACAGACTTGGGGCCGGGCATGGTGGCTCACACCTGTAATCCTAGCACTTTGGGAGGCTGAGGCGGGAGAATCACTTGAGCTCATAGATTCGAGACCAACCTGGGCAACCCAGTGAGACCTCGTCTTGATAAAAACAAAAACAATAACAAACCAGGGCCGGGCATGGTGGCTCACACTTGGCCCAGCACTTTGGGAGGCTGAGGTGGGCGGATCACGAGGTCAGGAGATCAAGACCAGTCTGGCCAACACAGTGAAACCCCGTCTCTACTAAAGATACAAAAATTAGCTGGGCGTGGTGGCAGGTGCCTGTAATCCCAGCTACTTGGGAGGCTGAGGCAGGAGAATTGCTTGAACCCGGGAGACCGAGGTTGCAGTGAGCCGAGATCACGCCACTGCACTCCAGCTGTGCGACAGAGCTAGACTCCATCTCAAAACAAACAAACAAACAAACAAAAAACAAAATAGAATCCCCCAAAGCCCACACTAGGGATGGATGGCATGGGAGGGTGATAAGAGAGAGCTCTGGACCGGACTCCTGAGTGTAGGTCCTGGTTCCTACTACAGCCACTACCTTCTGAACATGACCTCTTACCTTCCACATATTTGCCCCTCCTCCAGTGTTTCCTAGCTGTGTGAATGGTTCTGCCACTTTGCTACCTGCTGAAGCCAAAAATCTGGGAATCCCCGACACATTCCTGGCTTTCACGTTCCATGTTAAATCAATCATGAGGATTTATCTAACCTGTATACACCCTTTAAGTGTCCACTGTTCTCCAACCCCATCGTCTCCTCTCTGCTCCAAAACGCCATCATCTTTTGCTCAAACAGCTGCTAGCTGATCTTCCTGCATCCCACTCCACTATCCAAACCATTCTCCACTGCGGCTGAGTGAGGAATCTTTTCAAATGCTTCTATGCTGAAATTTCTTCCACGGCTATTCATTGTCCTTAGAATAAAGTCCCACATCCCCAGATCCTTAACCTGCTCTATCACGTCCTAGTCAGGTCCCTAACTGTACTTCCAGCTTTATCATAAATCGCTGCCTTATAATTTCTATAACCATCATTTGATTTTTTCCACTGTAGGGGCTTAACTTGGAAGATTCTTTCTATCTGTAGACCACTCCCTACACCCCACGCAGCTAGTAAGTGCTGCCCAACTTTCAAGTCTCAGTTTAAAAGTCACAGGAAAGAGCGATCATGGTGGCTCATGCCTGTAATCCCAGCACTTTGGGAGGCCGAGGTGGGCAGATCACCTGAGGTCAGGAGTTTGAGACCAGCCTGGCCAACATGGTGAAACCCCGTCTGTACTAAAAATACAAAAATTAGCCAGGCGTGGTGGTACGTGCCTGTAATCCCAGCTACTTAGGAGGCTGAGGCAGGGGAATCGCTCGAATCTGGGAGGCTGAGGTTGCAGTTAGCCGAGATCTCGCTACTGCACTCCAGCCTGGGCAACAAGAGCGAAACTCCATCTCGAAAACACAAACAAACAAATAAGCAAACAAACATTAAAAAAAAGAAAATGTTTCAAATTAAAAGCCAAAAGAAAAAGAAATCAACAAATAACAAGGACTAGTTATTTTTTCTCTCTCGACGAGAATTGGTTAGATAACTAAGTAAATTGTACTTGAACTGTCTCTTTTCTAGATTTTATGTAGACTGCTGTCTTCTCTCTCTGCCTGCATTATTACATCATCTGTGTATGTCCTTTCTTCATCTGAACATACATATTCATAACAAGTTACCACTCACAAGTCTAAAGATAATTTCCTGACTGATTACATTTTGCATGGGCTCCTTCTTGAATAAAGGGCACTTTGTCATAAGTGAGCTAGCTTCCTCCAAAATAGACTTCTGGGTATGCAACTTCTCGGCCATTTCGTGTGGAAACTGATAACCAGTTTTTGTTTGAGTCCTCCACAGAACTCTTGTCCCTAAGTTGGGGGCTCACTTTACTTTTGCACCAGGAACCACCAACATCCCAGCCTGCTCACCTCCACAGTGGTCCTGGGTTCCTGGCCTGGGCAGGCTTCCTCCACGTTCCTCACACCCTTCCCTTATCTGTGGGGTGCCGTAGACAGAATGCCTAGAGCCACAATGCTTTTACATATCTCCAAAAACAGGTTTTCATTTCTTTCAAAATCAAAAGAAGGCCAGGGCAGGGCGCGGTGGCTTATGCCTGTAATCCCAGCACTTTGGGAGACTGAAGCAGGTGGATCACTTGAGATCAGGAGCTTGAGACTACCCTGGCCAACATGGTGAAATCCCACCTCTACTAAAAGTACAAAAATTAGCTGGGCATGGTGGCACGTGCCTGTAGTCCCAGCTACTTGGGAGGCAAAGGTTGCAATGAGCTGAGATCATGCCACTGTCCTCCAGCCTGGGCAACAGAGTGAGACCTCATCTCAAAAAAAAAAAAAAAGGAGGGGGGGCCAGGTGGCTCACACCTGTAATCCCAGTGCTTTGGGAGGCCGAGGTGGGAGGATCACTTGAGTCCAGGAGTTCAAGGTTGCAGTGGCACAATCAGAACTCACTGTACTCCAGCCTGGGCAACAGAGAGAGCCTGTTTCTAAAAACTAAAAAAAAAAAAAAAATTTGTTAACTCGGAGAACAAGTTTTAATACATAACATTAATATATTTATCTGTATACTAATGCAGTTGTAAAATATAATTTTTAATACTTTTTTGTGGAAGAAGAGGTGCATGAAGGCAAAGGAGTCTGGGGCTCATGAAAACCTTTGAGTAAGATGGGGTCAGGCCCTTCGACCTCTCCTTCTGGAGCCCATATATTGTTTCGGGCTTGCTTTTCCTCCCTCATCATTTAGAGTGTTTATTTAGATTTCCTCTTTAACCTTTCTCATTGTTCTGAAAGTACAGGATATGACGTGGCTCAGTGACTAGAATGGACCTCTATTATTTCCATTCCCAGAGTATAAATATCCAAACTGCTTCAACCTGATAGGAATAGTCAAAAGCAGACAATCATCTCGGCTACTGCAGGCTTTCCTCTTTGGAACCCACCTATGGTCATCCTGTCAGTCTGACATGAATCTGGTCACTGGGGTAGGTGCTGTTCCAAGGCCCAAACTTTGCTGGCAGGAACAGACTAAAGAACTGAGCAGCGCTGACGCTGCTGTCACTGCATGCCACATCCTCTTCACGGCCCTCGATACCCTGGGGACACTGACACCAGAGGAAGTTTTAAAAACAGCCTGTGTCTGAATTATCCAAGAACAAACAGAAAAGACTTGCTTGGCTAAAATCAACAGGGTTTGATGTTACAACTGCAGTTGAAAGGCTTAAATCGGTTCTCTTTAAAGCAGCAGGCACCCCCAGACATCTTATGGGTGATTCCTTTTCTTTTCTGTAACGCATTCGAACAAAACTCAGGTAACTTTAGAAGGTATATGATATGCAAATTTATAGACCTTCCAGTTGTTTCCATCTGAGTCCCCTTTTCAGGCTTTTTATCTCTGCTTCCCCTTGCTCCCCAATCAGGATCCTCTCCTCTCAGCTCTTCTTTCCCATTCCACTCTCCTAAATGCAATCACAGGATGAGTCAAGGGGAAGCAAAATAAATACTGCAGCTGCTTTCTCTCTTTGTTTTTACAGAAAAGTCTGTGTGGCTGCTTTTGAAGAAGAAAGCTGCTTTCGATTATGTAAGATGATGCTCTCTTTGGTAAAAGTTTTGGTCTGGTCTCAAGAGACTTGGCTTTTTTTTTTTTTCTTTTTGAGACGGAGTCTTGCTCTGTTGCCCAGGCTGGAGTGCAGTGGCATGATCTCGGCTTGCTGCGACCTCCACCTCCCAGGTTCAAGCAATTCTCCTGCTTCAGCCTCCCGAGTAGCTGGGATTACAGGCTCACAATACCACACCCAGCTAATTTTTGTATTTTTAGTAGAGACGGGGTTTCACCATGATGACCAGGCTGGTCTTGAACTCCTGACCTCAGGTGATCCATCTACCTCAGCCTTCCAGATTGCTGGCATTACAGGTGTGAACCATTGCCCCCAGTCTAAGAGGCTTGGCTTCTATTCTTGTCTCTTGTGATCTTTACTCTTTCTTTACTCTTGTGTCTCTTTACTCTCTGGGACTAGAGTTCCTCCTCTGTCAAAAGAGGAATACAAACTCCCCAGCCGGTCTATGTAACAGAGAAGAGGAAGAGGAAGAGCCCAATTTAGCTGGGTAGATTCTCTTTGGGAGAAGTTGACTTCCCCTTATCCCAAAGCATATGTATTGACTTTGGAGACCATCTAGAGTGGCCCAATTCCAAGTCATAGGAGAATGAGATGGTAGCCATGAGGAGGGCTAAATAGAGAGATGGAATGCCTTAGACTGGGCTAGCATAATTGTATGCCTGTGACTGCCCAATAGAATCAATTTCAGGGTGACCTGTTGTCTTATGCAGTGTGTATTTTCTCTCCTTTCCTGTAACTTGGAGTGAACTAATGTAAAAAGACCAAAGTCCCCAGCCTATTCTGCAGCAGTGTAATCTTTTTTTACTACATATATATGTGTATATATATATATATATACATATATATATAAAATTAAAAAATATATATTTTAGACAGAGTCTCACTCTGTTGCCCAGGCTGGTGTGCAGTGGCACGACCTCGACTCACTGCAACCTCTGCCTCCCAGGTTCAAGCTATTCTCCTACCTCAGCCTCCAAAGTAGCTGGGATTACAGGTGTCCGCAATTATGCCTGGCTAATTTTTGTATTTTTAGTAGAGACAGGATTTCACCATGTTGGCTAGGCTGGTCTTGAACTCCTGACCTCAAATGATCCACCTGCCTTGGCATCCCAAAGTGCTGGGATTATAGGTGTGAGCCACTGTGCCCGGCCAGGAATGTAATCTTAAATATGGAAAAACCTCACTCCCTAAAAAACAAAGAGTGAAGTCCTCTCTGGTCTGCTATGGTTCCTGATCCCAATGCTTTGCTGTTTTACTTCAGCCAGGCAGCATTTCCAGAGCATCCACTTCTTGCCAGGGCCTGTGCTTAGAGCCAGGGGTATGAAGATCATCCCTTGTCTCTTAGATTGTTGGGGACCAGCCTCAACACCACCCGTAGGGTACCCAAAGTCCGGTGGCAACAAAGGAATGAGAAGAGACAGGTTAAGAGTGCATAAAGAGTGGGGGCCGGGGGGCCAATTGCAAAATGGAGGCTGCAAAAGGCCCAGAGTTCTGGTCTTCACTCTATTTATTGAGTACAATCCCTTAGATCTAAGAAGCAGATGTTTAGGGTGAAACAGTGAAAGGGAGGCAGTATGTCATAGGCGTAATCTATAGCAATGGCTGTTTAAATGAGTCTCCTTTGTTCTCAAACAGCATATCTTTAACTTATCGAAGAGTAGCTAGTGGGAGTGGGCTTAACTAGGAGCCTGAACGTCTGTCCACATTTCAATGCTTCAAAGGAGTGTCTTTCTCCTTGAACACAGTGTTTATAGATAAGAGAGCAGGTTGCGCTCAGAGCATGGGAACATAATGGCGATAAGAAGGCTTTCCTCCTCAGAGGCCTTTTGTGACTTGCCACAACTTATTGTCCCATATTTTTATGGCCCGTTTATGCAGGCACCCCACAAGCCCTTTTCCCAACATAGATCAGGGGTCCCCAGCCTCTGGGCCATGGACTGGTGCCAGTCCGTGGCCCGTTAGGAGCTGAGTTGCACAGCAGGAGGTGAGTAGCAGGTGAGCAAGCATTACTACCTGAGCTCCGCCTCCTGGTAAATCAGCTGCGGCATTAGATTCGCTTGGGAGCACAATCCCTATTGCAAGGGATCTAGGTTGCGTGGTTCTTATGAGAATCTAATGCCTGGTGATCTGTCACTGTCTCCCATTACCCCCACATGGAACCATCTAGTTGCAGGAGAACAAGCTCAGGGCTATCACTGATTCCACATTATGGCAAGTTGTACAATTATTTCATTATATATTACAATGTAATAATAATAGAAATAAACTGCACAATAAATGTAATGTGCTTGAATCATCCTGAAACCATCCCCGCCCCAATTCTGTGCAAAAAATGTCTTCCACGAAACCAGTCCTTAGTGCCAAAAAGGTTGGGGACCGCTGTCTTAGATGGTCTCCTTTTCTCACTCTTTCTACAGCCTATCTCCATATAGAGTTAGAGTAATATTTTAAATGTGTAGATCATGTCTCTTCCCTGCTCTAAACCCCCAGTGGCTTCCTTCTGCATTTAGGATAACATCCAAAACCCCAGACCTTTTACAACAGGGTCCTGCAGAGTCTGAGCTGAGCCCAATTCTCTGACCACATCCTACCCTTTTTGTTGTTGAGACACTGCTGTGATGCCTAAATCAGGGCCCTTTTTTAGTTGTGGTGGTGGGGAGGTCGGCAGGCACATTGAGTTGAGTTCCTCACAATTCTCAGGTCAAGCACACTGGCATCACAAGTCTCCTCTCTTGCTTTGTGTATTTATTATCCTTTTTTTTTTTTTTTTGAGACGGAGTCTTGCGCTGTCACTCAGGCTGGAGTGCAATGGCATGATCTCAGCTCACTGCAACCTCCGCCTCCGGGGTTCAAGCAATTCTCCTGCCCCAGCCCCCCGAGTAGCTGGGATTACAGGCACAGGCCACCATGCCTGGCTAATTTTTGTGTTTTTAGTAGAGACTGGATTTCACTATGTTGACCAGGCTGGTCTCGAACTCTTGACTTCAAGTGATCCATCTGCCTTGGCCTCCCAAAGTGCTAAGATACAGGTGTGAGCCACCGCGGCCGGCCTATTGTCTTATACACTTAATTCTTTTATTCCCAATTCCCAGTTTTATTCTAATTCTTCTCCCTCTGCAGGCAACCATTCTAAAATATTTCAAGTGTATCTTCTGTTGGATGTGTTTTAGCAGAATGTGATATCTGTGGGCCTATATTTTAATATACTTGATATATTTTATGCTTTTCTCACTAAGCACTAGGTTTTTCAGATCTAATCATATTGTTAAGGGCATGTTTGTAGACACCATGTTCACATTTTAACTATGCATTTTCCCAGTGACGGACACCAGATTGCCCCCAACTTCCCATCCTCAGGAATAAAACTGCAACGAGCACCCTGCGCAGTGTGAGACCCAAGTGACAGGCCACAGGAGGGCACTCGCTGGCCATGGGGCATGCAACATACAGCTCTGAATTTGCTGCTTTCCAGAATAGCCTTAGTAGCTTCACAGTCTTGGTACTTGGAATTCTCTCACTCTGGAATGATTATCTCCTGGGATCTTAAAGCGTTTTCTCCTGCTCAACAGTGAGGTCTTAACTCAAATATCACTGTCTCAGAGAGGCCTTCCCAATCTCACAGTTATCCCCACAACCCACCCTCCCCAGGTTACTCTGTAATTTTTATGTGAACAGGGTTTCACTCTGTTGCCCAGGCTGGAGTACAGTAGCACCATCTCCACTCACTGCAGCCTCAACTTCCGGGGTCAACTGATCCCTCAACCTCAGCCCCCTGAATAGCTGGGATTACAGGCGCATGCCACCATGCATGCCTGACTGATTTTTGCATTTTGCAGACACAGGGTTTCGCCACGTTGCCCAGGCTGGTCTCGAACTCCTGGGCTCAAGTGATCCGCCCGCCTCGTCCTCCCACAGTGCTGGGGTTACAGGCGTGAGCACACCCAGCTACTTTTCACAATTTGAAATGCTCTGTGATAGCTTATTTATGATCTGTCTTCTTTTTCTTCACGAGGGCAGGGGTCGCTGTCCTATTCACCAGCCATCTAGCATAGCCTTAGCAAATGGTAGGTTCTCAACATTATTGAATAAAGTAATGACATAATAAAAAAATAGTATTGTAATATCAATCCGTTCCAAACTCTATGGTTAGAAAAGCGGGGAACATAACTGGCGACACACGTAGGGAAGGCTCTTTAAAAGGGACCTAAAGGTCAACTGGAGTCCCTGGTGATCAGCCCCTTCTGCACTCGGATCTATTCCGCAAGCCTACGCGCCCATATTCACTGGGCCCCACCTGCCTAGCGGACGGGTGCAATCCCCGGCAAGCCCGCAGGGGGCGCGCAGAGCACGTCGTCCGGGGAGAACTAAAACTACATTTCCCAGCATCCCGCGCGCCGCAGACCCACTTCCGGAGACCTCACACAAGATGGCGGCACCCGAGGAACACGATTCTCCGACCGAAGCGTCCCAGCCGATTGTGGAAGAGGAGGAAACTAAAACATTTAAAGACCTGGTGAGAATGGATGACGCTGGCTTCTTTTATGTACTCTGGTGCTAGGCTCAGGGAGACCCCAGGTACCTTAGATCCCGCTCTGATAGTGTACAAAAGCATCTTGGGGCCTAGCTTGGGTTTTCCCCAGAATTTCAGAGGGCTGGGTTTCGGACGTGCTCTGAGTTTGGGTGGTGGGAGGGCTGCTGGGCCCTGAGACCCCCTATTTGCCCTATTCGCCACTTTAGTGTGGCAACGTTTGTATGTGCATCCAGGAGGTTGTACATATGGGGAATGGAATTGGTCTCTTTATAACTGGAGCTTTGGAGTCAGATGAACCAACCAGATTTGAATTTTGACACAGTCTCTTACTGAGGACAAGTTGTTACCTCTCTGTGTTTCTCTTTCCACATCTGTAAATTGGGGATAGTAATAAGTACTTACCTCGCAGAATTGTTGTGACGATTAAATGAGATGATACATGTAAAGCACCTGGCCTTGGCCTTGGTGAGCAGAAAGTGTTCGTTAAGTCTTGAGCTACTGTCTCATGGTATAGTTAAAGAGTAGGCTCTGAGATGCACAGTAAATACCTTTTAAATCAAATACAATGGTTGTACATGATGGGTCTGACAGTCAGTTAAGTAGGAGGGAGGTAGGGGTGTGCTGTTCTTGGCTAAGGTATATTTTTCTGAATTCCAAGGGTGTGACAGATGTGTTGTGTGAAGCTTGTGACCAGTTGGGATGGACAAAACCCACCAAGATCCAGATTGAAGCTATTCCTTTGGCCTTACAAGGTAGGTTGTATGACTTCGTACAGATTTAATATAAAGTTATCTCAATTAGATACCCCTTTTGAAAGCTGTTGCTTGCATACTTCAAGTGAAATAAGGATATGGTCACTAAAGGTACAAAGTTTGGGTAATGGTATTTGAAAATGTCATTCTCCAATTTTACTGAGCTTACTTTCTGTCTTAATAGCTGAAAGGGTTTGTTCTCTGCCACAGATGCTGACTTTAAGGAAGCCCTAGGTTAAAGTTAAAGTATATTAACGACAATCTTGGTAGACTTTATGCATCAGTGGGCGCACACTTAGGGAAGGATGCCTGGAACACATATGTGTGTCTTGAGGAGTTGAGAATTCTTGCTGTGAGCCATGTTTATCAGATTTGTAAAACAGTGGTTAAAGCAGATTGATGGCTACTGGAACTGAAACTAATGGGATGAACTTTTTTCTTTTTGAGATCTTTTTTTTAAGATGGAGTTTTTTTTGAGATAGAGTTTCGCTCTGTCGCCCAGGCTGGAGTGCAGTGGTGCGGTCTTGGCTCACTGCAACCTCTGCCTTCCAGGTTCAAGCAACTCTCCCGCCTCAGCCTCCCAAGTAATGGATTACAGGCGCATCACCATGTCCGGCTAATTTTGTATTTTTAGTAGAGATGGGGTTTCAGCATGTTGGCCAGGCTGGTCTCGAACTCCTGACCTCAAGTGATCTACCTGCCTTGGCCTCCCAAAGTGCTGGGATTACAGGTGTGAGCCACCACATCTGGCTGTAACAGGATGAACTTTAATAGGAGTAGAAGTAAAGTCCTGCTCTTAGATTCCTAAAGTACCAACTTTACAGGATTAGGGTGGGTGATAAAAGAGGCCCAGAGGTCTTAGTTAACTGAAATCTATTAAGATCCTCAGAGAGAGTGAATGTAATCATAGCAATTGTTATAAGAGGGGTAATGTGGCTAATTATTGTTAGTATTAATGTAGCTATTACTGTATTACTATATTATTAGTGATTAATGTAAGCTATAATTATTACTCATTAGTAATTAATGTAGTGATTATTATTGATAATAATTGAAAGATTTAATGATTTGAAGAGCTGTCATGTGGAAAAGGGGTTAGACTTACTCTACAAAATTCCATTTGCTCTTTCCATAAATAGTTACTATTTGTTGTAAATGTAAGGCACTGGAGGTTAACAGTCTGTCCTCTCCAAGAGTCTATAATCTATTAAAGAGATAATTATAAATTTATTACAAGTTGAACAGGGACCTAAGAAAGTTACATTCAGAGTGCACTGAGGGAGAAGAGATTACTTCTAATTAGGATGGATTAGAGAAGATTTATTTCATTTTATTTTTGGCTGGGGAGGTTGGGAAGACATGTGAGCTGAACCTTGAACACTGACTTTAGAAGGATTTAGACATTCAGATATGATGGGAGGGGAGGACTTTCTAGGCATAGGGAACAGCATGAAAAAAAGCCAACTGGAAAACATGGGCATGTATGGAGATTTGCAAGTACTTAGCAGAGTGGTGAAAAAGTTTAGTAAGGTGATTGGGGCCGGATTATGAAGGATTTGAGTGCTGGGTCAAGGAATTTGGTCTTCGTTTCATAGGCAGTGGGGCATTTTTGGAGATGAAGGATTTAGAGTTGTACTCTTGGAAGATTAATCTCATAGCTGTGAAAGATCATTAGAAACAAGAGACTGAGTCTGGGAAACCAATTAGTAGGTCTTTGTAATGATTTTTGCAATCAATAATGGGTAGGGTGGTGGTAGAATGAAAAAGAAAATGTTGGAAAAAGAATCATTATGATTTTACAACCAGTTAAGCAAGTGGAAGGCAAGGAAGGGGTGGGGAAAATCTAAGTTTCTAGGCTGTATGTTTAGGGCATATTATTGGTGTACCACTGATACAAAAAAGGAACGGGGGAAAAATGCAGGAAAGATGAGTTCAGTTGGAAGTAATTGATTTTGGATATCAATGAGATAGAGTTGACCTTGTGGGAGGGGAATGGGGAAATGTTGCTCAGGGTACGGTTTCAGTTAGCCAGGATGGATAAGTTCTGAAGATCTATTGAATAGCATGGTGACTACAGTGAATAATGTTTTGTGTATTTGAAAATTGCTAGGAGAGTGGATCTTAAATGGTCTCCCCACAAAAATGACAAGTATGTGAGGTGACAGATATGTTAATGAGCTTGATTTAATCACTTCACAAAGTATACATGTATCTAAACTTTGCATTGTATACCATAAGTATAATTTTTTGTCAATTAACAAAACTGGGGGACAATAAAAAAGGAAAAAAATACCCAGTTGGAATCCTGGGATTGGAACTTGATTGAGAGGCCAGAGCTGGATATACACACTGTATCCAAAGAGCGGTTATAGCTGAGATTGGAAATGGATTAGATTGGCAAAGATGACAGAGGAAAATTGGAAGATTCAATAGAGGGTTGAAAATCATGAGAGTATAGTTTCACACAAATTAGGGAAGGGAAACTGTTTCAAGGAGGGATTAGTAAACACTTCAAACTTGTGCAGAGAAGTTTGGAGGATAAGGACCGTATAAAGGCCAGTGGTGGGAAAGAACTATCAGCGGCCCAGTGTTACTTTTAAATAGCAAGAAGCGTTCATGCATTTTAACTTTTCCAGCTTGCCCTACAGTGTAGGTGAGAAGGAGTCAAAATAGCTGGCAGTAATCCTAAAATTATTCTGATGTTTTCAGCCATAAGTTTAAATTTGATGCAGAAAAGAATAGGGAGGGGTCAGTGGAAGATTACTAGGAACTGACAGAAATGATCACCATAGAAATGTCTTTATCCTTATTCTTGGGTTTGTCTCATTCTAATGAATAGTTTATAAATGCTTCATTTGAATCTATAGAAATGATTCAAATAATCTGTTTGTTTTTGTTGCTGTTGTTATTCGGTGAAAATAACTTCTAAATTTGAATTTGGGACTACTGACGTTTTCAGTTTCTGCAAAGTTACTGAGCCCAGATTGTCCGCTGTTCTTAAACCTTATAACAATGCTGAATGGTAGTTACGGATAATTATTTTATTAGTGAGGAAATTGAGACTCAGGGAGTTAAGTCCTTTGGCTAAGGTCACCTAACTAATTATTGCTAGAGCCTGAATTTGAACATAGAATCTTATAGCTCAAAAAACCTCTATTAATGGACCTGCATCAAAGTTTGTTACTATCAAGAGATCAAAAGTTGTTTGATGGGCATGGTGGTTCATGCTTGTAATCCGAGGACTTTGGGAGGCTGAGGTGGGAGGATTGCTTGAGACCAGGAGTTTGAGACCTGCCTGGGTAACACATTGAGACACCATCTATTTATGTCTGTTTCAGAGATCACTTAAAGTTGTCCTCAAGGAATTTCAAACAATTTATTAGTGGCTGCCATATAGCAAGCGCTTATGTTCGGTGCCAGCAATGTGGCAGGTCTATATGACAAAATCTATTCTGCTCTTATGGAGTTTATGCATTCTGGTATATTCTCTACAGGTATAAACACTGAAAAGGCTTAGCGGTTTCTTCAGAGATGAAGAAAGGAGATGACGTAGAAAAATATATCAGTTTCACAAACTGAGGGTTGCTGTGAGGGACTTACTAAAAAACTGAAAGCAGTGCAGGCCTCAGCTGTAGGCAGTGAGCAGTGCTTATTGCTTCATGAACTAAGCGACTTCAGCTCCTTTACTTCCCTAAATCTTTCTTATGTACTCCTTTCTTCTGAAATGTTAAGATTTCCCTTGACAAAAAAAGGACAAATCCTAGTTCCCCCGCCTGCTGTTCCCGAAGGTGTATTGTGTTACACAGGCTGGGACGGCAGTATCCCCAAGGAGTTGAGGAATAAAAAGCTTTGGGAATCATTTGCTTGCACTGACCTTTATTTCTCAGATAGGTAGATGCTGTTGCAATTCATTGTTACCTACCCTGCCACTGGGAACATTAAAATAAGTAGATGAGTGAGACATTTTATCCCTGGATTGTCATTTGTCTGTAATCTTTAAAAAAATCAGTCCATTGGCTGGGCGTGGTGGCTCACGCCTGTAATCCTAGCATTTTGGGAGGCCGAGGCGGGTGGATCACGAGGTCAGGAGATCGAGACCATCCCAGCTAACACGGTGAAACCCCGTCTCTACTAAAAATACAAAAAATTAGCAGGGCGTGGTGACGGGCACCTGTAGTCCCAGCTACTCGGGAGGCTGAGGCAGGGGAATGGCATGAACCCAGGAGGCGGAGCTTGCAGTGAGCCGAGATCTCGCCACTGCACCCCAGCCTGGGTGACAGAGCAAGACTCTGTCTAAAAAAAAAAAAAATCAGTCCCATTGTCTGGTTTGACTTGTATTTCACATCTGTGCATATGCTTTTGAATGGAAAACACTGATGTTAATGAAAAGAAGGCTAAAGAATAGAATTCACTAGGATACACTGTATGTTAGTCCTTTTTCACACTGCTGATACAGACACACCCGAGACTGGGAAGAAAAAGAGGTTTAATTGGACTTACAGTTCTGTGTGTGGCTGTGGAGGCCCCAGAATCATGGCAGGAGGCGAAAGGCACTTATTACGTGGTGGCGGCAAGAGAAAATGAGAGACATGCAAAAGCAGAAACCCCTGATAAAACCATCAGATCTCATGAGATTTATTCACTACCATGAGAACAGTATTGGGGAAACCACCTCCATGATTCAAATTATCTCCCACTGGGTCCTTCCCACAACATGTGGAAATTATGGGAGTACGACTCAAGATGAGATTGGGTGGGGACACAGCCAAACCATATCACACTGTTGTCTGATCTGGCATGGCAGATCCTGGTTTAACTGATTAATGTTTAAGAGGTGGATCTTACAGGTCTGTTCTACTTGATCAGTGACATTGAACGCCACTGATCACTCTTCTTTCTTGAAGCTGCCTTCCTCCTTAATTTCAAGACAGCATTTTCTTCTGTCTTTCTAGCTGTTCTTTCTCAGTCTCTTCTTCTGGTTCTTTTCCCTTTGCCTTACAATATTGATTCTGTCTTTACCCTTTTTTCTTACTCTGAAATACTACATAACATTTCTCATTCAGTCCTCAAGCTTAAACCCTGTCTGCATCAGTGAGTCTGTATTCTTCAGAATCATCTATGGAGCTTTTTTTTTTTTTTTAAATAGAGATTTCTAGGTCCCAGCCAAGACCTACTGAATCAGAATTTCCAGGCATGGGACCGGGCATATATATATATGTAAGTCTCATCGATTATTCTGAAGCATCTGCCCCTGAGGAAGTACCAGTGGTAGGATACTCATGGCTCCCATGTCTGTTCTAACCCCCACTTTTTTCCTGAGCTCCAAACAAGTATGTCCAGCTGGTTTTTAGACATACCTCCAAATAATTATGCCCAACTGGTTTTTAGACATATCTCTAAACAAGTATGTCCAACTGGTTTTTAGACATATCTCTTTGAGTTTACTATAGGAATCTTAAGTTCCAAGTTCCCTGTGTGGAAACCAAAGTCCTTATTTTCCTCACCAGGACTAATTTTTCTGTTGCCTATATTGCAGTTTTTGGCTTTTGAGTGTCCCGTACTAAAAATGTGTGAGTCACCCACATTTCCTTTTGTTAGTTTCTGAATCTCATTCCTGTGCTCATTCCTGGCCTCAGTTCAGGCCACCATCATATCTCCCCTGAATTACATCCAATGTCCCAGTTAAGCCTTTGTTTTCCCTGTTCTGGTCATTTAAGTCATTTCTGATTGTAAGTCATGTTCAGGTTATGTCAGGGAAAAGAGATTTGTTTATTGTAGGATTATCTTCTAGGTAAAGAAAACTTCTCAGCAGTTACACAGTCAGAACAGGGGCAGCAACTGTAGGGGTCATGATTTAATAGGGAGCATTCTCACTGGCCACTGTGGTAGTGCATAGCTACCTCATGGGCTACAGCCAGCTCGGAGATAGTGATCTCAACTCAGGAGTTAATTTCCAAGTCTTATGAGTTGTGGCTTGAGTGGTGATAGCAAACAGTGGTGACCTGTTCTTAAAGAATTACTTAGAGCATTCTTCCCTCAGAAGGAGCAGTAACTGGCATGCACTGTTAAGTTCCTTGGCTCCTCCTTATGCCATCAGGTCTAGAGTTTATCTTCCTAAACAGTAATATTGATCATGATATTCCCTGTTTAAAATCCTTTAATTCTTTCTTATAGGAAAACATCAAAACTCTAGCCTCATTCTTCCCTCTTTCTCCCTTAACACTTCTGTGTTCCAGCCACATTGTACTTCTCAGCCTAACTATGCATGCTATGTTCTTTTTATTTTTTGAGATGGAGTTTCGCTCTTGTTGCCCAGGCTGGAGTGCAGTGGCACGATCTCCGCTCACCGCTGCCGCAACCTCCGCCTCCCGGGTTCAAGCAATACTCCTGCCTCAGCCTTCCGAGTAGCTGGGATTACAGGCATGCACCACCATGCCCGCCTAATTTTGTATTTTTAGTAGAGACAGGGTTTTTCCTTGTTGGTCAGACTGGTCTCGAACTCCCAACCTCAGGTGATCTGCCTGGCTCGGCCTCCCAAACTGCTGGGGTTACAGGCGTGAGCTACCATGCCCAGCCAGCATGCTATGTTCTCTAAAGCCTTAATTCTCTTTCCTCTTACAGGAATATCCTTTCTTCCCTTCTTTGCTTACTTCCAGTTTTAACTCACTTATCACCTCTGTTAGCCTTTTCTGACTCTTCTGGGCAGTAGTTACTTTTCCTTGTGTTCTCGCTGTATTTTGCAGGGGCTTATATTAAAACTCTTATCACATTATAATGCATTTGTATATTTGTCTGTCTCACCACTGGGTTTTGAGCTTATCTAAGAGAGAGGCCATGTCTTTTCTGTTTATTCAACTTTCCTCTCTCCCCAGTTCATCAGATATTTATTAAGCGTCTACTTTGTGCCCAGCATTGTGTCATTGTAGAAAACACAGAAATAGCGCAAAGAGATTACTTGGCTGTTGAATTTCTTTTTCTTTTAGGTCGTGATATCATTGGGCTTGCAGAAACTGGCTCTGGAAAGACAGGCGCCTTTGCTTTGCCCATTCTAAACGCACTGCTGGAGACCCCGCAGCGTTTGTTTGCCCTAGTTCTTACCCCGACTCGGGAGCTGGCCTTTCAGATCTCAGAGCAGTTTGAAGCCCTGGGGTCCTCTATTGGAGTGCAGAGTGGTAAGTGTCTGAGAGGGAAGGGATCCTAGGTTGCCATCACAAGTGAAGAATGAGTGTGGAGGAAGGAGAATGGAGGAAAGTATTGCTAGCATAATTTATTGACCTAAAGAGCTAATGTTGTATTTGAGCTTTGGGAAGAGTATTAATTGTAAGGGAAGAACAAATCTAAGTAGAAATCTGGCATTGGCTTTAAAAGATGTTCAGTGGACTGTGGAAAAAATTAAGGATCTCGTCTCTATGTTCTTTTTTTCTCTGTAGCTGTGATTGTAGGTGGAATTGATTCAATGTCTCAATCTTTGGCCCTTGCAAAAAAACCACATATAATAATAGGTGAGTAACTGACAAAGGTAAAAGACACTGGCAGTGATGAATTGGAGAAAATCTACCAGTGTTGGATAGAAAGACTTTGAGAAACAGATTTTGTAACCCTGTTAAATTTTTTAATTTCTTAAGTTAAATTTGGTGGAGAGCTGTGGGGTGGGGCAGATAACTTTATTTGTTTATTTGTTTTGTTTTTTTTTTGTCCTGTTCTGAAATGTCACTGTTTCTCCTCAACCTTTCTTGGTAGCAACTCCTGGTCGACTGATTGACCACTTGGAAAATACGAAAGGTTTCAACTTGAGAGCTCTCAAATACTTGGTCATGGATGAAGCCGACCGAATACTGAATATGGATTTTGAGACAGAGGTGAGCTCTCAATTTCTTTCCTCCTCTTAGAGCATCTCAAGGTTCCTGTTTCAAAATTTGGTTCATTGCCCACTTGTTTCATGTAGAACATTGCATTAGTATCAGTTTCATTCTTGATATTCTTCAAATTGCAGTTTCTCAGCACCCTTTTATCTTTAGAATATAGTCTGACTCTGACTTCAGAAATGGGAAATATCAAAACCGGATTTTCTTTTCCCTTTCGTTTAATTTAGACCTTGACATACACCCTGAAATATCTTTATTTTCTTTGATGACCCACTAATCCCAGCTTACTTAGTTGATTAATACTTTTTCTTGACTTTTCTCTTAAATCAGCTCTGGTCTACTAATTTAAACTGTTCTTTTCTCAGAAAGGTATTTTTTTTAATAGTATTTGGTAGGGTATCAGATAGTAAATATTCAGTAAACTTTAGCTGAATCAAATTGAATTTTCGAGTCCCAAATCTTCACAGTGATATATTTAGTTTGTTAGTGTCTACCTCCTTCACTACCTAGAGGATTTGCAGCTCTTCCAGTCTGAATATCATATTGGCATCTTTTCCTCTTTGTGCTTTAGGTTGACAAGATCCTCAAAGTGATTCCTCGAGATCGGAAAACATTCCTCTTCTCTGCCACCATGACCAAGAAGGTGAAATTTGCTAGGACTTTTGTTTCTTCTTTATGAGAATTGATACATAAAGTAAATAGTAATAACAATAAGGAAAAATAAATTGCTTTAGTCCGTTTTCACACTGCTATAAAGAACTATCTGAGACTAGGTAATTTATACAGAAAAGAGGTTTAATTGACTCACAGTTCCACATGGCTGGGAAGACCTCAGGAAACTTACAATTATGGCAGAAGGTGAAGGGGAAGCAAGGCAGGAGGTGGGGGCAGTGCCACACTTTAAAACCATGAGAAATTGTGAGAACTCACTATCATGAGAACCGCAATGGGGAAAACCACCTCTGTGATCCAATAACCTCCCACCAGGTCCCTCCCGTGACATGTGGGGATTACAATTCAACATGAGATTTGGGTGAGGACACAGAGCCAAACCATGTCATAAATAAAGAGTGTTTAGGCATCAGTGTGCTATTCTGGATCTTCTTCCTTCAGGTTCAAAAACTTCAGCGAGCAGCTCTGAAGAATCCTGTGAAATGTGCCGTTTCCTCTAAATACCAGACAGTTGAAAAATTACAGCAATATTATATTTTTATTCCCTCTAAATTCAAGGTAAAATGTTTACTTTGATCATTCCTGCCTCTCCCTCTTCTTTTCACCAAAGCATCTGAAAATGTGTCAACTCTTGATTAGGTAAGAGCTGTAATGCAGATTGGCATCCTGTCTGTTTGCTTTAGAGTGCATATCGTGCTTATATTATCACCGATAAGCCAGACATGCCAGGAATTCACAACACATTAAATCACAATACTGAGGTCATGATGTAATCATATAATTCCTTCCCATCCCCATCCTTGAGGTAATTTTTCCTTTGTCTGCTTATTATGTGGCTTTTATTTAGGATGAAGCCCCTGGTTTTGTGCTTTGATATAAGGACTTCTCCTGTTTGCTGAGTACAGATCTCCTGCCTGCCTTAAGGCTAAGTGGGGAATATGTGGTTCACAGAGATGATAATGCTGGTTAAGGAATGCAAAGCTGGCAGCTGGAGGTCTGGATAATTGAAAAGCGACTATAGGCTTAGTCTTTACCTTATGTATATGCCAGGTCTCCAATCCTGTCTCCCAGGTTCAATGACATATATTGTTTTGGGTTTGTAACTTAGGATACCTACCTGGTTTATATTCTAAATGAATTGGCTGGAAACTCCTTTATGATATTCTGCAGCACCTGTAATAATACCCAGAGAACAGCTTTGCTACTGCGAAATCTTGGCTTCACTGCCATCCCCCTCCATGGACAAATGAGTCAGGTAAGGATTCATCATCATCATCAGCCATGCACTGGTGGCGTGAGCGAGATAAACCTCCTAACAGTAGGTTTGTACAATAAGGCCATAGGGCACCGATGCCTGTTTCCATAATTGTTGTAATTTTATGGGCTTTGAAGTGTTGCTCTAGATACTTACTTTCTCCTTTCAGGGTAGCGAGAGGCTCCCATTAGAATATTTCATATGTACCTGTCTGGTTTGCAAGCTGTTGAGTTGATTTATTCAGCCCTAGTGGTAATAATGACTCTGGCCTCTAAAAACATTAATAAATTATTTCCCAGTTACCTTTCTATCGTGTCAAACTACCCTTATTTTGTATCATATATATTTTTTTAATTTTTTGTTGCTTCCATATTTCTGTTTTGACCTGTGAAGCCCCATTCAAAACTTAGGGGGAAAAACCTTTAAAAAATTTATGTCTGTTTGTTCTCGTGTTTGTCTATTTTGTGTTTTGTATTCCAAAACATAGGTTAAGTTTTCCAACATTTCTTTTTCATTACCTCAGAGTAAGCGCCTAGGATCCCTTAATAAGTTTAAGGCCAAGGCCCGTTCCATTCTTCTAGCAACTGACGTTGCCAGCCGAGGTTTGGACATACCTCATGTAGATGTGGTTGTCAACTTTGACATTCCTACCCATTCCAAGGTGAGTCCTATTGCTAACTTACCTTTCTAGTCCTAAAGTGTATTTCTTAATGGACTGTCTTCTGTCTTTCCTTAGTTACAGCAGTTATTTTGTTCCTGGTTAATTAAGTATCAAAAAACAAGAAAGCCCTTGGTTAGTTCATTCACATCATCTTGCACAGGCCTGTGTATGTAACATTAGTACATATGAAAGAGGTAGCCAAGGAGAGTTATTAGATGCTCATAGAAGGGGCTGGTGCGCCACATACTGATCTTGTCACTGTCATTTCTTGAGAATGACAGCTTGTAGTTTTTTTGAGGCGGAGTCTCGCTCTGAGTTTTCTGAGGTGGAGTCTGCACCCAGTCTGGAGTGCAGTGGCGCAATCTTGGCTCACTGCATGCTCTGCCTCCTGGGTTCACGCCATTCTCCTGCCTCAGCCTCCCGAGTAGCTGGGACTACAGGCGCCCACCACCACGCCCGGCTAGTATTTTTAGTAGAGATGGGGTTTCACCGTGTTAGTCAGGACGGTCTTGATCTCCTGACCTCGTGATCTGCCCACCTCGGCCTCCCAAAGTGCTGGGATTACAGGCGTGAGCCACCGTGCCCGGCCTACAGCTTGTAGTGCTTAGTGTATCTCAAGGTTTCTCAGCCTTGGCACTATTAACATTTTAAGCTTTCGAATTCCTTGTTGTGGGGGTTGTTCTTTGAGTTGAAGGATTCCTAGTAGCATTCCTGGCCTTTACCCAGTAGATAACAGCATCACACAGTCTTCCACCTGTGATAATCAGAAATATTTCCAGACATTACCAGTGTCCCTTGAGGATGGCAGAATCACCCCTGGATGAGAACTGTTGTGTCTCTTGTCTTTGTATTTAACTGCTGTAGACAAGATGCTGTCTCATTTGATTTTCATAACAACTCTGTAATATGGGCATGTATTTCTATTCCTGTTCACTAGATAGAAACCAAGGTTCAGAGAGGTTATGTGATTTGCAGGTAATTGTGTAACTGGCAGATGGGAAGGATCAGAGCTGTAATCCAGCTCTGCCTCGAGATCCAGTGCTGTTTTTTAAAATACCATGCAGCCTGCGACCATGTAGATATGCTTTGTAGATTTATCTGTCTGTGAAAGAAGGGAAAGCATTGGATCAATTTTGTGCTGCAAGGAGAACAAAAAAGATGAAGTAGATTTGTCTCAACAAATTGCCCCGGCCATTTATTTTCTCCATGTTACGAAATGAATCTATTTTCTTTCAAAGGTTTTGCAGCAGGACTTTGCATATGTAGTTTTTTTTAAACTTATAATCCATATAACTTGAATTTATTTACCCTTTTTGTTTTAGGATTACATCCATCGAGTAGGTCGAACAGCTAGAGCTGGGCGCTCCGGAAAGGCTATTACTTTTGTCACACAGTAAGTAAATCAGCTTTAGGGCCGAGCAATGTAGAGAAAAGAGCAGAACTTTCAAGCCACTGGCTGAGAACCTGACACTACCATTTACTACACTAATCACTTTCATACTGAAAACCAGGATGAAGGAGTTGAAAGATGGGAATAATAATACCTATCTAGCAGGGTTTTGGTGAAAATTGGAGATTATATATGTAAAAGATCTAGTATAGTATTTGGCATGTAGAATGGTACCTAGAGCTGGAGAGCAATTGCCTTTGTGTCAACTCAGAAAGTATTAGAATAACTATTTCCAATTGTTTTTTTTAAAGAAACAAATTTTTATGTACCCAAGGCTGTTCTGTGAATAAATACCTTGAGGGATTTTCTCCCTCCCTCCTTTCCTTTTTTTTTTTGTATTTGTCTCGCTCTGTCGCCTAGGCTGGAGTGCAGTGGTGCAGTCTTGGCTAAGTGCACCTTCCACCCCCTGGGCTCAAGCAATCCTCCTACCTCACCATAGCTTCCCAAGTAGCTGGGACCACAGGTGCATGCCAGCACACCTGGCTTTTTAAAAAATATTTTTAGTAGAGATAGGGTTTTGTCATGTTGGCCAGGCTGGTCTTGAACTCCTGAGCTCAAGCGATCCACCTGCCTTAGCCTCTCATAGTGCTGGGATTACAGGCACAAGCCACCTGCCTGGCCGATTTTTGTTTCTTTTTCTTTTTTTAAGCAGCAAGGTTTCACTCTGTTGACCAGGCTGGAGTGCAGTGACTTGATCATAGCTCACTGCAGCTTCAAACTCCTGGGCTCAAGTAGTCCTCATACCTCAGTCTCCTGAATGGCTGGGATTACAGGCACATGCCACCACGGTTGGCTAATTTTTAATTTTTTATAGAGATGGCATCTCACTGTGTTGTCCAGGCTGGTCTGGAACTCCTGGTCTCAAGTGATTCTCCTGCTTTGACCTCCCAAAGCGTTGGGATTACAGGTGCAAGCCACCATGCCTGGCCTCCCTTGAGTGATTTTCTAATGGGCTATGCACAGAGATTGCACTTAACCCATATTTAGAAAAGAAATAATATGTTCAATATTGTTTAAACCTATGGTTCCTATTGCGTTGTATCATATAATAATAGTTTGGGAATGGACAGGCATTTGCGTTACCAGGCAACCAGAGCTGTGCAGTTTTCCTTCCTCAGGTATGATGTGGAACTCTTCCAGCGCATAGAACACTTAATTGGGAAGAAACTACCAGGTTTTCCAACACAGGATGATGAGGTTATGATGCTGACAGAACGCGTCGCTGAAGCCCAAAGGTTTGCCCGAATGGTATGCATCTTTCTTTTCTCACCAGTGTCTGTGCAAACAATGTTAACTGTGTGCCACTTTATTATATTAACCCTCATACTAAACTGCAGAAGCTGGGTATTATTTTATTCCAAATTTAAGACGAGCAAACTAAGGTGCAGAGATGGTAGGTAATTTGCATTAGACCATACAACCAAATGGTTGAATCAAGGTTTGGCCTCATTCTGACATTCACACATTCACAGCACCTGTTCATGTGTCGCACGTGGTGAGATAGTTCATCAGACTTGAGGTCAGAAGATCCAGCTGTGAACTGTGTGAGCTTGGGAAATTTGCCTGATTTCTCAGAATCAGAATCAGTTTCTCACCTGTAAATTGGGAATAACACTTGCCTGAATACCTTATGGGGTTTTATGAGCACCAGAGAAGCCAATATAAACTACATAGTTACTAGTAGGGGTTGATCATACCTAATCCAAAAATTTGAAATCCAAAACCAAGATCCAAAACTTTTCTTTTTTCTTTTTTTTTTTTTTTTTGAGATGGAGTTTTGCTCTTGTTGCCCAGGCTGGAGCGAATGGTGCAATCTCGGCTCACCACAACCTCCGCCTCCCGGGTTCAAGCGATTCTCCTGCCTCAGCCTCCCGATTACAGGCATGTGCCACCATGCCCAGCTAATTTTGTATTTTTAGTAGAGATGGGGTTTCTCCATTTTGGTCAGGCGAACTTCTGACCTCAGGTAATCCCCCCGCCTCGGCCTCCCAAAGTGCTGGGATTACAGGCTTGAGCCATTGTGCCCAGCAATCCAAAATTTTTTGAGTGCGAAAAGGATTGCCGCAAGTGGAAAATTCCATGCCTGACCTCGTGTGACAGGTTGCTATCAAGACACAGTCAAAATGTTTTTAATGCACAAAAATATTAAAAATATGATGTAAAATTACCTTCAGACAATTAAAAATATTGTGTAAAATTACCTTCATATATAAGGTATATATGAAACAAGTGAATTTTGTGTTTAGAGTTGAGCCCCATCCCCAAGATAGCTCATATGTATCTGCAAATATTCTAGAATTAGAAAAAATCTGAAGTCCGAAACACTGCTGGTCCCAAGCATTTCAGATAAGGGATACTCACCCTGTAAGTAGTAGTAACAGTAATAGTGGTGATGAGAAGATTCTAGAGGAAAACCATTGGAAGTGCTGCCTGCTTTCTGGAGTTCTGGTCTGAGGGATGGAGAAACTTTGCCCATAGTTTGTTTTTGGAGTAGCTGAGGTGCACATTTGGTTTTTATTCTGTCCACATGGGATTTTTTTGTTTGTAAAAGTATTACATGTGCATTGGGAAAAAAATTCAAAAAATACAGAAAGGATTAAAGTAGTAAGTGAAAAGGTAAACCATTCCCCACAGAAAACCATTGATAACATTTGGCTATTTTTCTTTCTTTAGCCATAATTAGACTTTATCTAATTATATAGGATTAACATTTTTCTGTTTCAACAAATACAGATTCATGTGATCGTTTCTTAATGGCTACAAAGAATTCCATCATGTGTATGAAATACTTACATTCATGGATGCTTACGCTTTTTTCCAGTTTCTTTCTACTTTGGTACAGTGTTAAACACCCTACTTTGTACAGCTTTGCATATTTACTTCCTTAGAATAAATTCCTAGAAGTACACTTGTTGGGCCAAGGGACATACACAGTTAAAATTTGAATTCATACAGAATGCCAAATTGTCCCCCGCCCCAAGAAAAGCTATAGCAGATTGCACTATAAATGAGAGTATATGTGAATTTTTCTACACCTTGGCCAATACTGGGGATTACCCTTCTCTTAAGTCTTTGCCAATCTGCCATGTGAAAATAAAACCTTACTTTAGTGTTCACGTTTTGATTACTAATAAGGTTAACATCTTTGTATATTTGGAGTTGGGTCTTGTTCCTTTGCTAATGTCAGGCATCAGCAAGTTACTTGATACTTGATCTTAAGGAGAGGGGACTAGAATGAGTAACCTTCAGTGCCAGTAATTCATTTTCAATCCCATCCTCTCTTTTTTTCTTGCAGGAGTTAAGGGAGCATGGAGAAAAGAAGAAACGCTCGCGAGAGGATGCTGGAGATAATGATGACACAGAGGGTGCTATTGGTGTCAGGAACAAGGTGGCTGGAGGAAAAATGAAGAAGCGGAAAGGCCGTTAATCACTTTTATGAAGGCTCGAGTTCTGCTGTTCTGTAAAAGAGAATTGGAGAATGAAACCTGCTCCAACAGAGATCATGAGACTGAAATTGGTCAGAATTGTGTCCAGAATGTGCTCAGCTAATTCAGTATTCTTCCCCATTCTGGGTTGGAGTTTACTGCAGAGTAATTCTTACAGTGCTGATGTCAAGACTGTTACTGTTCTTCGACTTTGATTCCTTGCTCATGACATGAGTAGGGTGTGCTCTTCTGTCACTTCACACAGACCTTTTGCCTTTTTTAGCTGCAAGTCAAGGACTAGGTTGATGATGCCCATGACCTGTAATTGTAAAGAAGCTTGGACATCTGCAAATGATATTTAAACCATCTTGGCTTGTGCTTTATTCAAACTAATGTGAAACAATAAATTTAAATATTATTTTTAAAAGATTCTAACTCCTTAAAGACCTTGGTGTTAAAGGGCCTTATAGATTTAAGTAAGATCTTGTTAATAGGTAAGAACCTGACAGTGTTGATTACATGGCAAATTCATTGGTTGTCCTAATTAAGATAAATATTTATTACTTAAAAAAATCAACAAGGAAACGAGATGATGGATGGCTTTGAAAGGGAAGCCCCAGCCGGGTGTGGTGGCTCACGCCTGTAATCCCAGCACTTTGGGAGGCCAAGATGGGCAGATCAGGAGGTCAGGAGATTGAGACCATCCTTGGTAACACCGTGAAACCCTGTCTCTACTAAAAATACACACACAAAAAAAACATTAGCCTGGCGTGGTGGCGGGCGCCTGTAGTCCCAGCTACTCGGGAGGCTGAGGCAGGGGAATGGTGTGAACCCGGGAGGCAGAGCTTGCAGTGAACCTAGATCGCGCCATTGCACACTCCAGCCTGGGCAACAGCGAGACTCTGTCTCAAAAAAAAAGAGAAGTTCTACTTAAAAAAGGAGGTTGTGTTTTTCTTGCAGATGGAGCAAAGTCTATCAGTAAGACAGCAGAGGTCTTTAAAATCCCTAAATAGATTTACTTCCTTCATTCCCTCAATTAAGCAGGTGGTTAGGAAGACTGGTTTCTCACATAGACTCTTTTTTTTTTTTTTTTGAGATAATCTTGCTCTGTCATCCAGGGTGGAGTGCGGTGGTATGACCTCAGCTCAGTGCAGCCTTGACCTTCCAGGCTCAAGTGATCTCCCACCTCAGCCTCCTGAGTAGCTGGGACTACAGGCACATGCCATCACGCCTGGCTAATTTTTATATTTTTTGTAGAGATGGGATCTTGGCTTGTTACCCAGACTGGCCTTGAACTCCTGAGCTCAAGAGATCCATCTGCCTCGGCCTCCCAAAGTGTTGGGATTACAGGTGTGAGCCACTGCACCCGGCCTCTTTTTTTTTTTTTTTTTTTTTTTTTTTGAGATGGAGTCTTGCTCTGTTGCCAGGCTGGAGTGCAGTGGCACAGTCTTGGCTCACTGCAACCTCTGACTCCCTGGTTCAAGCGATTCTCCTGCCTCAGCCTCCCGAGTAGCTGGGATTACAGGCACTCACCATCATGCCCAGCTAATTTTTGTATTTTTGTAGAGATGGGGTTTTGACATGTTACCCAGACTGGCCTTGAACTCCTGAGCTCAAGAGATCCATCCACCTCAGCCTCCCAAAGTGTTGGGATTACAGGTGTAAGCCACTGTACCTGGCCTCTTTTTTTTGAGACAGAGTCTTGCTCTGTTGCCAGGCTGGAGTGCAGTGGTGCGACCTCAGCTCGCTGCAACCTCCAACTCCCTGGTTCAAACGATTCTCCTGCCTCAACCTCCCAAGTAGCTGGGATTACAGGCACGCACCACCATGCCCAGCTAATTTTTGTATTTTTAGTAGAGACAGGGTTTCATCATGTTGGCCAGGATGGTCTTGAACTCCCAAGCTCAGGTGATCCACCTGTCTCGGCCTCCCAAAGTGCTGGGATTACAGGTGTACGCTGCTGCACCCGGCCACTCTGCCTCTTATGTAGATTCTTTTCCCCAGGTGACAAGAATAAAATCAATATGCCTCAGAAATGTATAATTCTGAGACCTAATTTCATCCACTTGTCATTAGTGCCCACTGGCCACTCATCTTTTTTGTCCTCATCTATTAGGCGATGCAGGAGATGTAGAGCTGGGGCCTCAGCTCCAGGGGAGGAGGTAGGCATTGGCACTCTAGGGGCTGGTTGTTGGGGGAGGGTTACTGAAATTCAGAAACAACTTGGAAATTCCCAATCACAAACAGTCTCATGTTCTGAGGATGTTTACACATAGAAGATGCCTAATACTTTTTGTTGTCTATAACAGTTTTATTAGAAGAGTGTGTCTGGAGTGGCAGAACCAAGGTAAAGAGCGTCTAAATAATCACTTTGATGGATTAAGATTGGAATGAAGTTTGGCTGAAAAGAAACTTTCCTTATCCATCTAAGTCAGAGTATCTGGTGAGGAGTAAAGAGTAGGAGGCAGGCCGGGCGTGGTGGCTGACGCCTGTAATCCCAGCTCTTTGGGAGGCTGAGGAGGGCAGATCACGAGGTTAGATCGAGACCATCCTGGCTAAAACGGTGAAACCCTGTCTACTAAAAATACAAAAAATTAGCCGGGAGTGGTGGCGGGCGCCTGTAGCCCCAGCTACTCGGGAGGCTGAGGCAGGAGAATGGCGTGAACCCGGGAGGCGGAGCTTGCAGTGAGCCGAGATCGCGCCACTGCACTCCAGCCTGGGCGACAGAGAGAGACTCCGTCTCGAAAAAAAAAGAGTACAAGGCAATAAAATTCTCTGTGATGGTCCGGGGTGGACTGTTCACTGCAGGAAGATCTTTGCAAATATCGGGGCGGGGGGTTTTCTACCACAGATGCATTTTAAAATGGGCACCTGTGGGCAAGGCATTAGCAATGAATTGAAATACAGTGCATAACTTACTTTTTGTTTTGTTTGCTCTGAATTTCATTGCTGCTTATTATGGTACCTTTGTGTGAAGGATAATTTAGAGGAGGTAGGAGATACAAGGGAAAGGAAAGGAGAAAGGGGTACCAGAATCGGGAGGCAAATGGTTGAGCAGGGCCGTACCTGTTCCTATTTGTTATGAGTTGTGCCTCCCACTTGGGGCTAATTCTCCATTAACATTGTGTTTTCTCGATGGGACTCTCCAGGGTGGCTTAGGATAGCAGCTCTCTTCGAGTCAGCCCATGGATGCTGTTTCAGCTCAGTGGAGGACTTCAGAAGCAAGCTGAAATGGAATTGGTGTACCAGTAGGGGGTAAGAAGGAGAGATTGGAATCATCCTCAAGGATGTCTGAACTTTCCAAATAGGCAGTGGTCTCTGGCCTGGGTTTGTGGACCACTGAGGAATATGCATATTTTTGGGGAGACTAAAAAGGTTAAAAACCACTACTCGAAAGCTTAACTGCCATCTCTAATGTATATGCATAATTATGCTTTGCTAGGATGGGAAGAAAGGACACTAGTGAAAGAAATGTGGACGGGTGTGTCTTCAGGTATATTAACAGGTCCAGAGCATGGAGTCCCCAGCAGAAAATGCACAGATGCCATTGCAAAAGGCAGGAGGCGCAGAAATGAACGTGATCCACCAGTAAGTAAAAACAAGACATGTAGGTTTGCTCTATTAGTCAGTCATTCCTGTGCTCTCCTGTCCTCTAAGGTGAGATAGGTCGTGCTGCTGATACCCTTACAGAAGTACGTTTTAATGTCCTAGGACTACTGAAACAAAGTACCAGGAACTGGGTGACTTTCAATAACAACTTTATTCTCTCATGGTCCTGGATTTTAAGATGTTCAAAATTAAGGTGTGGGCAGGGCCATGTTCTCTCTGACACCTTTAGAGAAGAGTCCTTCCTGGCTTCTTAGCCAGCATTGCCCCTTGGTTGCCTGCAGTCCTTGGTGTTTCTTGGCTGTAGCAACATGACTCCGATCCCTGTCTCCATCCACACATGGCCTTCTGCCCCATATATCTTTGTGTCTTCACAAGGCCTTCTTAGAAGGATACTAGTTGTTGGATTTAGGGTGCACCCTAATCCACCCTGGCCTCATCTTAACTAATTACATCTGCGAGGATCCTATTTCCAAATAAGGTCACCTGAGGTTCTGGGTTGATATGGTTTGGCTGTGTCCCCACCCCAATCTCATCTTGAATTGTACTCTCAGAATTCCCACGTGTTGTGGGAGGGACCCGGTGGGAGGTAATTGAATCCTGGAGGCGGTTTCCCCCATACTGTTCTCATGGTAGTGAATTAGTCTCACAAGATCTGATGGTTTTATAAGGGGTTTCCCCTTTTGCTTGGCTCTCATTCTCTCTTCCCTGCCACCGTGTAAGACGTGCCTTTCACCTTACACCATGATTGTGAGGCCTCCCCAGCCACGTGGAACTGTGAATCCATTAAACCTCTTTTTCTTTGTAAATTACCCAGTCTCAGGTATGTCTTTATCAGCAGCATGAAAACAGATTAATACATGGGTAGACATGACTTTTCGTGGGATACTATTCAGCCCAGTACAAGGCATCTTTGTGGACTCTGCTACATTCTGCGGGGTTTAAGGTTGCAATTACGGAATAAAATGGTGGGGAGAACTAGTTACAAAGTGTGGAGAAGACAGGAGATGGGTCTTCAGAAGTATTTGGTTAGGTATTAATAGGAGTATAGAAGAACGTTAAAATGTCATTCTCTTAAATACATGTAAATTGCCTTTGCAGTCAAGATACCAAAAGCTCTAGATTAGGAGTGGGGAACGAGGTCCCTGACCCCTCTGCTATTCCCTTCTTGGTACAACTCCTTAGTTCTGCATTCCTGATTTAAGAAACTGTGAGCTTCGCCGGCCGGGCGCGGTGGCTCACGCCTCTAATCCCAGCACTTTGGGAGGCCGAGGCGGGCGGATCACAAGGTCAGGAGATTGAGACCATCCTGGCTAACACGGTGAAACCCTGTCTCTACTAAAAATACAAAAAAATTAGCCAGGCGTGTTGGCGGGCGCCTGTAGTCCCAGCTGCTGGGGAGGCTGAGGCAGGAGAATGGCGTGAACCCGGAAGGCAGAGCTTGCGGTAAGCCGAGATCGCACCACTGCACTCCAGCGTGGGCGACAGAGCGAGACTCCATCTCAAAAAAAAAAAAAAAGAAACTGTGAGCTTCAAAACAATCTTCTCCCA
Source organism: Homo sapiens (assembly GCF_000001405.40). NCBI lineage: Eukaryota > Metazoa > Chordata > Mammalia > Primates > Hominidae > Homo > Homo sapiens. The sequence continues at coordinate 12,834,710 of NC_000012.12, forward strand.
CCCTAATTGTAAACAGATACATCTAACTTTTATGACTTAATAAAGGGAGTATCTTGGAATAGTCATATGATATCAGCCCAGAGAAAATGTCTTCTTATTTCTCATCTGAATTATAAAACTGATTTATATAGTATTCATTGTATGCAGTTGCAGTAACAATGGCTTCATGGTACTGGCTAGCCTAGTTTTACTTCCTCTGTACAGAGCTGAGTGAGGGTGAGAATGAGGAAAACACCTCTCTATCTTATGAAGGGGTCCTAGGATCCTAGTGAGAGGGTTTCAGTTGGATAGGCTATTTCAGGCTTAAAGCAGGCCCAGAATTCCAGGGAACCATGAAGCAGGTTCTCTGAGGGCACTCTGAGGGGATTGTAGTTGCTAAGAGGGGCCTAGACCAACTAGATCATGATTATTCTTTCTCAGTCTCTCAAAAAATGCAATGAATATCCCAGAACTTGGCTGGCTCTTTAAGGACATCTTGCTTACAGACAGAGTGTTTTCCAAGTAGCTTTCTGCCTGCAGAGGCATCCACAAACCTAAATTGGAGACTTTATCTACCTTGGGTCCCTCAAAACCCTGGGAAATAGGACCAGAAAGAACCACAGGCTGTGGTGTTGGTTACAGAAAATGAAAGGATCCAAGTTATCAAAAGTGGGTAACAAAGCAACATCAAGAAACTGTGTCCTTAAAACTAAGAGAATATACAAGACATTCTAATCCACATGGTTCTTAGGGTGAAATCTAGCCTCTGGGCAGGTAAGAAATCAGGGTGTGAGTCACCCCTCTTTAGCTGGAATGACAAGAGACTCAGACCATAACTCTAGAGATTGAAGGGTTACCCACACCCGCATTCCTTTTCATGCCTCACCTATCCCAGGTATGCACTAAAACTACCGCTAAAAATAACTGCAGAAACTTGAAGTCTGGGAAATAGCACTGAACAGTCTCACCTGAAGTGAAGAGCTGATTGGTGCCAAGTGGAAAGGAGACAGGAAGAAAATGGGCTCCTCTGGAACCATGCAGTCTCTAGGAGGTGGGCCCCAAGGTCTGCTCAGAGTCTTGGAGCTTTTGTTTGCTCGTAGCCATCCATCCCCTTATACCATCCAAACACAAAGGATGTCTCCTGTCACTGTCACCCTTCAATCATCTGCCAGTGCCGTCAAAGAGGCCGGAAGGAGCAGGAGGAATTGGGAAAGGAACAGGTGGGGAAAGTGTAAGTCATCGGACTGTTCACTGTTGCTGTGTGACCTTGTGGGAGTTACTAAACCTCTCTGAACCTTGAGTTTTCTCATTTGTTAATATGGAAAGAAGACCGTCAAGCCTATCTCTGTCACAGAATCTTTTTTTTTTTTTTTTTTGAGATGGAGTCTCTGTCACCCAGGCTGAAGTGCAATGGTGCAATCTTGGCTCACTGCAACCTCCACCTCCCAGATTCAAGCAATTCTCCCACCTCAGCCTCCCAAGTAGCTGGAATTACAGGCATGTGCCACCATGCCGGGCTAATTTTTGTATTTTTAATAGAGGCAGGGTGCCATGTTTGTCAGGCTGGTCTCGAACTCCCGACCTCAGGTGATCCATCTGCCTCGGCCTCCCAAAGTTCTAGGATTACAGGTGTGAGCCACCACACCTGGCCTGCCTCACAGAATCTCGAACCTAGTTTTTAAAATTCTGTTTCTTTCCTCCTTCCCTTCCAGTGTCCACCATATCCTAGCCAGTGTGCCAGATACTAGGAAACCAATACTGAAAAAAGAGTCAGATGCTATTTTTGCTGAACTTAGCCTTAGTATTGTATAGTGATTGTGCTTCCTACTAGGCAGGGACCGCGCCTAATTTGTGGATATTACTAATATCATACAGGGCCCATACGCAGTAAATGTTCAATATCTGTCATTTTCTGAAACCTAAGATGTGTCAGGCGGCTTGACCTGTATTATTTCTAGTTCTTTGAACAATCCCGAACAGTCGATATTATTGTTCCCAATATGAGCTATGGAGCCAGTTTGCCAAATCGGCCCCTGACTAACTGTGAGACTTTGGACAAGTTGTTAAACCTTCCTGTGTTTCAACCTTCTTATCTGAAGACACACAGTTATAGTACAGCATTGTGAAGTTAAATGAACTATACTGTGGCTCATGATAACAATCAGTAAGTGTTAGTCATTATAATGATCATTAATTGTGGCTTTTAGCATAGATGAAGACTGGCAGCGTACCCAGATCATACAGCTGGTAAAGGGCTAAGTAAAAATTTGAAGCCAAATTGGATTCCAAGCCTCTGCCCTTTACACTAAATACACTGTTTGTTATGTGTGTGTGTGTGTGTATGTATATATGTGTAATTCCATATTACTCATGCAGTATGTTCCACACAACAAGTAAGTACTATGCAAATGAACTTTCAGGTTCCAAGCTATTTTCAAATTGGCAACAGGCAGGTAAGAAAATAAGACATTCTTGTTTTCACCAGTAGATGGCAGAAGGAAGAAAAGACCACTCCGGAGAGGGAAGGAGTTTTAATTTGGAGCCGAGTGATTCACAGTGGGCTGTGGCTGAGGCACAGGGGCAGATGAGGCAGACTCCTTGTATGACTACAGTGGAGGACAGTCCCACTGGAACTAGGGGTCAGGGGTCAGGGTGGGGAGGAGAACTACCTACAGGTATGTGAAGGGTGTCAGCCTTCAAGAAGATCTGCTAGGTTGACCCAGAGGATGGGGACTGGGAGCCCCGAAGTAAAGGCAAGTTCAGATGCACTTAGAAAAAAAGGTCGCGTTCCTCTGTCGTCTCTACTGCGCGGTCCCTGGCTGTGGACCCTCCTCGTCAACTTCCAAACACTTGGTTCTTTTCCAAAGCCTGCCTTTCCCTCTGGGATGTTGATGAAGCCACTTGCTTTGTTTGCTCCTTTCCCCACCCCCTACCCCAGTCTGTAAGTCAGGAATACTCTTTCCCCCGCCTATCCCAATACACGTTGTTTGTGAGCCACCGACCCCCCTCACTGCTTCCCTCTCTCCTCACTGCGTATCCATCCAGTAGGCTTGGTCCACAGCCCGTGCTCCTGTATCAAATAAGCTTGGTGCTGGGTAACCTGTGAGCTGCTTGTTCGTTCATTTTATCCTAGAGACATGTCCTTCAGCCCAAAGTGATGGGGAGTTGTCCTTCTGGGTCCAAAAGAGTAGTAGCAGCAATCAAGCATGGTGGTCATTTATACTGGGCCAGCTCTCACTGATGTGATGCTGGCTCTTGTCCTCACACATTCTTTTGGGGGAGGAGTCCACTGGTAACTCCTGATATCTTAGAAACTCTCTTACCCAAGCTATTAAATCCAGTGCCAACTTAAAACCAACATCCCTGTCGCGATTTCTGGGTGGGTCAAGAGTGGGGACTATCCAAAGATTTCTTATTTGACATACGTCTATTTGTACATTTGTAATGGTTGTTGGTTTGGTTTTAAATAAGTGATTCTTGGACAGGGCATGGTGGCTCATGCCTATAATCCCAGCACTTTGGGAGGCCAAGGTGGGAGGATTGCTTGAGGCCAGGAGTTTGAGACCAGCCTGGGTAACACAGCAGAACCCCATCTCTACAAAAATAATAAAAAATTAGCTGGGCATGGCGGACCCCGCCTATGGTCCTAGCTACTTGGGAGGCTGAGACAAGACAATCATTTGAGTCTTGGAGGATGAGATTGCAGTAAGCTATGATTGTGCTGCTGCGTTCTAGCCTGGGTGACAGGGTAAGACCCTGTCTCTAAAAGGTAAATAGTAAATAAGTGATTCTTTACAATAGGGCTGAGGAGAGCCTCCTGTGTGTTAGGAGTTTGCCAGGTGACTGGCATATATTATTTCTTTTACTGGAGGTCATGAGTCATTTCTCGAGGAAACTGCAGATCAGAAAAGCTTGTTTGTCATATTTTAAAACTGCAGCCTAGTCTTTTTTTTTTTTTTTTTTTTTGAGACAGAGTTTTGCTCTTGTTGCCCAGGCTGGAGTGCAATGACGTGATCTTGGCTCACCGCAACCTCTGCCTCCCAGGATCAAGGGATTCTCCTGCCTTAGCCTCCCAAGTAGCTGGGATTACAGGCATGCACCACCATGCCCGGCTAATTTTGTATTTTTAGTAGACACGGGTTTTCTCCATGTTGGTCAGGCTGGTCTCAAACTCCCGACCTCAGGCGATCCGCCTGCCTTGGCCTCCCAAAGTGCTGGGATTACAGGCGTGAGCCACCACACCCGGCGCAGCGTAGTTATTCTTTATTCTGTCTTCCGTGATTTCTTAAATTCATCCAAGGGTATTCAGGAATTTTGCAGGGTGAGCCTATGCTGACAAAATGAAATTGAGCACCATAGTTTTGTGTTTTTTACTAAATCTCCAGAAAATAAAAGTGACCTTTGGACTGCCAGAAGATTCACGTGAAACCTCACATAAAATCAGCATGTGAAGACAGAGAGGATGTTGGTGATCACCAGAATCTGTTCATTTTTCCTTTGAAGATACTTAAAGGAAGTATGTGTATGTTTACAGGTTTGTATATGTTTTAGAGTGTGCCCACAAGCTCTTAGCCATTTAAGACAGACACTAAAGACTCCCTCAATTAAAAAAAAAGTTCAGTGGAATTTTGTTCATAATATCTGCCTGAGAAAAAACAGGCCCTGCTTTTCAGTCTTGAAGACTGAAGGCTCCTTTTTGAGTAGAGTAGTGGGGGCTGGGTGCAGTGGCTCATGCCTATAATCCCAGCACTTTGGGAGGCCGAGGTGGGCAGATCATTTGAGGTCAGGAATTCGAGACCTGCATGGCCAACATGGTGAAACCCCGTCTCTACTAACAATACAAAAATTAGCTGGGTGTGGTGGCTCGTGCCTGCTAATCCCACTACTCGGGAGACTGAGGCAGAAGAATCACTTGAACCCAGGAGGTGGAGGTTGCAGTGAACCGAGATCATGCCGCTGCACTCCAGGCTGGGCAACAGAGTGAGACTCCATCTCAAAAAAAAGAGAAGAGTAGTGGGAGTAGTTAGGCGACAGAAGTATGCTTTAGAGAAGGCTGGCTAGCCTAACTCATTTTCCTAATAAATGCCAGTGATGCCCCTAACCAGGCACTAGGGTCTATTGTCAGTGCGGCGTGTGGGTAAGTCACACTTTGTACCTCACCTCTTCAGCATCTATGTCTGGGTGAACTCAGAATTATGTGTGATCACCAAGGGCAGCCTTGAAGGGGACGAGAGGGCCCTACAAGGACAAGTCTCTGACTGAGAGGGTTATGTGGGAATGACAGAAGAGTGGCCCACCTGGGCGGGTTGCTGGGAGAGAGAGGAAAGGGGAGAAGGGTGTCATGTTCAGATTTACAGCCTGTCCATAAACTTCATGGTTTTATGGTACTCAGCCATGTAATCATTTCCTGCCCCTTCTCCTACTGTGTTCTCCAGAGTCCCTGAGTCACTCTTTGGCCAGTGGCCTGCAGCCAGGGCTCATTTCTCTTCTCTATGGCCTAAAGAAGTTGTTTCCGTGCCCTGGGGCACGGGCATCCAGGGACAACATATTACAAGGCGGTCTGTTGGGGTGTGGAAGACACTAGAACCTTTATCTGTATTTAACCCATCCATTTCTAATTTATATTTTTTATGTGTTATAGTGTAAAGTTTTGCTGTAAACAATTCATAATAAATATGTATGGATATGGCATATTTGTATATATTTATTATGTATGTAATTGTTTAACATATGTGCAAGTATGTTAAAGATATTATGTTGAATAGGATGCATATCAAGAAGGTTTGGCCAGCCTGGCCAACATGGTGAAACCTCATCTCTACTAAAAATACAAAAATTAGCCAGGCATGGTGGTGGGCACCTGTATTCCCAGCTACTCTGGAGGCTGAGGCTCGAGAATCGCTTTAACCCAGGAGGTGAAGGTTGCAGTGAGCCGAGATGGCACCACTGCAGTCCAGGCTGGGCAATAGAGCAAGACTCGGTCTCAAAGAAAAAAAAGTAAGTAAGTTTAGGACAATAGCCCTAGGGAATTATGCTGATAATGGTCCTTTTTTATTATTACATAAGTTAACCCATTTATTAAAGGCTAGTGATGTCTCCAATGGTGGAGAAACATCTGGTCTTTCAATTCCTTCAGTCTTCTGACTGTAGACTTTGCTGTGACGGCAGAAGTGGTATTGTAGGTTCAGCCACCACCAGCTACTGTCTTCATGCACGAACCACAGTGCCCGACCCCCATATCTCGTCTTTTCATCTTGGTTTTGTCACAGAAAGAGCAATTGTACTTGGCGTGCTAGCCGGTTTCAATTTTCTTCACCATTTTCTGGAAGGAGGCACCATAGCGGATCCTGTATTTACCGACAATTCCAACTTTATTGGTGCATTTAGCCATGTCAGTGCAAAGTTTTGAGCCCGCAATAATCTTTAAAAGCGTTATTTTATGTTTCATTATGAAATTAACTTTTCATTATGAAATTAACTAACTATAGCGGATCCTGTATTTACTGACAATTCCAACTTTATTGGTGCATTTAGCCATGTCAGCGCGAAGGTTTGAGCCCGCAATAGTCTTTAAAAGCATTATTTTATGTTTCATTATGAAATTAACTTTTTAAAAATTTTTTTTGAGATGTAGACCTGCTCTATCCCTAGGCTGGAGTGCAGTGGTGTGATCTCAGCTCACTACAATCTCTGCCTCCCGGGTTCAAGCGATTCCCCAGCCTCAGCCACCTGAGTAGCTGGAATTACAGGAGTGCACCACCACGCCCAGCTAATTTTTTGTATTTTAGTAGAGACGGGGTTTTATCATGTTGGCCAGGATGGTCTCGATCTCCTGATCTCATGACCCGCCTGCCTTGGCCTCCCAAAGTGCTGGGATTACAGGCGTGAGGGACCGTGCCCAGCCCAACTTTTTTTTGTTTGTTTGTTTTGAGACAGAGTCTCACTCTGTCACCAGGTTGGTATGCAGTGGCGTGATCTTGGCTCCCTGTAACCTCCACCTCCTCGGTTCAAGCGATTCTCCTGCCTCAGCCTACTGAGTAGCTGGGATTACAGGTGTGCGCCACCACGCCCAGCTAATTTTTGTAGTTTTAGTAGAGATGGGGTTTCACCATGTCGGCCAGGCTGGTCTCGATCTCTTGACCTCATGATCCATCCACCTTGGCCTCCCAAAGCACTGGGATTACAGGTGTGAGCTACCAAGCCCAGCCTTTTTTTTTTTTTTTTTCTTTTTTTGAGGTGAAGTCTCACTGTGTTGCCCAGGCTGGAGTGCAGTGGTTCAATCTTGGCTCACTGCAACCTCCATCTCCCACGTTCAAACTGAGTGGGGCCTTCAAATTCTGGTTTCAAACCAGGATGATTCTCCAGTTCCTTGAGAGTTTATAGGTGTGTGAGCTATTTTCACTGTTTCCAGAGCCTAATAGAAACCTTCTATTTACCCCAAATAAGCCTGCACAGGTCAACTTTAAGGTCAAGTGTTTTGCATTCGTTAGAAATGTTAGGAAATTGGAGTGGTCCTCTCATGCTGATCAGAATGTGCGGTTACGGCCTGAGTGTGGAGTGGGCAAGTGCTGCTTTGGGGCCTGACTTGGGTCCCAACCCCCTTCTATTGTGAGGGAGTTCTGCGGGAGGAAAAGTGGGGAACACCACCTCCCATAGCCCCTGAACAGCACCAACTTTAGACCTGGGCAAGTGAGACCCTTCCCCAGGCCTGCTCCTCAGGAATCCCTGCACTTTGGAGTGTGTTTCTCAAAATGTTCCAGCTTTCCCTTCTGTGCTTGGGACATGCCAGGGCCAGCAGGTAAGAGAGTTTCAGTTGCTTCCAGCCTTTCCAATATTTGGTGTTGTCAGGCTTTTTGATTTTAGCTATTCTTCACTGTGGAAATTTTTTCCCATGGAAAATCTCTCTCTCTCTCCCTCACCCTTCTCTGTCTCTCTCTTTCCTTCTCTCTTGCTGACTTCTCTCTTTCTTTCTTTCTTTCTCTCTCTCTCTCCTTGTCTCCTCCCCACAGCAGATTTACTGAGGTATCAAAAACATGGCTGGGTGTGGTGGCTCATACCTGTAATCCCAGTACTTTGGGAAGCTGAGGCAGGCGGATCGCTTGAGGCCAGGGGTTCGAGACTAGCCTGGCCAAAATAGCAAGACCCTGTCTCAAAAAAAAAAAAAAACCCATACACATACTGGATTTGATAGGTTTTGACATATATATACATCCATGAAGCTGTGACCACGATGAAGATAATGAACACATCCATCATCCCCAAAGTTTCCTCATGCTCCTTGTCATCCCTCCCTCCTGCCTTTCCTTGCTTCCTCCTCCCTGCCTGACACCAGGAAACCACTGATATGCTTTCTGTCAATATGCAAAGTAGTTTGCATTTTTAGAGTTTTGTATAAATGGAATCATTTCTTTTTTGTTTTTTAAGACAGGGTTTTACTCCTGATACCCAGGCTGAGGTGCAATGGTGTGATCTCGGCTCACTGCAACCTCTGCCTCCCAGGCTTAAGCGATTTTCCTGCCTCAGCCTCCCAAGCAGCTGGGAATACAGATGCATGCCACAGCACCTGGCTAAATACAGTGTATTCTGTTTAAAATCTGACCTCTTTCACTTGGGATAATTATTTTGAGTTTCATCCATGTTGTGTGTTTCAATAGTTCATTCCTTTTTATTGCTCAGTAGTATTCCATTACATGGATATATCATAATTTGTCTATACTTTTCTTTTTTGGTAATGTCTTTGGCAAGATTTGGTATCAGGGTTATGCTGGCCTTATAAAATGAATTAAGAAGTGTTTCCTCGGCTGGGCGCAGTGGCTCACGCCTGTAACCCCAGCACTTTGGGATGCTGAGGTGGGTGGATCACCTGAGGTCAGGAGTTTGAGACCAGCCTGACCAACATGGAGAAAACCTGTCTCTACTAAAAATACAAAATTAGCCAGGTGTGGTGGCTCATGCCTGTAGTGTAGTCCCAGCTACTTGGGAGGTTGACGCAGGAGAATCGCTTGAACCTGGGAGGCGGAGGTTGTGGTGAGCCAAGATCGCACCATTTCACTCCAACCTGGGCAACAAGAGTGAAACTCCGTCTCAAAAAAAAAAAAAAAAAAAAAAAAAAGTTTCCTCATTCTCTACTTTTTGCCCAGGCTAGAATAAAGTGACTTGATCTTGGCTTACTGCAACCTCCGCCCCTCAGGTTCAAGTGATTCTCCTGCCTCAGCCTCCTGAGTAGCTGGGATTACAGGTGCCCACCACCATGCCCGGCTAATTTTTGTATTTTTAGTAGAGACAGGGTTTCACCATTTTGGCCAGGCTGGTCTCGAACCCCTGACCTCAGGTGATCCACCCGCCTCAGCTTCCCAAAGTGCTAAGATTAAAGGCATGAGCCAACGCGCCCGGCCTTTCCTTTTTTTGAGACAGAGTCTTGCTCTATCACCCAGGCTGGAGTGCAGTGGCAAGATCACAGTCCACTGCAGCCTCCAATTCCCCAGACTCAAGTGATCCTCCCACTTCAGACTCCCAAGTTGCTGGGACCACAGCTGTGCACCACCATACTTGGCTAATTTTTGCATTTTTTTTTTTAAGAGAGAGGGTTTCACCATGTTGTCCAGGCTGGTCTTGAACTCCTGGGCTCAAGTGATCCTCCTGCCTTGGCTTCCCAAAGTGTAGGGATTACAGGCATGAGCCACTGCACCCAGCCCATTCTCTATTTTCTGAAAGGTTTGTGTAAAAATTTTTTTATAAGGCCAGGCACGATGGCTCACGCCTGTAATCCCAGCACTTTGGGAGGCCGAGACGGGAGGATCATGAGGTCAGGAGATCGAGACCATCCTGACTAACATGGTGAAACCCCATCTCTACTAAAAATACAAAAAATTAGCCAGGCATGGTGGCGGGTGCCTGTAGTCCTAGCTACTCGGGAGGCTGAGGCAGGAGAATGGCGTGAACCCGGGAGGTGGAGCTTGCAGTGAGCGGAGATCATGCCACTGCATTCCAGCCTGGGCGACAGAGTGAGACTCCGTCTCAAAAAAAAAAAAAATTTTTTTTTATAAACAAAATATTTTTCATACACAAAAGATTTTTCATTCTGAATTATACAAAAAACTTCAAACAAGTACTGTTTATAAGATCCACTAATGTTATATTTTTAAATAATATGATTACATAATAGCTTTCTTTAAATCTGAGTTCACTCAAATTTGATGGTTTTTTTTTTTTTTGAGACGGAGTTTCACTCTTGTTGCTCAGGCTGGAGTGCAATGGTGTGTTCTCGGCTCACTGCAACCTCTGCCTCCCAGGCACAAGCAATTCTCCTGTCTCAGCCTCCCAAGTAGCTCGGATTATAGGGATGCACCACCATGCCCGGCTAATTTTTTTGTATTTAGTAGAGATGGGGTTCCATCATGTTAGTCAGGGTGGTCGTGAACTCCTGACTTCAGGTGATCCACCTGCATTGGCCTCCCAAAGTGCTGGGATAACAGGCGTGTGCCACCATGCCCAGCCTCGTTTTATCTTTACTAACTATGATTACCAAGTTGTAAAAACAAAAAATTACAACCACATTCTTGGCAGAATTTTGATGTCTGATAATACCTGGATATTGGACAGCATCCAATTAAAACATCAGTATAGCTTTCATGCATTAAATAAAGTATTTTACTCAAGTTCCCAAAACAAACTTGAGTATGTTGGGTTTGAATGGAAGCAAAAGGCCAAGTTAAAATATGAAAGCAGATGGTTTTTATTTGGTAGGAGCTGAAATGAATATTTGCGTTCTAATCAGACATCTGTGCCATGTGGCATTTTCCAAATTTTTAAGAGTCTACCAGTCTAAACACTTCACTGCTTTTACCACCTTTGCTTTGCTCTTCTCCTTTCTTTCCTCTCATTTTGCCTTCAGACTTTTTCTTTCCTTTTTTTTTTTTGAGACAGAGTCTCGCTCTATTACCCAGGCTGGAGTGCAGTGGTGCTATCTTGGTTCACTGCAACCTCTGCCTCTTGGAGTTCAAGTGAGTCTCATATCTCAGCCACCCAAGTAGCTGGGACTATAGGCTTGCACCACCACACCCGGCTAATTTTTGTATTTTTAGTAGAGACAGGGTTTCACCATGTTGGCCAGGCTGGTCTCGAATTCCTAGCTTCAGGTGATCTGCCTGCCTTGGCCTCCCAAAGTGCTGAGATTCCAGGCGTGAGCCACCGCCCCTGGCCTCAGCCTTTTTCTTTACCTCTACTTCTTCCATACTGGTTACTGCCCATACTGGTCTAGAAAACCTTTTTTTCCTCTTAATATCAGCCTCCATTTTTGTGTCATCTTTTTCATCTTTCACCACACACTCATTTCCTCTTGGCAGTGTCTGGCATCACCACAGTTGCTGTCTCTTGAACATCTTTCTTTAAAACATTGCGTCTACTTTGAGAATACTTTCAAGTCAGCTGAGCACCTTTGGGGCATTCTTTTTTCTCTTTTCAGGCACTTTTCTTTTCCACCCACTCTGACACACCACATGATCATGCTGACCAGAGTTTGGTTTGTGTAAAATTGCTGTTATTTCTTCCTTAAATGTTGGATAGAATTGAACGGTGAAGCCATTTGGATTTGGGATTTTAATTATTAAATCATTCTTCTTCTTTTTTTCTTTTTTTGTTTTCCAGACAGGATCTTGCTTCATCACCCAGGCTGGAGTGCAGTGGCACAATCACAGCTCACTGAAGCTTCAACCTCCTGGGTTCCCTCCTGGGAGCGACCCTCCCACCTCAATCTCCAGAGTAGCTGGGACTACAGGTGCCTCCCACCACACCTGGATAATTTTTGAAATTTTTGTAGAGTCGGGGTCTTGCTAGGTTGCTTAGGCTGGTCTCGAACTCCTAGCTTCAAGTGATTCTCCTGCCTTGGCCTCCTAAAGTGCCAAGATTACAGGTATGAGCCAGCACACTTGGCCTGCATCCTGCACATACTGATACACTGTGTTTTCATCATCATTCAGATTGAAATACTTTCTATTGTCTTTTGTGATTTTTTTTGATTCAAGGTTATTTTGAAGAGTGTTGCTTAATTTCAGAATATTTGAAGATCTTAAAAACATTTTACTTAATTACATAACTTGGGCTGGGCATGGTGGCTCACACCTGTAATCCCAGCATGTTGGGAGGCAGAGGCAGGCAGATCACTTGAGGCTGGGAGTTCGAGACCAGCCTGGCCAACATGATATAACCCCGTCTCCACTATAAATACAAAAATTAGCAGGGTGTGGTGGCACACACCTGTAATCCCAGGTTCTCAGAAGGCTGAGGCATGAGAATCTTTTGAACCCAGGAAGTGGTGGTAGCAGTGAGCTGAGATAGTGCCACTGCACTGCAGCCTGGGTGACAAAGCAAGGCTCTGTCTCAAAAAAAAAAAAAAAAAGAAAAAGAAAAAAGAAAAACCATAACCTGAATGAATTTGATCTGTTGCCATTTTTTGAGGCTTGTTTATGGACTAGCATATAGCGCATCTCAGTGTATATTCCTTGAGCACTTCAAAAGAATGTGTACTCTGCAATTTTTGAGTATGATATTCTGTAGTCAATTAAGTCAAACTAATTGGTAATGCTATCAAATTTTCTATGATGTCACTTTTTTCCCCAACTTATTCTAACAGTTACTAAGAGGGGTTATTAAAATCTCCATATGTTTGTGGATTCATTTATTTCTTTTTAGTCTGTTAATTTTTGCTTTACATATTTTAAAGCTCTCTTATTAAGTGTATACAGATTTAGGACTTTTATGTCTTAACTAATTAAACGTTTTAGTATTAAGAAATATTCTTTATCTCTGGAATACTCTTCGCTTGAAAGATTTTATTTGGGCTGGGCGTGGTGGCTCACGCCTGTAATCCCAGCACTTTGGGAGGCCAAGGCGGGCGGATCAGGAGGTCAGGAGTTCGAGACCAGCCTGGCCAACATGGTGAAACCCCGTCTCTACTAAAAACACAAAAAGTAGCTGAGTGCGGTGGCAGGGGCCTGTAATCCCAGCTACTCTGGAGGCTGAGGCAGGAGAATTGCTTGAACCCGGGAGGCAGAGGTTGCAGTGAGCCGAGATCGCACCACTGCACTTCAGCCTGGGTGACAGAGCAAGACTTTGTCTCAAAAAAAGAAAGAAAGAAAGATGCTTTATCTGATATTAATATAGCTATAAACAAGCCAAACATTGCTTTTTTTTTTTTTTTTTTTTTTGGGAGGGAGTCTTGCTCTGTCATCCAGGCTGGAGTGCAGTGGTGCAATCTTGTCTTGCTACTAGCACTGCCTCTCAGGTTCAAGTGATCCTCCTGCCTCAGCCTCCCAAGTAGCTGAGATTATAATGTGTACCACCACACCTGGCTAATTTTTGTATTTTTAATAGAGACAGAGTTTCACCATGTTGGCCAGGCTGGTCTCAGACTCCTAGCCTCAAGTGACCTGTGCGCCTTGGCCTCCCAAAATGCTTAGATTACAGGCGTAAGCCACTGTGCCCAACCCAAATATTGTTTTCTTAAGTTTAGTGTTTGTACAATATATACTTTTTTACTATTTTACTTTCAACTTGGTTGTGTCTTTATATTTCTAAGATGTTTCTTGTAAACAAAGTAACCTGAGATTTTTGTTCTCTGTTTTCTAATTGGAGGGGCTAGTCTATTAGCATTTTTTTTTTTTTTTTTTGAGACAGGGTCTCACTCTGTCACCCAGGCTGGAGTGTAGTGGCACCATCATGCCTCACTGAAACCTCGACCTCCTGGGCTCAAGCAATTCTTCCACCTCAGCCTCCTGAGTAGCTGGGCCTATAAGTATGCACCATCATGCCTGGTGAATCTTCAAACTTTTTTTGTAGAGATGGGATCCCACTTTATTGCCCAGGCTTGTCTCATTTGTATTTAACATGATTTTTTGGTATTTTTAGGTTTACTTTTAACAAATAAAAAACCCATAACATTTTTTTCTACTTGTTCCATCTGTTGTTTGTTTCTCTGTGATATAGCTTGGGTCTGTGTCCCTGCCCAAATCTCATGTCAAATTGTAATCTCCAGTGTTGGAGGTGGGGCCTGCTAGGAGGTGACTGGATCGTGGGAGTGGGTTTCCCCTTTGGTGCTGTCCTCATGATAATGAGTTAGTTCTCATGAGATCTGGTCATTTAAAAGTATGTGGCACCGGCCGGGCACGGTGGCTCACCCCTGTAATCCCAGCACTTTGGGAGGCCGAGGTGGGTAGATCTCCTGAGGTCAGGAGTTCAAGACCAGCCTGGCCAACATGGTAAAACCCCGTCTCTACTAAAAATACAAAAATTAGCTGGGCGTGGTGGCAGGTGCCTGTAATCCCAGCTACTTGGAAGGCTGAGGCAGGAGAATTGCTTGAGCCCGGGAGGCGGAGGTTGCAGTGAGCCGAGATTGCGCCACTGCACTCCAGCCTAGGCGACAGAGCAAGACTCTGTCTCAAAAAAGAAAAAAGAAAAAAGAAAAAAAAAAGTGTGTGGCACCTGCCGCTCTGTCCTACCCCTCTATCCTTGGTCCTGCTTCTGCCATGTAAGATGCCTGCTCCGGCTTTGCCTTCCTCCATGAGTAAAAGGGTCCTGAGGCCTCCCCAGAATCAGATGCCGCCATGCTTCCTGTACAGCCTGCAGAACTGTGAGCCAGTTAAACCTCTTTTCTTTATAAATGACCCAGTCTCAGGTATTTCTTTATAGTAATGCAAGAATGGACGAATACACTCTGTTTCTCTTTTCCTGCCCACTTTTCAATAAATTGAGTATTTTTAAATATACCATTGACTTTTTAGCTAATCATCTTTTATTTTGAGTAGTTTTTCTTGAGATTACAAATATCTTTAACAGTCTACCTTCAAATTATTCTCCTTTTGTGATTCTAACACTAATTCTATTTACCCACTTCCAATTCTTTTTACCCATTTCCAATTCTTTGAGCTCTTGTTGTCCTATATTTTACTTCTAAATGTTATATATTTTGAAATATATTGTTATTATATTGGCAGCCAATTGTCTTTTTAAAATGTGTAGATAAGCCAGGAGCAGTGATCATGCCTGTAATCCCAGCTACTTAGGAGGTTGAGGTGGGAGGATTGCTTGAGGTCAGGAGTTTGAGACCAGCCTGGGAAACATAGCAAGACCCTCTCTCTAAAAAATAGAAAAATAAAAAAATTAACCAAGGATGGTGGCATGTGCCTGTGGTCTTAGCTACTTGGGAGGCTGAGGCAGGAGATTTGCTTGAGCCCAGGAGTCAAGCCTGCAGTGAGCTATGATCATGCCACTGCACTCCAGCCTGGGCAACAGAGTGAGATCATGTAACTAAACAGAAAAAAAAAAGTATAGCTCTCTTTTCTATTTAGATTCATATTTATGCTCTCTGGGTCTCTTATTGTTTCCTACAGATCTATGCTTCCATTGACATTATTTCTGTTAATCATTTCTGGTAGAGCAGGTTTTCTGGAAATGAATTTCTCCTTTTTTCTGAAAATATCCTTATTTACCTTTAGGTTGAAATATAAATAGACGTGGCCGGGCGCGGTGGGTCACACCTGTAATCCCAGCACTTTGGGAGGCTGAGGTGGGCAGATCATAAGATCAGGAGATAGAGACCATCCTGGATACCACGGTGAAACCCCTTATCTACTAAAAATACAAAAAATTAGCCGGGCGTGGTGGCACACGCCTGTAGTCCCAGCTACTCGCGAGGCTGAGGCAGGAGAATTGCTTGAACCCGGGAGTTGGAGGTTGCAGTGAGCCGAGGTCATGCCATTGCACTCCAGCCTGGGAGACAGAGTGAGACTCTGTCTCAAAAAAAAAAAAAAAGAAGAAAGAAATATAAATAGACATCTAGGCTGACAGGTTTTGCTTTTTTTTGTTTCAGTTATTTAAGAAAGCTTTTCTATTTTGGGGGGGAGGGTGTGGGGTGTACTGGTCTGTTCTCATGCTGCTAATAGAAGACATACCTGAGACTGGATAATTTATAAAGAAAAAGAGGTTTGGCTGGGCGCAGTGGCTCACCCCTGTAATTCCAGCACTTTGGGAGGCCAAAGCGGGTGGATCACGAGGTCAGGAGATCGAGACCATCCTGGCTAACATGGTGAAACCGCGTCTCTACTAAAAAAACAAAAAGAAAAAGAAAAAAAGAGGTTTAATGGACTCACAGTTCCACATAGCTGGAGAGGCCTTACAATCATGGTGGAAAGCAAAGGAGGAGCAAGGCATGTCTTACATGGTGGCAAGCAAGAGAGAAGTAGAGGGGAACTCCCTTTAGAAAGCCATCAGGTCTTGGAGGCATTCAGCTGCTTCAAGATGAAGCTGAACATCTCCTTCCCGGTCACTGGCTGCCAGAAACTCATTGAAGTGGATGATGAATGCAAACTTCGTACTTTTTATGAGAAGCTTATGGCCACAGAAGTTGCTGCTGACACTCTGGGTGAAGAATGGAAAGGTTATGTGGTCCGAATCAGTGGTGGGAACAACAAACAAGGTTTTCCCATGAAGCAGGGTGTCTTGACCCATGGCCGTGTCCACCTGCTACTGAGTAAGGGGCATTCCTGTTACAGACCAAGGAGAACTGGAGAAAGAAAGAGAAAATCAGTTCGTGGTTGCATAGTGGATGCCAATCTGAGCATTCTCAACTTGATTATTGTTAAAAAAAAAAAAAAAGTAAAGAAGGATATTCCTGGACTGACTGATACTATGGTGCCTTGTCGCCTGGGGCCCAAAAAAGCTAGCAGAATCTGCAAACTTTCCAATCTCTCTGAAGAAGATGATGTCCGCCAGTATGTTGTAAGAAAGCCCTCAAACAAAGGAGGTAAGAAACCTAGGACCAAAGCACCCAAGATTCAGCATCTTGTTACTCCACATTTCCTGCAGCACAAAGGGCAGCATATTGCTCTGAAGAAGCCGTGTACTAAGAAAAATAAGGAAGAGGCTGCAGAATATGCTAAACTTTTAGGCAAGGGAATGAAGGAGGCTAAAGAGAAGCGCCAGGAACAAATTGCGAAGAGACACAGACTTTCCTCTCTGTGAGCTTCTACATCTAAGTCTGAGTCCAGTCAGAAATAAGGTCTCGTGAGACGTTATCACAAGAACAGCATGGGAAAGATTCACTCCCGTGATTCAGTTACCTCCCGCCGGGTCCCTCCCACAACATGTAGGAATTATGGGAGCTACAATTCAAGATGAGATTTGGGTGGGGACACAGCCAAACCATATTAGGGGATGGGGAAGCTTTTCTATTGTCTTCTGGCCTCTACTGTTTCTGATGAGAAATTACCCATCATTCATAATTTTTCTTTGGCTGCTTTTAATAATTTATTTTTATCTTTGATTTTCAACACTTTGACTGTGATGTACCTGAGGTTGGTTTTCTTTGTATTTATTCTGCTTGGAGTTCACTGAGCTGATGCAATCTGTGACTTGATTTCTTTTATTAGTTTTAGAAAATTCTTGTCTATTATCTCTCCAAAGATTTCTTCTGTCTCACTCTTTCTTTTCCTTATGGGACTTCAATTACAAATATGTTAAACCATTTGCTATCATCCTAAGGATCATAGATGCTCTGTTTTATCCCCCCAACATTTTTCTATTTGTGTTTTAGTTGGATTACAGTCACGTGCTGTATAATGACAGTTTAGCCAACAACAGACCACATATATGATGTTGGCCCCATAAGATTATAATAAAGCTGAAAAATTCCTATCACCTAGTGATGTTGTAGCCATCATAAAGTTGTAGTGCAACACATTTCTCCTGTGTTTGTAGTGATGCTGGTGTAAACAAACCTGTGCTGCCGGTTGTATAAAAGTATAGCACACACAATAATGTATAGTATATAATACTTGATAATGACAAAAAAAGACTATGTTACTGGTTTATGTATTTAGTATACATTTATCATTATTTTAGAATGTACTTCACATATATATAACATTACATTATATATATATGTATAAAGTTGACTGTAAAACAACCTCAAGCAGAAACATAAATAACAAATTTTAAAAATAGAAAAAAGCGGCTGGGCATGGTGGCTCATGCCTGTAATCCCAGCACTTTAGGAGGATAAGGCAGGTGGATCACCTGAGGTCAGGAGTTTGAGACCAGCCTGGCCAACATGGCGAAACCCCATCTCTACTAAAAACACAAAAAATTAGCCAGGCATGGTGGTGCACACCTGTAGACCCAGCTACTCAGGAGGCTGAGGCAGAATCGCTTGACTCTGGGAGGCAAAGGTTGCAATGAGCTGAGATCGTGCCATTGCACTCCAGCCTGAGTGACAGAGTGAGACTCAGTCTCAAAAAAAAAAATAAATAAATAAAAGGAAAAAGCCTAAAGAATAAGGATATACAGAAGGAAATATTTTGTACAGCTGTACAATGTGTGCTTGAAGTTAAGTGTTATTAAAAGAGTCAAAAAGCTAAAAGATGAAAAAGTTTATAAAGTTAATTTAGTTACAGTAAGCTAAGGTTAATTTATTATTGAAGAAAGAAAAATTTTAAAAATAAACAAATTTAGTGGCCAGGCGCAGTGGGTCATGCCTGTAATCCCAGCACTTTGGGAGGCCGAGGTGGGTGGACCACCTGGAGTTGGGAGTTCAAGACCAGCCTGACCAACATGGTGAAGCCCCATCTCTACTAAAACTACAAAATTAGCTGGACATGGTGGCATATGCCTGTAATCCCAGCTACTTGGGAGTCTGAGGTAGGAGAATCGCTTCAACCCAGGAGATGGAGGTTGCGGTGAGCCGAGATTGTGCCACTGTACTCCAGCCTGGGCAACGAGCAAAACTCCATCTCAAAAATAAACAAATAAATAAATAAATAAAATAAATTTAGAGTAGCCGAAGTGTCCACTGTTTATAAAGTCCACAGTAGTGTGCAGTAATGTCCTAGGCCTCCACATTCACTCACCACTTACTCGCCCAGAGCAACTTCCAATCCTGTAAGCTCCATTTATGGTAAGTGCCCTATATAGGTGTACCATATTTTATCTTTTATGGTGTATTTTTATTGTAACTTTCCTATGTTTAGATTTGTTTAGATATATAAATATTTACCATTGGGTTACAATTGCCTGCTGTATTCAGTACAGTAACATGCTGTGCAGGTTTGTAGCCTAGGAGCAATAGGCTATTCCAAGCAACCTAGGTGTGTAGTAGGCTGTGTGGTATGTGTGAATATACTCTATGATGTTCACACAATGACAAAATTGCCTAATGATGCATTTCTCAGAATGTATTCGCATTGTTAAGCAATGCATGACATATTCTTATTGATCTGATTTTAAGTTTACTGTTCATTTCCACTGCTGTGTCCAGTCTACTGTACATCAAATTACTTCTTCATTTCTGATCTTTTTTTTTTTTTTTGAGACAGAGTCTTGCTCTGTAGCCCAGGCTGGAGTGCAGTGGTGCGATCTCGGCTCACTGCAAGCTCCGCCTCCTGGGTTCAGGCCATTCTCCTGCCTCAGCCTCCCGAGTAGCTGCGACTACAGGCGCCTGCCACCACGCCCAGCTAATTTTTTGTATTTTTAGTAGAGACGGGGTTTCACCGTGTTAGCCAGGATGGTCTCAATCTCCTGACCTTGTGATCCGCCCGCCTCAGCCTCCCAAAGTGCTGGGATTACAGGCGTGAGCCACCGTGCCCGGCCTCTGATATTTTTTTTTTCTTTTTTTGAGATGGAATTTCGCTCTTGTCACCCAGGCTGGAGTGCAGTGGCATGATCTTAGCTCACTGCAGCCTCCGCCTCCTGGATTCAAGTTATTGTCCCACCTCAGCCTCCCAAGTAGCTGGGATTACGGGCACCTGCCACCATGCCCGGCTAATTTTTTGTATTTTTAGTAGAGATGGGGTTTCACTCTGTTGGGCAGGCTGGTCTCGAACTCCTGACCTCAGGTGATCTGCCTGCCTCAGCCTCCCAAAGTGTTGGGATTACAGGCGTGAGCCACCATGCCCGGCCTGATATGTTTTTTATTTCTAGTATTTTCAATCTTTTTTTTTTTTTTTGAGATGGAGTCTCGCTCTGTCGCCCAGGCTGAAGTACAGTGGCGCAATCTCAGCTCACTGCAAGCTCAGCCTCCCGGGTTCACGCCGTTCTCCTGCCTCAGCCTCCTGAGTAGCTGGGACTACAGGCGCCCGCCACCACGCCTGGCTAGTTTTTTGTATTTTTAGTAGAGACAGAGTTTCACCATGTTAGACAGGATGGTCTTGATCTCCTGACCTCGTGATCGGCCCGCCTCGGCCTCCCAAAGTGCTAGGATTACAGGCGTGAGCACCGCGCCCGACCTAGTATTTTCATCCTTTAAGTGTCTACTGTTTGTTAAAATTTCTCATTTGTTCATAGAAGATGTTTACCTTTTCACCAGGTCCTTTGTCATATTTGTTAATGTTATTTTAAAGCCCATTTATAATTGCAAAATCTGGACCTACTTGGGGCCAGCTTTTATTGATGATTTCCTCTCTTGATAATAGATTATATTTTCTTGTTTCTTTAGATGCTTTGTAGTTTTAAATTTATGCTGGACATTGCATAAAATGGAAAATAGAGGTTAAAGTAATATTTGCTCCCAACAAAGGACCATCCTACAGGAAGCTGAGTAAGTATAATCTGAAGTTAAAGTGAGCCTGGGGTATTTTGTGTTTTTGGTTTTTTTTTTTTTTTTTGCAGTTTTAGTTAGATTCCGATCACCATGGGCTTCAGATGTTTTGACAGCGGGATCAAGATGTTCTCCTCAGCAAAGCTTAGGATATGACACCTGCAAGAGCACAGAGATCTCCTTATGCTTTTTATCTAGCCACCAGTTTTACAAACCATGGCGATCCCTGTCGTTGGTATTGGAGTGTTACTGCTCCTAGGCCCTCTTTGTGGACAGAGCTACGGAATGTATGTATGTGTTTGTGTCCATATGAATATACATTCATACATGTGTACATATATTTACATTTACCTATTTTTATATCTATCTCTCTATACTGGAAAACATAGCTTTAATAGTTCTAATTCCAATTAAACAGCCCAGGGTTTATTCCAGTTTTCTTCCTCTCCCCTTTCCTAACTCTCTTCTCCAAGAATGATGGTTTTTATTATTATCCTTTGTATTTTTTTATTTGATCAATCCCTGTCTACATAACCAATAGTTGTTACTACCCCCACTTCTGCATAGATGGTCTTGCCACTCTACCTGGGCTCTGACACACCATCCTGGGCTGCCTCCCTGCTGGGATGCCTTGCTCGCCCCATTTCCTCTCTGACTTCTCACCCCGGGCTGCTTAGGTGTGGCCCTGCTCTCCCTGCTCGGGCTCCAGTACCTGACTCCAGGCTACCCTTCTATGGGAACATCTTTATCACTCTGCTTAGACTCCAACGTCTTGTGCCAGGCTGTCCCATAGCATGGGTATCCTCCTCTCCTGCATGGGCCCCAACATCCCATGCCAGTCCACCCTCACACATATGCCCCCATCACCCTGCATTCACTCAAACACTTCACACCATGCTGCCCTTATGTGGGACACCTTCCTCATATTCTGGGGCTCCAGCAGCCTGTGCTGGTCCAATCCCCCCTGTGCATGCCCTCCTTGCCATGCTTGGGCTCCAACTCCTGTGGCTGGCCCATCCCTCCCTTCTTCCTTCTCCCATCCCTCTGTGGATGCTTTCCCAATCTTTCAGGCTTAGACTTGCCATTCTGGGCCGCCATGATTCAGGGACATCCTTCTAATTCTGCATGGGCTTCAATACTCAATATTAGGGCTCTTCTCCTGTGGGGATACCCTCTTCACCCAGTCTGAATTTCGAAACCAATCCCATGCCTGGTTGTATATATGAGACAATATTATAGTGTTAGAGATGAAAGGCAATAATTATATCATTAGATTAGATCCAGTTGAGATGGGTTGAGAGCAGTTATTCACAAAATAATTAATTAACTCCTCTGGAGTGCCTACTATGTGCCAGGACCTGTGCTGACCATTGAGGTGACCATTACCTCTTGGCTGCTACATGCTAATTTGTTAGGATTAGTTGCAAGTCTGGCTTAACCATCCTATCCCTCCTCTAGCCATGACACTAAGATTTAAGGGAAGTCACCCAGTTCCATATTTCTAGTATAATTATCATCCCTGGCCGGGCGCAGTGGCTCACGCCTGTAATCCCAGCACTTTGGGAGGCCAAGGCAGGCAGGTCACAAGGTTGGGAGTTTGAGACTAGCCTGGCCAGCATGGTGAAACCCCATCTCTACTAAAAATACAAAAATTAGCCGGGTGTGGTGGTGCATGCCTGTAATCCCAGCTACTCGGGAGGCTGAGGCAGGAGAATTGCTTGAACCCAGGAGGCAGAGGTTGCAGTGAGCCAAGATTGTGCCACTGCACTCCAGCCTGGGTGACAGAGCGAGACTTTGTCTCAAAAAATAATAATTATTATTATTATCACCCCCAACCTCAAGCCATAATTCTGCCTGCCTCACCACCTTGAACCTCCCCAGAGAACTATTAGCTGTTTAACAATTTTCTCATAGAGACTGTTAGGATTAATCCCATCCTGCCTTATATCCTTTTTTACTTCAGTTACTACCTGAAGTCCAAGCAACCTAGAGAACAGTGTATAATATGCTATCATGGTGCTAAAACGAGTATATTTGGCCAGGCACAGTAGCTCATGCCTATAATCCTAGCTCTTTGGGAGGCCAAGATGGGTGGATCGCTTGATTCTAGGAGTTTGGGACCAGCCTGGGCAACATGGCAAAACCATAGCTCTACAAAAAATACAAAATTTCTCCGGGTACATGGCTCACACCTGTGATCCCAGCACATTGGGAAGGTGAGGCGGGTGGATCACCTGAGGTCCGGGGTTCGAGATCAGCTTGGCCAACATGGTGAAACCCCGTCTCTACTAAAGATACAAAAAATTAGCCGGGCATAGTGGCGGATGCCTGTAATCCCAGCTACTCGGGAGGCTGAGGTAGGGGAAACGCTTGAACCTAGGAAGCGGAGGTTATGGTGAGCCTAGATCATGCCATTGCACTCCAGCCTGGGCAACAAGAGGGAAACTCCGTCTCAAAAACAAACAAACAGAGAAAGAAACAAACAAACAAAAATTAGCCAGGCATGGTGGCATGAGCCTGTGGTTGCAGCTACTCCAGAGGCTGAAGGGGAGGATCACTGGAGCCTGGGAAGTCAAGGCTGCAGTGAGCCATGATCGCACCACTGCATTCCACCCTGT
Source organism: Homo sapiens (assembly GCF_000001405.40). Classification (NCBI taxonomy): domain Eukaryota; kingdom Metazoa; phylum Chordata; class Mammalia; order Primates; family Hominidae; genus Homo; species Homo sapiens. Next base: position 12,857,891 of record NC_000012.12, read on the forward strand.
CTCAAAAAAGAAAAAAAAAGGAGTATATTCAAAATATTTGTTTGAATATTCATGAAATATCTCTCAAGAATTACACAAGAACTATGTAACAGGTAACATTGATACCTCCAGGAAGGGAAACCAGGTGTTCAGTGGGCTAAGGAAGGGAAATTGTTGACTTTATATATCCTTATGTAACTTTGAGTTTTGAACAGTGTGAATACATTTACCTATCAAATATATATATATACATATATATAAAATATAAAAGTACTTCATTGACTGAATATGCTCAGTTAACTAGGCACCATGCTAGCGGACTTGGAGTATATAAACAGGTGGTTAATCACAGTCTCTACCCTTAAGAGGATGACCACCTGATGAGAGTGAAAGTTAAGTATGAAAATTACTACAAAGTAATTGATGCAATGATAATTGCTATATCAGAGATGAAAAACCTGGAAGCCACTATCTCACAAGTGGCTTTTTTTTTTTTTTTCGGAGTCTTGCTCTGCTGCCCAGGCTAGAGTGCAGTGGCACGATCTTGGCTCACTACAACGTCTGCCTCCCAGATTCAAGCGATTCTCCTGCCTCAGCCTCCCGAGTAACTGGGACTACAGGTGCCTGCCACCACACCTGGCTAATTTTTGTATTTTTAGTAGAGACGGGGGTTTCACCATATTGGCCAGGCTGGTCTCGTACTCCTGACCTTGTGATCTGCCCACCTCTGCCTCCCAAAGTGCTGGGATTACAGGCATGAGCCACCATGCCCGGCCTACAAATGGCTTATTATTTAGGTATAATGTATGTATTATATAATTATATAATATGACTCATTTCCTAATGGTTTGGGGCATTTCAATTTTTACTGATTTTTTTTTCAGGACATAAGGCTGACATTGGTTTTTTTGCAGGCTCCTCCTCCCCATCCCTTTGCCTCCCATCCTACCCTTTGCCATTTCTTTCTTTCTTTTTTTTTTTTTTGTTTTTTTTTGAGATGGAGTCTCACTCTGTTGCCCAGGCTGGAGTGCAGTGGCATGATCTTGGCTCACTGCAACCTCTGCTTCCCGGGTTCAAGCAATTGTCCTTGCCTCAGCCTCCTGAGTAGCTGGGATTACAGGTGTGCACCACCACACCCAACTACTTTTTTTATACTTTTGGTAGAGATAGGGTTTCACCATGTTGGCCAGGCTGGTCTCAAACTCCTGACCTCAAGTGATCCGCCTGCCTCAGCCTCCCAAAGTGCTGGGATTATAGGCATGAGTCATTGCGCCCGGACCCCTTTGCCATTTCGGATCTGGGAATTATTCAGTTGCTGTGTTTTTGTTTTTGTTTTAATTCAAACAAACAAAAAAAAGGTTAACAGCTTACTGATGTATTATTTACGTAGCATAGAATTTACCCATTTTAATTGTACAGTTTGAAGAGTGTTAACACATTTATGCAGCCGTCACCATAATCCAGTTTTAGAACATTTTCATCACACCAAAAAGTTTCTTCATGCTCATTTGCTTTCTGTCCTTATTGTTTTGCCTTTTCTTGATTTTTTTCTTTTTCCGTTTCTTTTTTTTAGAGATGGAGTCTTGCTGTGTTGACCATGCTGAAGTGCAGTGGCTGTTCACAGGCACGATCATAGTGTACAACAGCCTCCAATTCCTGGGCTCAAGTGATCTTCCTGCCTCAGCCTACTGAGTAGCTGGGACTACAGGTACAGGCTCTGCACCCAGGTCTCTTGTATTTTAGTTTTTATTTATTTATTCAATTAATTTATTTATTTTAAGACAGGGTCTCACTCTGTCACCCAGGCTGGAGTGCAGTGGTGCAATCATGGCTCACTGCAGCCTCAACCTCCTGGGTTCAAGCCATCCTCTTACCTCAGCCCCCTGAGTAGCTGGGACTATAGGTGTGCATCACCATGTCTGGCTAATTTTTGTATTTTTTGTAGAGATAGGGTCTTGGCATGTTGCCCAGGCCTGTCTGGAACTCCTGGGCTCAAGCCATCTGCCTGTCTTAGCCTCCCAAAGTGCTGGGATTACAGGTGTGAGTCACTGCTCCCGGCTGTATTTTAATTTTTTAATAGAGATGAGTCTTGCTATGCTGCCCAGGGTGGTGTCATCCTGGCCTCAAACAATCCTCCTATCTCAGTCTCTCAAAGTTCTGGGATTACAGGTGTGACACACTGCATCCAGCCTCATATATATGTGTATATATATATATATGTGTGTGTGTGTGTGTATATATATATATGTGTATATATATATGTGTGTGTGTGTGTATATATATATATGTGTGTATATATATATATGTGTGTGTGTGTGTGTGTGTGTATATATATATATGTATATATATATATATATATATATATATAGCCAGAGTCTCGTTCTGTCACCCAGGCTGGAGTGCAGTGGCATGATCTCGGCTCACTGCAACCTCCACCTCCCAGGTTCAAGCGATTCTTCTGCCTCAGCCTCCCGAGTAGCTGGGACTACAGACGTGCGCCACCATGCCTGGCTAATTTTTGTTTGTATTTTTAGTAGAGATGAGGTTTCACCATATTGGCCAGGCTGGTCTCAAACTCCTGACCTCGTGATCCGCCTGCCTTGGCCTCCCAAAGTGCTGGGATTACAGGCGTGAGCCATGACTCCTGGCCGTATTATTTTTTAAGGGGGAAAAAGAATCATGAATTCATACTGATATTCTCAACTCAGGTCTTCAGGTTGGTGGCATCTTCTTTTGCCACACCTTGTAAATCTGAGACAAATTGGTTGGCATTGAAGCTGAGCCTGGAATTTGCCAACATGTTAAATGGTGTGTGATCCCCTCACTTTCCTCTGGAAGAGTTACTGAAGTTGATGCTAACAATACTCATTTATCTTCTCCTCCAACTCTCTGCCATTTCACCTTGGAGTGGCTTGGCTCTATTTCCTTTTAATACCCTGATTTAGAAAAACACTAACGCATATGAGACCTATCATAAAATGAGGATCCATCCTGCAAGATAGATGCCAAAACAAATGCAGTGATGCCACATTAGGGTTTTCTAATTTAACTTTTATCAGATGCCAAAATGCACAAAGTACTGTACAAAGCACAGCATTAAGCAGAGTCTCTAGCTACAGGGGTTGCAATGGGAATGTGGAAGCCAGCAAAACCCAGGGAAATGTATGATACAATCCCAATGGTTGGGAGGAGGTTATTATGCAGAACAGCGACACTGAGCCACTCTACATCATGGAAGTGTAGATTTCTGATGAAGGCCCCTTCTTTTCATCTCTTGTTTTTCAAATTAGCTAGGAGATAGCAAATGGGGAATTCAGGAAATTTGTTTTAAGCCATTAGCTAGGTGGAGTACAACACACCCTTGCTTGACCTGGGTAGCACACTGCTGCTTGTGGTGCAGGGTGATGTGCAGGAGACTTCAGAGGAATTGAGACAAGGCTAGGGAGATCCTGCTCAGTCCCAAGGGTGATGGCAGAACCCAAAAGTCCTTGATGATGTGACTGTACTCCACGTGGACTATATCACAGTAGGTGGGTAAGCTAAGCTCTCTGCTTTTTTTTTTTGGCGGGGGGCACAGAGTCTCACTCTGTCACCCAGGCTGAAGTGCAGTGGCGTGATCTCAGCTCACTGCAGCCTCCGTCTCCTGGGTTCAAGTGATTCTCCTGAGTAGCTGGGATTACAGGCGCCCATCACGCCTGGCTAATTTTTGTATTTTTAGTAGAGACGGGTTCTCACCATGTTGGCCAAGCTGGTCTCACCGTGTACCTTCGCTTACAGTAAAATATAGTTATTCTGATGATTAAATGAGTTAATTCATGTATAGTTGCTCCATGACTTATGATGGGGTTGCATTCAGAGAAACTCATGGTACAGTAGAAAAATCCCACATCAAGCCATGTTAAGTCGGGGACCAGCTGTACTAATTGTAGACACTCAGTAAATGCTAACTCTGATGACGATGGTGAGGATGATGATGATCTCTGTTTCTTCATCCTGAGAAATTTCTTTCTTTTTTTTTCTTTTTTTTTTTTCAGGCGTGGTCTGGCTCTGTTGCTCAGGCTGGAGTGCAGTGGCATGATCTCATCTCACTGCAACCTCCACCTCCCAGGCTCAAGCCATCCTCCCTCCCAAGTAGCTAGGACTACAACTACACGCCACCACACCTGGTGAACTTTTGTATTTTTTTTTGCAGAGATGGGGTTTCACCATGTTGCCCAGGCTGGTCTTGAACTCGAGAGCTCAAGTGATCTGCTCACCTTGGCCTCTCAAAGTGCTGGGATTACTGGCGTGAGGCACCGGTGCCCTGTCAGTCCTGAGAAATTTATGAGAGTACCCTGGTACCTGCTTTTTGGATCACTCAATGCTGAGGGTCAAAGTTTGTAATCAAAACCAAATTCCCTTATTCTACATCTTTTCACTTGCTCAGATCATCCTCCCACCTTCTATACTGCCTCCATCATTCAAAATAAAGTGAGTGGGCCGGGCGCGGTGGCTCACGCCTGTAATCCCAGCACTTTGGGAGGCCGAGGTGAGTGGATCACGAGATCAGGAGATCGAGACCATCCTGGCTAACACGGTGAAACCCTGTCTCTACTAAAAATACAAAAAATTAGCCAGGCGTGGTGGCAGGCACCTGTAGTCCCAGCTACTCGGGAGGCTGAGGCAGGAGAATGGCGTGAACCTGGGAGGCGGAGCTTGCAGTGAGCGGAGATCATGCCACTGCACTCCAGCCTGGGGGATAGAGCAAGACTCTGTCTCTAAATAAATAAATAAATAAATAAAGTGAAAGTAGATGCAGACTGAGCTCTGAAGAACTAATCAATCAACCAATATTTGCATCAGCAGCACGTTAGATGGCTAGTGATCTAACAGCTCTTGCCTTTAAGGAACTTTCAGTCTTACTTGGAGAGTTACAATTAAGAAGTGCACAATTAAAGAATAACTCAAAAAATTAAAGTGGAGTGATGATTATATGGCATAAGTAATTAAAGAAAACCAATAATGATTTGATACTTAAGATGTAATAATAAAATAAGAGCTAATATTTCATAGCCTGTGCTATGTGCTTTGTTTAGTGCTTTATATGCATGATTTGTTTAATTCAATCTGCACAAGAGTCCTCTAAGGTAGCTACTATTAGCATCTCCCTTTTCAGAAGAGGAAGCTAAAATCCAGACAAGTAGCTTGCTTGAGATCACACAGCTGGTAAATCGAGGAAGATGGAACACAGACAATACGTAGTATATTAGTCCATTCTCACATTGCTATAAAGAGCTACCTGAGACTGGGTAATTTATAAAGAAAAGAGGCTTAATTGACTCACAGTTCCACAGGCTGTACAGGAAGCATGGCTGGGGAGGCCTCAGGAAACTTGTAGTCAAGGCGGAAGGTGAAGGGGAAGCAGGCATGTTCTTCATGGCTAGAGCAGGAGGAAGAGAGAGCGAAGGGGGAAGTGCTACACACTTTCAAACAACCAGATAAGGCCAGGTGTGGTGTCTCACGCCTGTAATCCCACCACTTTGGGAGGCCGAGACAGGCGGATCACCTGAGGTCAGGAGTTTGAGACCAGCCTGGGCAACATGGTGAAACCCCATCTCTACTAAAAACACAAAAATTAGCCAGGTGTGGTGTAAGGCATCTGTAATCCCAGCTACTCAGGAGGCTGAGGCAGGAGAATTTCTTGAACCCGGGACGCAGAGATTGCAGTGAGCCGAGATCATGCCACTGCATTCCAGCCTGGGCGACAGAGCAAGACTCCATTTCAAAAAACAAACAAACAAAAAACCAACCAGATCTCATGAGAGTTCATTCACTATCAGGAGATCATGGGGGCGAGGGGAATCCGCCCCCATGATCCAATCCCCTCCTACCAGGCCCCTCCTCCAACACTGGGGATTACAATTTAACATGAGATTTGGATGGGGACACAAATACAAATCATATTACATAATAAATGAGTTCAGGCCGGGCACGGTGGCTCACGCCTGTAATCCCAGCACTTTGGGAGGCCGAGGTGGGTGGATCACGAGGTCAGGAGATCGAGACCATCCTGGCTAACACGATGAAACCCCTTCTCTACTAAAAATACAAAAAAATTAGCCGGCCGTGGTGGTGGGCGCCTGTAGTCCCAGCTACTTGGGAGGCTGAGACAGGAGAATGGCATGAACCCGGGAGGCAGAGCTTGCAGTGAGCCGAGATCGCACCACTGCACTCCAGCCTGGGCAACAGAGAGACTCCGTCTCAAAAACAAAACAAAACAAAAACATAATAAATGAGTTCAGAGGTGGCAGATGTTAATGTCAGCTTACGTTGAGGTAAGCCACAAATTCTCGTGTTTTTTTCAGAGTTCCCCATCAGGTGGAACAAAACTTGTCCTGTTACCTACCCTCAAAGACAAACCAGCAACCAGTTCACCACCCATCCACCCTTTCAGTGTCTTCTTGTTGATCTTTGGAGAAAGGCATGGCCTGGCAGGCTCTGCATGGTGCCACAGGCCTATCTAGCTCCTGTCTCTCCTGCATTTCCTTCCCTACTGGCTGCTTTCACTCTTTAAGCTCCTGCCCACCCCAGGGACTTTGCACATGCTATTTTTTCTACCTCCTCTGCTCTTCTGCCCTCTTTATTTAGGCAACTTCTACTCATCCTTCAGATCCCAGGTCAAGCATATCCTTCTTCAGGGAAGGTTTGCTTGACATCGCTGATGGGGTCAAATCCTCCTTTTAGAGGCTATCACCACACGCTGCATCTGTATTTTATAACACTTGTCACAGTATTATATTTGTCTGGTTCTTTGATTGATATCTATTACTCTCACTAGATTATAAGCCCCATAAGGAATGAGACTGGGCCGGGCGCGGTGGCTCACGCCTGTAATCCCAGCACTTTGGGAGGCCGAGGCGGGCGGATCACGAGGTCAGGAGATCGAGACCATCCCGGCTAAAACGGTGAAACCCCGTCTCTACTAAAACTACAAAAAATAGCCGGGCGTAGTGGCGGGCGCCTGTAGTCCTAGCTACTTGGGAGGCTGAGGCAGGAGAATGGCGTGAACCCGGGAGGCGGAGCTTGCAGTGAGCCGAGATCGCGCCACTGCACTCCAGCCTGGGCGACAGAGCGAGACTCCGTCTCAAAAAAAAAAAAAAAAAAAAAAGGAATGAGACTGAATCTATTTTTACTCATCATTGTGTTTTCAGCACCAAGCAAAGTACCTAACACATAATAGGCACTCAATGAACATTTGTGGAATAAACTGAGGAATAAGTAAAGACAGAAGATCTAAAACATGAAGGGGGCTACAGATAGGAAAGGGCTGGGGAGGGAAGAGGAGATATTCAAGAGAGGGAAACGAAACCAATGAGGCTACTTGTAAGTGATCTTGCAGTGTAAATGAGCTGAACACAAACAAACCCCCAAAGCGGCAGTCCATAGACCCATAGAAATGGTGACAGTGCCTGCTGAGTTGGTTAGCCTACCCCACACTTCTATTCATTGCTAAAGGCATCTCCACATATAGATAACCGCTCACTAAATTTTGCTTTTGCTCAGGAAATGCCTTTGCAGAAATTCTCCTTTGCCACTTCTGAAATGTGTAGACAACTCCTCAACCAAGACCTGGAGGCTGGTACCAACATCCAGAATGTTCTGGGTCTCAAAAAAATAAAAAAAGTTAAATAAATAAATAAGGAAAAAGAACCCTGGAAGTTCTGGGTCTCTAGCTTTCCCACTTCCCAGCCAGTCCTTGGTGAGGAAGTAGGTGCTGCACAGGGTTTATTCTTGCTTAAGGGAAACGAAGCACAATCTTGTGCTCTGTCATGGGTAGAACTGTGCCCCCCTCCACAATAAATGTTCAAGCCCTAGCCCCCAGTACTTGTGAACGTGACCTCATTTGGAACTAGGTCTTTGCACATGTAACCAACTTACGATGGAGTCATACTGAATTAGGGTGGGCCTTAATGCAATAACTGCTGTCCTTCTAAGAGAGATTTTGTTGGTACGCCGAGGCAGGTAGATCATGAGGTCAAGAGATCGAGACCATCCTGGCCAACATGGTGAAACCCTGACTCTACTAAAAATACAAAAATTAGCTGGGCTTGGTGGCATGTGCCTGTAATCCCAGCCACTTGGGAGGCCAAGGCAGGAGAATCACTTGAACCTGAGAGGCGGAGGTTGCAGTGAGCTGAGATCCTGCCACTGCACTCCAGCCTGGCAACAGAGCAAGATTCCATCTAAAAAAAGAGAGAGAGAGAGAGAGAGATTTGGACACAGACAGAAGACAAAGCCATGTGATGGCAAAGGCAGAGACTGGAGGGATGCATCTACAAGCCAACGAACGCCAGTTCTTGCCGGCAGCCACCAGAAGCCAGGAAGACGCAAGGGAAGGGCCTCCCCTGGCACCTTCAGAGACATCATAGGCCACTGACACCTTGATTTTTGACTTCTGGCCTCCAGACTGTGAGAGACTAATTTATATTGTTTTAAGCCATCCAGGTTTGTGATAAATTTGTTACTGCAGCCCTAGGAAACAAACACACTCTCTGCTCTGTTTTTGTTTTTGTTTTGATACAGGGTCTTGTTCTGTTGCCCAGGCTGGAGTGCAGTGGTGTGCTCACAGCTCATTGCAGTCTCGACCGCCTGGGCTGAAGTGATCCTCCTGCCTCAGCCTCCTGAGTAGCTGAGACCATAGGCGTACACCACTACAGCCAGCTAGATCCATGCTCTCAGAAGGAAAAGTTACCATTGAAGCTCAGATAGGAAAAATCATCTAGGATACAAATAGAGACCCAGTTTTATTTACCAAGTTTCTGTAGAATACAGCAAAGAAAACTAGGTGCAGTGGCAAAATAGACTCTGGAAATAGCAGACACTCTTGACATTGGAGTGTACAATTTTTGTAAGGTGCATTGCTACATATAGATACTTATGTTTGGGTTAACTAAGAAATACTCAAGGAGAAGTAGAAGGTAGTTTAGGTTGAAATTGTATTTAGCTGGATAAAGCAGGTAGGTAGAACAGTGATGACAAAACCATATGAAATCACTGAGGAGAGCTAGGACATTCTGGGATCTGTCTTCCAACTTTAAGGTTGCTGCTAGGCAGGGTAAACGTGGGTACCTAAAATCCATGCCCACTTCTTTGTACTCTGTCAGATACGGAGTACAGAGCCCTGATATAAAAGTCTTACCAACAATAATTTTCATTTTGTTTTGTTTTGTTTTTTTGGTGTAGGAGGGAAAGAGTACATGCTTATTCTTTTCTCCACATAGAATATTCTTTTTTTTTTTTTTTTTTTAGATGGAGTCTCCCTCTTGTCACCCAGGCTGGAGTGCAGTGGTGCAGTCTCGGCTCACTGCAACCTCTGACCCCTGGGTTCAAGCAATTCTCCTGTCTCAGCCTCCCGAATATCTGGGATTACAGGCACATGGCACCACGCCTGGCTAATTTTTGTATTTTTAGTAGAGATGGGGTTTCACCATGTTGGCCAGGCTGGTCTTGAACTCCCGACCTCAGGTGATCTGCCCGCCTCGGCCTCCCGAAGTGCTGGGATTACCAGGCTCACCCGGGGTGAGCCACTGTGCCCGGCCAGAATATTCTTAAAATTAGGCAGGTGTGGTGACGGGCGCCTGTATCCCAGCTACTCGGGAGGCTGAGACAGGAGAATCACTTGAACCCAGGAGGTGGAGGTTGCAGTGAGCCGAGATCGTACCACTTCACTCCAGCCTGGGCAACAAGAGCGAGACTCCATCTCCAAAAAAAAAAAAAAAAAAGAATATTCTTAGTATGCTTTCCTTTCATATGTAGGTACTGTGCTCGTTATCAATTTATGGCCCCTCAGCCCCAAATTTACCCTTCAGTACTTGTTCTGCGATAATGGACTGGACGCTAAGCATTTCTCCTCTGTGGTGAGATTGATGCTAAGTTGTCTCAGTAGAAGACAATGGAGGGAAATTGCAGGCTTCTCTTCTTAGTTCTGGTGTGTTGCATTTTTTCTTTTTGTTACTCTTCCTGCATGGTGATCAGTGGTTCGGGTCTGTGAGGGTATTTAATGGTGCACTGACCCCACTTCATGTCCAAAATGTGCAGTCTTTCGGTGACCATGCACCACCAACCCGGGCCCAAAGACCACCGTCCTCTGGCGCTCTGATGAGGATGCTGCAAGCTCCAGGCCTTGCCTTTGCATTGGTGCCCTGACTCCTCCTGCACACCTTCCCCCAAGCCTCAGCTCACCTGCCCTCCAGGCTCAGCTCACCTGCCCCTCAGGCTCAGCTCACCTGCTCCCCAGGTTCAGCTCACCTGCCCCTGGAGGGTTGTTTCCTGATTACCCCGTGACTGTGGACCACCTCTGGCCTGGGCAACTTCTCTGCCATCCAGTGGGCTGCAACCACACCTTCTCCAAAGAGATTTGAACCTCAGTCTTAGGAGGGAGCCTTCCCCCTAAGTATGTCTTTCCTTGGATACTCTCCCTCAGCCATGAAGTTCCCTTTAGCATTCTCTTCATATCTTATAGTTATGCTCCTATCCTAGCTTCATCATTATTTGAATTAGATGTCCCCCATTTAATTCAAATTAAATGTGGTTTAAATTAAATGTGGTTTAATTAATTTAAATAATTAAATGTGGTTTCTGCTTCCTGATTGTACCCAGACTGACACAGGTATATTCTCTCTTTGACAGAAAGCACAAATGTAGGGACTTCTCAAAGAAGAAATGCAAAGACTTTCCTCAAAGAACTAGAGAGTTTATTTGAATAAGTCTCTTGACATCTGGTTTGATCTCCCCAGTTGAAATTCCTGCCATCCATGAATTGCAAATATCCAGTAATGGCCTTGAAGGGATCTAGATGTGTGGCTCCCATTCTGCACCAGTTACTGGATGGTTGTCTCAGCTCTATTTCCTCCACCAGCTGATCTAAACTTTCAAAGGTTATTCACGTATATATGTAGCAATTTGAAGACAAACTTTGTGTGGCTGTAAGAGCCTTCTCTCTGGCCAGTAAGACAAGCCACACTTCTCCTCTCTGAAAAAGATCATCCCTGTGTTTGTGTTATAGGAAATGTTGAACAAAGTGTTGAATACAGGAGAATGGTTTCTGTCAGGAACAACTGTGTTCCCAGTATCATAGGATAGTTGTGAAAAGTAAATGAGATTCTCTAGATAAAATGCTCAGCCTAGTCCTGACACTTTGTATGTGCTCAGGTATTATGAGTTCTTCTATCATTCATTCATTCATTCATTCATTCATTCATTCACCCATTCATTCATTCATTCATTTCATACTTAGCAGCTACCATATACAGGTGCTATTATCAGCATGGGGATATGAGGATGAACAAGACGCATTTTCTGCCCTCACGGAGAGGCCAGTTGAGTCTCCTATTTAGTACAAGCCGAAGTGTAAGAATCAGTCCCCCTCTTCATTTTTTAATATATAGAAGGATATGGGCTTTCAAGTAAGAGAAATATAATTAATAACTTAATTATACAATGTAAAGCATTGAAATAAGCTCACATATCTAGAGGGACATGTTTTCTGTTGTAGTTTGGCGTGAGTTTTGACAAGCCCTGATTATTACTAGACCAGATTCTCTTTCTATAATTAGCTAGAAATATATTTAGTCACATGTGATATATAGAGATATATATATTAGGTAGAGAATGTTACCATACAGTAGGCTACTGATAAACATTATAAACAGTACTTAATTTAATCTTTATAACTATTTTATTTATTTATTTATTTGAGATGGAGTTTCACGCTTGTCGCCAAGGCTGGAGTGCAGTGGTGCAATCTTGGCTCACTGCAACCTCCGCCTCCTGGGTTCAAGGGATTCTTCTGCCTCAGCCTCCCAAGCAGCTGGGATGACAGGCGCATGCCACCACACCCGGCTAAATTTTGTATTTTTAGTAGAGACGGGGTTTCACCATGTTAGCCAGGCTGGTCTCGAACTCCTGACCACAGGTGATCTGCCCGCCTCCGTCTCCCAAAGTGCTGGGATTACAGGTGTGAGCCACCATGCCTGGCAGTTCTGAAGTTCTTTTGGAAATCTCCACACTGCTTTCCACAGTGGCTGAACTAATTTACATTCCCACCAGCAGTGTGTAAGCATTCCTTTTTCTCTGCAACCTTGCCAGCATTTGCTATTTTTTGACTTTTTAATAATAGCCATTCTGCCGGGTGCGGTGGCTCATGCCTGTAATCCCAGCACTTTGGGAGGCGGAGGCGGGTGGATCGCCTGAGGTCAGGAGTTCGAGACTAGCCTGGCCAACATGGTGAAACCCCATCTCTACTAAAAATACAAAAAACTTAGCCAGGCGTGGTGGCGTGTGCCTGCAATCCCAGCTATACGGGAGACAGGCAGGAGAGTCGCTTGAACCCAGGTGGCGGAGGTTGCACTGAGCCGAGATCATGCCATTGCACTCCAGGCTGGGTGACAAGAGCGAGACTCTGTCTGAAAAAAAAAAAAAAAATACATATATGTAATAATAGCCATTCTGACTGGTGTAAGTTGGTATCTCCTTGTGGTTTTGATGTGCATTTCTCTAATGATTAGTGATGTTGAACATTTTTTCATATATTTGTTGGCCACATGTATGTCTTCTTTTGAGAAGTATCTGCTCATATGCTTTGCCCATTTTTTAATGGGGTTGTTTATTTCTTGCTTGTTGAATTGTTTAAGTTCCTTACAGATCCCCAGAGTGACTTTTCCAAGAGACTTGCACGGAATTCGCAAGGCTTTTTATGACCTAGCCCTGGAATTTATTCAGCATCCCTTCTGCTGTATTCCACGGTGAGTCACAGGGTCAACTGAGATTCAATATCCGAGAGAACTACGTAAGTCCATGGTTATGGGAGGCATCATTCAGTGGGTGCTGTCTTTGGAGTGTAACTACCATTGAGGGGAGATAGCAGCCTGGCAAGGGAAACCTTCTCAGAGGAGGAGATGTTTACAGGGGAACTCTCGGACGAGGAGGAGGAGTTAGCCAAGTGAAGAATGGGGGAGGAAAGGAAGGGTCTTCCAGGTGGAAGGAGCCTCGTGTACAAAGACCCAGATAGAAGGGGTGAGGGCAGGATAAGCAGGTTGTATTCAGGTTCTATATCATTTACTTGTTGAGTGACTTTGGATAGTTATTTAACCTTTCCACTTCTGTTTTCTCATCTGCGAAATGGAGATAATTATAGTTAATATCTAGTAGAGTTGTAAATATTAAATAAGTTAATGCAGAAAGTATTTTATTAATCTATTTTTATTTGTCTTTCTTTTTCAAACACCAACTTGAACCAGAAGGAAGAGTTTTTTAGAACAAACCTGATACATAGGAAACAATAGATGATGGTCATTGTTGCTATTATTAGTATTATACAGGGAGCCGTGGGTATGTAAATATACAGCTGGAACATAGAATTTAAGAAAGTGAATGGAGAGGCCAGGCGCAGTGGCTCATGCCTGTAATCCCAGCACTTTGGGAGGCTGAGGTGGGCGGATCGCTTGAGGTCACGAGTTCGAGACCAGCCTGGCCAACATGGTGAAATCTGTCTTTACTAAAAATACAAAAATTAGCTGGGCATGATGGCGTGTGCCTGTAATCCCAGCTACTTGGGAGGCTGAGGCTGGAGAATTGGTTGAACCCAGGAGGTTCAATTGTGCCACTGCACTCCAGCCTGGGCGATAGAGCAAGACTCAGTCTCAAAAAAAAAAAAAAAAAAAAAAAAAAAAAAAAGAGGGTGAATGGAGAGAGAGATATCATTCTGGAATGGTAAACAGGGGCCAGATCACGAATGACTTTGTAAGCCATACATGGTTTTCTGAACTTGTCCTAGAGTAAGTGAAGAGAGGTTGTGTTTGTTTTTGAGATAGGGTCTTGTTTTGCCACCCAGGCTGCAGTGCAGTGGCGTGAGCACAGCTCACTACAGCCTCGACCTCCTGGGCTCAAGCCATCCTCCCCACTCAGCCTCCGGAGTGGCTGGGTCTATAGGTGAGCACCACCATGCCCAGTTAATTTTTTATTTTTTGTAGAGATGGTATCTAACTATGTTGCCCAGGCTCGTCTCAAACTCCTGGCCTCAAGTGATCCTCTCGCCTTGGTCTCCCAAAGTGCTGGGATTACAGGTGTGAGCCACTGGGCCAGGCTGAGAGGTTATGGATTTTGAGGAGAGTTGAGCAGATTTGGGGTTTTAGGAGGATCTCTACACAAAAGGCTTCTAGAGTGGGGAATGCTTTGGAGAGAAGAAAAACTAGAGACATGGAGATCAGCTGGAAGCCACTGTGGTGGTCCAGGAGAGGCTTGTGGGGGCTGGGCCTGAGGTTGTGCTGAGGGGGATGAAGAGAAGTGGACCTGCTAAAGGTCACAGTGCTGGTTAGTGACGGACCAGGGGCGGGAGCTGTTGACTAATTACATAAGAATTTCCTGCCAGGAAATTAGCCTTTTTTTCTTGTTTATTTAGGCATGAATTTAATATATGTGCTACTTGATAGAAACAGATAAGTAACTACAAGTAACTGGGCAGGGATGGTTAGCTGGGAGGTATGGATTTCATTTCCATTACTAATGCCTGCAATTGCTGATAATAGACGTGCCCCAGGAATCGCTGCAAGGGAAATGGAGCAAGGTGAGCCATTCTCTTTGAAGGAGTTTTTTCCAGCTCTACCGGTTTATGTGTATAGGGTCACACCCTACCTTCTTATAACTGCCTCATTTGTTCTCCTTTGGGTCAGGCTGAAAGTGTTTGTTTGCTTTTTCTGGTTTTATTGGCATAGAAAACTCTAGCAAGATGTGATTGGCCACTCTGTGGGGGCATCACTGGCCTTTCAAGCTGTGTTTCTCAAACATTCTCTGTGGACGCAGATTGGTCATGGCATCTGCATTCCTGGAAGGTGCAGGCTGATGGGTGGAGCGGAGGAGTTTTGAGGAGCCAGATGAGATGAGGCACCTGGGGACAGGTGACCCCAGCAGCTGCCGCTTGCAGGAGAGAGCTTCTGAGGAAAGACATCTGAGTCAGCAGGGTGACTGCTGGGACTGTGGGCAAAGCATGAGCCCAGCGGTGTTCTCATCCACCCAGTTAGGCGACCCTGAAGGTCTATGATGATAATCTAAATGATCCCTGAAAGGATCTGCTCTAATCTCTTCGCTGGTCCATGAACCTGCCAGGCTTGTTCTGATTCCGTATGGGAATTTGATTGATAAAGTCCTATGCATTCTTGAGTCACCCCCATCACCCACCCTCTACTCCCTTTGAAGAACCACAGAGGGAAGAGTAGACACCATACAGCTCACACTGACTCACTTCTGTGTTCAATGCATTGCTCCTCTTAGTCTCCCAGCTTTTCTAGAAGCCCTCTGAGGGCTTTTTTTTTTCCTTTTCTTTTTGAGACAGGGTCTCTGTTGCCCAGGCTGGAGTGCAGTGGCATGCTCTCAGCTCGCTCTGCCTCCTGGGCTCAAGTGATCCTCCTACCACAGCCTCCTGAGTAGCAGGACTACAGGTGCGCACTACCACGCCTCGCTAATTTTTGTATTTTTAGTAGAGATGGGGTTTCACCATGTTGCCTAGGCTGGTCTCAAACTCCTGACCTCAAGTGATCTGCCCACCTCAGCCTCCCAAAGTGCTGGGGTTACAGGCGTCAGCCACCGCACCTGGCCCTTCTGAGGGCTTTTTATTCCTTCTATGTTCTCGTAACTCCTCTCAGAGTTTTTAGGTGACCTCTGTTGATTGACAGATCCAGAAGTTTGGAAGATGTGTCAGCCTGAATTTACAGATTGGGAAGCCGAAGAGGAAGGGTTTAGCCACCTGCCCAAGATTGTGAGAATTGGCAGTTATTCACCAGATAACCAGGAACAGTCCTAGAGTTAAACATTTTACATACATTTGTTGTTTAATCCTTTCAACAAAGCCTAAGAGGTAGAAGGTCTCATTATCCCCATTTCATAGCTGAGGAAATTGAAGCTTACAGTTTTTAAATAACTCCACTGCACTTACATGTCAAACTCAGAATTAAACCCAGTCTTATTCCTAACTGCTTCTCATTTTCAGCACTTCCTACATTGTATTACAGCTTCATCTACTTGCCTTCTCTGCAAATTAGACTATTACCTTTTCTAAAGGCAGGAACAATACTTTTTATTTTAATCAGGACCTAGCACACAACCTGATACATAGTTGATGTTTAATGAATGATTATTAACCAAATGTTAAAAGAATAAAGAGCTGGTGATAAAGCTAACTTCTAGTCCAGGTATGCACTGCCTCCCTGCAAAGGCCAGGCTGGCCTGCTCCCTTTCAGAATGGGATCTCATAGGAGCCTCTTCTCTACTCAAAGTGACACCATCAGACCCCATATATGGGGAACAATGTTACTTCCTGGTTTCCTTTAAAAGCCCTTTGGGAGGAGACAGTGAGCAGGCGTCAGTCTTGGGGAGCCTCTTCAGCCCTGCAGGGTTGGGGCCTCCTTTCTGTCTCTCCTCCATGGCACAGAGCTCCACTTACAATCCACAGAAACCCTTGGAGGCAGTGAGCATCAGCCTCCATCTAAAGTGGTGATGACCAGCCTAGTCTCTGGCTGGAGAAACTTGGAGTTGATTCTGGTTCTCTTGGGCCAGATATTAACCTTATGAAGTCTCAGTTTCCTCCCTATAATGTGGGGATACATATAATGTCCATTTCATCCAGTTGCTATCAAGATTGAATGAGAAAATGCATGCCCAGTCCTCATCACAGCATGAGGTGAATGACAGCTTTGGTTACTGGAATTTGAAGGCCTGAGAGAGGAATGTGAAAGAGGAACTAATAATAACATCAGGCACTGCAGGGCGCTTTGCCAATCACTCTTTTTTTTTTTTTTTGAGTCAGGGTCTCCTTCTGTGGCCCAGTCTGGAATGTTAGTGGTGCAATCTCGACTCACTGCAACCTCCGCCTCCCGGATTCAAGTGATTCTCCTGCCTCAGCCTCCCAAGTAGCTGGGATTACACGTACGCACCACCATGCCCGGCAAATTTTTGTATTTTTAGTAGAGATAGGGTTTCAACATATTGGCCAGGCTGGTCTCAAACTCGTGACCTCAAGTGATCTGCCCGCCTCAGCCTCCCAAAATGCTGGGATTATAGGCGTGAACCATCACACCGGGCCATTCCAATCACTCTTCATTTCCTGCATCTCAAAGCAACGCTGTCAAACAGTTGGAGTTGATTTTCTAGGCCTTTCTGTTTTCCCCCTCCTGCTTGCCATTGCAGGGCCTCCTCTGGTCACTCGTACCAGTGAGAGATCAGGCTCCTTTAGGAAGTACTCACAGCGGAAAATCAGCTTGAAACTGCCTTTGGAAAAGTATGACTGAGACAGTGAAGGAGATCAAACTTAACTGACTCCCTCTTGCTCCTAACCTCCAGACTGTCCTTATTCATTCCTGGGTGTAGGCCGAACTAACTTTGGGAGAAACTTAGTTTATAGTTTAAACAAAGACGGTAACAACCCTTTCTTAAAGCAGACCTCCTTCTTGCCTGGGGACTAGATTGCCTTTGTAGGATGAACATTAACCACAAGATTAGAAATTATGGTTTAGGAGTCATGCAGCTGGAGCTACAAGATTCCAACCCTCCCCTAAACTGCTCCTAAGATCAGTGCTTCTTTCCCAAGCGGCTGCCGAAGATGGCGGAGGTACAGGTCCTGGTGCTTGATGGTCGAGGCCATCTCCTGGGCCACCTGGCGGCCATCGTGGCTAAACAGGTACTGCTGGGCCGGAAGGTGGTGGTTGTATGCTGTGAAGGCATCAACATTTCTGGCAATTTCTACAGAAACAAGTTGAAGTACCTGGCTTTCCTCCGCAAGCGGATGAACAGCAACCCTTCCCGAGGCCCCTACCCCCTCCAGGCCCCCAGCCGCATCTTCTGGCAGACCATGCGAGGTATGCCGCCCCACAAGACCAAGCCAGGCCAGGCCGCTCTGGACTGCCTCAAGGTGTTTGACGGCATCCCACCGCCCTACGACAAGAAAAAGCGGATGGTGGTTCCTGCTGCCCTCAAGGTTGTGCGTCTGAAGCCTGCAAGAAAGTTTGCCTATCTGGGGCGCCTGGCTCACGAGGTTGGCTGGAAGTACCAGGCAGTGACAGCCACCCTGGAGGAGAAGAGGAAAGAGAAAGCCAAGATCCACTACCGGAAGAAGAAACAGTTCATGAGGCTATGGAAACAGGCCGAGAAGAACGTGGAGAAGAAAATTGACAAATACACAGAAGTCCTCAAGACCCACGGACTCCTGGTCTGAGCCCAATAAAGACTGTTAATTCCTCAAAAAAAAAAAAAAAAAAAAAAGATCAGTGGTTGAGATATTCTGCAGACCCTGCACTTGATGGATCAGCTGGCACCACCCAGATCAATAAACTGGCTCATCTGATCTTGTGGCCCCCACCCAGAACTGACTCTGAAAGAAGACGGCTCCGACTTCCTACGATTTCATCTCTAACCAATCAGCACTCCTGGCTCACTGGCTTCCCCTCATCTGCCAAATTATCCTTAAAAATTCTGCTCCCCAAATGCTCAGGGAGGCTGATTTGAGTAAGAATAAAACTCCAGTCTCCTGCACAGCTGGCTCTGTGTGATTTACTCTTTCTCTATTGCAATTTCCCTGTCTTGATGAATTGGTCTGTCTATGTAGCGGGCAAGGTGAACCCCTTGAGTGGTTACAGTAACCGAGAGAGGGGACTTAACTTTTTGTATATGTTTATAAATTAGTTCCATTTGTATGTTCATTCTTTTTTCTAGTGTCTTATCTTTGGGCTTATTTTATAACTTAAGTCTGTAAAGCAGTCACTCTGAACCTGTAGTGAGTTGAAGAAGCCCTTAAAACATCTCTGGGCCGGGTGCGGTGGCTTACGCCTGTAATCCCAGCACTTTGGGAGGCTGAGGCAGGTGGATCACGAGGTCAGGAGATCGAGACCATCCTGGCTAACATGGTGAAACCCCGTCTCTACTAAAAATACAAAAAATTAGCAGGGCGTGGTGGCGGGTGCCTGTAGTCCCACCTACTCGGGAGGCTGAGGCAGGAGAATGGCGTGAACCCAGGAGGCGGAGCTTGTGGTGAGCCGAGATCGTGTCACTGCCCTCCAGCCTGGGCGACAAAGCAACGCTCCGTCTCAAAAAACAAACAAAGAAACAAACAAAATCTCCTCTGAAAAATGTCATTATTACCTTTCCTTAGTTCCAGGAGTCCGGGAGCCTCCTTTGTGCAGAGATCTTTGTATTGCCACATTAGTGCAATGCCCTGCACATAATAGATGCTTAATATATAGCACTGCACTGAACTGAAATGAGTAGTGACACTTGCCAGACAGTCTTGCAAAAGAGGAACAGGTGAATCCTTAACACAATTCAAGGTCTTATAGGAAGAAACTGCCAGTCAACCAAAACTAAACCGAGGCATACATTTCTTTCCTCACCTGGCTTACAATGCTGGAAGGTCTCTGGTTTCCTCTAAAGTGCCCTGGGTTTAGCCCATTAAACCTTATCTGTCTTATAAACCTTGCCATGAATATGCTTATCAGCTTCTTCCTGGGAGCATAAAATGGGTTTGGATAATGACTATAAAGCGCTGGAATAAGGAAGGTGCTCAACAGAAGTTGTTAGTGTAAACAAGAGCAGGTTAGAAGTGAGAAGAAGGTGCTCAGAGGACAGAGGAGATATGGGGAAGGACTTGGAATTAGTGGGGTGGAACTGGGGAGGAGAGCAGGAGGCCTGGCACTGAGAGCATCTCCTTCCCAGCTTGTTCTAGACAAGAGTAGCCTTGCCTGCCAGAAGCCCTGAGATTACAGGTGAGCTGGATCCCGAGAAATGAAGTCCCTGACTAATAGCAAATAAAGACACGGCCATTTGATAGTTCTGTTCTACATCTCGGAATGGGTAGAAATACAATAATAGCACCAAACATGAATTATGGAAAACAAGCTGTGAATGGAGACATTTGCTAAGAGATGCCAGCCCGGCTCAGCGAAGTCAATTCATCAGCTATTTTCACTTGGGAAAGAGAAATTAAGGGCAGAGCCGCAGTCCCTGCCAAACCTAACAGTCTAAAAAGCAGACTGTGTAACTTACCAAGGCCTCAGGGCAACATTAGCTGCAAATGAGCTCAGCAGGGCGGGGGCCTCCGCACAGTTCTCTAGGGGGAGAGATGGCAGGGGCCACAGCCTCTAATGTTAAAGCCACCTGCAGGGCCAGAGGGCCTCTCTGGAGGCAGAGGGATGCAGCAAAGACTACTTGGCTCTGCAGTCAGGGCTGGGCCGGGTGGTGCCGCACCGCTTTCTAATGGTAACTTAACCTCTCCAAGCTTCTTTCCTCATCTATAAAATGAGGCTAATAGCATCTGCTCTGCAGAGTTTCTGTAAAGATTAAAAACAAGACAAAGCAAGCACAAGGGCTTTGGAAACTGTAAAAGCTCTGGATATCAGATGTCATTATCATGAAAGAGAAACAATACTGGTTAAAAACAAAAGTTTCCTTCTGATGACTATTCCATGGTGTATTTTAGTGAAAGGGAAAAAAAATCCTACTGTCTATAGATAAAATATATATATTTTTTCCTGCAGTAAGCAAATAGGCTTCCGATAAAAAGCTGACATAGGGGCCAGGCACAGTGGCTCACACCTGTAACCCCAGCACTTTGGGAGGCTGAGGGGGGAGGATCACTTGAGGTCGGGAGTTCCAGACCAGCCTGGGCAACATGGTGAAACCCCGTCTCTACTAAAAATACAAAAATTAGCCAGGTATGGTGGTGCGCGCCTGTAGTCCCAGCTACTCAGGAGGCTGAGGCAGGAGAATTGCTTGAACCGGGAAGGCAGAGGTTGCAGTGAGCTGAGATCATGCCATTGCACTCCAGCCTGGGGGACAGTGTGAAACTCTGTCTAAACAAACGAACAACAAAAACAAAAACTGACATAGGGAAATGTTTTTCCCCCTGGATGGGCCCTGTCTTCCTCTGCCCTGTGTTGGCCTATCCCTACCAGCCCCTTTGTGTCACCTGGAGAGGCAGCCTTTAACATCAACAGCCAGGTGCACCTTCTAAGGCAAACCTGGCCTATGCTGGCAGGTACACAGGTGAAGGGATACAGGTTCATAGTGCTTCTAACCTTTTTACTCTCTATGGATTCCTTTGAGAACGTGATGAAAGCCATGGGCATGGAAAATGCTCTCTTTTCTTCTCTTTTCTTTCTTGGGGTTGTGCCTAGGCTGGAGTGCAGTGGCATGATCACAGCTCACTGCAGACTTGAGCTCCCAGGCTCAGGTGGTCCTCCCGCCTCAGTCTTGGGAGTAGCTGGAACCACAGGTATGTACCACCACACTTAGCTAATTTTTTTGATTTTTAGTTTTTTTTTTTTTTTTTGAGACGGAGTCTAGCTCTGTTGCCCAGGCTGGAATGCAGTGGTACAATCTTGGCTCACTGCAAGCTCCGCCTCCTGGGTTCACGCCATTCTCCTGCCTCAGCCTCCCTAGTAGCTGGGACTACAGGAGCATGACTCTATGCCCCGCTAATTTTTGTATTTTTAGTAGAGATGGGGGTTCACCATGTTGGCCAGGCTGGTCTCACACTCCTGACCTCATGATCCGCCTGCCTCGGCCTCCCAAAGTGCTGGGATTACAGGCGTGAGCCACCGTGCCCGGCCTAGCTTTTTTTGATTTTTAGTAGAGATGAAGTCTTGCTATGTTGTCCAGACTTGTCTGGATTTCCGGAACTCAAATAATATATTTCTGACCACAAGGGAGAAGGTTCTTAACTTGAGGCCCATCCTTGAGTCCCTCTGTGTGTGTGTGTGTGTGTGTGTGTGGTCCATGGACACTAGGTGTCTTAGTCTGCTGGGGCTGCAATAACAAAATGCCATAGCACAGGTAGTCAAATAACAGAGATTTATTTTCTCACAATTCTCGAGGCTAGAAGTCCATGATCAGGGTGCAGGATGGCTGGGTTCTGGTGAGGGCTCTCTTTCCAGCTCATGGACAATGGCCATCTTTTTGGTGTGTTCACGTGACCTCTTCTTTGCATGAGAAGGACGATATATATATATATGGAGAGAGAGAGAGAGAGAGAGACAGAGACAGAGAGGGAGAGAGAGAGAGAGAGAGAGAGAATGAGGAAGCTCTCTGGTGTCTTCTAAGGGCACTAACCCCTATCATAAGGATCCTACCCTTATCACCTCATCTAAATCTAATTACTTCCTAAAAGCCCTACCTCCTGATACCATCACACTGGGGGTTGAAACTTCAGATGTGAATTTTAGAGGGGCACAATTCAGTCATTGGCACCAGGTTATGAACCCTGCACTACAGAAGATAGGGAGCCTTGGTCTCTGAGCTCAAGTGTAACATTTCTTTCATTTTTTTTTTCCTTTGGGTGAAAGCAGAAAATGCAGGACTAAAAAAATGCAGAATCTGGTGAAACCCCATCTTTACTAAAATACAAAAAAAAAAAAAAAAATTAGCGAGCGTGGCGGCGTGTGCCTGTAGTTCCAGCTACTCGGGAGGCTGAGGCAGGAGAATTGCTAGAATCCGGGAGGCGGAGCTTGCAGTGAGCTGAGATCGCACCACTGCACTCCAGCCTGGGTGATACAGCGAGACTCCGTCTCCAAAGAAAAGAAAAGAAAAGAAATGCAGAATTAGGCCGTGCGCGGTGGCTCATGCCTGTAATCCCAGCACTTTGGGTGGCCGAGGTGGGTGGATCACTGGAGCTCAGGAGTTTGAGACCAGGCTGGGCAACATGATGAAACCCCGACTCTACAAAAAATACAAAAATTAGCTGGGTGTGGTGGCGCAAGCCTGTAGTCCCAGCTACTAGGGAGACTGAGGCGGGAGGATGGCTTGAACCCAGGAGATGGAGGTTGTGGTGAGCTGAGGTTGTGGTGAGCTGAGGTTGTGGTGAGCTGAGGTTGCGCCACTGCACTCGAGCCTGGGTGACAGAGCGAGAGCCTGTCTCAAAAGAGAAAAAGAAAAAGAAAACAAAATGCAGGATGGCAGAGTTTGCTATCTAAAATGTTATCCTTGGGCAGGTACTAAAGTGGGAATTAGGGTGCTATAGCAGCTGGATGCTAGGAACAAGAGTCTAGAGACCTGGGTTCTAGTCCTGCCTCCCCAGTCAACCCGAATTGGGACCTAAGACACATCATTCCGTATCTCTGAACTTCAGTTTTTTCACTGGTCAAGCTTATTCCCATCTAATGCTACTACTTATTGATGCCATATCATGAGCCAGACACTAAGCTATTTCCTCCCTGTTCCCCCACCCCCAATATAATTGCTGATGTGTTTAATATTACTGCAAAGCAAGTCTTATTATACCCATTTTACAGCTAAGGAGGAGGTTAAATAGTTGGCCCCAGGTCATATAACTATTTAAAGAATGAGCTGCAATTGGCATTCAGGCTTAGCCAACTCCAGGCTCAGCCAACTTCCAGGCTCTTGCTATATATGGTTGTATTGACATTATGGTTATGCTGTGAGAATTACACGGGACACCATGTAGAAAATCTTTTGAAAACCATGAAACATTCTCTCTCTCTGCATACAGACACACACACACACGTACTGTTATGATTTTGTGGGAAGACAGCCATACTTCTTTACAATGGAAAATAGAATTCCCATAGGTCTCAATTCAAAAATTCTTTCTCAGGGGATCTAGACGTGCCTTGGTTATGGGAAACCAAGTGGTCATACTTCTGGGGCCCTCATCTTTAGCAAGATGAAGGTGGCTTGGTCTTCTCCCGCTTCCCCGTAAGATCTCTTCTCTCCTCAATACCCACCTTTGTCAGGCCCTATTTACACTGTTCCCTCCCAAGGCCACACCCATCAATTTCTTGAAAAGGCATTTCAGGCAGTCGTGGTTTTGCGTAGTACAAGAGAAATAAGGAAATGACTCGTGGGTGAGTGGAGAGTCCAATGGCACCCTTGTTCTGCCGCCCCCCTGCCGCAGGCCAGGGTGGTTCGGAGTTGCCACTGCAGTGTGTCCCTGATGGTGGGGCTCTGGGGTGTTTCCTTAGCAGCAGCCTAGAGTCTCTCTGCAGGAGTTTCACTCTGGGTTGGGGTCTGTGTTGTCTTTGGAATGAGCCCGTTAAACAGAAGATATCAGGCCAGGCACGGTGGCTCCACTTTGCGAGGTGGAGGAGGAAGGATTCTTTGAGCCCAGGAGTTTGAGACCACCTGGGCAACATTGGGAGACTCCGTCTCTATTAAAAATTTTAAAAAATTGGCCGGGCATGGTGGCTCACACCTGTAATCCCAGTACTTTGGGAGGCTGAGGTAGGTGGGTCACCTGAGGTCAGGAGTTCAAGACCAGCCTGACCAACATGGAGAAACCCCGTCTCTACTAAAAATACAAAACTAGCCTGGCCTGGTGGTGCATGCCTGTAATCCCAGCTACTTGGGAGGCTGAGGCAGGAGAATTGCTTGAACCTGGGATGCAGAGGTTATGGTGAGCTGAGATTGTGCCATTGCACTCCAGCCTGGGCAACAAGAGTGAAACTTCGTCTCAAAAAAATTTTTTTTAAATTAACTGGGTGTGGTGGTGGGTGCCTGTGGTCCCAGCTACTCTGGAGCTTGAGGTGGGAGGATTGCTTGAGTCTGGGAGGTCGAGGCTGCAGTGAGCCATGATCGTACCCTGCACTCCAGCCTGGGCAACAGAGTGAGACCCCATCTCGGGGTAGGGAAAAAAACCTAAAGAACCCAGGCAATATCTTGTGTCTGCTGGCGCCACTGGCCCATATCTGGGACAAGGCTAGAATAGACTCAGCCATGGCCTGGGAGAGCAGACTGAGCCTGTCTCTTCCCACCCCTATCCCTTTTGACTTTTTTCCTTGGGATTCCCCTACCAACACACCAAATAAACTTAGCAACCAAAAGAACAGGCAGCACAAGGTGGTAATCGGATTTTCTAACCCAAGAGAGGAGACTAAGGACACTTTGATGCAAAGGTGATTTTTTTTTATTTGAAGGTGGCCTGTTTGTTTATTTACTGATTCAGTTTCATCTAAAACACTAGCCATACCTGGCATGCAGTAGTTGGTTTATACAAGTTTGTAGAGAGAATACATGAACAGTTCTCCATAGTCCTTTTGTACTCAAAAGGAGAGCTAGCACACAGTACGACTTCAATCAATACTTGGTTCTTACCTCTGTCTTCCCTGAGGTGTTTCATTCTTCAGATGCCTCAGGAAACCATGAGTGAGGCTGTATTAAACAACGTGTTTAAGGCCGGGCGCGGTGGCTCATGCCTGTAATCCCAGCACTTTGGGAGGCCGAGGCGGGCGGATCACCAGGTCAGGAGATCGAGACCATCCTGGCTAACATGGTGAAACCCCGTCTCTACTAAAAATGGAAAAAAATAGCCAGGCGTGGTGGCGGGTGCCTGTAGTCCCAGTTACTCAGGAGGCTGAGGCAGGAAAATGGTGTCAACCCGGGAGGCAGAGCTTGCAGTGAGCCAAGAAAACGCCACTGCACTCCAGCCTGGGCGACAGAGCGAGACTCTGTCTCAAAAAAAAAAAAAAAAAAACAACAAAGAACATATTTAAAAACCTCAGGCCAGTCTGCACTGAAAAGCCAAATATTTCCTCTATGCTCGGGGGAGAATTAACTTTGTTTACTGACCTTCTTATCTTGGTAGAAATGCTTTTCTGTGTTCCACTGACTCATCAAGTAAATTTCAGACAATGTACTTTTCTTTTTACAGGTCTTAGCCCAGCCCAGCCCCTTAGGGATACAGGAGATCTGAGAGCAAGATCTGAGAGCAAATAAAGCAAGTTTATTTGAGAACAATTTCAAAAGTGAAGGTGTTCCTTGTCACCCTATATTGAAATTCTGGATTGTTCCAGTCAATGAGAGTAGAAGTGTTTTCATTTCTCTCACCTTCTTTTATTTGCTGGGGGATAAATGTTGTGGCTTGAAGGCAGAGCAAGGAATTTGTGTTCTATACTGGAACTCTAAGTGAATCATCTCACCTGTGAACTATTGTGAAAAAAGCCTATGACTTCAAACTTGTGCAAGATGGTGCCATAGAGGATAAAAACAAGATGGAGGCAGGATGGGATGGCTCACGCCTGTAATCCCGGTAGTTTGGGAGGCCGAAGCGGGTGGATCACCTGAGGTCAGGAGTTCGAGACCAGCTTGGCCAACATGAAACCCCGTCTCTATTAAAAATACAAAATTAGCCGGGCATGGTGGCGTGCACCTGTAGTCTCAGCTACTCGGGAAGCTGAGGCAGGAGAATCTCTTGAACTTGGGAGGCGGAGGTTGCAGTGAGCCAAGATTGTACCACTGCACTCCAGCCTGGGTGACAGAGCGAGACTGTCAAAAAAAGAAAAAAAAAAAGAGATAGAAAATATTATCATTTGTGCTTCTGTGATATTTTCCCTTTTTGGATAAATGATGATTGATTTATTCTAAACTCCTCTGGGGATTGGCAAACTTCATGTTAACTTCTATATCCTAACACCTGATGTGTCACCAGACTCTTGCCTCACCGTCAGGGTGTTCCATTCCATCCCACTCAGCCGCACCAGCACGAGTGATTTTACCGTGAAGTAGGAAAGAGAATTAATGAGAAAGCACTTCCAGAATTCTGCTGGGGAAAGTAAGAGATTATAACATTTTAAGGGATCATCCCAGTTTCAAATATTCACCCCAAAACTGATCCCATAAGCCTTTACAATATCACAACAGCGGTGGGCAGATTGCCTAAGCTCAGGAG
This sequence comes from Homo sapiens, assembly GCF_000001405.40. Classification (NCBI taxonomy): domain Eukaryota; kingdom Metazoa; phylum Chordata; class Mammalia; order Primates; family Hominidae; genus Homo; species Homo sapiens. The sequence continues at coordinate 12,884,568 of NC_000012.12, forward strand.
TTCGAGACCAGCCTGGGCAATACAGTGAAACCCCATCTCTACTAAAATACAAAAAATTAGCTGGGCGTGGTGGCGTACGCCTGTAGTCCCAGCTACTCGGGAGGCTGAGGCAGGAGGATTGCTTGAACCTGGGAGGTGGAGGCTGCAGTAAGCCAAGGTCACGCCACTGCACTCCAGCCTGGGTGACAGAGCGAGAAAAAAAAAAAGAAAGCATAGGAGTGTTTGTGGAGGAGGAAGTGAGGATGAGGCCTGACCAAGGGGAGAGGCTGGAAGGCAGTTTTGCCAGCTCCACCGCCTGTCTTTATGTGCCGATTCACGAAGCTACCTTCCTTCTTGCCTTTGATGTCAGAAATCCAAAAGCGGGTGAGTAAATGTTACTGAAAATCTCCTGAGTGCTAGATGTAAATTACATCTGATGCTCACCACAACCCTGTGAATTCAGTGTGGTGAGTGCCCTTTCCTTAGATGAGGAAAAAGACCATCATGCTGTTGAGTAGGGTTCAAGCCAGTTCTTCCTAACTCCAATGTTCAAGTTCACTCCCAATTACTGCCTCTAGGTCAGGCAAAGGCTTTTAAGCAGCAAGAACCAGAAGAACAGACTGATTTATGAGGCCTGATCAAAAATGAGGCTGAGGTATGAGCCTTCCTAGCCACTGGCTCCCCTCCCTGCCCTGAGACAGCCTCAGAGAGAGAGCGAGAGAAGTCAGAGGAGATTCATGGAGTGGGAAGGAGAATCCCACAACTGCGCTGGGTTTCATGTCACTGAACCAGCCTGCGTACTTAATGGGATTCTCTAACCCAGCCGTGGGGTTACTGGTAGCACCTCTCTGGTTTCAGCGAAGGGGCTTCGGTTTATGAATTTCCTTGGAGTTAAGACCCTGGGAATGAGTGCAATCTTAAAGTCCATCCCAGAGAAGGTGGGGAAGTTTTTAAAATAGCCTGATAACAATGAGAGGCCCCCTGAGAGGCAGCGCTGGGGCTGGCCAGCCTCCTGACCGCAAGGGTTCCCTACAGACTGCATTCCGGGGCTTCAGGTGTCATCTCTCACTCAGCAGGCACGTGTTTGCCCTCTGCACGTGCCACTCCTGTCTCCATTCCACCTGGGGACTGGGTGTGGGGCGGGGGGGCGGCAGGGAGGGGCGGGGGATGAAACCAAGGCATTGGAGATGAAGCCCTAGAGACTCCTGCTGTGCTAGGTGGACTCTTTTTAGCATGTCACATGCTGGCATATGCAAAAATTTCAAAGGTGTACATTTCAAAGGTGTATTGTTGCTGTAACAAAGTACAAAAAACAGGGCAGCTTAAAACAGCAAAAACACGTATTGCCTCATAGTTCTGGAGGGTGCAAGTCCAAGATCAGGGTGTAGGCAGGGTAGGTTCCTTCTGGAGGCTCTGAAGGAGAAGCATCCCATGCCTTCAGTCTTGGGTTCCTCGGCTTGTAGCAGCATCACTCCAGGCTCTGCCTCTGTCTTCCCAAGGCCTTCTCTGTGTGTCTGTCTCCTCTGTGTCTCTGTATCTCTCTTCCTATAAAGACACCAGTTATTGGATTTAGGGCCACAGGAATGGCTCTTCCTCTCACACATGGCATTGTGACCATCCCTACTTCATGCCTTCAGTGCCCCTCTGCTTCTGAGTCTGGGACTCCAGACTCAAGCTGGCCACTGGACACTGGCCAGATGCCTCTCCTCTTGCCCACAGGTTGTGCTCATACTTTCTTTCTTTTTTTTCTTAGAGTCTCGCTCTGTTGCCCAGCCTGGAGTGCAGTGGCACCACTATAGCCCGCTGCAGCCTCAGCCTCCTGGGCTCAAGTGATCCTCTTACCTTGGCCTCCTGAGTAGTTGGGATTACAGGTGTATGCCACCAGGCCTGGCTAATTTTTTTTTAATTTTTGTAGTGAGGAGGGTCTCACTACATTGTCTAGGCTGGTCTTGAACTCCTGGACTCAAGAAATCTTCCTGCCTCAAAGTCTGGGATTACAGGTATGAGCCACTATGCCCGGTGTGTGCTCACACTTTCTTAACAGGCAGGGCTGACACATGCCTCTGTGCTTCTGTGCATTCTGCCCCCTCTGCATGAAATGCCCTTCCTGATCCTTGCCCCTCTTCTCTTCTCCATCTGAAAAGCCTTAACTCATCCTTTAAGCCTCCCTGCCTCAGTAGTGCCTACTCTGAATTCCGGGGTGAGTATTGACTGCAGCTTTTTGTGCCTGACCGTGGTCCTTGTGCATTTTTTCTGGTGTGACACCTCACACAATGCATTGTTTTTTTTTTTTGGTTTTTTTTTGTTTTTGTTTTTTTGAGATGGAGTCTTGCTTTGTCGCCCAGGCTGGAGTGCAGTGGCACGATCTCAGCTCACTGCAAGCTCCGCCTCCCGGGTTCACGCCATTCTCCTGCCTCAGCCTCCTGAGTAGCAGCTGAGACTACAAGCGCCCTTGACCACGCCTGGCTAATTTTTTGTATTTTTATTAGAGATGGTGTTTCACCGTGGTAACCAGGATGGTCTCGATCTCCTGACCTCGTGATCCGCCTGCCTCGGCCTCCCAAAGTGCTGGGATTACAGGCATGAGCCACCGCGCCTGGCCCACAATGCATTGTTTTTGTTTGATTACTGCCCATCTCTCCACCAGACTGAGCTGCTTCTTCTTTTTTTTTTTTTGAGATGGAGTTTCACTCTTATTGACCGGGCTGGAGGGTAATGGCACGATCTTGGCTCACTGCAACCTCTGCCTCCCAGGTTCAAGTGATTCTCCTGCCTCAGCCTCCCAAGTAGCTGGGATTACAGGCATGCACCACCACACCTAGCTAATTTTTTTGTATTTTTAGTAGAGACGACGTTTCACTATGTTGGTCAGGCTGGTTTTGAACTCCTGACCTCAGGTGATCCACCTGCCTCCGCCTCCCAAAGTGCTGGGATTACAGGTGTGAGCCACCGTGCCCGGCCCACACTGAGCTTCTTAAATGCAGTTTTCTTTTGATTCTCCAGCAGAGTTACATAGAAGACCATTTATAGTTGCTAAATGACTCACTCAATAAACGGACATTCCCTTCAGAGGATAAAGATCGAGTATGGTCTTTCTCGTACTTCTGTTGTATTCCCTACAATGCATGGTGCTTAGGTGGCTCTCAAATGCTTCCAGTGATTGAATGGAAGAACCACTATTAGCAGGAACCTGGCAGGAGCTGTGGTTCACCGACACTAGCAGCTCCAATAAAGTAATAACCTAAGGAAATGGAATTCCTCTCCGCCTTCCTCCAACCAACTCAGGTACTTCTTATATGAGATTTAATTGAGGTCAGGGAAGGGAACAAGTAGCACCTTCCATCCTGCCAGTAAAAAAGCAAAGGGAGAGAAAGGGGAAGCCCCAGGCCTGAGGTCCTGCAGCCGGGAATTCCAAGGCGGCATTAGGAAGGGGGTCAGGATCAGGGCACTGGCAGAGCCGTCTCTTTTCTTGCTTCCTTCCTGCAATCAAGAGTGGGGATCTCGGTGGTGATGGTTGGTGGACATCAGAAGGGAAGGGGTCAGCAGGGACTGAGTTCTGGGACTTCCTGAATGAGGCAGACCCAGGCCCGTGATCTTGGGCCATAGGCCCCCTAACCCCTGCCCACACGTTGCTGGCCTTGCAGCTGAATGAAGGTCCTCTACACCATCAGATCAGCCTCTCTTTTTGGGGGAACATGGCGCCCTTATTGTGGGGCTCTCTCTTCTCCTCTCCTCATTTCCAGTCTGGTGAGCTTTCTTCTGTGTTGCTCAACAAAGCTACCCATCACTTTCAACCGGGTGACACTCTAAGGATGATAACTAGAGTTGGGAGTGAAACATGGGTCTCCAGACCCCCGTCCTACTGTTTCTTTCATTTATTCCCAAGAACCCTCAACCTTGGTCTGCAGACCATTTTAATAGGATGAGAGACCTAGGAAGTGAATGATTCCATCTACTGGTCCTGTCCTTCTTCTCCTCTGGGGCATCTCAAAATCACTCAGATACCCCAGAATCACTCAGCTATTCCACCTGCCCTAGTCCTCCCTGTCTTCTTCCAGAGAGCCAGCCCCCAGGGACACAGGTGCAGGGCCGGGACTGGGAGAGGCAAGCAAGGGGACTAGAGCTCAGGATTTAAAGGGGCACTCACTCTTAAAGTTGTGGAGTGCCTCCTTGAAATCTGTGCTCTGGTTGCCTCATTGGCCTCATCTAGTCCTGGCTTTGTGCAGGCAGGTGTCTCCATAAAGGGATAGGAGGAGACCAAGAGGTTAAGAGGAGAGTAGAAAAGAGAGTACTAAGAGGACAAGGTGGGACATCCAAAGTCAATGGCACTACTCAGGAGGCTGAGGCAGGAGGATGGCTTGAGCCCAGGAGTTGGAGGCTGTAGTGAGCTATGGTGGCCTGTGAATAGCCATTGCACTCCAGCCTGGGCAACATAGTGAAACACTGTCTCTAAGAATAACAACAACAACAAACAAAGCCAATAGCAAAGTGAAGAGCAATGACTGAAGACAGGTTCAGAACAAGCATCCCCACACATGCTCTCTGTCTCACACACCCTGGACCTGCCAGACAGATACCATCCAGAGAACAGTGAACAAAGGAAAGATCAAATACACTCATCACATTCTCATTAGGAGGACCTAATGGGAATGTGGTCCTGGGGAGGGGGTGTAGAGATAGGGTAGGATCCCCAAAACCACATCATCTTTGTTCTTTCACCATCCTCAGACTTGACGTCTTTTGCTCGATGTCATGAAACTCACCCTAGACATGGTGATTCAGACTCCGTGCTGGAAGAGCCACCAGGGACAACTAGTCCTCACTATCCAGTGTGGTAGCCACAAGCCACACACACTTTTTGAGCAATGGAAATGTGGCTGGTCCACACTGACAGGTGCTTTAAATATAAAAGACACACTGGGTTTTTGAGGATATAGTTGGAAACCAAAGAAGTAAAATAGCCCCTTAATATTTTTAAAAATATTGATTACATGTTGAAATGATCATATTTGGGATCATATTTGGGTAAAAAATATACAGTGTTATTAAAATTAATTTTCCTGTTTCTTTGTACTTCTTTTAATGTGGCTAGAAATTTAACATGACATATGTGGGCCAGGTGTGGTGGCTCCCACCTGTAATCCTAGCACTTTGGAAGGCCAAGGCTGGAGGATGGCATGAACCCAGGAGTTTGAGACCAGCATGTGCAACACAGCGAGACCTTGTCTCTATAAATAATAAAAAGAATTACTTGGGAGGCTGAGGCGGGAAGACTGCTTGAGCCTGGGAGGTAAAGGCTTACAGTGAGCCATGATGGTATCACTGCACCCCAGCCTGGGTGACAAAGTGAGAGTGTCTCAAACAAGAAACAAACAAAAAAATTAGCCAGGTGTGGTAATGCACACATGTGGTCCTGGGTGCTTGGGAGGCTGAGGTGGAAGGATAGCTTGAGCCTGGGTGATTGAGGCTGCAGTGAGCCGATTGTGCCATTGTACTCCAGCCTGGGTGACGGCGAGACCTTGTCTAAAAAAGAAAAAACACACAAAAAATAAAAAACAAATGTGGCTTATGTTTGTGGCTTGAATTATAGTTCTATTGTACAATGGTAGTCTAGTTCAACTTCTTGAACAGACGAGAACGCTGGGGTCCGGAGAGAAGCCCTGACTTAGCGGATGGCACACACTATAAAGCACTGTCATTTGCAGTCCCACCAGTCTCTCAGTACCCACCCCCACTCTGCCACACACACCCCTGGGAGTCTTAGGTGTGAAATGGGTGGACTCACAGACCCCTGGGCTGCATACCTCAAAGTGTTCCAACACTCAAGGCACTGCCTGTGGTTTTTTGGGAGTGAAATAAAAACCTAACAATGGTGGGGTCACAGTCTCCAGTAGGTCACATTTTAAAAGCACTTTAGGCTCTGGAGACTTGGGGTGTGGGGAGAAGTGAAGAGAAAGCTGGGGAGCCCTGGGCCTTCCCCCATTTCTTCATATGCAGAATAATCCAGATTAGTTTACCAAGCGCGCTGATAACCACTTTAAAAACAGAGTCCCTCCTGCCTCCCCGTGGCATGGGGTAGAACCTGGCTTGAGCCCCGACACAGGCGGGCAGCCACTCCAGGATCGTTCCACACGTAAACAAAGACGAGTTTCGGTCCGATTGGCTTGATCCTGGAAGAGGAGTGGGCAGTGGAGGGAGGGGAAACCAGGCACCAAAGCAAATTCCTTCATTTCATAATTTCATCTGGCGCCCCCGTTCAATCAGCCTGCATTGTCGAGGCTTTAGGAGAGGCAGTTAGGAAAGGAGAGATACTGATCTCTCAGCCCCAGGGCAGCACTAATGGTGCCTGTCTAGACTCTGACAGGTGGAGCTGCTGAGCTAACTACGGACCTGGTGGGGGAAGTTTTCCTTGGCTTTCACGTGGCTTTGGCTGGGGAGCCCTGAGAAGGTGGCTGCCTCCTTTTTCTGAAGCCTGGCTTCCCATACGGCAGTGGCTGGGGGAGAGTGATGGAGAGAAAGGCTAAGCTAAGGTCAAAGAAAGTGGAGGAAGGCTGGCTTGTCCCGCTGGACTTGACGGCGGAGCTGCTGCAATCTCGCGGGCTGGGCCCTTGCCCCGGGTGGACCCGAGTGCCTGCGGGGAGGCGGGTGTGGCTCCCCCGGGAGGTGACAGCTGGCGGGGCCCGTAAGGAGCTGGTCTGCTCCGGCTCCCCTCTCGTAGCCGGCGCCCTGGGACCAGCGCGTGAGCACGTCTCGGAGGAGTCCGATGCGCTGGGCAGGGCCGGGTGGTCACCCCCGCCCAGCTTCCAGGGGTGACTGTGCCTCTGACGTCAGACGGTTTTTGGGTCATTCCCTGGCACGGGGACTTTATTTTCATAACAGCATGAAGTGCCGTGGAACTGGAATAGGCGTGTCCTCTCCCTCGACCCTCCCCCTCCTTGTCCCTCTGCTCACCCCTCGCTCGTTCCCTCCCTCCGGCGAGGGCCGCCTTTATAACAACTGCTCAGAGTGCGAGGGCGGGATAGCTGTCCAAGGTCTCCCCCAGCACTGAGGAGCTCGCCTGCTGCCCTCTTGCGCGCGGGAAGCAGCACCAAGTTCACGGCCAACGCCTTGGCACTAGGGTAAGTGAGGCGCCAGGAGCCCAGAGCGCTGGGGCCTCCGGATTTAAATCGTCTGGGGAGAGCGGGGCGTTGGGAGGGGTGGGATAGAAGAGGAGAGAAATCCTGGTAATGGAATACAGTTGGCTATGAGAAAAAAATTCCCTAGGAAACAGTTCCTCTAGTTTAACAACTCAGATTTTTTTTTTTTTTTTTCCCCTTTGCGGGTTTCCTAGGCTAAGATAGAGGCAGAGAGCAAAGAGATAATCAGGGTAATAGTTTCTGCTCGGACACATTCTACAAACTTTGAGTAGATGGAATCCGGCCAGGCAGGAGGTGAGCAGCTCTGGGATCACTCTGCAGGAAAAGAATAGAGGGAGAAAGATCTCAGAGGACCCGAAGGTACTGGGAGTGGAGGGGGAGTGGGAAACAAGGGGCAGGGGCAGGAGGGAGGACACGGTGACAGCTACTATTTTACCCAGATGCTGCAAAAAGCCCTTCTGAGTTTTGGGAATTAGATCTAGAAGCCCATCCCTTTTCTCTTGATGTGTGGGCGGTCAGTTCCACTCTGGTGTGCCTTGAGTTGCTCAGAAACCTGGGACAGATGAAAGTTGAATGTGCGCTGAGAGTGCACCTTCCACTACCGACTTTATGGATAGGATTTGGGAATAGCATAGATGCTGTTCCATCTGGTCCCTTAAACATCCATGGGGAAGGCTGGCAAATAGCTTTATTTTATTTTTTGAGATGGAGTTTCACTCTTGTTGCCCAGGCTGGAGTACAATGTTGCGATCTCAGCTCACCGCGACCTCCACCTCCCGGGTTCAAGCGATTCTCCTGCCTCAGACTCCCGAGTAGCTGGGATTACAGGCATGCACCACCACTCCTGGTTAATTTTGTATTTTTAGTAGAGACGGGGTTTCCCCATGTTGGTCAGGTTGGTCTCAAACTCCCGACCTAAGGTGATCTGCCCGCCTCAGCCTCCCAAAGTGCTGGGATTACAGGTGTGAGCCCCCGCGCCCGGCCACAGATAGCTTTAAACATCCATGGGAAAGGCTAGCTAACAGCTGAAACCTGCTCAGAATCAAGGAATTTGAAGGACTTTCCATTCCTGACTTCTTTCCATTCCTGATTGTCTCCTCAGAGGCTTGTGTAAACACCACACCTGTTGAAGGGTTCGGCCGAATCAGCCACTGCTGTGGGTTCATTCCTGAAGGGGAACACTTCAGCTACTTCAGACACAATGGGCTAGGGACCACGGGAGGGGTGAGGGCGGAGGGGGCACACACCCTCCAGGTTTGCATGCCGGTGTCTGCTAGGTGAGGGAAGGAATGAGGGGAAGGAAGGGCCGGGAGAGGCGCTACGTGGGAAACAAGGGACCTCTCCAAGGGCGTGGAGAGGTGAGTGCCTCAAGGGCAGAATGGAATGAGCAGAACCCTTTGGTTTCCCGGGAAGAGCTCTCAACCTTGAGTCAGGAAGACTGATTTCTCCTCCCAGCTCCGCAGGAACATGGAACTGTGATCAGGCAAGGGGCTGGGCCTGAGTTCCTCATAGGGGTCTTGGGGAGGCCCCCAGTTTCCCCTCCTGTGTTTCGATTCTGGCCCCTCTCCATCTGCACACGTCGCCTTGGAAGTTCCCTTTAGAACTGGCTTTTTTGTATTCTAGTCTTGAATGGTAATCGAAGACAACAGGGTATGAAGAACAATTTTGACGGCGTGATTTTATTCTTCTCATTCTGGGTCCACTACTATTTAAAGTCCCAAGATTAAGCTGAGGAATTAATATGGTGGTATAGTAAACAATAAATTGAGGAGTATTTTTGCTTGAGGAATCTTTGACTTCCTGAGTAGTTCAGGGTGTTTGCTTCTTTTATTCTCATTTTTATTGCACTGTGGTCAGACTATATGGTCTGCACATTTCTTATTTTCTAATTCCAGATTTGTCTTTGTATTCTAAATATGCTCATTTTTGGCAAATGTTCCATTTGGACCATGGACCATAGTTCCTATTAAGCAATCATAATAGAGTAGAGATGGCAAACTATGGTCCATGGACCAAATATGGCCTATAGCCTCTTTCTGTAAATAAAGTGATTTTTGTTTTGTTTTGTTTTGTTTTTGTTTTCGTTTTTTTGAGATGGAGTCTCGCTCTTGCCCAGGCTGGAGCGCAGTGACGTGATCTCGGCTCACTGAAACCTCTGCCTCCCGGTTTCAAGGTTTCAAGCCATTCTCCTGCCTCAGGCTCCCAAGTAGCTGGGATTACAGGCGCCCGCTACCACGCCTGGGTAATTTTTGTATTTTTAGTAGAGACAGGGTTTCACCATGTTGGCCAGACTGGTCTCAAACTCCTGACCTCAGGTGATCTGCCTGCCTCGGCCTCCCAAAGTGCTGGGATCATAGGCATGAGCCACAACCTGTAATCCACTATTTTACTAAAACACAGCAATGCTCATATGTTTATGTATCATCTATGCTGCTTTCATGCTACAAATGTGTGGCTTGCAGAGTCTTAAATTGCTTATAACCTGGCCCTTTATAGAAAATCTATGCTGATCACTGATATAGAGGATCTGAATTATATGATTAGTAATGGAGATCTAATAAGATATGAAGATAGAGAATATTTCTATTTAAGTATCCATAGAACATTTACACAATTTTACCATGTTCTTATTCATATTGTATATTTTATCTGCCAAGGACTGGTAAAGAAGTATGAAAGTCTCATGCAACTATAGTATTGCCTTTGGGTTCTCCTTGTATTTTCAGCAGTTATTTATTTATTTTGAGACAGGGTCTTGCTCTGTTGCCCTGGCTGGAGTGCAGTGGCACAATCTTGGCTGACTGTAACCTCCACCTCCCAAGCTCAAGTGATCCTCTTGCCTCAGACTCTTGAGTAGCTGGGTCTACAGGCACCCACCACTACACCTGGCTAATTTTTAAATTTTTTGTAGAGATGGGGTTTTGCCATGTAGCCTAGGCTTGACTCAAACTCCTGGGCTCAAGCAATCTTCCTGCCTTCACTTCCCAAAGTGCTGGGATTATAGGTGTAAGCCTCTGTACCCAGCCTTCAGTACTTTTTGTTTTACGTATTTTGGTGCTATATTAGTTGGTGCATAAAAGTCTAGGATGGTTTTTTTTTTTTTTTTTTTTTTTTGAGACAGAGTCTCGCTCTGTCACCCAGGCTGGGGTGCAGTGGTGCGATCACGGCTCACTGCAAGCTCTGCCTCCCGGGTTCACGCCATTCTCCTGCCTCAGCCTCTTGAGTAGCTGGGACTACAGGTGCCCGCCACCATGCCCGGCTAATTTTTTGTATTTTTAGCAGAGACAGGGTTTCACCGTGTTAGCCAGGATGGTCTTGATCTCCTGACCTCGTGATCTGCCCGCCTCAGCCTCCCAAAGTGCTGGGATTACAGGCGTGAGCCACCGTGCCCGGCCCAGGATGGTTTTATCTTCAGTGTAGAGCATCCCTAATTATTATAAAACAAGCCTTTTGGTCAATATAATATCTTTTTGCTTTGATTACAACTTTGTATGATATTAAAACCTTAACTTCTACTTAATTATTTTACCTTGAACAACTTACTTAACTTTGTGTCTGACACATAATACTTGTTAAATAAATATTATGTTAGTATTTCTTTTTATTTTCATTTCTTTCTGTTCTTTTGCTTTTAACTCTTGTGTATCTTTTTGTTTTAGGTTAGGTTCTTCTAGGTATGATATAGTTTAGTCTTTTTTTTTTTCAAAATAGTTACCATTTACATTTCTTGTAATAATAGTTACTTGTTATTGTCATCTAATTTTAGGCTATATGGTTTGGTTGTCTCCATCTCCTTCTGCATTAGACAGTATATATCATATCATATTTTTAGATCTACTAGCAACTGAGTAGATGGTAGTGCCATTCTCAGGGCTTTGAAAGATAGGCTTGTAAGGAGAGGTGATCAGTTTAGCTTTGAACTTGTTGGATCCAGTGAATATTACCCTTATGTATCAGAATAAGATATTTAAATGAAGGGATCTTTGAGAGCCTTAAGATAGTATACTAGTAGAGGGCCGGCGCGGTGGCTCACACCTGTAATCCCAGCACTTTGGGAGGCTGAGGCGGGCAGATCACGAGGTCAGGAGTTCAAGACCATCCTGACTAACACAGTGAAACTCTGTCTCTACTAAAAATACAAAAAAAAAAAAAAAAAAAAAATTAGCCGGGCGTGGTGGTGGGTGCCTGTAGTCCCAGCTACTCGGGAGGCTGAGGCAGGAGAATGGTGTGAACCCAGGAGGTGGAGCTTGCAGTGAGCCGAGATCACGCCACTGCACTCCAGCCTGGGCAACATAGTGAGACTCTGTCTCACAAAAAAAAAAAAAAAAAAAAAGGATAGTATACTAGTAGAGGACTTCACTTTATTTTCCTATTTTCTGGAAATTTCATTTCTTTGAATTCGGGCATAAGAGATTTAGAAGCTTCACTCAAATATTAAGCTTTATTTAAAAAGATGATTTCCAGTATTTCATTTTATATTCACATTAATCAAGTCTACATGTTTCGTTTAGAGTAACAGGAAGATGGTAATACGCCCAGGGAACTATCTGGAAGTGTAGAAATTGGGATGAACACCGTGGTTATACTTGTTTTGATCTGCCTGTGGTGCTATGATGACTTATTTTCTCTCATTATTGCATAGAAACTCAATTCAGTGATGTTATTCAGATGTTATTCATAAGTTATTGCCATGATTCATCACTTTTATGTCATCAGAGTTGGGATGGCTACCCAGAATAGGGGATCCTGGAGATTTCCCTGTAGACGCTTTGCATTTATAAATAATCCTTTATCAAGGGCAGAGGGATTTCTGTAGGACTTCTCCCTTAGAAGAACTCAGCCTGGGTAGAAATACGAGGATTAACATCAGCACATATTCATCTCCAAAAAATTTTCCTCCCCATTACTCACACTTGCCAATAAATAACTTGCTTTGGGTAAATATTCAGCACTCAGTCTTAGTCCAAAGCATTTGCTCAGCAATCACTGTGTAGAGTACAGAGTAAGGGGGATACCAACAAATAGAAGTTTGCTCTATTTTCTTAAGAAGCTTGTTGTCTGGCCAGGCACGGTGCCTCACGCCACCTTCCTATCTTCCTAGGAGATAGATGCCACAAAGAAGCTTGTTGTCTGATAGGCAGCTCAGCAGTGATATTAATTTGTAATATATAACAAAGATATGGAAAAACTTGAGTGCCAAGAAATATTTAATTGTAAAAACCATGAAGAGATCGACACATTTAGAGTGCAATAGGATTTCAAGTCCAGGTGTGATGGCTTACGCCTGTAATCCTAGCACTGTGAGAGGCTGAGGTAGGTGGATCACTTGAGCCCAGGAGTTCGAGACCAGCTTGGCCAACATAGCAAAACCCTGCGTCTACTAAAAATATAATAATTAGCTGGATGTGGTGGCGCATGCTTGTAATCCAAGCTACTTAGGAGGCTGAGGCACAAGAATCGCTTTAACCTGAGAGGCAGAGGCTGCAGTGAGCTGAGATCATGCCACTGTACTCCCAGGCTGGAGTACAGAGCAAGACCCTGTCTTAAAAAAAAAAAAAAAAAAAAGGCCATAGGATTAATAGTAATAATGATAATAATTTAAAAAACTCATGATAGAGGTTAAATCTTGGGCAAAGTTTTGCAGAAATATGGTAAGTGGATCATAAATAGGAGGGAGAGGATCTTTCTGGTTAGGAGAATAATTCATGTGTTGAGGCAAAGAGCATGAGAAGACCTTAAATGAACCCAAATTCCCTTCCAGATGGAAAATACAGAACTCTAGGAAGATTTGCTTGCCTTGCACGGAGGTGGAGACGGGAGTTAGGGAGGAAGGAGGAGATAGGTGGGAGGACTAATTGGAGAAAGGCCTTGAAGCTCAAACTGGGGCTGGATCTGCCGTGACAGACAAAAAGGAGCGAATACGCTTCTTTTTTTTTTTTTTTTTGAGACCATGTCTCACTCTGTTGCCTAGGCTGGAGTGTAGTGGCGTGATCTCAGCTCATTGCAGCCTCTGCCTCCTGGGTTCAAGCGGTTTTTGTGCCTCAGCCTTCTGAGTAGCTGGGACTACAGGCGTGAGCCACCATGCCTGGTTCATTTTTGTATTTGTAGTAGAGATGGAGTTTCACCATGCTGGCCAGGCTGGTCTCTTAACGCCTGACCTCAGGTGATCTACCCGCCTCGGCCTCCCAAAGTTCTGGGCTCACAGGTGTGAGCCACTGCGCCCGGCCGATAATTTCTTTTTAACCTCCTTTGCGGACTCCTACCTAGATGAGATGGTGCTCCACATGGTTCTGTCCTTGGCTTCCCATGTGATCTTGTCTCCTCTTGAGGCTTCAGATACCACTCTAGGTGATGACTGCCAGTCTGTGCTTACAGCCCAAACCTCTCCTGAGCACCAACCCATATGCCCACGGTGCAGAGACAGCACAACCCAGTGTCAAGGAGCCTGGCTTTTAAGAGTCATGTAATCTTGGGCAAGTTATGTAATTTCTCTGTGCCTCAGTTTCCTCAGCTGTTAAAGGAAGGCATAATAATAGGGTTGTTGTGAGGATTAAATAACACCATATATGGCCAGGAGCAGTGGCTTGTGCCTGTAATCCCAGTACTTTGGGAGGCCGAGGCGGGCAGATCACCTGAGCCTCAGGAGTTGAAGAGCTGCCTGGGCAACATAGCGAGACCCCACCTCTACAAAAAATACAAAAAGTAGCTAGATGTGGTGGTGCGCACCTGTCCCAGCTATTCAGGAGGCTGAGGTAGGAGGATCACCTGAGCCCAGGAAGTCGAAGCTGCCGTGAGCTGTGATTGTGCCATTGCATCACTCCAGCCTGGGCGACAGAGAGACTTTGTCTCAAAAGAAAAAAAAAAAGAAAAAAGAAAGGAAACCATATATGGCTCAGAGGAAACTCTCAAGAGGACTTGGGTCTTTTGACTTGTTATTCCTGGATAGCTCCACGTGCAGGTCGCATATTTATCAAAGAGCCAACAAAGCTACACTTAGCATCTCTCCTTTCAAGCCTGTATTTCTAGGCTCTGACAGTGGTGCCACTCAGTTGCCTAAGCCAGAAATCTGGGAGTTAACCTGGGCTTTTCCATTCCCAAAGCCCTGTCTCTTCTACCTTCATAAAAATCTCCTACCATTTCCTGTTCATCTTTCATGTTTCATCTCCCTGCTTTCTTCCCTAAAGCATTAAACATTAAAAATAATTATTTTAAAACCCCACTAGGTAGAATGGGTCACTGTTTTCCATGTGCCCTCAGCATTCCTAATGTATTCCATAACTTCTTAGTTGTATGTCAGTGTGATTATTATTCATTCCAAGGGCAGTGGCCACAATTTTATATTTATTTATTTAGTTTTTTGTTTTGAGACAGGGTCTCACTCTGTTGCCCAGGCTGGAGTGCAATGGCATGATCATAGTTCACTGCAGCCTCGAGTTCCTGGGCTCAAGCAATCCTCTTGCTTCACCCTCCGAGTAGGGGGATCACAGGTGTGATCCTGGCTAAATTAGCACCCGGCTAATTTTTAATTTCTTTTTGTACAGCGGGGGTCTCACTATGCTGCCCAGGTTGGTCTCAAACTCCTGGGCTCGAGTGGTCCTCCCATCTCTCGGCCTCTCAAAGTACTGGGATTACAGGCGTAAGCTACTGCCCCCGGCCAGGGTTGCTTGTTTTGGAGACTTCTCAGCAAGCCAATGCTTGAATATATGGTGGTTTAAATGGAGAGAGGTTGGGGTCAGGGAGAAAAGCTCTAGAGATGATGACAGTGATTTAGAGGTGAAAAGGAGGATTGAATTATGATTATGACTACTTATAAAGAGCTATTCTTTCTGACCATGTGACACTGGACATGTACCTTCCTCACTCTGTTAGGTTTCTCACCTATAAAATGGGCTGTAGGAATGTTAAATGAGGTAATGGATGTAAAAGCATGTAAATGAGAGAATATGTGTAAAAATACATAACTACTCAGCATAGTGCCTGACTCATAATAGGACTCAGGAGGTGACAGTAGCTGTCATTATTCTTACTCATAATTACATCATGACTGTTATTACTACTGACTGAATGTAGCAATTCGAGAATAGAGAAAAAATGAAAATGCTAGAAAGTCACACATTTTCAGGGCTGGGCTGGCGCGAAGACACATTTTGACAGAATGAGAGAAATCTCATAGGAAGGAAGACAAAGTCAGTTTGTCTTTGCAAGGTTCTGGGCCCCAGATGATTCATTCTCAGATGCTCTGGGAAGGACTGCGTAGAATAAGCATGGGCAAACTTCCAGGCCTAGTCACAAGCAACTCTACACACTTTCCCCATCTCTCTGGTTGCGAAGAGGAGTCTCAGGTTAGAAACCCAAAGCGGGAGACTCATCACATGTTCACGTTTTTCCCTGCACAGTGGTCAGTGCTGTGTGTCAGTCAAGGCCATGTCTAGGGTCAGCGCTGCTCCAGGAGCCTCTGGCTTTGTCCTTCAGGTGGGCAGTCCCTTGCTGTGTCTCTTCTTCAGACCCTTCAACCTTACCTCTAGCCCTGGCTTTTAGTTTGGGTAGGAGTTTGTGGCACATACTCTTTTAATGACAGGAGATGGGGCAAGAATGAGGATGAGGGGGAGAAAGAAAGACATCTGGAAGTTTTGTACATGAAGCTCCCCAGGTGGGTGAACGGTGGAGCTGAACATGAGTTCAGACCACGTAGTTCAGCAGCGTGTCCTGCATTTTATAGATGAGAGGAGGCTTTGAGAGGTCAAGTGACTTACTTGTTCACACAGCCTGGCAGCTGAAACCCCTTCTCCCTAAAGGGGAGGAGGAACAGAGGGCTTGGAGTTGACCCAAGAAATGACTTCGCCCTCCTCTTCCTTTCCTCCCTCTTCCTCTTGTTCTTATTCTTCCCTTCCCTCTCCCTCTTCCCCACTGGTTTTTCTAAACCTTTCTTTTGGGGCCGGGCACAGTGGCTCACGCCTGTAATCCCAGCACTTTGGGAGGCCGAGGCGGGCCTGAGGTCGGGAGGTCGAGACCAGCCTGACCAACATGGAGAAACCCCATCTCTACTAAAAATACAAAATTAGCCGGGTGTGGTGGCACATGCCTGTAATCCCAGCCACTCGGGAGGCTGAGGCAGGAGAATCACTTGAACCTGGGAGATGGTGGTTGCAGTGAGCTGAGATCATGCCATTGCACTCCAGCCTGGGCAACAAGAGTAAAAACTCCGTCTCAAAAAAAAAAAAAAAAAAAAAACAAAAAAAAAACAACCCAGAAAAACCCAAAAAACAAACAAACAAAAGAACCAAAAACCCCTTTCTTTCATGCCTAGATTCATTCCAAAAAGGTTTAAGACAGCAACAAGTGATTCCAGGATCTCAGCTGTGGGCATCCTTGTGTTACTGGATGGCTGTGTGTTAATTGTTAGCAGCTGGAATAAGTGAAGAGGGTCTCGTCCTCATACTCAAAGTCCTTTGCTCATGCCCAAGGCCAGAGGCTACTCATGCTGAAACATTACCATCTCCCTCCAAAGTGCAGGGTTTAGTCACTGAGTACTGGGTGGAGCACATGACTGGATCCCAGTTAATCCCTCCCAGCTTACCAGTAAAACCTCAGGATTCATGCTTTCCTGGGAGCCACCTGCGGCCACTAAGATAGGAGCGGGGTTCAGACATGGCCAGGCGCTCCTAATCTCAGACCCAAAGTGCAATTTTTGGCAGCCTGCATGAGAAGGAGGGTGGGAGGAAAGGTGGCTAGAACCAAGGGTAGCAGCCTGGGGGCTTGAGAGGAAACCAGGCACAGCCCATCCTACCCTGTCTCACGAGCAGCCCGTCCTCCTCCTGACTCCCCTTACCCCACACACCGAGCGCCATTCTCTTGCTGCCTCATCTATTCTGGTTAGGTACTTACTGAGCATCAGGTGCTAGGCAAGTGGCTGGGGAGAGACAACGTTTAATGACTCAGTCTCCGCCTGCACAGAGCCTTTGAGTCTAGAGGGAGACACAGACTTACTGACAGGCTGGGTTGTGTAATAAGTGCTACGGGAGGAAAAGCTGAGAGTGTCTGAGAATTTATGAGATGTGTGTCTCATCAGACTTGGGCATCAAAAAAAAAAAAAAAAAAAAACCATCCTGGAGGAAAGGACCTCTACGTCAAGTGAAGGGTGGGGTCCATTTGGTTTTTATAGGAGCAAGTTCTTTGTTGGCTGGACTCTAGATCTCCCGTCCTTTGACTTTGGTTACAAATAATATCCAAACCACCGCTAGTCTCATTCTCTTTTCTCTTTCCTGCTCTAGCCCTTTGCTCCTCTCCCAGGCTGTTTCTCTAGCTCCAGACAGTTCATATTCCTAAATGCTGATCACTTCTCTTTTCCCTCTCAAATGCTGCTTTCTAGAAATCATTTTCAGTTTTTCAGAACCCTGTCCATCTCTTCCAATCCCCTGGTGTCTTTCCCTTACCTGGGTCATTCTCTGGGCAACATGGCACCCTTTCAGTGCAGACTTGTTTATTAATAACTCCAGTGAGTTTTATTTTCCTCTTACTAAATTCAAAGTACTCAGAACATTTTAGACTTGTTGAGCAATCCCTATCAGCTTAGGGATGGGGTGGGGGAGGCTAACAGAGGTGAATTAAGAATGATAATTCCAAACTAATTAGTCATCCAGATTAAAAAAAATAGACTAAGATGGTTTTTTTTTTTTAAAGACATTTGTGAGAGAATTGGGAAATATGAATCCTAACTAGATAGTTGATAATAAAGGATTCTTGTTAGTTATTAAAGTGTGGTTAAGAAGGAGTTTTTATCTTTTAGAGAGACGTTCTAGACTGGACATGGGGGCTCACACCTGTAATCCCAGCACTTTGGGAGGCCGAGAGGGGGAGGATCCTTTGAAGCCAGGAGTTCAAGACCAGCCTGGGGAACATAGCAAGACTCCATCTCTAAAAAAATAAAGATTAAAAAAATTAGCCAGGTGTGGTGGCATGCGCTTGTAGTTTCAGCTTCTTGTGGGTGCTGAGGTGGGAAGATACCTTGAGCCCAGGAAGTCAAGGCTCCAGTGAGCCACAGTCACACCACTGCACTCCACCCTGGGTGACAGAGTGAGAATCTATCTCAAAAAGAAAAAAAAGGGCTGGGCACGGTGGCTCACGCCTGTAATCCCAGCACTTTGGGATGCTGAGGTGGGTGGATCAGCTGAGGTCGGGTATTTGAGACCAGCCTGATCAACATGGAGAAACCCTGTCTCTACTAAAAATACAAAATTAGCCGGGCATGGTGGCGCATGCCTGTAATCCCAGCTACTCGGGAGGCTGAGGTAGGAGAACCGCTTGAACCTGGGAGGTGGAGGTTGCCGGGCGCCGATATCGCGCCATTGCACTCCAGCCTGGGCAACGGGAGTGAAACTCCGTCTCAAACAAAAAAGAAAAAAGAAAAAAAAATACACATACTATTTATAGATAAAATTACATGATGTCTGAGACTTGCTTAAAAATAGTCTAGGGAGTGGGGTGGGGAATGCAGACGAAGCAAAATTGGCCATATAGTAATAATTTTTTGAAATGAAGTGCTGGATACATGGGACTCCATTATAAAACTTTCTATAATGAAAACAAGTTTTTTTTTAATTTTTAATTTTTTAAAAATAGACACGGTCTTATTCTATCTCCCAGGCAGAATTGCGGTGACGTGATCACAGCTCACTGCAGCTTCGAAATCCTGGGCTCAAGCAATTCTCCTATCTAAGTCTCTCGAGTAGCTGGGACTACAAGTGTGCCCCTCCGCACCTGGCTAATTTTTACATTTTTATTTTTCTAGAGACAGTGGTCTCACCATCTTGCCCAGACTGCTCTTGAATTCCTGGGCTCAAACGATCAGCCCGCTTCGGCCTCCCAAAGTGCTAGGATTAAAGGCCTGAGCCACTGCGGCTGGCCTAAATAATGTTTAAAAGGAACTTCAAGAACTATTTCTCCATTCCCTGTTGCATGATTGGGAGGTGGGAGGTGGAGGTGACATTTGGGGAAACTGGTTTTTTCTTCTCTTTACACCCACTGCCATTACTTTTGTTGGATCCTGGTCTGTGGGTTCTATAAGGCCCTGAGACTCAGCACCCTCCTGCGCAGCTGCGCTGGAAGAGGAGCCTATAGGTTCTAGATGGGGGCTCTGCCTTCCCTCCTGTCTGTCCAGTACCAGAACTGTTCTTGAGGCAAACACCACATCAATCTCTGTCAAGATTTAGAGTCATCAGGTTCAAAGTCCCTCATAACGATCCTGTCCCTCATAACAATCAGGTAATTATGAAAACAACTACTTGTCCACAAACAGTAATACCTGATGGGTGGGGAAGGAGCAATTGGCAGAGAGGGGCAGGGAGAGGGAGAGATCAAAGGGAAGAGGGAAATACCTTTCCTGCTAGACAACACCCTGGTGATTAATCTGCCGGGGTGTGGAGAGACACAGTGAAGTGCACAGGGCCTGAGTTCCTTCCGCTCGCCGCCCTTGAAGGAAATAGGGTCTTCCTCTTCCACATTCACGGTGTAGCCTGGGAGAGCCCTCATACTTCCTCTTTCTTATGTCAAAGAGGGGACCAAAGAGGGGACATTTGTAGGCAAGACGGATCAGACTTGGGTGCTTGGATTGCAGGGGCTGTCTATATCTGAACCTCATTTGCCTTTTTCTTCCTATTTCTCATTCTGCACTGCCCTGTAGAGGTATAGCCCATTCTTTGTGCTCTGCTTGTGGTAGCGATGGCTGTGGTGTAGCTTCCAGGAGGGTAGAGTGTTTAGGTGACAGACCCACTGTGAGGGAAGGCGGTGGGAGGCCCATGGCCATAGTGACAGGTGCCATCCGTCTCTCTCTTCTACTGTGGTAGAAGTGGAAACGTGTCTGTTTCTGGCTTTACCATGGAGTGCTTAGAGCAGTGATCAGCACATAGTGGTGCTCGGTAAATATTTGTTGAATGAATGACTACATAAAATAAAGTTGAGATTGGAGAGCCAAATTTTATTAAAATTCGGGAAGATCGATTTAAGCTATATCTGGTGTCACTTTAACACACTATACATAATATCGTGATAATATATATTCACATGATATTCACATATGTATCATACATATGTATGTATATGTATATATTGCATATATACATATGTACAATCTTCCTACTTGCTATATGAATTAAATAATTTTGGTAAGATGACTATCTCTTCTAGTGGAAAAGAAAATTTTGTGGTTTTTTTTTTTTTTTTTTTGAGATGGAATCTCTCTCTGTCACCCAGCCTGGAGTGCAGTGGCATGATCCCCGCTCACTGCACCTCTGCCTCCCGGGTTCAAGCAATTCTTCTGCCTCAGCCTCCCGAGTAGCTGGGATTACAGGTGCGTGCCACTATGCCTGGCTAATTTTTGTATTTTTAGTAGAGACAGGGTTTCGCCATGTTGGCCAGGCTGGTCTCAAACTCCTGACCTCAGGTGATCTGCCCGCCTTGGCCTCCCAAAGTGCTGGAATGGCATAAGCCACTGTGCCCGGCCAAGAAGGTTGTTTTTTCCGAGCTGTTTTTTCTGCTCTAAGGAAAGAGGCAGGATTCAGGGGATGCTTTGTATCTTTTCCTGCTTCCCAACCCGAGTCCTTCCTCTTGTTTTGGATTTCTTGCTGCATCATCTCTGTCCTTCTTTAGGGCTGGAGGTGACCTCTGCGAGCCTTCCCTTCCTCTAACTCTGGCCTCTTTCCTGCTGCAACATAGTTCTCTTCTAGTCCGTTCAAAACTTTTTATTGCCACGTGAACAATCTCATTGGGAAACAAAAAACTCAAGAAAAAAAATCCCATGCCCAAAAAGCATGGAACACAACAAAAAGAATAGTGTAGAAGACACTTAAATAAGCAATAAAATAATTTGAATGAAATTGTTGACAAACTGGACTATAGTTATGTCTAGCCTTGTTGAATCTCAACATCTTATTCGACATTGACTTTGGAATTTGTGAGCCACCTGTTTTGAGGAAATGGGGACACTCCTTTCTCTTTTTCGATTTCCCAATTTATCTTCCCACTTGTGCCCTGAATCCTGAGGACTTAGATTTCCTAGGGGTATGGTCAAGGAGCTGGGTCTAAAATTCACACGAAGATTGTAGGGGCAGAGAAAGAAGCCTTTCTCCTGACAAAGGACAGATATATGGGAAGTAAACTGTAATACAGCTAGTGGCTTCCTGATTATCCGAATGAGTAAGTAGATTTCTCACTTTGTGGATGGTCCGTTACCTGGGATCTCCTATCCTCCTGGGGCTGAACTAGGAGAGTGGAACCAGAGTCATAATGAGGCATCTGATGAGGGGAGGGGTAGGGAGAGAGAGAAAGAGACGTAGAGAGGAGGAGAGAGAGAAGGATATCTCAGATCTCATTTTAAGGCTAATTTGAGAGGAGACACGTAGAGTACTTGAGAACCTGGGTCCTGGCACCAGACAACCTGGATTCAGATCCTGGCTGTGCCATTTCCTGGTTGTATGATGTTGGGCATGTAACTTGACTTCTCTGCCTCAGTTTCCTCATCTGTAAAATAGGATAATAGTTTTACCTCATAGGGTTGCTATGAAATGAAGTAAGTAATGTATATATAGAGTGATTAGAAGTAAAAATTCGAGGCTGGGCGGGGTGACTCAACACCTATAATCCCAGCACTTTGGGAGGGCAAGGCAAGAGGATTAATTGAGCCCAGGAATTTGCGACCAGCCTGGGCAACATGGTGAAACCCCATCTCTACAAAAATACAAAAATTAGCGGGGTGTGGTGGCACACGCCTGTAATCCCAGCTACTCAGGAGGCTGAGGTCGGGGGAGGATGGCTTGAGCCCAGGAGGTGGAGGTTGCAGTGGGTCGAGATCCAGCCTGGGTGACAGAGCGAGGCTCTGTTCCCCCCATCCCCCCAAAAAGGAGTAAAAATTGGAGCAATACTAAAAATGAACATGTTAGCTATGAAGATTATTTTTTGTTGGATTACCCGCTATTTATGTGCCATCCAGGACGTTCCTCTTTACAGGTAGCCAATTTAGAGCTGGTTATGACAGACAAGACCCCTTTCATAACTTTTCGGAATTAGTGGAGCCATCTTTACACATCTTAAGGAGGAGGCCGGGCACGGTGGCTCACACCTGTAATCCCAGCACTTTGGGAGGCTGAAGGAGTTTGAGATCAACCTGAGGTCGGGAGTTTGAGACCAGCTTGACCAACATGCAGAAACCCCATCTCTACTAAAAATACAAAATTAGCTGGGCATGTTGGCGCGTGCCTGTAATCTCAGCTACTCAGGAGGCTGAGGCAGAATTGCTTGAACCCAGGAGGCGGAGGTTGCGGTGAGCCAAGATTGTGCCATTGCACTCCAGCCTGGGCAAAAAGAGCGAAACTCCGTCTAAAAAAAAAAAAACAAAAACTCAAAAACAAATCTTAAGGAGGAGGGGCAGAATAATTCTGAACCACAGAGCCTAAGAAGAGGACCCAGCCGCTGGCTCAGAAGGGAATGCTCGGCCTTCTGTAGAAAAATCTGCTATTCAGAGACCATCATGGGTAACACGGTGAAACCCCGTCTCTACTAAAAATACAAAAAAAAAATTAGCCGGGCATGGTGGCACATGCCTGTAGTACCAGCTACTCTGGAGGCTGAGGCAGGAGAATCACTTGAGCCCGGGAGGCGGAGCTTGCAGTGAGCCGAGATCGTGCCACTGCACTCCAGCCTGGGCGACAGAGCGAGACTCTGTCTCAAAAAAAAAAAAAAAGAGAGAGAAAGAAAAATCTACCATTCAGATAACTCCTCTTATCCATGAGAGAATAGGATGCTTACAAATGATAACTGTATCAGGGCCAAAGGTAGAGGCTGCAACGTTATGATTAAAGTGTTAACTTCAAGTTTAGATAGTTCCATGTTCACTAATTCCTAAGAAAACACTAGTAAAAAAATATCAGGAACCCTGGCAGGTTATTTGTAATATATACACGTATATATATTTCAAGAGACAGGGTCTTGCTCTGTTGCCCAGGCTGGGGTGCAGTGACGTGATCATAGCTCACTGCATCCTTGAACTCCTGGACTCCAGCGATATTCCCACCTCAGCCTTTTGAGTAGCTGGGACTACAGGTGCGTGCCACCATGCCCAGCTAATTTTTTAATATAAAGATGGAGTCTTGCTATGTTGCCCTGTCTGGTCTCAAACTTCAGAGAGCAAATGATCCTCCTGCTTCAGACTCCTGAAGTGCTGGGATTATAGGCATGAGCCAACACGTCCAGCCCTGTGAAGTTTTTTGAGATTAGGCTTCAAAATACCTCTTCAGAGTGTTAGGTTCTCTGGCTTTAAGGTAAATATTAATATAGTTAAACTGGGGGAAGGGACATATGGGATTTCTTCCTGGTTCTTCAACAGGTTTTAGAATTTACTACAGGAGGTAGAGGAAAGTTAGTAGCTTTACTTAATGTAGTAAGCTCAAAGTCAAAACCCTGGCTAAACATGCAAAATTGGTTTCCTAATCCTTTTTTAGTCTTCTGTGTCTGAGGACTGTGTTAGGAGATTCAATACCTTCTCCCCACTCCAACATTCCTTTTCTGCAGGTCCAGAATGGCTACAACAGTCCCTGATGGTTGCCGCAATGGCCTGAAATCCAAGTACTACAGACTTTGTGATAAGGCTGAAGCTTGGGGCATCGTCCTAGAAACGGTGGCCACAGCCGGGGTTGTGACCTCGGTGGCCTTCATGCTCACTCTCCCGATCCTCGTCTGCAAGGTGCAGGACTCCAACAGGCGAAAAATGCTGCCTACTCAGTTTCTCTTCCTCCTGGGTGTGTTGGGCATCTTTGGCCTCACCTTCGCCTTCATCATCGGACTGGACGGGAGCACAGGGCCCACACGCTTCTTCCTCTTTGGGATCCTCTTTTCCATCTGCTTCTCCTGCCTGCTGGCTCATGCTGTCAGTCTGACCAAGCTCGTCCGGGGGAGGAAGCCCCTTTCCCTGTTGGTGATTCTGGGTCTGGCCGTGGGCTTCAGCCTAGTCCAGGATGTTATCGCTATTGAATATATTGTCCTGACCATGAATAGGACCAACGTCAATGTCTTTTCTGAGCTTTCCGCTCCTCGTCGCAATGAAGACTTTGTCCTCCTGCTCACCTACGTCCTCTTCTTGATGGCGCTGACCTTCCTCATGTCCTCCTTCACCTTCTGTGGTTCCTTCACGGGCTGGAAGAGACATGGGGCCCACATCTACCTCACGATGCTCCTCTCCATTGCCATCTGGGTGGCCTGGATCACCCTGCTCATGCTTCCTGACTTTGACCGCAGGTGGGATGACACCATCCTCAGCTCCGCCTTGGCTGCCAATGGCTGGGTGTTCCTGTTGGCTTATGTTAGTCCCGAGTTTTGGCTGCTCACAAAGCAACGAAACCCCATGGATTATCCTGTTGAGGATGCTTTCTGTAAACCTCAACTCGTGAAGAAGAGCTATGGTGTGGAGAACAGAGCCTACTCTCAAGAGGAAATCACTCAAGGTACAGATGCAGCCTGGCTAGGCAGAGAATCCCTTGTAGAAAGGTGGGGGAGAATCATAGGATATTATAACTGTAAGGAACATGCAAGATTTTCCAGATTATACCCTTGATAGAATAGATAAGTTCCTTAAGGCTCAGATCTTGCTTAAAGTCGTCCAGCCTGTTAGAGACAAGTAGAACACGAAGCTGGCCTCTGGAGTCTTTATTGAGTACTTTGTACAATTGGTGTAGACTGGGAGAGCCCTCCTCACTTCCCCTTTCTTGTGCTGTAATTTCCTGTGGGGCAGAACACCTCAGAGGTTTCTGTGCATCAAAATAAGATGCAGCAAAGACATGGAAAAAGGATAACGAGACAAATTCCCAGCAATAAGTAGATGAGGTTGTGTTTTTTATAAAAGATAACGAGGCATTCCTTCCAGAAATGTGGAGCCTTTGTAGATTTCAGTGCATAAAACCAAGCCATGATTTCCTGCAGTGATCACAGAGCAGAGAAGGGAGAAAGCCCTTTTATCACAAACCAGCAGGAAGTCTCTGTAAAATTGGTAAGGATTCTGGTTTAGTGTGAAGAACCACATTTTTTGTGTATGTTTCTGGGCCCATGGGAAGGAACAGATCATATTTGACATACAAGAATCAAATGATTCAGGCCAGGCATGGTGGCTCACTCCTGTAATCCTAGCCCTCTGGGAGGCTGAGGTGGGAGGATTGCTTGAGCCCAGAAGTTTGAGACCAGCTTGGGCAAAATAGCAAGACTTCATCTCTATTTAAAAAAAAAAAAAAAAAAAAAAAAAGAATCAAGTGATTTTGCTCTTATCTGGAGTTGAGACAAGCCAGATGTTCTCGTGTTGTTTTCATAAGCAAAAGAGGCTAAACTGATGGCCAGAAAGTACTCCTGCTCATAGGGACCTATTCATTGGTCTCCAGGGTTTACACTGACCTTTAAGTCTAATCACAGGGGGTGGGTGGTTTTGGGATAGGAATGAGGAACCTCCAAGGCCATGTTCTTAGCTCCAGCTAAAAATAGGTCTTTCCTTTGCTCTTAAGCCTGAGGTGTGGAACTTCCTGGTGCTACTCACTGCAGCTATGGTCCCTGTCTAGGGCACTTGGAAGTCTGAAGGGAGGCGGAGGAGGGCAGGAGGGGTTATTTAACCACCCAGCCCCTCCTGTCCGTTCCGTGGCTTCACTCCATCACCTCACTCCTGTACTTCCTGTTCTCATTCACTGATGAGTCTTCCTTCCTTCATTCATTTCAAGGGCCACTGTCAGCTTTCTCCCTTAAAATGCTTCTCTGGCCTCCATGCTTTGCTGCTCACTTTCCTCCCTGGGTCCCCTGAGCCACCCCATCCCATCAAATCCTTCCTGAGCCCTTCCACAGTTGGAACCAACAACCTCTGAAGCTTTGCTCGCAGTCCAGATGAACCAAGTCGCTGTGCTTTCCTGCCTGTGCCTGTGCTCCAGGTGTGTCTGTCCTCTGCCTGGTGTGACCATCTCCCTCTTCTGCCCTTCTCCAGGATCAGGCATTCCCCAGTTTCCCCTGGTAATCACTCCACCCTGTGCATCTGTAGGACTTTGAAATGCTCTTATCAGGGTCTGTCTCATTGCACTGTTATTTATGTACCTGTCATATGTTCCTTACTCTCCAGTGTCAGCTGCAAGGAGGGATCATTCTGGTTAATCTTTATGTGCTTCACCATCTCTCTCTTTTTTTTTTTTTTTTGAGACAGAGTCTCGCTCTGTCACCCAGGCTGGAGTGCAGGGACATAATCTTGGCTCGCCACAAGCTCTGCCTCCCAGGTTCAAGCAATTCTCCTGCCTCAGCCTCCCGAGTAGCTGGGATTACAGACGTGCACCATTATGCCCAACTAATTTTTTTGTGTTTTTAGTAGAGACGGGGTTTCACCATCTTGGCCAGGCTGGTCTCGAACTCCTGACCTCATGATCCGCCCGCCTAGGCCTTCCAAAGTGCTGGGATTACAGGCATGAGCCACCGTGCCCAGCCACGATCTCTTAAATAAAGGCGTTTAAGTGTTTGTTCAGCAAATTGGGCCCATAAATTTGGTGGGAAATAAATGAATTGCTTTGAACTGCATTCATGATGATTGCATGTGTTTATCCTTGTTTCCCAAGCCTTTGGTTTTCCCCAAATACACAGAAAACAGTTGCTCATCAATCCTGCCTCTTCCCAATGAAAATGATACAAATATATACATATTTTCCTTGTCAGGCAGTTGAAATAGGTAAATCCCCAGTGAGATTCACTCTAGGTACACCCCTGGCCAGATCTATATCTGAAATGACTGGTTTTTATGACTTTTTCTTTTTTTTTTTTTTGTTTGAGACAGAGTCTTGTTCTGTCGCCCAGGCTGGAGTGCAGTGGTGCGATCTCGGCTCACTGCAAGCTCCACCTCCTGGGTTCACACCATTCTCCTGCCTCAGCCTCCCGAGTAGCTGGGACTACAGGTGCCCGCCACCACGCCTGGCTAATTTTTTGTATTTTTAATAGAGATGGGGTTTCACCTTGTTAGCCAGGATGGTCTCGATCTCCTGACCTTGTGATCTGCCCACCTCGGCCGCCCAAAGTTCTGGGATTACAGGCGTGAGCCACCATGCCCAGCCCATGACTTTTCAAATGTGCTTTTGAAGTGGTCCTAGGATGAGGTGGGGCTCTGGTGAAGTTCTGAAAAGGGGCGTCCCTAGTCATCATAGTTATTCATTCATTCAACCAATATTGTGTTTGCTTTGTGCCTGGTCCTAGGCTTGAGGACCTAGTCTCTGTCCCTCCAAGAAACTTAAGGTCTGCTGGAGAGACAGGCAATTAAATGGGCAAGATGTCACACTGTGATAAGTGATACAATGGGGTGAACATAGGTGGGGGCCCCAGTGGTTTAATTTCTCCTGTTCCTCCATTTCAGGTTTTGAAGAGACAGGGGACACGCTCTATGCCCCCTATTCCACACATTTTCAGCTGCAGGTAAGTGATTTTTTTCTCCCTCTTCATCAAAGGCATTAGCACCTCAGGAACACTGATCCTTTGGAAACAGACGATGTTACCTTTCTCATGGCCCCTAGATGGCCACTTGAAGGAATGATGGGTCTTCTTTCCTCTAAGCGGCCTCACGGGGTTAGTGGGTAAGAATGAGTGCTTGGCATAGAGAGGACTTGGGGGTGGGAGGCCTGGGAGAAAGGGAAGGAAATGAGACTTCTGCCCAGACTGGAGACCTGTTGAAATGGCAGGAACTGGAGTGGGTTTCACGATATGACTGTTTCCTTTTCAGAACCAGCCTCCCCAAAAGGAATTCTCCATCCCACGGGCCCACGCTTGGCCGAGCCCTTACAAAGACTATGAAGTAAAGAAAGAGGGCAGCTAACTCTGTCCTGAAGAGTGGGACAAATGCAGCCGGGCGGCAGATCTAGCGGGAGCTCAAAGGGATGTGGGCGAAATCTTGAGTCTTCTGAGAAAACTGTACAAGACACTACGGGAACAGTTTGCCTCCCTCCCAGCCTCAACCACAATTCTTCCATGCTGGGGCTGATGTGGGCTAGTAAGACTCCAGTTCTTAGAGGCGCTGTAGTATTTTTTTTTTTTTGTCTCATCCTTTGGATACTTCTTTTAAGTGGGAGTCTCAGGCAACTCAAGTTTAGACCCTTACTCTTTTTGTTTGTTTTTTGAAACAGGATCTTGCTCTGTCACCCAGGCTTGAGTGCAGTGGTGCGATCACAGCCCAGTGCAGCCTCGACCACCTGTGCTCAAGCAATCCTCCCATCTCCATCTCCCAAAGTGCTGGGATGACAGGCGTGAGCCACAGCTCCCAGCCTAGGCCCTTAATCTTGCTGTTATTTTCCATGGACTAAAGGTCTGGTCATCTGAGCTCACGCTGGCTCACACAGCTCTAGGGGCCTGCTCCTCTAACTCACAGTGGGTTTTGTGAGGCTCTGTGGCCCAGAGCAGACCTGCATATCTGAGCAAAAATAGCAAAAGCCTCTCTCAGCCCACTGGCCTGAATCTACACTGGAAGCCAACTTGCTGGCACCCCCGCTCCCCAACCCTTCTTGCCTGGGTAGGAGAGGCTAAAGATCACCCTAAATTTACTCATCTCTCTAGTGCTGCCTCACATTGGGCCTCAGCAGCTCCCCAGCACCAATTCACAGGTCACCCCTCTCTTCTTGCACTGTCCCCAAACTTGCTGTCAATTCCGAGATCTAATCTCCCCCTACGCTCTGCCAGGAATTCTTTCAGACCTCACTAGCACAAGCCCGGTTGCTCCTTGTCAGGAGAATTTGTAGATCATTCTCACTTCAAATTCCTGGGGCTGATACTTCTCTCATCTTGCACCCCAACCTCTGTAAATAGATTTACCGCATTTACGGCTGCATTCTGTAAGTGGGCATGGTCTCCTAATGGAGGAGTGTTCATTGTATAATAAGTTATTCACCTGAGTATGCAATAAAGATGTGGTGGCCACTCTTTCATGGTGGTGGCAGCAGTTACCAGTAATGAGCATTAGACTCTGGGGGATAGAACACGGGCTGCCCTGAGAGCTTCATGTTGGAGCTGAAGTTCAAGGTTCACTTCCTTTGGGTTTGTACTTGACCCTTCTTCATGTGTCTCTCCCGTTCCCTCTAAAACAAGTGTGTTTCCCCTCATTTTTGAGGCTGTCAATGGTGTGAGAGCCAGGATCATCACGGGGCCTGAGGTTTTACTCCAGAAAAGCAGAGGAGTGGCAACCTTGGCTTGGGGTTTGGCAGCCCAGGAAAGGCAGGGAGGAGAGCTCAAAGCCGGTTTCATGTTTCACCCAAGGTCTAATTGTGGGAGAGGACAAATCCAGATCCCCTGTTTGACAGAATTAGTTCACAAATGTCTCTTGGCAAAAACATGTGACACCTAACCATGATAATTGACTTAATCCAAGAAAGAGCTCTGTAGGGCAGAGCAATAGGAAATCTCTCTTTCGTTATGGAAAAAAAATAATCCCTCTACATAGAAACTGAGTGACATGTAAAAATGTGTAGCTAAGTCAGGGAGTTACTTCCTAAGAGCCTGACGCTCTGCTTTTCATCAAAAGGAAAAACCAGCGTGAGGCAGAGGCGAGGGAGGTGGAGGTGAGTGGATGATGTGCTGAGTTAGGGATGTTTATATGCCGCAAAGGTTTGGTTGGTAGGCTTCGCGCTAAGATTAGCCTGGCTTTGTACTGAAAAGGGGGAAGGACACATAGTGACACAGATCCTTCTGGTCTTTCCCAGGAGGTGTGACCTAATGAGGTTTGTTGTGAGAATAAAGCAATGTGGTTTCACATATATTATCTATCATAGGCTAGGGACTCAAGAAATGCATATTCCCCCCCCACTTTCTTTCTCTCTTTCCTTCCTTCCTTCCTTTCTTCTTTCTTTCTTTCTTTCTTTCTTTCTTTCTTTCTTTCTTTCTTTCTCTCTCTCTCTCTCTCTCTCTTTCTTTCTTTCTTTTTGAGATAGAGTCTCACTCTGTCATCCAGGCTGGAGTGCAGTGGCATGATCTCAGCTCACTGCAGCCTCCGCATCCTGGGTTCAAGCGATTTTCGTGCCTCGGCCTTCTGAGTAGCTGGGATTACAGGCGTGCGTGCGCCACCACGCCTGGCTAATTTTTGTATTTTTAGTACAGACGAGGTTTCACCATGTTGACCAGGCTGGTCTTGAACTCCTGATCTTAAGTGATCTGCCCGCCTTGGCCTCCCAAAGTGCTGGGATTACGGGTGGGAATCACCATGCCCAGCCTCCTTTCCATCTTTTCTTTCCTTCTCTGGTCTTCATACTACCAACCAAGCAAGGGAGGAGGAGTAAAAGGTAAAATCACAAAATACTCTGGATCGGCATTTTTTTTTTTTTTTTTTTTTGAGACAGGGTCTAGCTCTATGGCCCAGGCTGGAGTGCAGTGGCACAATCATAGCTCACTGCAGCCTCAACTTTCTGTGCTCGAGTGATTCTCCTGCCTCAGTCTCCTGAGTAGCTGGGACCACAGACGTGCACTACCACACTTGGCTAATTTTATTTTTTCAGAGATCACATGTGGTTTGAGGGAGGATAGAGAGGACAGGGTGTCAAGAACAGCATTTTTACCAAGTTGATATAAAAATGAAACAGGATCCAGGCATGGGTCTTTACACTGATAGTTACAGTAAGTTTTAAAATCTGAGCAGCAATTTGAATCACTTGTTGAAAAACACACAAAATATATTTTTTGTAGAGGTGGGGGTCTTGCTCTGTTGCCCAGGCTGGTCTTGAACTCGAGATTCTCCTGCTTTGGCCTCCCACAAGTGCTGGGATTACAGGCGTGAGCTACTGCACCCGGCCTGCTTTCTTTTTAGTGAAAAGGATCTGTGGGAGCTTTTATTCCCATGGCTGCCTTCCTCAAGTCAACCTCTTTCCCCGGAAATGGCATCATCTCTGGACTGTTGTTTCTCCTTCTTCCTTCTCCTCCTTCTCCTCCTCCTCCTCCTCCACCATGCCCGGCTGATTTTTGTATTTTTAGTAGAGACAGGGTTTCACTATATGGGCCAGGCAGATCTCGAACTCCAAACCTCGTGATCCACCTACCTTGGCCTCTGAAAGTGCTGGGATACCGTGGCCTCTGAAAGTGCTGGGATTACAGGCATGAGCCACCGCGCCCGGCCCCGTTGTTTCCCTTCTAAGAAACGCAGTGGTCTCTGAAGCCTGCAGGGGCAGGCCAGCCCTGCACTGAACGCCTGTTCTTGCCAGGTGGCAGAAGGTTGCTGCTCATTTGAGCAGTACCTGTCACCCCTCCTCCCACTGCTGCGGCTGTTAACTCATCTTCAGGTCTCACACCTTCTGCACATAAATAAGCTATTTTTAAAAGTTATTATTTTTTTACTCTTTCTTTTCTTTGGAGAGGGTACCAAAGGATAGCTGTTCTGTTTAAGTAGGGACCTCTCATGGCCTACAGGCTTTGACATCTGAGAATCAAACTGGAGAACATTCCGAAGCCGTTCTTATAAGTGTCTCCATCTCTACCTGGGCTGAAATGGAATGTGCAAATGTAGCCCAGCCTGGTCCTTGGGTGTTGCCAGTTGATTGATGACTGGGAGCCAAAGTGGCATCTCCTTTGACCTAAACGGGCGATGATGAAATAAAACTCAACAGCCTTTCTCTCATCTTGCATTGTGAGATGCGAAATAGAGCGTGTCTCTCTGCCTCTCATTTTAGGCTGAGGCCGTCCAAAGCGGCCATGCCCCATGTTTCCACTAGATGGCGCTGACACTTCAGGCATCAACCCTCATGGCCTCTCAGCCTTGCAAAGGCAGCCACTTAAAGTCGGTGTCCTGTGTGGGGCACCAAGCTGAGCTGCAGACACCCAGTAGGCGCGAGGCAAATGCGTCCCATTTTAAGAGGCTTGTATTTATGAGCTCTTTGCTTCCTCCCTCCCACTAACTTTAAAGAATTGCTCTCCATCTCCTTTGGCAAAGTTCCTTTGCCCTTTGTCTTATTTTTGTGAAACCCTCCAAGGTATTTCCAGTCCATTTGCATCCAATCTGGCATCTTTACGGAGAGCGGTCTCATATGCTATTGTTGTTAACGTGGACTAGTATTTATGTGTTGAGAACACTGGCTGTTTGTCAGGAAAAGTGTGCCAAAACAAAGAGTACGGCCGGCCCTGGAAATGCATCAGCAAAACCCATTTCCCCCGTGCACTCATTCTGAGCTTCCTTCCTTCATTTCTGTCATTACTGCTGAGAACTGGACTGTGCCCAGCTGACCTTTCCCTTCCTTGCCCTCATCTTGCTGCCAGGGTCTGCAGGTTTGCCACCGTCCCGGCCCCAGTCTGAAACATGGGATTATTTCAGAATTGGAGGTGGCAGCTTCAGAAAAAAATCCTTCTCGTGTGTTGACTGCTGAGATCCAGGAACTGGGAAATCAACCCCCAGTTTGTAGATTGCTCTCTTTGGAAATTCTGTGGCCCAACCTCGTGGCTGTTTTCTGGAATTCCTTCTATCGGGGCAGACAGTGCTGTGCCTTTCTTGACTTCAGGATGTTCCAAGGATGCTGCTGGATCTGTGTGTGTGTGTGTGTGTGTGTGTGTGTGTGTGTGTGTGCGTGCGTGCGTGTATGTGCGCCTGACCCTGATTTCTGCAACCTCCAGATTTCTTTCTTGACCCTTCAAAGTGGAACAGTCCAGTGCCAAAAATTTTAGAGTTTGAGAAGGTCACAGAAATCCTCTAGTTGGTGCCTCCACAGTCTTCATTTTACAGAGGAACTCAGGGCTAATGGAGTTAATGCAACTAGATCAGGGTTTTGGGTCTGTGTTCTTTCTACCGTCAGCACCTGTGTGGTCAATTCTGGACACTTCCCAGAGAAGTCTTTGAGTAGAGAATCCTACTCAAATTTCACTGTATATTTTAAGCATTCCTCTCCTTTCCCTTTGCCTCCCCTGTTGCCTTTTCTTCCCCTGATTTCTCCTCTGGTCATCTCCTCTCCCTTCTGCGTGTAAGCCATGGGAAAGGGATGAGGGAGGACAGCTTCTGGTTAAACACAGGTCCCTCTTCCACATCAAATGAACATTGGCTTCCTGGGACAGAAGGCCTTCAAAGGAGGGATTGCAAAGCAAGGCAAAGCGTTCTGTCTTCATTTTCCCCATCCCCATGAGACAAGACTGATGGAAAGGGTGGTGGGGCAACACTGCTTAATGGATGCCTTTTCACATCATTTCAGTTTTTAGCCCTCATGACTGTATTTTCTAATCAGAGACAATAACATTTTAAATAAAACAACGACAAAGAAGTCTGAGTCAGGTGGTAAAATTTGTTGTTTTCAAGCACCATCTTTTGATATACTTGGTTTCATATCATAATGTATTCAAGGTTTCAACCGGTTCTTACATGCTCCCCTTTACTGAGATTTTCTTTTTCTAAAAAAAAAATTTAAAAAATTTTAAAAGTAATTTTTTTTTCTTTTGGGATAGGGTCTTTCTCTGTCACTCAGCCTGGAGTGCAGTGGTGCGATCACGGCTCACTGTAGTCTCGACATCCTGGGCTCAGGTGGTCCTCTTGCCTCGGCCTTCTGAGTACTGGCTGGGACCACAGGTGCACACCACCACACATGGTTAATTAAAAAAAAATTGTAGAGGCAGGGTCTCCCTATGTTGCCCAGGCTGGTCTTGTACTCCTGGGCTCAAGTGATCCTCCTCCCTCCGCCTCCCAAAGTGCTGGAATTGCAAGCATGAGCCACCATGCCCAGCCTGAGATTTTATTTTCCATTCATCTTTTGACTCATCTCAGAATTGACCAGATTCAGCCACTCTTACAAGAAAGCTCAGGATCCAGTAAACAGTTAATTCTTTATTTTTATTATTATTTTTAAGACAGGGTCTTGCTTTGTCGCCTAGGCTGGAGTGTAGTGCTGTGATCTCAGCTCACTGCAACCTGCATTTCCTGAGCTCAAGCGATCCTCCCACTCTGCCTCCTAAGTAGCTGGGACTAGAGGCGTGCGCCACCACGCTTGGCTAATTTTTGAAATTTTTTTTTTTGTAGAGATGGGGTCTCACTATATTGCCCAGGCTGGTCTTGAACTCCTGGGCTCAAGCAATCCTCCCACTGTGGCCTCTCAAAGTGTTGGGATTGCAGGTGTGAGCCACCATGCCCCCAACCAACAGTGAATTCCTATTCACTTGTTTGTGTTATTGATTCCTTCAACTTCCCTGAGGCCCATAGTGAGCCAAAAACCCACACCCATCCCCCTTCTTTCTCTTTGCATGGAATTCTGGCTCCCTTCAGGGAGTAAGTGCCACACCTGGAAGAGCCCTCCCTCCCCGTGCAGCTTCTGAGAGCAGGTGCAGAGGTAGTCCTTGGAGATCCGTGCAGACAACTTGTGTTTGTAATGACTCAGCCAAGATGTTTGTCCCGAGCCCAGTGATTCAATCCAAGTCCAATCCAATCGTGGTCTTCAGCAGAAAAGAAATGACATGTTAGTGAAATTTAGTTGCGGCATATGCCACACCAAATTGCCTGGTTCCAGTTGCTTCTAGTGC
Source organism: Homo sapiens (assembly GCF_000001405.40). NCBI lineage: Eukaryota > Metazoa > Chordata > Mammalia > Primates > Hominidae > Homo > Homo sapiens. The sequence continues at coordinate 12,919,184 of NC_000012.12, forward strand.
AACCCCCTTCCATGTGATGATCTGTCAATCCTGCTGGGTTTGTATCAACTCAACTCAGAAAACTCCTCTGACAAGCCCATGTAGCCATGCTGTGAGCTCTGGGACGTGATTGTAGGGGCTAGCACCATGTTTCCTGACTACCACCTTTCTCTTTCTAAGAAGAAATGCTTCCAGGCCAACTTTTTTTTTTCCCCCACCAGGAATTGAAAGAGAAAAAGCACGTGCCAATTTTTAGCATGATTTCTTTTCTTTTTCTTTTTTTTTTTGAGATGGAGTTTCGCCCTTGTTTCCCAGGCTGGAGTGCACTGGTGCGATCTCGGCTTACCGCAACCTCTGCCTCCTGGGTTCAAGCGATTCTCCTGCCTCAGCCTCCCGAGGAGCTGGGATTACAGGCATGCGCCACCACGCCCGGCTAATTCTGTATTTCTAGTAGAGACGGGGTTTTTTTCCATATTGGTCAGGCTGGTCTCGAACTCCTGACCTCAGGTGATCCGCCTGCCTTGGCCTCCCAAAGTGCTGGGATTACAGGCATAAGCCACTGCGCCTGACCAGCATGATATCTTATGAACAATGGAAAAAAGCAGAGATCATGATAATAGAGTTAGATGGAGTCATAACTGAAACATTCAAGAAGAGATCCTTTACTAGATGGAAGTCTCTAGTGATGTGCCACAGGGCTCTGTCTTTGCATCTGTTTGGATAACGTTTTCATCAATCACTTGGATAAAGATAAAGCACATTTATCAAGTTTTGCACATGACACAAAATTAGGAAAGACTGAATAATAAAACCAGAATACAAATATGTTGCAATAAGCTGGAATGAAGATCCCAAGACAAGAATTTACTTTAATAGATGTAAATGTATTTGTGCTGTCAAAGTAAATTACATAAATACAAATTGGAAAGACTTGGTTTGACAGTAGTTTTTATGAAAAAGACTTGGTAGTTTGAGGTGTCTAGAAAACTGAGAAGGACCAGTGATGAGACAACAGCCAGAAAGTCAAAGCAATCGTAGGCAGCACTGACACATTTGTGAAGTCCAAGTCAAGGCATGTGCTGTTCCCCTGAGGTACCACATCACAGCATAAAATCCACATCTTTGCAGCTCACTCTAATGGAGGAGGAGCTTCTAACAGAGAAGCTATTTTTGGAATTTCATGACCTGCAGAATGGCTGATGGGACTGGAGCTAGTTAATCCGGAGAGGAGGAGATGTTGCAGGGGCATGATCATCACCATCACTAACATTTACTGTGCGCTTACTCCGTGCCAGGCTCTGTTTGAAGTGCTTTATTTATTTGTTTGTTTGTTTATTTATTTATTTTTGAGATGGAGTTTCGCTCTTGTCACTCAGGCTGGAGTGCAGTGTCGCGATCTTGGCTCACTGCAACCTCTGCCTCTCGGGTTCAAGCAATTCTCCTGCCTCAGCCTCTTGAGTAGCTGGGATTACGGGTGCCCGCCACCATGCCTGGCTAATTCTTGTATTTTAGTAGAGACGGGGTTTTACCATATTGGCCAGGCTGGTCTCGAACTCCTGACCTCAGGTGATCCGCCCGCCTCGGCCTCCTAAAGTGCTGGGATTACAGGCGTGAGCCACTGTGCCCGGCCTAAGCACTTTAGATGTATAATATAATTTAATATGTATAAAAACCTCATGCGTTATTACTTTTTTTTTTTGAGATGGAGTTTAGCTCTTGTTGCCCAGGCTGGAGTGCAATGGCGTGATCTCGGCTCACCGCAACCTCCGCCTCCCAGGTTCAAGCAATTCTCCTACCTCAGCCTCCCGAGTAGCTGGGATTACAGGCATGCGCCACCACGCCTGGCTAATTTTGTATTTTTAGTAGAGACGGGGTTTTTTCCGTATTGGTCAGGCTGGTCTCGAACTCCTGACCTCAGGTGATCCGCCCACCCCGGCCTCCCAAAGTGCTGGGATTACAGGCGTGAGCCACCGCGCCTGGCTGGGGTTATTACTATTGTTATCCCTTTTTTATTTAACACCTGCAGACACTGAAGCACCCAGGGGCTAGGTAACACCGAAGGCAACACAGCTGTCAAGTGATTGACTGGGAGCCAGGGTGGGGTGGGGTGCCTCCAGATTTCTTATCCATAACTCCCTGCTGCCTCCCAACCGTCTTTAATAACGATTGCCTAACAGGTGGCTCTGTGGTTAGAAATTTTAGGCAAGCAGATTCCAGAAGAGCTTCCTGCAAAATAGCGGGTCCTCTCTTGGCTGGTGATGTTTAAGCTCAATGAACTAATCAGTTCAATGCTATTCAAATAGCATGCGCTCCATTCCTAAGGCAACTTGCATTCTAAAGCAAAGTTATGAAGCAGAGAATTGTCTTGTAACACACAACTACCAATGACATCCAATAATAACACTTATTAAAAGGTGAGGACACATCCTCCAGCTCTGCTGGGGACAATGTGGGGAATTCTGTCTGGAGCAAGGCCTTCGATAAGCTTGAGGCAGCTTGTAACTCTTAGCGTTTAGACTTTCACTGGCTGAGTTGTTATTCTTCATATTTGAATCTAAGAGCCATGGAGAGTTCTTAGATTGTTAGTTTTCCTGGACAGTTTTCTTTCCCTATACCTCCAACCCAAACACTTCCTTTGCCCTTCAGGTGAAAATGGAAATGCTCTTCACTCTTGGGATGGGCCCTCACCTTTTAGTAAGTGTTATGGTTGGGTGTCGATTAAAATTAAGGGGGCTGTGTGTTGCAGGACTACTCCCTTGTTCAGAGCCTTGCTTTAGAATGGGAGCTGCCACGGGAACAGAGCTCATGCTATGTTAATATGACTTTATTGCGGACACGGTGATGATCTAAAATCCTTTGCAAAGGCACTTGAATTTTGTAAACACCACTGTGTTCTCCCACTCCAGATACATGTAGTCAATGTCTGAACTATTGCTTGATTTCGTTCTTTAGACAAAAACTACTGTCTTTTTAAGAAAAAAAAAAAAAAAAAAAAAAAAAAACAAAAAAACAAAAAACTACTCCACGTTGTCTTTGAGGGTGATTAATTGCATAAGAAAGAACCCCATGATTCGTGTTACTCAGCAGAATCAAAAAGGCTTGTGCATTGTACTTGGGTAGCATGAGTTTAGTCATCTGAATCACAAACCCATGACCTCTGGATACTTGGGAGCCAGAATGAGGGCCCAAGGGAGCATCTGACTGTACTGAATTAGAGGGAGGCAGAGGAAGGGGTGGGGTGCCAGGGCTTCCTTGGGAAGAAAGCGTCAGAGTGAGGGTGAGGGGATGGGGAGTGAGAGCCGATAAGTAGGAGGAAGAGTTGTAAAATCAGAGGCCTGGCAAAGTAATGAAGATAAAAGAATGTTACACTAAAGTTAAAATTAAGGACTTAAGAATCAGGAATTTGGCCGGGTGCAGTGGCTCGTACCTGTAATGCCAGCACTGTGGGAGGCCGAGGCGGGCAGATCACGAGGTCAGGAGTTCGAGACCAACCTGACCAACATGGTGAAACCTTGTCTCTATTAAAAATACAAAAAATTAGCCAGGCGTGGTGGCATGCGCCTGGAATCCCAGCTACTCAGGAGGCTCAGGCAGGAGAATCACTTGAACCAGGGAGGTGGAGGTTGCAGTGAGCTGAGATCATGCCATTGCACTCCATCCAGCCTGGGTGACAGAGCAAGACTCCATCTCAAAAAAAAAAAAAAAAAAAAAAGAGAATCAGGAATTCAGGAAAATATTGTTACAATTCCCAAAGGGTCAGACCTGTGTGTGAAATTGGGCAGATGGGTTTGACCTCATCATAGAACGTCATTCCAGTTTTTCCTCTACGTTTCTAGAACGCCCTGGCTTCATGAAAGACGGGGGACAAGGTGAGGAGGAGCAGCCTGCTAAATGCACAGAACCCGGCATGCTCAGAGATGGTTCTTTTGATTATGTTGGCCGTCCCCTCCCCGCCCCCAAGGCCCTGGCCAAGTCCTCTGTCCTTTCCTTTCTCTGACAAACCTGGCGGCAGTGCCAGAAACAATGAATTGATGAATTGGTACCTGTATATTTTTCCCAGATCATCAGGGCTACAGTCTGCATGCATGGGTGTTGCATTTAACTTTAAAAGAAAACTAGAGTTTAGAAAGAAAAATGGCTGTTTATATATTCTGCATAATGGAGAGGTTTCCTTCCTTCCTTCCTTCCCTCCTTCCCTCCCTCCCTCCTTCCTTCCTTCCCTCCCTCCCTCCCTCCTTCTTTTCTTCTCTTTTCTTTTCTTTCTTGACGGAGTCTCGCTTTGTTGCCCAGGCTGGAGTGCAGTGGCGCGATCTGGGCTCACTGCAAGCTCCGCCTCCTGGGTTCACACCATTCTCCCGCCTCAGCCTCCCAAGTAGCTGGGACTACAGGCGCCTGCCACCACGCCCGGCTAACTTTTGGTACTTTTAGTACAGATGGGGTTTCACCGCATTAGCGAGCTTGGTCCCAATCTCCTGACCTTGTGATCCGCCCGCCTCGGCCTCCCAAAGTGCTGGGATTACAGGCATGAGCCACCGTGCCCGGCCTCTCTTCTCTTTCCTTTTCTTTCTCTCTTTCTCTCTTTCTTTCTCTCTTTCTCTCTTTCTTTCTCTCTCTTTCTCTCTTTCTCTTTCTTTCTTTTCTTTTCTTTCCTTCCTTCCTTCCTTCCTTCCTTCCTTCCTTCCTTCCTTTTCTTTCTTCCCTCCCTCCTTCCTTCCTTCCTTCCTTCCTTCCTTTCCTTCCTTCCTTCCTTCCTTCCTTCCTTCCTTCCTTCCTTCCTTCCTTCTTTCTTTTTCTTTCTTTCTTTCTTTCTTTCTTTCTTTCTTTCTTTCTTTCTTTCTTTCTTTCTTTCTTTCTTTCTTTCTTTCTTCTTTTTCTTTCTTTTCTTTCTTGTCTTGCCCTGTCACCCAGGCTGGGCAATCTACCTGCCCTAGGCTTCTGAGTAACTTGGACTACAGGTGTGCACCATCACACCTAGCTTTTTTTGATTTTTTATAGAGATGGCGGGGGTGGGGGGGCTCTCTCTATGTTGCCCAGGCTGGTCTTGAACTCCCAAGCTCAAGCAGTCCTTCTGCCTTGGCCTCCCAAAGTGCTGAGATTACAGGTGTCAGTCACCATGGCTGGCTGTGGAGAAGCTTTCATGCTCCCCAGACATCTTCTTCAGTAGTCTGTGAGAATCTCAGAAATTCCTGGTATGTGTGGGGTACCGGCTGGTGGCTGTGTGTACAGACACACCCACACATCCACCCACATCCATGTCCACTCCTGTATACACCAATTGGCCGTAAGCCTAAGGTATGGAGAGTCATTTCTACACGTGAGATGAAACCAGTGCCCTTGCCTCCTATCACCGTATGTGTATGTGCACACTGTCATGCCAAATAAAACACATTTCCATTCAAGGCAGTAGCAAAACAGGGTTGCCGATTGTGTGGCTGAAAAGCAGTGCATGTCACCAACTGTCCCTAACTCACGGTGAGTGATCCATCCCTGTGACCTTGATTTTCACGATCTTTCATTTTTATTTACCTTTTATCTTTTGTAGAGATGGGTTCTCACTATGTTGCCCAGGCTGATCTTGAACTCCTGGGATCGAGCAGTCATCCCTCCTCGGCCTCCCAAGTAGCTGGGACTACAAGCTGGCCCAGATATAAGCAGGCAGTTTTTAATTTTTTTTATTATTATTTTTTGAAACGAACTCTCTATTGCCCAGGCTGGAGTGCAGTGGCGCGATCTCAGCTCACTGCAACCTCCACCTCCCAGGTTCAAGAGATTCTCTTGCCTCAGCCTCCCGAGTAGCTGGGATTACAGCTACTTGGCTGTACACCATGCCCGGCTAATTTTGTATTTTTAGTAGAGACGGGGTTTCACTATGTTGGCCAGGCTGATCTCCAACTCTTGATCTGCTCACTTCAGCCTCCCAAAGTGCTGGGATTACAGGCGTGAGCCACCGTGCCCGGCTAGAGCAGGCAGTTTAATGCTGGGCTCCCATAGTGGTAAGTCTTCAGGGTACTGAAATTTCGAATTTAGATTTATTTGTTGGTTTGTGTGTTTTTCTCTATTATATAGGCTTTAGAAGGACAGAAATTTGTTCTGTTTTTCTCAGTATTCCCTGAGCCTAGGACAGTGCCTGTACACATGGGTAAAATGAATAAACTTTTTGGGAGAAGGGTATTTTTTTTTCTTTTGTCACAGGCTAATTAGAATGATGTCCTTTCACTCAGAGAACACAGCCCTCAGGTTCTTCTCTTGTCTATTCTGGTGTCTTGAATGCCAATTTGTCTTCAAATAATTTTGATGAATTTCAGCTGATCAACCATCAGATTTTTGTGTGTGTTTCCATATAAGAACACTTAAATCCAGTGTGATAAAAGCAACTTACAAGCCCGAGGCTTGGAAGAAAGGAAAGGAATTTTTTACTTCTTGGGCTGAATACATTTCATCACATCCCAATTTATTTCCCTGAGGCTTTTCTTTGTCAAGCTTGGGAAAGTGCTGTTTCCTAGGAGAACCACACAAGAACAAACTTTAAATATGAGAAAAGAGAAAAGCACACCCCAAAGCAAAACAAAACAAAAAAAACCCCCAAAAACAATAAGAGAAGCATTTTAGATGGATTTTCTCCAAAGATCGATTGCATTGTGTTCCAAACGCATTTCTTTTCTTTCTTTTTTAAATTTTTTTTGAGATGAAGTTTCACTCTGTTACGCAGGCTGAGGTGCAGTGGCATGATCTTGGCTGACTGCAACCTCCACCTCCTGGGTTCAAGTGATTCTCCCGCCTCAGCTTTTCAAGTAGCTTCAGGTGCCCACCACCATGCCTGGCTAATTTTGTATTTTTAGTAGAGATGGGGTTTCACCACGTTGGCTAGGCTGGTCTCAAACTCCTGACCTCAAGTGATCCACCCGCCTCAGCCTCCCAAAGTGCTGGGATTACAGGCGTGAGTCACTGTGCCCAGTGTAAAGTGCATTTCTTTTCTAAACTGACTTGAACCAAAATGGATGAACAAGGACCCTTCAGATGATATACACCAAACTGGAAACAGATGAGAATGCCAGCAAATGGGCTCAGGAGGAATTTATCTTCTTGAATTTTCAGGCATAAGCTGATTTTGACAATGTTTTCTCTTACAAAAACAGGGTGAGCGTGTTCTGGATGGAGGCTGGGTGGGAACCCCAGGTCAGAGCAGATGTGGAACTGGGGCATGGGGAAGACTATACCCCAAAGAGGTGGGGGTGGGGAAGAAGATGAAAAGTGAAAGACGAATGTTCCCAGGGGCAGGAATTCATAAACTTTTTCCATTGATTCTGCCCTCTCAAGCCAATCACTTTCTGCCTTTTTGGACCAAATTGGGAAAGCCTGGACAGTCTGCTACAAACCAGACCAGAGCCTTTCCTTGTCAACAGAGCAGCGCTTCCTAAACTTATACTGCGTTAAAAATCACATGGGAATTTGTTAAAAATGCAGTGTCTGGAGGCCTCCTAGAGGTTCTGATTTAGTTGGTCTGAGTCAGGGTCCAAGAATTTGTATCCAGAGCAAGTATCCCGGCGATTCTTCTGCTTGGACAGGGTTGGGACAAGGCGTCGGCCAGTCATCCACATTGTCTTTTTGCAGATCCACTAATCTTCCATGCAGGCTCCAACAGCTCCTTCCCGGCCTGGGAACCCAAATCCGCAGGAAGAATCTCGGGGTGTTGTCTTGGCTTATTCATTCAGAGCTGTCGTGTGTGGTTCTGCAAACAGTACTCAGATGCGTTCCCTCTCCCCGTAGGGATCTTGCTGGAGATGCCCAGGGTTAACAGTGGAACTCCATATGGAGACAGAGGCATGGGGGGAGCTTCGCTGGAGATGGGACAGCCTGCTCCACCGCGAAGCCTACTGAGGCTCTCTTCTTACGTACCCCGCGCAATCTCATCTCCCTGAACAACTTCCACCTCCACCTTTCAGCTCATTCCCTAATGTCTGCTTCTGTTGGAACTCCACAATCTCATCTTTATCTGCCTAGGTGTGTTACAGTAGGTAGCTGTCAGGTATGAGCAGGGCAGGAGAGGGTCTGTTCCAATAGCAGGAACCTCAGGTGACCATCAGGTGATGGTCAGGCGGCTGTTAGTCTGTCGCTCTAAAATAATAATTGGTCGCAGCCGGTGCTAGGGAAAGACAGGCTCCCAGTAGATAGAAAACACCTGAAACGGGTGATAAGCAGCTTCCCGGTAAGATCTTAGCAGTTGGGCGAGTGTACTCAAGCATGAGCACTAACAGGCAGAATGCCAGAGTTTAACTGGTATATGACCTTCTAGGGACATTCGACTGATAAGGGAAGAACGCCTCACGTGAGCATGTGTACAACTCCTGCATGCGTACAAACACACTGCGCATGCTCCCCTCCCAGGCGCTGGCAGGCCACACACTGCGCATGCTCCCCTCCCAGGTGCCGGCAGGCCACACACTGCGCATGCTCCCCTCCCAGGTGCTGGCAGGCCACACACTGCGCATGCTCCCCTCCCAGGTGCTGGCAGGCCACACACTGCGCATGCTCCCCTCCCAGGTGCTGGCAGGCCACTGCGCAAGTGTGGACAGCCTACACCAAGGGAAGAGTCAGGGGAGAAGGAACACAAGACTCCGGAAGCATGCCAGCGTATAAAACCGTAAGTCAAAGGTCAGACTGTCCAGTGGGTGATCTCTCAAGTCGCCCGCTTGGCCTCTTCCAAGTGTACTTTACTTCCTTTCATTCCTGCTCTAAAACTTTTTAATAAACTTTCATTCCTGCTCTAATACTTGCCTCAGTCACTCCTGCCTTACCACAATATTTTTTAAAACAAAATCAATACCAAAAAGCCCATGATAAACAACATATCAAAATTTTATAAAAGCAGGCTGTTTGGTTTGTTTTACGACCTTGCGTTACTGCAAGAGAGGAGCCGTTTCCAATCAGGCTTTGGATCCTGGGCTTATGTGGCTGCTGTGTCCCTGCCATGGATCTGTGAGGGTTGACAATGGGGTACAAACAAATTGGGCAATATATATATACACATATATGTGTATATACATATATACACATATATGTGTATATATACATATATACACACATACATGTGTATATATATACATATATACATATATACACACATACATGTGTATATATATACATATATACATATATACACATACACATATATGTGTATATATATAATATATACATATATACACATACACATATATGTGTATATATATAATATATACATATATACACATACACATATGTGTATATATATAATATATACATATATACACATATACACATATATGTGTATATATATAATATATACATATATACACATATACACATATATGTGTATATATAATATATACATATATACATATATGTATATGTGTGTATATACACACATATATGTATATATGTATATATGTACATACACACACACACACACACATATATATAGTTTGTTTGTATTTTGAGAGGGAAGAAAGATGAAAGAAAGGGAGGGCTTAAAAAATTTTTTTTGAGACAGCATCTTGCTCTGTTGCCCAGGCTAAAGTGCAGTGGCACCATCATGGCCCACTGTTGCCTCAACCTCTCAAGCCCCATCAATTCTCCCACCTCAGCCTCCCGAGTAGTTGGAACTATGGGTGTGTGCCACCATTCTTGGGTACTTTCTAAAAAATTTATTAAAATATTTGAGACAGGGTCTTGCTTTGTTGCCAGGCTGGAGTGCAGCGGTGCAATCACAGCTCACTGCAGTCTTAACCTCCTGGGCTCAAGCAATCCTCCTGCCTCAGCTGCCTGAGTAGCTGGGTTCACAGGTACGTGCCACCACGGCCAGCTAATTTTTTTGATTTTTAGTAGAGACGGTGCCTTGCTATGTTGCCCAGGCTGATCTCGAACTCCTGGATTCAAGCAATCCTTCCGTCTTAACGTCCTAAAGTGCTGGGATTTCAGGCATGAGCCACCATGCCCAGCCTCTTGGATATTTTTATTAGATTTTTTTTTTTTTTTGTAGAGATGGGGGTCTTGCTGTGTTGCCCAGGCTGGTCTTGAACTCCTGGGCTCAAATCATCCTGCCTTGGCCTCCAAAAGTGTTGGGATTACAAGTGTGAACCACTGTACCTGGCCTTTTTATTTTTGTTTTAAAAGAGAGAAGAAAGGGAGATGGGGGGAAGGAGGCTTTATATATATATATATATATATATATATATATAATTTCTTATTTTTATTTTTTTTAGATGGAGTCTTGCTCTGTTGCCCAGGCTTGAATGCAATGGTGCGATCTTGGCTCACTGCAACCTCTGCCTCCCAGGTTTAAGCGATTCTCCTGCCTCAGCCTCCCTAGTATCTGGGATTACAGGTGTATGCCACCACACCTGACTAATTTTTTTGTATTTTTAGTAGAGATGGGGTTTCACCACATTGACCCAGCTGGTCTCAAACTTCTGACCTCAAGTGATCCACCTGCCTCCGCCTCCCAAAGTGCTGGGATTATAGGCGTGAGCCATCGTGCCCGGCTGAGGCTTAATTTTTTGATTGGAGACTTTTAAATGACGTTTTTCCACTTGGTTCAAAGCATGGGAAGATATTTTGATAAGCGCATATAGGGACACACACGTTTCCTTCTGTCTCGGGCTCCAAGAGGGCCTAGCACAGCAGTGCTCACTGATGATCAGGCCTCTCCTTCCAGTGCTCTTCACACACAGACCATGTCTAGATTCCTCCTTTCGGGATGGAAGCCCTGTGGGGGCAGAGCCAACCTCTCCCGTTGCTTCTCTCTTTGTCTATCTCTGCTCCAGCATAAGGAGGGCTTGCAGCTGGCTGAATGAGCCTTGGTTTTCCTTGCAGCCTCACCTTCAGACAGACTTTTCTGACCTGCATACCTGGTCCAATGCTGTCAGTTGACTAGTTTGGGTTTTTTGTACTGCTCAAAGGCACCCAGCTGAGATGGTTGGGGTGGGGTTGGAATCCAGTCTCACTGCTGGCCAAGCCCTGGATGCTGGCCTGAGGTCACATCCTTTGGGGTGGGGGCACATTTTCAAATTCATCCACTCAGAGGGGGCACATGTTTCTAACTCACACACAGTCTCCCTGTGTGTGGCTGTTCTGAGTACCATTCCCAACATCATCTGCTCAGGGAATTTCTACCCCCCATCAACCTCGTGTAAGACAGAGCTTGAGCTTTTGACCTCCTCTGTGAAGTCTATTTTGCTCTCAGTCTCTTAGACAGAATTGCTTTTTGTCTAGGAGACAGAAGTTTCTAAGTGCTTACTCTTGAGTTCTATACTTACTTTGTGGCAGACTAGTGACAAACCATCAGCCGACCAGGCCCAGGTCTGGAGGCCACACTTCGAGGGCTCCACCTTAGACCAGCCCTCTGCTGCACACAGGGTGACCTTCTACATGTTTTTATGATGGAAGCAAGCTATCTCTGTGAATTGTAATTATGTGGACAAGCACGGAGCCACATGGCTGGCAGAGCAGTCTGGCATGCATCAGTCAAGAGCAGGGCAGTTCTTCTTTGATCTAAGAATGTCTTTGAAGAACACTAGAATAACAGATGGTAAAGTAAAATGTTCAGACAAGTAACTCCTTGCTTTACCTCAGGATACCAAACAACTGGTTCAGTGTCTATGTCAGTCAGGATGGGCTGGGTTAGCTGACATAACAAACAGCCCCAAGTCTCAGTGGCATAAAGCAACAAAGCTTTATTTCTTGCACACGCTGCATGTTCATCATGGAACCCAGATGAATGCAGCAGTTGCTATGTGGAATATTGCTTACCACCATGGGAGGAAGGAAAAAGCCCACAAGGGTCTTGCATCAACAATTAATTGCTTGGGACTTGGAAGTGACATCATTTCTGCTTTCAACTTGTAAGGCAGAATTAGTGTCATCATCCCCCACAACCTCAAAAGGTGCAAAAGTGCAAACTGGCAGTGTACCCAGAAGACAAGAGAGTTTGGAAATATTTGGAAAACAACAGTTATGACTACCACAGTGGCACGTTCCATAAAGTTGACAGATTTTCCTAATTTTCTAAATAACCACCCCTAGTAGTTGTTTTGGTGTCTAGAAAAATGAGTTGTCAACAGCAGGACACAGCAGTAACAACTGCAGTTAAAAACCGAAAGCACAGTCTTTTTTGAATATCATGCAGTGACATCTCTGCCAGTAGTAAAGATTCTCATGCGGTATGTGTCTGTTTTATGTTATAGAGGTGGCTCAGATTATGCTGTAAAAAGCAGCAGAGTGATAGTGGCCCAAATGCAGTTTATTAGGTGAGAGTCTTAGCATCTTAGTAAAATATATATTATAAAATATATGTATGTCTCTGTGTGTGTGTGTGTGTGTGTGTGTGTGTATGTGTGTATTTCATAATTGAAAAGCATTGGCTAATCCATCCAATGGATCAGATGAGATGGTGGATGTGAAAATTATTTGTAAATTGTAAAGAGCTATAAAATAGAAAGCAAAGCACTATTTAAAAAAATTGTTGTTACCCTAAAAGATCAGGCATCTCATCATAGGGTCATCATTGGACACTTATGATCTAAGATCTTATTCTGCTTTAGGTATATACTCATTTCTTTTCCTTTGCTTTTAAAACAAAACTCTAATTATAGCAGCACTATAGCGAACATCCTTTTTTTTTTTTTTTTTTTTTTTTTTTTGAGACAGTCTTGCTTTTTTGCCCAGGCTGGAGTATAGTGGCATGATCTTGGCAACCTCTGTCCCCTGGGTTCAAGCAATTCTTCTGCCTCAGCCTCCCAAGTAGCTGGGATTACAGGCTCCCGCCACCATGCCTAGCTAAGTTTGTATTTTTAGTAGAGACGGGGGTTTTGCCATGTTGGCCAGGCTGGTCTCAAACTCCTGACCTCAGGCGATCCACCCTCCACCCTCCTCGACCTCCCAAAGTGCTAGGATTACATGCGTGAGCCACCACGCCTGGCCCGCATGGTGGTGGCTATATATACTCAAAACAAAACTGAAAAACTCAGTTTTTCTGGAGATAAATTGCCGTGTGATTAATACCACTGAATTAAACATTGAGAATTTTTTTTTGTTTGTTTTTGAGATGGAGTCTCACTCTGCCGCCCAGGCTGGAGCACAGTGGCATGATCTCGGCTCACTGCAACCTCTGCCCCACCGAGTTCAAGCAATTCTCCTGCCTCAGCCTCCCGAGTAGTTGGGATTATAGGTGCCTGCCACCGCACCTGGCTAATTTTTGTATATTTAGTAAAGACAGGGTTTCACCATCTTGGCCAGGCTGGTCTTGAACTCCTGATCTCATGATCCACCTGCCTCGGCCTCCCAAAGTGTTGGGATTACAGGCGTGAGCCACCACGTCTGGCCAAACATTGAGAAATTTAAAAATTAGTTACAGATAAAGTCTACACAAATTTCTTCTACATACAAATAAAGCCCAGGTGGAAACTACAACGAAATGTTCCATTTGTAGCATATACTTTAAAAAGTTCAGCCCCCTCAATACATGTAGGTGGGTCTTGTTTTAGGAAGATGTGCAAATTTCCAAACTCTTAAAACAGAATAATTAAGGGGTGAATTGCACATTAAAAAGTTAGGTTAGGTGTGGCATCTCATGCCTATAATCCCAGCACTTTGGGAGGCCGAGGTGGGAGGATTGCTTGAGGCCAAGAATTCAAGACCAGCCTGGGCAACATAGCAAGACCCTGTCTCTTAAAAAAAAATTGCCAGGTGCGGTGGTGTGCACCTGTATGTAGTCCTGGCTATTTAAGAGGCTGAGGTGGGAGGATGCTTGAGCCCAGGAGTTTGAGGCTGCAGTGAGCTATGATTGCATCACTGCACTCTATCCTGTGTGACATAGTGAGAGCCTGTCTCTAAAAAATATGTAAATAAAATAGAAAGTAATTAAAAAAGCATAATGTTCTCCCTCAGTGCATTAATATCATATAAAAAAACATGTGAGTAAAAAATTATGTCAGTTCTACAAGTTGAAATATATATACAATTCTATGGATAGCTTCCTCTGTATGTATGTTGTAGCATATATGCTATCATCTCACAATTAGTGGGCAATAATAGATGCAACTGAAATTCCTACAGTTTAGTTGATCTTGAATCCTAGGATGACACAGTTACCTCAAGAACCGTATCATTTGCCAAACCTAGACTTGATTGAACTAGATACTAAATATGATTCAAGTTCTAATAGTGCTTACGCCTGTAATCCCAGCACTTTGGGAGGCCGAGGCGGGCAGAGCACGAGGTCGGGAGATTGAGACCATCCTGGCTAACACAGTGAAACCCCATCTCTACTAAAAATACAAAAAATTAGCTGGGTGTGGTGACGGGCGCCTGTATTCCCGCTACTCCGGAGGCTGAGGCAGGAGAATGGCATGAACCCGGGAGACGGAGCTTGCAATGAGCCGAGATCACGCCACTGCACTCCAGCCTTGGCGACAGAGCGAGACTCCGTCTCAAAAAAAAAAAAAAAGAAAAACCCAGAAAAGATATTCGATGGCACTTCCAAAGTGCACTTGGAAGCTCTTTTAGTGACGATTCAGGTGAATATTAGAAATCGTCATTGTGCTTGCCTCTCTGATCCAACAGTTTGATTATTGCTGTCCAAAAGACCACCACGATGGCTAAAAGGTAGAAAGAAGACCTTTACTGGTGATAATCGCTTTGCCAGCTGGGAAGAGAAAGTGTCCAGTGTGTATCAAAGGTGCTCTCTCTTCAAAGAGGGGAAGGATGGTTGGGTTTTATGCCTCACAGGGTCTGTATTACACACTAGAGTCATACATATTCAGCAGGTTTGGGGAAAGGCTATACATATTTATGAAGGCTGCCTTGTGCTTGAGCAATGGGTAAACATATATGCAACATACATCCCCTGTGCACTTTGGGGTGGGGTTTTAGCATTAAAATGAGGTAGAATTTGGCTCTTTATGTCAAAAGGTGAACTTTATGACTCAAAGATGGTTTGTGCGCGGCCTCTACAAGCTGGCTGAAATTGGCTTAAGGTCTGCAGTTGTTTGTCAAAAAAGAGAATGTTTGTAAGGCTGATCCTCTGTCCAACAGAGTTGTAGTGGTCTGGGTTGTAAACCAGAGTTCAGATAATCTGCCTGATAGCTTCTGTTGTTAGGGGGTTTAGTGAAAGTGCGGTTTTGCTTGTAGAAATTTAGAAATTTGTCATGCCACCTGGCCCCTGAATCCTCTATCTCTAGGTAATATTTTGGTTTCTTTACCCTCAGGGTCCATCTTAGTTGATAAAGGGGTGTCTATTTTGCTCTCTGAGGTCACATCATCACAGTAACCCAGTCACACGGATTTTCTTGAGACATTCCTGAAGGCAGCCCCAGGAAAGGCATTCTGATAATACTTTAACAATGGCTGCAATTTTGTGCCTCCTGATGTAACCACTTTGAAGTCCTTTAAATAAATAAGTTCTGATATATGTTACCCGACAAACTTAATGTCACAGGTGGTGACTATCTGGGGCCAGTGGCGCAGATGGTAAAGGAATTTATCAAGACAGTTGTACATAAAGGAATGCAGATTTATTGAGAAGGAATGAAAATACTTTGCAAGGCCGCAGCGGGCAGCACAGCAGAAAAGGAGCCGTCTGCAGAGAGGGAGGGGCTGGAGGGAAGTTTTATAGGGTTGTGCTGGAGGGGGTTATGTGCAGAAGGAGGTCCCCCAGCAGGTGCTTGTGCCCGCGGGTTGTTTGTGATTAGCCATCTCTCAGAACAATCATTCATTCATTGATATTCCCCACCTGCCCCCACCCCAACCAGCGACCCCTTCCTTGTCGTTGTTTACTTATCAGGGCTCCACACTTAATTCTAAATAAGCTACCTTTGATGAAGAGTGGCAGTTATGATCTCTTAAAGGCCCGAGCCATTAAGACATTTTTAACAGCTGCAGGAAAAAGTCTGCCTTTATTCAGACGTCAGGTGCATCTTCTCAGAGGTCCAGGTCTCCATATGGCCACTGTTCAGCGTTCATTGAGAAGCACCTCCCACAAGTGCAAAATATGAGGTGTTGGACCAAGGAAACTGGACAGCTCTTTTCTAGTTTAATTCTCATTAATTGTGTTCTTTTAAAATAGGTGATTATGCTTAATCTGAGGAGGATGCCACAGCCACAGAAGTATCTGGTTTATATCATTCTGCCATAACTTAGGATGGGCTTAGTCTATGACAGCCCTGTCTCCTAGACCATCAAAGGAAGTTTCCAGGAAAAGGTAGATCTCGAATTAATTGTGGAAGAAGAAAACAAAGAAGAAGAAGGCACGAAGTTGGCCGATATAGAATAGATACTACTCTAAGCCCTTTAAGTTTATGGGTTGATCATGAAATTTAATATGCAGGGAAATAAATCTTTGATGTTCTTTGGATCAGGAAAATATTAATATCATCAAGATGAAGGATATATTAACTCTATCCAGGCAAGTATTTTGTTAGCAGTATGCTCTAACCAGCTGAGCTAACTGGCAACATTATGCCAGGCAGGCATTTTAAAATAAAAATTTTAATTGATACCTTTTCTTTTGGATAAAGTAAATAAAATCAGAGGGATACTACCTAAAATATTTAAGATGTAAGATGAAATGAGCCACCCATAAGAAAAATTAAAAATAAAATATTTTAGAGAATATGTACCTATCAAATTATGTAACCCATTACATATAAGTAAATGATTTTAGATGGCTGGGCATGGTGGCTCACGTCTGTAATCCCAGTACTTTGGGAAGCTGAGGTAGGAGGATTGCTTGAGCCCAGGAGTTCAAGACCAGCCTGGGCAACATGGTGAAATCTCATCTCTATTTTTTTTTTTTTTTTTTTTTTTTTTGAGACAGAGTCTCGCTCTCTTGCTCAGGCTGGAGCGCAGTGGCACTATCTTGGCTCACTGCAACCTCTGCCTTCTGGGTTCAGGCGATTCTCCTGCCCCAGCCTCCTGAGTAGCTGGGATTATAGGCACCCACCACCACACCCGGCTATTTTTTTTGTATTTTCAGTAGAGACGGGGTTTCACCATCTTGGCCAGGCTGGTCTTGAACCCTGACTTCAAGTGATCCACCTGCCTTGGCCTCCCAATGTGCTGGGATTACAGGTGTAAGTCACCATGCCTGGCCATCTCATCTCTATTAACAACAACAAAAAAAAGTAAATGAATTTAGATCTTCAAATAATACTTGTCAAATTGAGTAATTGAGTACAATATGTTAACCATAAATAGTTTTATGTTTTATTTTATTATTTTATATTTTTAGATAGGGTCTCACTGTCACCCAGACTAGAGTGCAGTGACATGATCATAGCTCACTGCAGCCTTGAACTCCTGGGCTCAGGGAATCCTCCCACCTCCTGAGTACCTGGAAAAATCTATTTTTAAAAGCAGGGGTTCCTCATGGATCTCTACTTAGAGAGTTCACAGTTTTTGGCTTTATGTGAATTGCTGCATAAACTTGAAATAAATTCAATTGTATTTTTACAAAAGTATTCCATAGCCTGGGTGTGGTGGCTCATTCCTGTAATCCCAGCACTTTGGGAGGCCAAAGCGGGTGGATTGCTTGAGCCCAGGAGTTTGAGACCAGCCTGGGCAACAAAGCAAAGCCCCGTCTCTACAAAAAATAGAAAATTAGCTGGGCATAGTGGGGTGCACCTGTGGTTCCAGCTACTTGGGAGGCTGAGGTGGGAAGATAGCTTAAGCCACTGCACTCTAGCCTGGGTGATGGAGTGAGACCTTGTCTCAAAAAAAAGTATTCTCTAATTTTATAAAATTATATTTTTATATTTTTCAGGATTAATTTCTCCTGTATTAGTTTCTCATGGTGCATGTTATGGTTTCCCCTGCTCCCCAGAGAACATTTCTTTGTCCACAGTTTCCCACAGAGGAAGCAGGCAGATGTGACCAGGTCTGTCCCACATAACCAAGCCAGGCACAGCTGAATGGACCAGTGGTGGGTGCCGGACCCAAGGGCAGCCAATCCACAGGCTGATTCAACCTAAGAGAACAGCTGAATTATGGCATGTGAGAGAATCAGTCAGCCGGCGGTGGGTGGATAAGTGAAAATACCCACAAAAAGAAGCAGAGAAAGTGTAGAAGTGACCGCAGGAGACAGCAAGCCTCTCCCAGTGCCTGACAGTGCTTACTCTCCGTCAGGCCAGCTGAGAGGCTGTACTGTGTATCCTGAGGAAGTTTTGTTTCCCCGTCATATGTAACTTTAAAATAAAACTCCAGGCCGGGCGTGGTGGCTCACGCCTGTAATCCCAGCATTTTGGGATGCCGAGGTGGGCGGGTCATGAGGTCAAGAGATCAAGACCATCCTGGCCAACATGGTGAAACTCCGTCTCTACTAAAAATACAAAAATTAGCTGGGTGTGGTGGCGCTCGCCTGCAGTCCCAGCTACTCAGGAGGCTGAGACAGGAGAATCGCTTGAACCCGGGAGGCGGAGGTTGCAGTGAGCCAAGATCGCCCCACTGCACTCCAGCCTGGTGACAGAGCGAGACTCCATCTCAAAAAAACAAAACAAAACAAAACAAACTTCATTCCTGAAACAGCTTGAATGAGACACTTGCAACCTACAACCCCCCAAATCTAACTAATAGGCAGTCTAAAATTAGATAAATTGTGGTGTAAATTTCAGAGGCAGTTTGGTAAAAAGGTTCAATTTTAGCCTTCATCAATTTTAGAAAAAAACATTTTGGGAGACAATATTAGGCCCTTGTATGTGGCTTCAATGAGTTTTTAAGAATTTGTTAGCCAACTCTGTAGAAACATCTCCTGCTTGCAAAACAAAACAAAATTATGTTGAAGGTATTATTATGATTATTAGGATAAACATCAGGAGGATGTGTTATAATGGTTTTCTTTCACAACAGGTGGACTTTTTTTGGCTTGTTTCTACCTCTCAAATTAGGGTCTTCATGTGGATGCCACCTAATCTATAGACCAAAGCATTGCTTAATGCTTAAACATTTTTTCTCCGTTTTTCATTATCAATAAGGGCAGTAGGTCAAACATTTTTGTCATTTACCTAGGTCCTGGGTTGTGCTGATAATATTGCTTATGGCACAGATTTTGAAAAAGAGCAGCAAATTTTAGTGCAGCAGAAAAACATACGAAAGTGTTGGAACAGGTTGGGCGCGGTGGCTCATGCCTGTAATCCCAGGACTTTGGGAGGCTGAGGTGGGTGGATCACTTGAGGTCAGGGGTTCAAGACCAGCCTGGCCAATGTGGTAAAACCCCGTCTCTACTAAAAAAAAAAAAAAAAAAAATACAAAAGTTAGCTGGGTGTGGTGGCGGGCACCTGTAATCCCAGCTACTCAGGAGGCTGAGGCAGGAGAATCGCTTGAACCCAGGAAGCAGAGGTTGCAGTGAGCCGAGATCGTACAACTGAACTCCAGCCTGGGGTGACAGAGCGAGACTCCGTCTCAGGAAAAAAAAAACAAAAAACAAAAAACGTTGGAACATTGTGTAGAGATGAGCACTGGATAGGGGTTTGGAAACCTGGATTCTGGTCTTGGTTCTAGTGCTAACAAGCCATGTTATACTGGGCAAGTCCCTTCTCCCTGTCTGTGAAAAACAAAGGAACTGTGTTCCTGAAATTCTCTGCATTGTATGATCTTCTACAACAAAAATGCAAGCTTTGCTAAAGCAGTGTTGTACGCCTTGTCTGGGGCTGAGTCCTAGAATGGTTCCTGGTACCTTGCAGATGCTCAGGAAATATTTATTGCTATTGAACAGCTTATGGTGTCCACTGGCCACAGAAAAGGCTCTGTTGCATGTATAAAGCTGTAGTTATTTTTCAAAAGGCTTTCAGTTAGCAGGCACTCAACACTCACGGGTCTGAAATATTCCATTTGTTCTCAAGGGGAACACACCTTACTTGCTCATACAGAAATATGGGCATGGAGGAGCCTAGTGGACGGGGGAAGAAGACAGGCTTAGGAGTCAGAAAATCTGGCTCACCACTAATGACTGTGTGGCTTTGGGTAAGTCATTCTGTTCTCCAAAGTTCCGTGCTCTCATCTGCAAGGTGAGAGAGCTGACTCAGACCCCGGGACCCTTCTAGAGGCACACCTCTGACTCTGGTCCTCTTATTCTTGTAATAGATAACAAACGAATATTAAGCGCAGATGAAAGCATTCAGAAGAATGTGGGGCTGATGAGGAACAAAGGCAAGAAAATTAGCACAGAGGCACCAGCTCATTAGAAACATCAAGACAGGCAGACTATGCTTTTTATGTTCACCACATAAAATCCTTTATGAGCATCTGCTGGGGTGTCTCTTCCTTTGCTGTTACTGGCTCAGCAAAGCAGGTCATGCCCTCAGCCATGTCTGCTGCCCAAGTAGCTGTCACAGGGAGGTAGCACCAGGAGAGAAAGCCTGCCAGCTTGCAAGTCCATGGCAATGTCCGTGTTCTTTAAACCGCCCAATTGTGGTGATCCTGAGGATTTGGCCTTAACTTTTGTAGACAATTCTGGACCTATCGTATTTTGAGTTCCTTTACAAAAAAATTACTAGATGCCTCACACTCATTAGGATGACCACTGTAAACCAAAAATAAAAACACCCCAGGAAATAACAAATGTTGGCAAGGATGTGGAGAAAGTAGAACTCTGTGCATTGTTGATAAGAGTGTAAAGTGCTGTAGCTGCTGTGGAAACAGTGTGGACGTTCCCCAAAAAAATTAAACATAGAATTATCATATGATCCAGCAATCCCACTTCTGGGTATACACCAAAATAATTGAAAGCAGGATTTCAAAGAGATTTTTGCACATCTATGTTCATTGTAGCTCTATTCACAATAGCCAAGAGGTGAAAGCAACCCCAAATGTCCATTGACAGATAAATAAAAAAAAATGTGGTATAGACATACAATGGAATATTGTTCAGCCTTAGAAAAGGAGATCCTGTGACATGCTACAACATGTGACATGGACCTTGAGGACATTATGCTAGGAAAGATAAGCCAGTCACAAAAAGACAAATACTGTATGATTCTATTACATAAGGTATCTAAGTAGTCAAACTCACAGAAACCAAAAGTAGAATGGTGGCTGTCAGGGGCTGGAGGGAGCTGTTCAATGGATTGAGAATCTCGGTTTTGCAAGATGAAAAAGTTCTAGAGAATTCACAACAGTGTGAATATGATTAACACTACTGAACTGTACACTTAAACATGATTGAGATGGTGAAGTTTATGTTCTGTGTTTTTTAGCACAATTTAAAAATTGACCAGACATGTGACCCAGTAGTAAGCTGCTACTAACCTCGTTGTCACATTAGAATGCCCTTAATTTCTTCAGACAGGGTCTTTCAGTTCTGTGAATAAGAGGCACCAATTCTTTTCCAGCATTGCTAAGAAAGGGAATTTTGCAGTTACACGAATGAAGAAAGAGACACAGTCAAGGTAGGGTGGCCAGCAAGATTGTAATTATGCTCAAAATGGTGGTCTTCTGGTGGAGGGTCCTGGTGGATGGAGGGGTTAGGAAACAGAAGGTGGGATGCTGACTCTTCATTGGCAGCGTGACTCTGTGGGCCCCCGTGGGCTATCAGGGCTATGCTACCCAGGACGGTCTGCTGGGTTTTCTCCACTTGTGTTTCCTGTAGATTTATACTCCTCCTGCATCTTGCTGGGGGCTTAGTTTAGCCTGTGGGATGAAACACTCTTGTGTGGGATCAACAGTCTGGAAAGGAAGAAATGCCATCATCAACTTTCTGAGCAACAAAAGAAATGATATTCTCCAAAGTTATGTTTTTGTTTTTTGAGACAGAGTCTTGCTCTGTCACCCAGGCTGGAGTGCAGTGGTGTGATCTGGGCTCACTGCAAACTCTGCCTCACAGGTTCAAGCAGTTCTCCTGCTTCAGCCTTCTGAGTAACTGAAATTACAGGCATGCACCACCATGCCCAGATAATTTTGTAGTTTTAGTAGAGATGGGGTTTCACCATTTTGGCCAGGCTGGTTTTGAACACCTGACCTCAAGTGATCCGCCCACCTCACCCTCCCAAAGTGCTGGGATTACAGGCATGAACCACTGTGCCAGGCCCTAAAGTTATGTTTGAAGTATTATTATCTCACCTTCATTTAATTCTTTGTCAATAACAAAAGAAGAAACATACTGAGCCTACCTATACCAGGCTACCCCTTAGCCACGAACAAGAATCTTTTTGCAAGCAAGGTTCTTGAATAGCTGATCACTGGAAATTGAAATGAATCCAAGAAACTCTTGGAGGGGACAATAAAGATGTTTTCATTATGTAAATGCCCTCCTGAGGGTTGATTAAAGCACATGATATAGTTATGGCCTGGTCCATGTGTCATTCTAGGAAAAGGCAAATTCTCAGATAACATACCAGAGGGGTTAGCTTAGTTAGTGGCCTAGTAAATTCATTGAATAAATGATCTGAGGGTGGCTTTCACGTTGGGGCTTTAGTTACTTTTGATCCCCGTAATGTAAGAATTGTGTCCCAGTGTGATGTTTTTGGCTGTTTAGATTTGTATGTCTTCAAGTCTTCACAGCCCAAATGTGAATTACCCCCAAACTACTCAGCAGTGCTCCCTCTGTTTTTGCCTGAAAGGATTAAAATTTGTTCATCCATCTGGGCATCCAGATGATGATGACATACCCTGCCCAGTTCTTAGGGCAGCCTGGGCTGCTGGAGCTAGACAGTGACTCAGAGAGGCAGTCAGTGGGGCTCAGGTGATAGGTTCAGACAACTGCTACTAAAAGCTGACCCCAAACTCAGACATATTTACAATCCTGTATTGTCCCCGAGGCAAAATTCGGTAAGCCTGCTGCTCTTCACCTTCACACAGAAGCTTCAAGCTGCCCTTTCTTTCCAGGGACACGCACTTGCATCAGAATGCTATATTGTTGATGGCGATGAAGACTGGGAGGGTTTGGGTGAAAGCTGTCTTGCGCCACCTGGTCTGGCTTAAATCTGGGTGGCTCAAGCTCCACATGCCTTTAGGGATGCTCCTGCTCTGTCTCTCCTCTCTCAGGTCAGTAAAGCCATTAGAAATGAAGCCTGAGGCTGTCCTAAGGAAGGAATGCTTGCTAAGTCCCTCCTGGGTGAATATAGGCGAGTACATTTACCTGCGGCTGAATGGGAGTACCATATGAAGTTAATGCTACATCCTCCTCAGCTCCATCACTGTCTCGGGCTGAAAGCCAAAGGAGGGAAGGGCTGGGTTAGTGTCCGAGAGTCAATCGGAAACAGCACATGAGGACTACAGGAAAACTCCATGGCTTGCAAACAGGCTCTTCACTCTTTAAAAGGAATTCTGAGGCTGGGCACGGTGGCTCACGCCTGTAATCCCAGCACTTTGGGAGGCCAAGACAGGCGGATCACTTGAGGTCAGGAGTTCGAGACTAGCCTGGCCAACATGGCAAAACCCCGTCTTCACTAAAAATACAAAAATTAGCTGGGCGTGGTGGCGTGCACCTGTAATCCCAGCTACTTGGGAGGTGGAGGCAGGAGAATTTCTTGAACCTGGGAGGCGGAGGTTGCAGTGAGCCGAGATCACGCCACTGCATTCCAGCCTGGGTGACACAGCGAGACTAAATAAATAAATAAATAAGAGGAATTATCAATCAGTTGTAGCTGTTATTGAAAAACTTTATGATTTAAAGGAGTGTATTTAAAGTTGATGTAGAAAGCGTGGGTAGCGTGTGAGTGTTTAGGAGAAGCGCATTGGCGTTGGGAGACCACTAGCTCCAAGTCAGTTCTTGCTCTCTCAGTATTACCGTGTGGCCTTGGGCATCTCACTCTTTTCAACAGTCCCTTTAGGCTTGATTCTCTACAAGCTTGAATTCAATTTTTCAAAAATTTAAAAATTTTGCCCAGGTTGATCTTAAACCCCTGGCCTCAAACCTCCCACCTTGGCCTCCCAAAGTGCTGGGATTATAGGTCTGAGCCACCATGTCTCACCTGAATTCAATTTTTAAAATTGGGCATAATAAAAGAGATCACTTGAGACGATTCTATATTGTTGTAGGATCATCACAGACATAGGTATTTGTTTAATGGCTGCCTCCTCAACCAGCCTGTAAGCTCTGTGAAGACAGGAGCTGTGCCTGTCTCTAAGAGCAGGTACTTGCTGGATACCTAGTTGTTTTTTGATGATCACAGACATAACCGTGTTAGTAGGGTTCACACTTAGGGGTTTCATGTTGAGTGGATGGACCCTGGAAAAGGACTGCTTGGCTCTCTCATTTGTGTTACCTACCTAGGGCCAAGTTCCTTAACCTTTTGTTGCCTTTGTTTCCTGATGGAAATAAAAGAGGAATAATGACAGTCATAACAGTAAGTCTATCTCATAGGATTGCTTTGAGGATTATGTAAAATGTTATATAAAGTCCTTGGAACAGAGCTATCCTTTGTGTATGATTATTGGTGGTGGTGCTGGTGCTGCAGTTATAATAGATGCTCTGACATCCTCTTCCTAGTGGCTTTTTACTTATTTTTTTTATTTTTTAAAGGGGCTGATGCTGTGATACATGAAATGCTTGTCTTTCCTTCATGGCAGAACAAACTGAATCCTTGGCTCAACTTCATTCCTTGTGTCATAACAAGGCTCCTTCACACTCAGTCTCTTGGGAACCAACTTTCAGCCAACATTCTCATCAAACCAGATCATCAGTTAGAAAAGCCTAATTCTTCCAGCTCTAGCTATAGTTCATGAGTTTACCAAAAGGCTGAGCGTTTTTTTATACTAAACCTGCACCACTGTGTGATAGGAAGTCCGAGTTGAGTAAGACCTTCCATTTATCTGTGGAGAAGGCAGGGAGGGAGGTGATGAGCAGCATTTAAAGATGAGGAATCTGAGGCTCCTAGGGCTTGAGGACCTTGGTTTGGTCTCGAAGCAGAGTCTCGGAGCCTGGGCACATGCGGCCCGATTCTGCACTCTTTCCACTGCCCTTTGCTGCCCAATTATGCTCTCACTCCCTGAATTTGTTTTTTTAAATTGAAATGTAATTTTTTTAGAGTGTGCAGTGGCGCAATCATAGCTCACTGCAACCTTGAACTCCTGGACTCAAGTGATCCATCTCACGGCCTCTTGAGTAGCTAGGACCACAGGTGTGTGCCACTATGTCCAGCTAAGCTCTCTGAATCTTTGTGAATGACACCATCCTTGACTTATCTGTCCTCAGACCAAACAAATCCTGCCTATGACCCCACTGTCTTCTTCCTTGCTTTAAGCTAGTTCTCTCTCTGTGACCTGTAATTTGAGGGTGACAAAAAAGAACTTCCCATGAAAGAACAAACAAACATGACACCACCTGGGACCATTGAAGTTGGATTTCCCCTGGTAAGGTGAGTGTGCCTTGAAGAAAAAAATGTTCAAAAAGGGCTATGTTCAGCAAAAGTTGGAGTTTGCTAGGGAAACAACCAGAAGGGCTTATGTTTGCAGGAATAGTGTTCTCTTGGTTCATCTCGTTTTATACTCGTTGATCCGTTTTTACATTATATAGACTCATTGATTATCTAATGCCTTCAAAAAGAATCATATGAGGTTTGTCTGTATGCATCCAAACACTGGATGGAAAAATGCCTACAGTACTGTGACACCTTTCTTCCTTCCTTCCTTCCTTTCTTCCTTCCTTTCTTCCTTCCTTCCTTCCTTCCTTCCTTCCCTTCCTTCCTTCCTTCCTTCCTTCCTTCCTTCCTTCCTTCCTTCCTTCCTTCTTTCTTTCTTTCTTTCTTTCTTTCTTTCTTTCTTTCTTTCTTTCTTTCTTTCTCTCCCTTTCTTTCCCTTTCTTCCTTTTCTTCCCTTTCTTTCCTTTTCTTTCCTTTTCTTTCCTTTTCTTTTTCTCTCTCTCTCTTTCTCTCTCTCTTTCTCTTTCTCTCTTTCTTTCTTTCGAGTCTCGTTCTCGTTGCCCAGGCTGGAGTGCAATGCATGATCTCAACTCACTGCAATCACCACCTCCCGGGTTCAAGTGATTCTCCTGCCTCAGCCTCACAAGTAGCAGGGACTACGGGTGCCCGACACCACGCCCAGCAAATTTTTTGTATTTTTAGTAGAGACAGCATTTCACCATGTTGGCCAGGCCGATCTTGAACTCCTGACCTCAGGTGATCCACCCTCCTCGGCCTCCCAAAGTGCTGGGATCACAGGCATGAGCCACCACGCCGGGCCAACGCTTTCAAATACAGATGGGTCTTAGTGTTAGCAAATATGATATAACAATATTCCTGTTAGTCTAAAACAGATAAGGCAGGCAATAGTTAGAAGTTTTCCACTCATAAAACAATTCATAGCTGATATTCTACTCTAAGATTTCTGCTCTTTATATCACATTTAAGATTCTCAATTAAAAGACCTACTGATTTTATTCTATTTATTTATTTTGAAGGTTAGTTATCATTTATTCAGGAAGAGAAATATTCCAAAATTTACCAACTCCAAATTAAATATAAAACAAGTATTATATCATCAACTAATTAATGAATATGTTAAAAAATAACATAATCCCAGGATCATGTAAATGGAAAGTAGTTAAACATCAAAATAATTTCAGAATTACATCTCTATTTTATTTTGCATTTTAATTGCTTCATTTCATGTACACAAATTCTTTACCCTAATCTTTTTGTTGAAGTTTCCTGTACCTAACAATATGCTGAGCATGTTAAATTTCAATCAAATGCTGTGAGAGGATGTATCTATATTTTTGGCTCAAGATTTTGATTGAGGCCAACTGATTTTTAAAAGTCCAATCAATATACAGCTTTTCAGGGACACACTTATAACACAGAGCAAATAATATTTATACCCATTTGTTTGGTGTCCTACAGTAATACACCTGATTGCATTTTCATTCTCCATCCAGATGTTTTTGTATCTTAAAATTAAGTCCATAATCCACTTCGGAGGAATAAAGCCTAATCTTCTTTAGATAGACTTCCAGGGAAATGAAATTCTTAATCCCCTTTGCTGATCTGTTTCTGTCTACCAACTCTTATTTTCATTTTTAATCTAAATCTCTCATGCCTTTGCGTCCATTTCCACCCACTATCTTTAGTTGGAGATGGAAAACAACAGGACAACCGCCTCTTGGGGAGAGGTCTTCACACTTGTGAAATTTTCTTTCTTTCCTTTCTTCCTTCCTTCCTTCCTTCCTTTCTTCCTTCCTTCCTTCCTTTTCTTTCTTTCTTTCTTTCTTTCTTTCTTTCTTTCTTTCTTTCTTTCTTTCTTTCTTTTCTTTCTTTCTTTCTCTCTTTCTCTCTCTCTCTTCTTCTCTCTCTTTCTCTCTCTCTCTTTCTCTCTTTCTCTCTCTCTCTCTCTCTTTCTCTCTTTCTTTCTTTCGACGCAGCCTTGCTCTGTTGCCCAGGCTGGAGAGCATTGGTGTGATCTCGGCTCACTGCAACCTCTGCCTCCCAGGTTCAAGTGATTCTCATGCCTCAGCCTCCCGAGTAGCTAGGATTACAGGCATGCGTCACCATGCCCAACTAATTTTTGTATTTTTAATAGAGATGGGGTTTTACCCTGTTGGACAGGCTGGTCTCTAACTCCTGTCCTCAGGTGATCTGCCTGCCTTGGCCTCTCAAAGTGGTGGGATTGCAGGTGTGAGCCACTGCGCCCGGCCATACTTGTGAAATTTCCAGCTAGGGATCCCTTGTCCTACTCTCCTTTTAGCTGAATAATTCTGGTCTCATAACCCAGTGGTAAATTAAATAATTATGTGACTGGAATCACAGCTACAAACAGCATTAGTCAGAAGGGTCACATCACAAATGCATGCCTCATGGACTGAAACAACATGTGTTTTGGGACAGAATTTCGAGAGAGAACTTGGATAGTCTGGTAAAGCACATAAAACTTAAGAATGACCATCTCATTCTCACTGTCTTCACCTTTCCACACAGGTCTGATGTTATACCCTTTAATCATCTTTGTTGGGTTCTGCCAAGCCTCCCCAAACTTCCCACACTTCTCATTAGTGGATCAGTGGGTATCCTTGCTAGAGACTGACCGATTGTGGGTACAATGGCACGGTTGTTCTTGCTGACCACACATCTGTTTATACAGTACCATGATTGTTTCTTGAGCAAACAAAAGCAAAGACAGTGGTAAGTTGTTTCCCTACTATCAGCTCATGACCTACCATAACACTTAGGACGTTTCAAGTTATTGTTATTATACTTCTCTAGCTCTTAACCTATTTCGTATCTATTTGTATGTTTTTCCTAGCTAGGTGGAATCCTGCACTTTTAATTGAGTTTTAATCATTCCTCTAAATTTTGATATTTGTACTTCTTCCAGATGACCTAAATTCTGATTTTACTTTCTGAGCTTAAGCTTCTGGTTATTTTGCCCAATCTTGGAGGGCAATTCCTTCCCTTCCTTCCTTCCTTTCTTCCTTCCTTCCTTCCTCCCTCCCTCCCTCCCTCCCTTCTTTCTTTTATTTTAAATTGAGACAGGGTCTCGTTCTGTCACCCAGGCTGGAGTGCAGTGGTGTAACCGTGGCTCCCCGCAGCCTCAACCTCCCAGACTCAAGTGATCTTCCCACCTCAGCCTCCTGAGTAGCTGGGGCCACAGGCCTGTGCCACCATGCCCAGCTAATTTTTTGTAGAGACGGGGTTTCGCCATGTCGCCCAGGCTGGTCTTAAACTCCTGAGCTGAAGTGGTCCAGCCGCCTCGGCCTCCCAAAGTGCTTGGGATTACAGGTGTGAGCCACAGAGCCCAGCCAATCTGTATGTTCTTTACAACACTATTGATTTTTTTTCCACAAAATTTCAAATTACATTGATGATGGCTATCACTGGCAGACTATTTCCTGCTCAGAGATGGGTTTTCTAACCTTGCTTGAGTCATAGGAGACTCCTGGCCAAACCAGGGATCATCGTATTTTAGCAGGCCTTTGCTCTTCAACTGAGATACTCCTTCGAGCCCGTTCAATGCTTGCCTGCTACTTTGTGGGGTAAGGAATATTGATCATTACAAAGCTCAGTGTATTTTGGTTTATTGTGAAACTCTAAGAATTTTTTTTTTGCTCTGACTTTTGTTTCCTGGAAACACACAGCAGCAACGAAAACACAAAAAGTTTTATCTTCTAGTAAGAACTATGAGAAGTATTTTCAGGAAAGATTGACTCTGCAATTCTGCCACAAAACTCAGTGATGTGATTATGCCTCACCAACAAGCAATGGAAAACTTTTATGGGAAAAAGTGTGTAGTATCAATTTCCAACTTTTGGTCAACTGAACTGAAAAGAATCAATGGATGTATTTATCTGAACAGGATTTAATTTGAATGCGCAACTAGCCACAGATTACAGCTCAAAAAAAGTGTATGTACTTAAAAGGAAGCTTATGTGAATTTTTTTGAGCCTGGTGAACATTATGTGTGCTGTACAATATATAAAATAACATCATCATTACATATTAGAAATAAAATGTGAGAAATCAGATGCCTATTAAGACACAAAAATTGATGTAAAACTATGATATTGGGTTTTGGATAATAGCCCAGATGTTTCAGAAAAGGAATTAATGAGTTTTGACATATTTCCAGATAATTAAAATTAGCCACTATTTCCCCCAGGTTGTTGGGGTCCAAGCATCCTTGTTGCCATGGATAATGTATTTTATTCCTTAACAAAGTGGAGTCAGGTGGCTTGAATCAAAATATGACCCAGAAATTATTATGAAAATGTCACATAAGCAAGTTACTTTCTTTCTCCTAATGATCACACATCTGAGTCTTTACTCAGAATTAGGATATAATGGCTCTTCCTCTCGCTTTTTGTAAACCTTGAAGGATTTTAAATAGTAAATGTTTTGAAAAGTTGAAATCCAGAAGTGATTGGGCTTTATGGCTTTAATGAGGTGGTGAGTCCTGTGAATCAGTTTAAGATTACGTTTGGGCAAATTAGCTTTGAGACAAATTTTTAAAATGTCCATCACTGCTGCCAGGATCGGCTGTTGCACTTGAAGGCCAATACATCTGGACTTAACATTAGATATCATGCAAAATCGCATGGTCCAGGCCTAATTTAGGGCCAGTTAACTCATTTTATAGTGGATGCCTTTCTTTAACCAGTGTGAACATTCAGAGTCATACCCTCTTTATTTAGGGCCTTTGATTCATGTATGTCTTGGTCTCTCCCCATAAAGCTCTATGCTTTGGAAGAACTCATTTTTCATAAAAATTTAACCTTGATTCTGGGAGTCTGCATTTCTATGCTTGAACTATGAAGCCACCCACCCCAAATCTGACCATTTTCTTTTAGTTTCCTCTTGGCTCATCCTACTGCATGATTTTTCTCCTGCTTCTCCTGTAGGAGCACCTCCCTGCTCCCTGAATCCCCCAGGAATGTACCTCTGGAGAGCTCCTGGTTCTCCACTTGGAAGCTGTGTTGGTAGGCTGTGACGGGGCAGGCATTGCCTTGTAAAGGGCACTCCTGTCTACACGATCTGTAGAGAATGCAGAGCTCAGGGACGATGTACAGCAGCAGGA
This sequence comes from Homo sapiens, assembly GCF_000001405.40. Lineage (NCBI taxonomy): Eukaryota > Metazoa > Chordata > Mammalia > Primates > Hominidae > Homo > Homo sapiens. Next base: position 12,949,628 of record NC_000012.12, read on the forward strand.
AAACCCATGCGTTGGTGACCAGAGCAATGCAGACGACCGGGTCGTCCCACTGGGGCTGTCGCTGGAACTGCGGGTTGCCTCTCAGGAGCATGGAGATCCACACCACCCAGATGATGATGGAGAAGAGCACAGTGATAAAGATGAGCCTTCCATGCTGCTTCCAGTTCTCACACGGGCCACAGAAGGTGGCTTTGGAGACGAAGAATGTGAGGGCCATCAGGAAGAGGACATAGACCAGGAGTACAACAAAGTCCACATTGAGCTGGCAGGGTGTCATATTCACAAACATCATACCTCTGGTCATGATGAGAGTCACATACTCAGTGGCAATAATGATTTGCAACAGACTGCAACCAATAGCAATGCACAGAATTGTCGTCCAGGAGAAGGAGACACAACCCCGAACCAGCTTCACTAGATTGGAGGCATGAGCTAAGAGGCATGAGAAACAGAGAGCAAAGAGAACCCCAAAGAGAAAGTAGCGTACGGGGGCAGTTTGTTGATTGAGCTCGATGATGAAGGCAAAAGCGAGTCCGAAGAGCCCCAGGACACTCAGGAGGAAGAGGAGCTGGGTGGGGAGGACATTCCACTGGCTGCAGTCTTGGATCTTTCGCATGAGGAAGAGAAATGCTAAGAGTAGCAGAATTGTGACCACGATGCCAAGTATGGCCAGGGACTCCAGAATGATGCCCCATGGCCCCTCGGCGTCACAGAGAAGAAAATAGTCTCCAGTGGACTCGATGCAGTCCTTGTACATGGTGACTTATGGGTGTGGACCTCACCAGAATGGTTTTCTGATGCCCTGCAGAAAAAGGATGAGACAAATTGACAACTCTGCATCTCTTAGGTTGGTGCAAAAGTAATTGTGCTTTTTGCTATTAAAAGTAATGGCAAGAAGGCTGGGTGCGGTGGCTCACTCCTGTTATCCCAGCACTTTGGAAGGCTGAGGCGGGCCGATCACTTGAGGTCAGCAGTTCAAGACCAGCCTAGCCAACATGGTGAAACCCCATCTCTACTAAAAATACAAAGATTAGCCGGGTGTGGTGGTGCACACTTGTAATCTCAGCTACTCGGGAGGCTGAGGCAGGAGAATCGCTTGAACCCAGGAGACAGAGTTTACATTGAGCCGAGATTGCCCCACTGTACTCCAGCCTGGGTGACAGAGTGAGACTCTGTCTCAAAAAGCAAAAAACAAGGCAGGGTACAGTGGCTCATGCTTGTAATCCTAGCACTTTAGGAGGCCAAGGTGGGTGGATCACTTGAAGTCAGGAGTTCAAGACCAGCCTGGCCAACATGGTGAAACCCCATCTCTACTAAAAACACACATAAAAAATTAGCCGGGCATGATGGCATGCGCTTATATTCCCAACTACTTGGGAGGCTGAGGCAGGAGAATTGCTTGAACCCAGGAGGCAGAGGTTGCAGTGAGCCAAGATCGCACCACTGCACTCCAGCCTGGGCGACAGAGTGAGACGCTGTCTGAAAACAAAAACCGAAAAACAAAAAACACACAAACAAAAAAAGTAACGTCAAGAACCGCAACTGCTTTCGCACCAACCTAATACCTACAAGAATGCCTATTGGGTGGTCCATGCTGGGCACTGTAATTTCTCTCATTCTGAAATGAAGACACCTGGGCATATGAAATAAATGTCCTTACCAAAATTGTTCCTAGGACACTGTCAAGAGCCTGAGTTACATTTTGTTTGACTCCTGATACTTATCTAAATGCTAAGCTTCCCTGGGGGAAGAAATTCAGAGATATATGCAAACATAGTCTAAGGGGATGGGAAATGCCATCACACATATTACCCCAAATTTATAGCAGTTTTATATAGGATGTCAGTAAAGGAAATGAGAAAGGCAACCTAAACCCTTCAAAACTATCTTGGCTTCATCCTGCTGGGAAAAGCTGAACAGGCTTCACTTGATAATATGTCCATTTGTGTATGCTAATTTCCAAGGCTTTGAAAGCTAATACAAAATCTTTTTCATAAAAGGAGGTGTATGAGAATGTTTGCATGATTGATGGAATTCAGTTATATCAGACTCCAGAACAAGGACTGCCAACATTAATGGATCATTGGATCGTTCTAGACACTGATGCACTGCTTGAAGGAGACAGGCAGATAAATTACTGGGAATAAAATTTCCCAGTAATTTTAATGACTGTTCCTTCTTTCAGTTAATTCAAGTCAATCCAATGCAGCAGGTTGTAGTTAAACACCTATTGTGTGTTCATCAAAGAATTGTACAAAATGGTCCCTTTCTTTAAATACCTTTTTGAACAGTTTAGTACGAAAGTCCATGTCTTGACTGAGGTAGCCTAGGAAAAAGATCCCACATATTCATTTGAAAAAAAAAAATCAATTGCAATTGAATACCCCTTAGCTCTACTTCCCTTCAGTTATCCCCAGACCAGATGGCTGGAGTGACCCAGGTTTACAGCTGAGAACATGGCCCCCCAATTCCAACTTACCTTCTCCGTGTCCACTCTGGAAGCTTAGGCTGTAGTGCTGGCAAAGTTGTAACTGCCAATGAGTAAGAAAGAGCCAACCTCAGCTTCTTTAATCTCTCCCCAAATGGGCGGAAGAACCGTAGGCTCTCACTGAGGTTCCTGCAGTATCTATAAAAAGAACCGGAAGGACAGAAAGACACACCTATTCCAGTTTCACAGCAACTTTTCTACAGAGATTTCCTTGGTGAGAATAATTCTTTTTCATTCTACTGCTGACCAGAGGCACCTTGGCCTTAGGGAGCGGGTGTAAATCTGAAAGTGGGTATAAATCTAGGAAAGACGGCTTCCTCCCTGTGTATTGCAACACATTCAGGGAAGCTACACAAGGCCCTCAGGTGACTTACACCAGGATACCTCGTCCTTCTTCTGACCTATTGCCTAAAAAGCCATCTCTGGAGACTTTCTCACATCTTGATTTTTTTTTTTTTTTTTTTTTTGAGATAGAGTCTTGCTCCATCACCCAAGCTGGAGTGCAATGGCACGATCTCGGTTCATTGCAACTTCTGGCCTCCCGGATTCAAGCAATTCTCCTGCCTCAGCCTCCCGAGTAGCTGGGATTACAGGCGCATGCCACCACATTTTGTATTTTTAGTAGAGACGGGGTTTCACTATGTTGGCCAAGCTGGTCTCAGACTCCTGACCTCGTGATCTGCCCGCCTTGGCCTCCCAAAGTGCTGGGATTACAGGTATGAGCCACCTTGCCCGGCCCCCACATCTTGATTTTAATTCAAAAGAGCATCCATTCAACAAAGTACAGGTAATGAGGTTTCACTGGGCCATAAGGAAGGGTGGTTTTGTCTACTACTGGCATTAAAATGGCCAGTGGCAGGCAAAACTGTGAATCAGTCTGTGAATTTATCCCAAGATAAAGAACTGACAATTAAAGGTCACCGGCTGATACTTGAATACCATATTCCTTTTCTTCTATGGTGACACAAAATACAGCACAGCACAGTGTCCAGCCTACACCCACCAACCGCACCCCGCCACCTCCAATTTACTCCTTGATTTTCTTCCTGAATATATGTTTGTTTTTTTTTTTTTTTGAGATGGAGTCTCGCTCTGTCGCCCAGGCTGGAGTGCAGTGGCGCGATCTCGGCTCACTGCATCCTCCGTTTCCTGGGTTCAAGTGATTCTCCTGCCTTGGCCTCCCGAGTAGCTGGGATTACAGGTGCATGCCACCACGCCCGGCTAGTTTTTTATATTTTTGGTAGAGACGGGGTTTTACCATGTTGGCCAGGCTTGTCTTGAACTCTTGACCTCAAGTAATCTGCCTGCCTCTGCCTCCCAAAGGGCTGGGATTACAGGTGTGAGCCACCACACCCAGCCCCTGAATATATGTATTTCGACAGAGGACTGCTGAAGACCCCAAACCAGTGTCTGGTTTCAAGGTGCTTGTGATCTGGCTCTCCCTTTCTTACCCACCTGTACTTCCTTCACATCTCCAGGCTCTATGGTTTAGCCTCCTTGGTTTTCCCACTGGCTCACAAAAAAAATAAGTTCCCAAGTGCTCACCTCTGTCCCTGTCCGAAACTGCCTTGTGCTTGATTCCCATTTATCCTATTTTTGACCCAAATTCATTCCCTCCCTGTAGGATTTTCTTCACCTTATCTCCTCTATGACTCTTCCTGCCTTCCCTCATCATTCTAGACCTCGCTGATCACCTTCCACCAGGAACTATACAAGACTTGGGGTCTGTTCTGTTCAAAATTACAGAAACCCTATTTTCTGCCTATTAGTTAACTTATGAATACATATTAAGTAATAATGAATTGAAATAAATGAATAATAAATGTCTCAATTTCTGTTATATGAATTAATCTCATCTCCTGATTGGATTTATAGCTGTCTAGGGGTCAGGTTCCACATTTTATGTCCCCATAGTACCTGCTTCTATGTGGAGAACCTCCTGGGTGATGGATAATTCAATTAATGGAATGATTCTAAAGATAAAATTCCAGATCTTTCAGAAGGTCCTTTTTAGTGGTGTGGTTTTTCAACAGATGTGTGTTAATGGAAAACACCTGCAAATAAGTGAGAGACTTAACAAACCCTTGACAAAATCATTCTGAAGTGGTGTTCTATCTTTAGAGTTCCTTAACTTCAAAAAGCCATTTTCTCCTATGAGAGAAGAAGATTCTAGGGATGATAGAATTTTCTTACATCCAATTACACCTTAAGCTCCCCTTTACCTGCTTTGGGTATAATAGCAGTCTTTCCGAAGCTGTGAAGGCTAATGTTTACGTTAAGGGTAAAGGGATTTTTCAGATGATGAAATGTGACATCCGTGAGCATCCACTCAAAGAGCATAGTGAGTGGTTAAACTGCTGTCAGCAGAACTGCAGGAGGATTTTCCATTGAATTCTTCCAGGAGTACTATTTTGTTGATCCTGCACCTCCCACCCCCTTCCTGCTGGTTAGTCATGGTTGTCATTCCTCCTCCTGGTGATGTTTTAGCTTCTGGTGTGCTTGTCTTCTAAGGAGATTCCTCTTGAGCTCCTGATGGCTTGAGACCAGTGGATTTATGGGTTAATGACCACAAAGCCCTTTAAGTACCTTAGATAAAAGGACGTGTCCCAGGTATTAATTATTGTTATTTTAAAATCTAGCGTTATAGAATTAACCCATCTGCAGCTAGGCCTTAAGGATATGAGGGGCCTTTTTGCCTACACACATCCAAATTACTCACAGCTCATTTCTTTTGGCTTCTGTGCTACAATAACATCAGAACAAACAGCTCAGATATGGCTTTGATTAATCAAAATACACTGATTACAATGAGTCCAATAAAAATGGAAATAAAACAGTCAGGACACCAAACATCTTATGTCAAACACCTATTTATGTTGTTTCCTTCTCACAGAAACAGAGCTGGAGGGAATGTTAAAGGTTACCTAGCCTAACTCCTATTAATGATTAATAATAAGGAAGCCAATGTTACAACATGAGGAATTTAATAATAAGGAAGCAGAGGCCCAGGGATGAAGGGATGTGCTTACCATATGGAATGTTGAAGATGACAGCCAAGGTTTGTTGTCTCCTGGCCATATTCTTGCTGTTGTACCAGGCAGCCTTTCCTGACTCTTCCCACCTTATAAGGACAGGCTTTTAGAGAGACGTGAGCCTTTAAGCATGATTTGACCGGCATACACACACAAAAGAATATGAAAGCACATCACATATTCTTCATCCTGCAGCTATCATGACTGGCCGTGTGAGGACAGGCTGTGTGGGACGGAATGCATCAGTCAGGAGTGGCCCATTTGTTCTTTTGCTCACTGGCATCTCCAGGGCTGGCGTCATGAGGGTGTAACCAGTGCAGTTGTATGGGAAACCCCATTCAGAAGGGCCCTGTGCTTGGAATTGAATACTCTGTGGTTGCCATATTGAAGTTGTTAATACTTGCATCTTTGAATTTGTGTTTGGTAAGTGAAGTGGGGCAGGACACAGAAGCATGCGCTGAGGCTTGAGTCTTGATTCACACCCCACCCTGCCTTCCATGGCCTCTCCTCCTTCCTGAGACAGGTTCTTGGCCACCCACTCTATGCCACCATGTGGTGTCCTGGGTTGCCCAGCTAGCCTCCCCATTTGTGCTTCTGCCATGTGATTACTGCCGCCCCTCACCTGGGCTCACCTCTCTGCCATGGGTTGGGACAGTAGGCCCTTAGAAAGAGGGTATTGACTTGTTCATTTCCAAGCAGGGCTGCATATTTTCTTTCTTTCTTTCCTTCAATTTCTTTCTTTCCTTAATTTCTTTCTTTCTTTCTTTTTCTTTCTTTCTTTCTTTCTTTCTTTCTTTCTTTCTTTCTTTCTTTCTTTCCTTCCTTCTTTTCTTTCTTTCTTTCCTTCCTTCCTTCCTTTCTTTCCTTCTTTCTTTCTTTCCCTTCCTTCCCTCTTCTCTTTCTTTCCTTTTTTCTTTCTCTTTTTCCTTCCTTCCTTCTCCTTCCTTCCTTTTTCCTCCTTTTCTTCTTCTCCTTTTCTTTCCTTTCTTTCCTTCCTTCCTTTCCTTTTTTCTTTCTTTCTTTCTTTCTTTCTTTCTTTCTTTCTTTCTTTCTTTCTCTTTCTTTCCCTTCCTTCCTTTCTTCCTTCTTTCTTCTCTTTCTTTCCTTCTTTTTTCTTTCTTTCTCTTTTTCCTTCCTTCCTTCCCCTTCCTTCCTCCCTCTGTCCCTTCCTTTCCTCCTTCCTTCCATTTTCCTCCTTTTCTTCTCCTTTTCCTTCTTTCTTTCTTTTTCTTTTCTTTCTTTCCCTTCCTTCTTTCTTCTCTCTTTCTCTTTCCTTCTTTTTTCTTTCTTTCTCTCTTTTTCCTTCCTTCCTTCCTTCCTTTCTCTTTCTTTCTTTCTTTCTTTCTTTCTTTCTTTCTTTCTTTCTTTCTTTCTTTCTTTCTCTTTTCTCTCTTTCTCTCTTCCCTTTTTCTTTTTTTCTTGAGATGGAGTCTAGTTCTGTTTCCCAGGCTGGAGTGCAGTGGCACGATCTCTGTTCACTGCAACCTCTGTCTCTTGAGTTCAAGCAATTCTCATGCCTCAGTCTCCTGAGTAGCTGGGATTACAGGCATGTGCCACCACACCCAGCTAATTTTTGTATTTTTAGTAGAGATGGGGTTTCACCATGTTGGCCAGGCTGGTCTTGAACTCCTGACCTCAAGTACTCTGCCCACTTCAGCCTCCCAAAGTGCTGGGATTACAGGTGTGAGTCATGGCACCCAACCTGGGCCATGTATTTTTGTTTTGCATTTGGCTCCAGAAATTATATAGCTGGCCCTGGGCATCTTATTCGGTTTTCTGGTATTTGATGCCTAGTTTGATCAATTTTGTATCAGGATGTGAACACTGTCCAGTTTAATTTTATGTTGATATAATGTGGAATTAGTTGTGAAGTGCCGTAGCAATTGATCAGCAAATTGTCAAGACTCTCAGCTGAGTATCACTTAAGAATGTCAGGATATTTTTTGGAATGGAAGTTATTCTACTTTTTTTTTTTTCAGTTTGTAGCTATTATAACACTTTAATTGAACTAGTATACATTCTGTTATACAGAGCTGCTTTATTATTAGAAGAAAGCAGATGATATAAAAATATAGAGGTATATTCAAGTTCAGCTTGTTGACACCTGTACTATTACAGAATAATATGAGACAATTTTTTTAATGGAATTACAGTCTGGTACAGATTTTTTGATTCAATTAAATCACAACACTGATGTTGCAAATTGCCAACACTTTTAGTCAGACTAGATATGACTGACAAGACAATTTTTATGAAGAATTTGTTGTGCATCTGGAAGTATAAATCTGACAATACTGAGAAAAATGTTGACTCTAATAACATTTTTTGGGCTAGGCTAGGTGTGGTGGCTCACTCCTGTAATCCCAGCACTTTGGGAGGTTGAGGCTGGCAGATTGCTTGAGCCTAGGAGTTCAAGACCAGACTGGGCAACATGGCAAAACCCATCTCTACAAAAAATACGAATATTAGTCAGGCATGGTGGTGCACACCTGTAGTCCTAGCTACTCAGGAGGCTGAGGCGGGTGGATCGCTTGAGCCCAGGAGGTTGAAGCTGCAGTGAGCCGAGATGGCGCCACTGCACTCCAGCCTGGGTGACAGAGTGAGACCCTGTCTCAAACTGCCTCCGCCAAAACCCGAAAGAGAGCCCTATTTTTTATTTTATTTGAGTTGCATTCTAAAAAGGAAAAAGTACATGGAAGACCTGATAGTGAAGATTATTTAAATGCGATTTTATAAAATATACAAGGCTTAACAAAAATGACAGACTCAACATATTATTTACAAAAAATTTTTTATAATTGAAAGCTTAGGACCTTCAAAATAAAAAACATACCTGGAAATACAACATAATATCTTGTCAATAAGTCAAAGAAATGTTTCCAAAGGAAAAATACATATGATTACTAATAATTTATAAGTTGTCAGCTACTATTAATGAAAGAGCCATATAATCACCTATTTAGTAGTGTATTAGGGGCAAAAAAGAAAATGGGTCATGCAACTGTCAAAAATTATTCTTCCAGAATGGATGAGATGGTACATAGGATTTTTTATGATAAAATGATAAATCAGCTGAAAAATTAAAAATTATACCTTTTAGTATCCCATAATATCTCATCAAATCTATACTATTACAGAACAATAACAGGCAGTGTTTTTGAATGCAATGACAGTATGGTACAGATTTTGTGATTCAACTTAATGAAAGCACTGATATTGTAAGTTGCCAACACTTTTAGTCAGATCAGATGTGACTGACAAGACAATTTTTATGGAGAATTTGTTGTGTTTAAATTTTATTTTACTTTATTTTATTTTGAGATGGAGTTTCACTCTTGTCACCCGGCTGGAGTACAATGGTGCGATCTCGGCTCACTGCAAACTCTGCCTCCCGGGTTCAAGCGATTCTTGTGCCTCAGCCTCCCAAGTAGCTGGGATTACAGGTGCGCACCGCCATGCCTGGCTAATTTTTTTTGTGTGTTTTTAGTAGAGATGAGGTTTCACTATGTTGGCCAGGCTGGTCTCGAACTCCTGACCTCAGGTGATCCACCTGCCTTGGCCTCCCAAAGTGCTGGGGTTGCAGGCATGAGCCACTATACCCGGCCTTAAATTTTATTTTAGCCTCAACTGGATTAGATATCATCTCCTCGTTGGAAAAGTATATTGTTTATCGAACATTTTTTAAAAAAATTTTTAACTTTTATTTTAGGTTTGTGGGTACATGTGTAGGTTTGTTACATAGGTAAACGCGTGTCACGGGGGTTTGTTGTACATGTTATTTCACCACCCAGGTATGAAGCCCAGTGCCCAGTAGTTATATTTTCTGCTCCTCTCCCACCTCCCACCCTCTCCCCTCAAGTAGGTCCCAGTGCCTGTTGTTCCCTTCTTCGTGTTCAGAAGCTCTTATCATTGAGCTCCGCATTGTAAGTGAGAATCTGTGGTATTTGGTTTTCTGTTCCTGTGTTAATTTGCTAAGAATAATGGCCTCCAGCTCCATCTATGTTCCGCCAAAAGGCATGATTCTCATCTCATTTGATAGCTGCATAGTCTTCCATGGTGTATATGTCCCACATTTTCTTTATCTAATCTGTCATGGACGTGCATTTAAGTTGATTCCATGTGTTTGCTGTTGTGAAGAGTGCTGCAATGAACATTCGTGTGCATGTGTCTTTACGGTAGAATGATTTGTATTCCTTTGGGTATATAGCCAGTAATGGGATTGCTGGGTCCAATGGTAGTTCTGTTTTTAGTTCTTTGAGGAATTGCCATACGTTGAATATTACTTAAACTGAAAAAAATGTAAAGGAATTATGAGTGTGGACAACAAATACAACCAGAAAATCTGGCGGAATTAATAAATATTGTTAAAAAACTACTAACAGCCCTGGTTTATTCAACATAAGGCTTTGGCACCTAAAGAAATTTAACTGAACTTCATGGATTTATTGAAATCGAGATGCCAGTGGGCAAAACTTGTAGAAATATTTTGTTCAGATATTGGAGCTGACATATCCACTTACCACACGTAGTCAAAGTCCTGGTTACCATGAGGAAAAATACTCAAAAATAAGATTTAGATTTTGTTAAACTGAAAAACTATCTCATCTGGCAAATATTTTTGAACATGGTATTTGGATAGTAAAAGTGCACATTTAGCTGATTTGGGGGCATTATTTTCCTTTTTTTTTTTTTTTTTTTTTTTAAGACAAGGGTCTTGCTCTGTCACCTGGGCTGGAGTTCAGTGCTGCTATCAAAGCTCACTGCAGCCTGAAACTCCTGGGCTCAGGCATAACTGGAAATACAGGTGCACACCACCATGCTCAGCTAATATATTTTTTTTAATTAAAAAATTTTGGCTGGGTATGGTGGCTCATGCCTGTAATCCCAGCACTTTGGGAGGCCAAGGCTGATGGATCACAAGGTCAGGAGTTCAAGACCAGCCTGGCCAACATGGTGAAACTCCATTTCTACTAAAAATACAAAAATTTGCCAGGTGTGGTGGCAGGTGCCTGTAATCCCAGCTGCTTGGGAGCCAAGATCGCGCCACTGCACTCCAGCCTGGGACAGAGCGAGACTCCATCTCAAAAAAAAAATTTTAGACTGGGTGTGGTGGCTCATGCCTGTAATCCCAGCGCTTTGGAAGGCCAAGGTGGGTGGATCTCTTGAGGCCAGGAATTCGAGACCAGCCTGGCTAACATGGCAAAACCATCTCTACTAAAAATACAAAAATTAGCTGGGTGTGGTGGTGCACACCTGTAATCCCAGCTGCTCAGGAGGCTGAGCCACGAGAATTGCTTGAACCCAGGAGGAGTCAGAGGTTGCAGCGAGCCAAGATCATGCCATTACACTCCAGCCTGGGTGACAGAGCAAGACTCTGTCTTAAAAACAAAAACAATTAAAAAATTTTTCGTGAAGACAGAAATTCACTATGCCAGACTGGTCTTGAACACCTGGCATCAAGCAATCATTCCGCCTCGGCCTCCCAAATTGCTGGGATTACAGGTGCGAGCCACTGCACTCAGCTGTACGATACATTTTAAAATGTTAAACACATTTAAGGAATCTAAAAGGCAGCAATTTTAAAAGGTGGCTGTAAGTATCACACATTCCTCCCACCGAGAGGTGGGGTCTATCTAATTCCTCTCCACTTGAATCTAGGCTGGCTTTAGTGACTCTCTTGTAACCAATAAAATGTGGTGGGAGTGAGGATGCGTGAATTCCAAGGCTAGGTGAAAATTAGCCTTGCAGCTTCTGCTTTGATCTTTTGGAATACTTGGTCCAAAGGCTCTTCCTAGGACACAGCTGCTGTGTTCTGAAAACCCCAAGCTACATAAGGGACCACATATAGATTCTCTGGTCAATAGTACCAGCTGAGCCCAGCCTGCTAGCTATCCTTGACAAAGCACCAGGCACGTGAATGGAAAAGCCATCTGGGAAATTAATCCTCTTGTTCCAATTCTTCAATTGAAACTCCACTGAGCAGAATTTATGTTTATGTCTGTATGCAAGAATTATTCACATTGCTATCAGTTTTCCATATGTTGACTTATATTTCTACAGAGTTTTAAAATAGCCTAGTCAAAATCAAAGGCACATATCCCTATAGGATCAAATAATCCCAGAGGCACCAGCATTCCAATGAAGGGATGTTCATTCCTAAGTCTTAAAATTGTCCTTATAAAGGTCATAATTATGCTGCTGTATGTTCCCAACATTGCTGCAACACATAGAAGAGAACATTATAAAATCAGTTTGAGAAATAAAATTCGAGATATTGCTACATCTCATTTTTCTTTCAAAGTCACAATTATTACTTTTCAGAAGAAAATATGAAGCTTGAAAGAAAAGCATTTCAATAAAAGGTCTATTTTCTTTTCAAATCTCTGAATCAATAATTGAATTAAACCTGGTGAACAAAGAAGAGAATAACTGATTGTATTTAATTCTTTTTTAAAATTTATTATTATTATTTTTTTGAGACAGGGTCTCATTTTGTCATCCAGGCTGGAGTGCAGTGGCATGATCTCAGTTCACTGCAGCTTCGACTTCCTAGGCTCAAGTGATCCTCCCACCTTAGCCTCCCAAGTAGCTGGGACGACCATGCCTGTCTAATTTATGTATTTTTTGTAGAGATGAGGGTTGCCATGTTGCCCAAGCTGGTCTTGAACTCCTGGGCTTAAGTGATCACCTGCCTCGGCCTTCCAAAGTGCAGGGATCATAGGTGTGCCCCACCACGCCTGGCCTGTATTTAATTCTTATACTGAAGAATGATTTAAAGACATCATGTATATTATGTGGGTTAAGATTGAAGAAAAATTTCAGTGCTACTATCATAACTGGTGTATTACTATTGTTAACAATTGCTACAGCCTATTTGTGTGAATTTTTAGGATTTCAACTTTGACTGGATTCTAAAAAGAAAAAAACTAGGTTGAACAATGTATCAGATGTACTTATTGCCTCAGGTAGTCCACAGAATGAATTTATAAATGCTTTAGCATATCTGTCCACTACATAAAAATCATGTCTACATTTCTGTTTTGTGTTATTTTGGATTTTCATAATCTATATAAATATCAATAAAATAATATGTGATATTAGCTTTGCTCTGCTTTTATTTTACATTGGTAGCAATGGTAAATATTATTTTGTGAAACGTTTGAGGGGTATGTGTATGTATGTGTGTGTGTGTTTGTCCTGGGTTGAATGTAAAATTATTTCTGACTGGGGACTAGGGTAAAAGAAAATTTTGAAGCCAGGCGTGGTGGCTCATGCCTGTAATCCCAGCACTTTGGGAGGCTGAGGCAGGCAGATCACCTGAGGTCGGGAGTTCGGGACCAGCCTGACCAACATGGAGAAGAAACCCCCTCTCTACTAAAAATATAAAAAATTAGCTGGGTGTGGTAGCGCATGCCTATAATCCCAGCTACTCAGGAGGCTGAGGCAGGAGAATCGCTTGAACCTAGGAAGCGGAGGTTGTGGTGAGCTGAGATTGCGCCATTGCACTCCAGCCTGGGCAACAGGAGTGAAACTCCACCTCAAAAAAAAAAAAGAAAATTTTTTTTTGAAAATACTAGTCGCATCAAATGAGCACTGGCTTGGAGTCTGACTTAATTTTGGATGCCTGCTCTCTGATCTTGGGCAAGTTTCTTGATTTTCTGAACTTAAACAAATGTTTCCTCTTCCCTGTGGCATATTTACAGAAAGGAAAACCATCAATGATGGTTTTCAGGTAATTTGGTCTGAGCTGAGTTAAAGGGTTTTGAAAGCAAAGTGATGATAAAAACCATATCTGAGGTTAAGAAAGAGTGCAACTTACTTAAGGATTCTAACAAGTTTATTTTATTGTTTTTATTTATTTATTTATTTTGAGATGAAGCATTGCTCTGCTGCCCAGGCTGGAGTGCAGTGGCGTGATCTCGGCTCACTGCAACCTCTGCCTCCTGGGTTCAAGCAATTCTCTTGGCTCAGCCTCCTGAGTAACTGGGATTACAGCCACATGCCACCACACTTGGCTAATTTTTGTATATTTAGTAGAGATGGGGTTTTACCATGTTGGCCAGGCTGGTCTCGAACTCCTGACCTCAAGTGATCCACCCGCCTGGGCCTCCCAAATTGCTGGGATTACAGGCGTGAGTCACTGCACCCAGCCAGGATTCTAACAATTTCAAAGGATTTTTATATGTAATTGTCAACATGCAAATTATTATGTTAAATTCAAGTGTTAAGTCTACATATTAATGTAGCCCATTTATTTACTCTTAGACTCTCTCCCTAGAAATGTATCGTTAGTGTTCATTCATCTGCTTGTTCTTTCTTTTAATGACTTTTTTTGAGCATCTATTTTGTGCTGAGTGCTGTGCTTGTGCTTGAGATATTACAGTGAACAACACTCAGGGCCCCCTACCTGTGTTTAAGTTGCTTACCTACTGGGTGGGGTGGAAGGTAGGCAGGTAATGAAAACATCATTAGACATTCAGCGTATTCTGTGGGTTCATAGGCGCGAGGTTCAGAGAAGACCTTTCAGGAGAAATGTCTAAGTCAGGTCAAGTGAGGTGTAGGAGAGCTCTGGATGGAGGAAGCAGCCTGCACAATGTCCACAGCAAGGACGACCACAGTCTCTTACCCAAATAACAAGTGGGTGAGTGTAGTGGGAGGATGGATAGGTGAGAGAGGAGGAGGAGGCCCTGTAGCCAGATTATCCAGGGAGGGTGTGGCTGTTTTGAGGGGTAGTATGAATGTTATTCTGAGAGTAACTGTCTTTATTGTATTTAAGCTATAAAGTGCATTACAGTTAATATTCACTCATTCATTTACGCAACACATTTTTAGGGGCATCCATAGCTGCTCATTGTGCTTAATGCTGTGGATATAGTGGTAAACAAAGCATGCACAGTTCTTGGCCTCAACGAGCTTACAGTTTGGTGGGAGAGCAACCAACAGAAAAATAAAACGTGTGCATATATAATCACTAGTGTGAAAATGCTGTAAAAGATGTTGTGGTAGAGAATAATAGAGTGAGGGTCCCTCTGACAGGTTGGGTGAGGAGGGCCTCCCTGAGTAGGCACCATTTAAGCAGAGACCCAGAGGATACGAAAGATCCAGCTGTGCCCATGCAGAGTGGGAGGAAGAGCATTCCAGGTGGAGAGGGCAAGATAAGCAGGAGCCCTAAGATGCCAAAGAGCATGGTGTGTTTGAGAAATAGAAAGATCCACTGTATCTGCAGCAAGGAGGGGAGTAGCAAAGAATGAGCATGGAGTAGGAAGTGGGCATCAGATGATACAGAGAGCTTGAGTCCCAGGGAGAGGAGTCTGATGCAACAGGAAACCGTGAAAAGGTGTTAAGCAAGAAAGTGACAGCTTCTACTATAAAGATCAATCTGCTTCAGACTGTCTAATGCACGATGGAACACCAGGCATTGAGAACGGATTAGAAAAGACCAGGGTAGGAAGCAGGAGACCATCTCAAGAGTCCGGGTGAGGCATGATGGTGGTTATTAGTCCACCAGGGTTGGGTGGAGTGATGGAGAGAGACAATAAGATTCAAGAGACACTTTGGAGGTGGAATCTCTGTCTTGCTCGTGGTTGGGAGACAGAGAATGAAGAATGGCTCCTGGAACCCTAGATCTGCTCCACCAGCCCAGATTTTTTGCATCTCAGTTAGTAGCAAAGCCATTCTTCTAGCTGCTCAAACCAAGAATCTTGGTGTCATCTTGAGTCCTCTCTTTCTTTCATGTACAGTCCACCAGGAAATCCTTTTGGGTCTACCTTCAAAATACCACGGACTCTGACCACTTCTCACTACTTCAGTGACACCATCCAAGTCCAAGTGACCATCATCTCTTCTCTGCTTGACTGCAGGAAACTCCTAACCGGCCGTCTGCTTCTGACCTCATCCCCCAGCCCCAACCCCGACCCCTTTATAGTATATGATCAAAAGAGCAGCCAGAGGGATTCTTGCAACAGTGGGTTTGATTTTGTCACTGCTCTGCTTGAAATCCTACAATGGCCTTCTCTATTTTATACAGAAGAAAAGGCAAAGCCTCTGAAGTGACTTCTAGGTCTTTACCAGACCTGCCCACTCCTGTCACCTCTCTGTGCTTCCCCTGGGCTCTCTGTTTCAGCCCCTCCGACCTCTAAGTTCCTTGACCACACAGGCCCGCCCTGTCCGACAGCCTTTGCGCCACCTAGGATGGGCTTCCCTCAGGTTGCGTCTGGCCAACCCCTCACTATTTTCAAGTCTTTCTTCTCCAGGAGGGCTTCCCTGGCCACATCAGCAGGAACTGCACACCACCGCCTCCATACTGACCTCCCAAACACTGCCCATTCTCTTTGGTCTACTTTTAAATTTTGCCATTGCACTTACTACTTTGTAAGATATAATATAATATACTATTAAAATTTACATGTCTATTATTTGTTATCTATATACCCTACTCTACAAGGGTAAGGATCTTTGTTTTGTTCGCTTATAAACGGAATTGCCTAGGACAGTGCTTGGCATACAGGAGAGGTTCAATACATGTGAAATGAATGAACATGAGAGGGAATCATGAATGTGTTAAGCCAGAGGGTGGGCCAAACACCACAAACAACGAGGTGCAGGCCAAAGCCTGGTTAATAGGGAGGAATTATAGGCAGGGGTCAGCAAAATGCATGTGGCCTTCCAAGTTCTCACTCCTGGCCAGGCAGGGCTAGAGGCACTGTAGGTTTGTGCTCCAGGAGACATCCCCACTCTTTCCCACCCATCCCTCCACTTTACGTAAGAGAAGTTAGGGGGAGACAGGAAACAGCTGGCTGCCTGATCAAGTGCAAATGTGAGGTTCCCAAGGAGGGGGATGACACTGTTGCCCAGAGGAATATTCTGAGCTCAGATGATAGTCACATAGGGGAGAAAGATGATGCCTGAGGGCCGTCCAGCTAACAAGGAAGATGTCTGTCTATTCAGGGTGATTTTGTGTTTTGATCTGAGCACGTAGTTGAATGGTAGTGTTATTTAGAGATATGGGGAAGATGGAGGCATGAAAAGGAGGGTGGAAAAGTGTGCAGTGAGAGTTCAGTTTTGGACGTGCTGTTTGAGGTATCTGCAAATTCCTTGTATGAATATGTCAAGTAGGTCACTGGATATATGCATCTTGAACATCTGGATTTATTTCTGCATTTTTGTACTTTTCTTCATGTGCCAACTTCCTGTTGGCATCCTAAGCAGGTACCAGGCTGGTGCCACAGTCAGGACACCCCTCTCCATCCTCATTCCTCACCTTTCTTTCAGCAATTTCATGAATTGGGAAACACATTCATTCATTTATCCATCCCACAATCATACACCAAGCTTTCACTATATACTGGTACACAGCTGGGAACTGAGGCTACAAAAATAAATAATACTAAATATCAGCACTCAAGAAAACCACGTCTAATTGGGGCTGGTAAATTAAACAGTTGAGATTTATGCACTGTGAAGTATGTGTAACTTGAAGAAGAAATTAATATTTCCCTGACCCTATCTCTCTTCCTACTAGAAAAAGACCCCAAAAAGAGGGTGGATCTTATCCATTCCTTAGAAGCCCTTACAAATGGCACTTTTACAACTTTTGTTATGTTTATTTTAGGTCAGGAGCAATGGCTGACGCCTGTAATCCCAGCATTTTGGGGGCCTAATCGGGCAGATTGCTTGATGCCAGGAGTTCGAGACCAGCCTGGCCAACACGGTAAAGCCGCGTCTCTACTAAAAATACAAAAATTAGCCAGGTATGGTGGCACACGTGCCTGTAATCCCAGCTACTCGGGAGGCTGAGACACGAGAATCATGAGATTAACTTGAACCCAGGAGGCGGAGGTTGCAGTGAGCCTAGATTGCACCACTGCACTCTGGCCTGCGTGACAGAGTGAGACTCCGTCTGAAAAAAACCCAGAATTTTTGTTACGTTTTTGTATCAATGAGGAATTGTTCAGTGTATGTCTCAGCAGTGAACCCATTTCTTATTTCCGCATACCTGAGGGTGACATTTTGAAAGGAGATGAGATGAAGAAAAAAATTAAGAAGAGAGATGGGCTGTAAATAAATAGGAGTCAATAGGTCATGGATGGTCACAGAACCCATGTGCACGATTTTCATGGTCATGGATGACCTGCTGTTGGGAGTGGGCACAATGACATGATGCAGCCAGTAGAGGGTAGAGAACCCTGTCCTGGGGACACCAACATTTAGGGCTGGGCATGGAGAGATGCGCTTATGAAAGAAGTGGGGAGGTAGTCTGAGGCAGGTGCACCTGGAGAATGGCAGGTCACAGGTACCAGAGGAAGAATACCAGGGAGAAGGAGAGGTCTCAGTATTGAACAGTACAGAGAAGCTGTTCAGCCTGATAAAGGCCAACTATTCTGGACTTCATGATGATCAGTTTCAGAGAAAGTAAATGTCAATGAGTGGAGGAAATGAGGGGGAAGGATGTAAACACTCTGTGTAAAGTCATTTGTAAGACAATTTATAGAGGTAATGAGAGAGCTGAGATGTACCTGGAAAGCAAGATTAGATTGAAGGAAGATGTTTTTTGTTGTTCTAATTAAAGAGATGTGAGCATGAATTTGTGTTGAGAAGGAGGAGGCAGAGACCAGGGAGAGACTGAAATAACAAGGACAGAGTAGATGGTAGAATGAAATTCCTGAGCAAGTGAGAGACCTGGCCCCCAGCACAGACGACACAATGAGCTTTGGATGGAAGGTGGGACACCTCATCCTCTGAGAGAGGGAAGGAGGCAAGGGTAGTGTTCCCCAATGACCGAGAAGCCTCTTCTCCTAATAATTAAATCAACTCTCGTAAGTCCACTTCCTCCGTGGAGCCTTTGCAGATACATCCAAGTGCTGAAGCTTCCTTTTGATTCTTAGAATGGTTGAGGCTTTGCTGGGCTCTGCCTCCAGTTTAGGGCCCCCCTCATAAGACACATTCTGCTCACACCGGCAGACACCCTGGTGTGAATCCACAATCTGCTAGCCCCTAAGAAAGGGCTCTAAAAAGTAAGCAGAGACAACAGGATCACAAACATACATTATATATTCAGAAGTATGTCATAGACATTATGTAAGAAGGGGCAATAGTCTTGTGTTTGTATTGGTGGCATAAGAATTTCTTTTAGCTGAGTTTTACTATATGAGAGAAAACAAGGGCTGCTAATTTGACAAGCGGCAAATAGGTTGCTGCTGGGTATCTATGCTGCTTCTGGAGTTTTGATCTCATGGAGTTTGTTCATCTAAATTCCAGGCAGTGGCACATACCCTAGGGACACAGGGATTATCTCACTGCCACTCTGGCTGAGCCACGGAGTAAATTATACAGGGATGAGGGAACACCCACCCAGCATACTCACTGGTAGATTCACACCCTGTCTTATTTCCTTTCTTGCCAGCCAGGGAAACCAGCCATTGAACTAAGCATTTAGTGTTGTACTGCAGAGCAGATAAGAGCATGGGCTCAAATTCTGACTCTGTCACGGATCATCTGCGTAGCCTGGAGCATGCTAATGAGCCTCCCAAAGCTGCCCCAGTTCATCTGTACATGGGGTAGAGATGACAGTGCTAGTGAACACCTCATAGGGCTGTGTAGAATACATAAGGTAGTCCATGTAACAAGTTTGCACAGTTCCTGGGACGTGGTGAATGCTCAATGAATATTAGCTATCAGTAGCTCTTATTTTTTTAAAATTCCAGCCAATCTACATTAATACAACTGAGCATCTATGGTGCACACATCCTTTATGCTATGGGTGTGGGGTGGGGATTATAAATCATAGAGAAAAAGGAGTGTTCCTGAAGAGACCAAGGAAGAATTCAAAGACGTTTGAGCTGGACTCTAAAGGGATTGGGGATTGTAGGTATGGGAGCAGTGTGAGTGAAGGCATGAAGGAGGGGCGGTGGGGAGGCTGCCAGGGGAACCAGCAATAATTCCAGTGCTGCTGGAGGGTAAGGAACCCAAAAGGGAGCAAGAGGCAGGATATGAGAAGAGGCTGGGGTTTGAGCCCACTCTTGAAACGACTTTTTTGGCTGGGCGTGGTGGCTCATGCCTGTAATCCCAGCACTTTGGGAGGCCGAGGTGGGCAGATCACTTGAGGTCAGGAGCTCAAGACCAGCCTGGCCAACATAGTGAAACCCCATCTCTACTAAAAATACAAAAAAATTAGCTGGGTGTGGTGGTGCACGCCTGTAGTCCCAGCTACTCGGGAGGCTGAGGCAGGAGAATTGTTTGAACCGACGAGGTGGAGGTTGCAGTGAACCGAGATCGCACCACTGCACTCCAGCCTGGGCGACTCAGTGAGACTCCATCTCAAAAAAAAAAAAAAAAAAAAAGACTTTTTGATGAGGGTCTAATTAATTCATTGCCAAGGAGAGAGGAGGTCTTTTTACCCGAAGTTTGATTATGCAATAGCTCTTCATTGCCTACACAAATTTTTGCCATACCTTCAGCCCATTCTGGCATTTCCACCTTACATGGTTTGATTCTTGATTCTGAATTTGCGGATATTGTTTGGGTCTGTCCCCAATTCCTCTAGAATAATGTTGCTATAGAAACAAAATTACTTCTAAGGAAAAAGGCTAGAGCTAGTTAGAAATATAAATTCAAAGGCAAGATCCATGGCATTCAATCAACTATATACCCACCAATGCGGCATGCTATGAAACTTTAATTACTGTGCTCAAGATCAAAGTAACATTACTCAGGAGTGGAGAAGCCAAATGTAATTAAGGAGGTCTTTCTTAAACAAGTGATGACCAACTAACTCCCTGAGCTCAGCCAGGCCTTCCACTGTATTTATATACAGTCACCCAGGGCCCTTAAACACTCACATGAGCATGAGAATGTGGTGTTGTGCTGTGGGACATCCAGAACAAATTTTACTGGGTGAGGCTCACAAAACATACAAGGAATATTCATGCCTCGGGAAGATGGCTTCTGGAGGAGGGAAAACATCCTTATATATGCTAATCTGCAGAGGCAGCAGCTTTATTTATTTATTTATTTATTATTTATTTTTTTTGAGACAGTCTCGCTTTGTCACCCAGGCTGGAGTGCAGTGGTGCGATCTTGGCTTACTGCAACCTCCACCTCCTGAGTTCAAATGATTCTTGTGCCTCAGACTCCTGAGTAGCTGGGACTACAGGCACATGCCACCACACTTGGCTAATGTTTGTATTTTTAGTAGAGACAGCATTTCACCATGTTGGCCAGGTGACTCTTGAAGTCCTGACCGCAAGCAATCCACCCGCCTCTGCCCCACAAAGTGCTGGGATTACAGGTGTGAGCCAACGCGCCTGGCCGAGGCAGCAGCCTTAAGGCTGTGGTCCTGAGCATTAAACCTAGAGTACAGTTTAGATTTTATTAATATCTGTATTCTCCTGGTTACTGCTTTCCAATTTACAATCTAAAATATTAGCTGTATGCTCTAATCCAGGCCCTAGAGAGGAGTGAGATGGGGCCAGAGGGTTTTTCCATCAGTGTATTTTGGGAAAGATACTGACAAGAGGATGACTGGGAATCAGGAAAAAAGATTGCTTTACTAATCCACAGATGGACAATTAGAAATCCTAGTCTCATTGGTTCTGTTTTTCATTCTTAAGTCCAGAACAAGGATAAACTTCCTTCATTTTCCTAGCTCCTAATCCCTTTTTCTCTTAATTCACTCTATCACTATCATCCAGTCACTTGCTATGGCTTCGCTGTGGGTAGGGGACTGAAGATGCTTCCTCCCTTCCTCATCTTGACCATGCTCCACTGTTTTGGGTTTTCAAAGTGGGAGAGAGGAGAGATGGGGGAAGCAGGAGACATCATGAGGGGAGGCCGCTACTGCTCCTGAGCACTAGCTCATATGCTTGGTTCAGAAGTGAGAATAGGCCGGGTGTGGTGGCTCATGCCTGTAATTCCAGCACTTTGGGAGGCTGAGGCGGGTGGATCACTTGAGGCCAGGAGTTCGAGACCAGCCTGGCCAACATGGTGAAACCCCCGTCTCTACTAAAAATACAAAAATTAGCTGGCCATGGTGGCACATACCTGTAATCCCAGCTACTTAGGAGGCAGAGGCAGGAGAATCACTTGAACCCAGGAGACAGAGGCTGCAGTGAGCTGAGATCACGCCACTGCACTCCAGCCTGGGTAACACAGTGAGATTCTCTCAAGAAAAGAAAAAAAAAAAAAAAAAAAAAAAAAAAAGAAGTGAGAATATAGAATTGAAGACTATGATCCTCTGCAATCTGGCCTCAACCCATCTCTCCAGCTGTTTCCCATCTTCCCAAACTCTTGACCTCAGGTATACGCATCTTTACATAGTCTCCTTGCAAAAGACACTGTTGATCAGCTACCTCAGAGCCATTCTAAATATTCTTCTTCCTTGCTGCTCCTCACTATAGAGGCTACAAAACCCAACACACACTCTCTCTTGCAGCTATGGATGGCCCTGTATGTTAGTTTTGGCCCATGAGATAAAAGTAGAACTCTGATGGGGAAACTTTTGGGAAAGCTTCTGTTTCTTCATAAAATGGGACAGATGCAACTGATACAGCCTGTCCTCATCTCCCTAATTTCCTGCCTTAAACATGGATGAGATGGCAGGAGCTGCATCAGCCATCTTGCAGCCCTGAGGGAGAGAGAAAGGCAAGTGCAGAGACATCAGCATTGAGTACTGAACCTGTCTCTGGATTTCTTGCTATGTGGGAAAAGAAAACCTTCTTGGCTTAAGCTACTGTTGGTTTTCTGTTACAGTTTCATGCATTCTTAAATGATAGATCCCTGAGCTAGGTGCTGGGCATACAATGGAGAACAAAGCAGGTATGGGGCTCCTCCTTATCAAACTTACAGTCTTGTGTGAGAGACAAAAAAAAAAAAAAAAAAAAAAAAGAGGAAATGAATAAGTTAAAAAATTACATTCCATGATGTCCAGCACTGGGCTCTGATCACTCCGGAGGACACAGTTTTCCCCAAGACCATGGCTACCTGGGGATCTGAGAGAAAAAGGAAAATAATTATACAGTGGTTTGTATTATGAAAAAAGCAAAAATATAATGGTATGATGGAGAACTATAGGGGAGGCTGACTCTATTTTAGCTAGAGGGGCCATTGAAGGCCTCTTTGAAGAGGAGGTAGTTAGGATCTGTAGGATGAGAAAACCTGGCCATTTGAAAAGGAAGTGAAAAGGGTTTTAGGCAGACAAAACAGCTAGTGCAAGGGCTCTAGGGCAAAAAAGGGCTGTGTGTGTTCAAAGTCCACTGTGGCAGAAGGGTATTAAGGGAGAGATTGGAAAGAAAGAAGTAGTCAGAAGGGGCCAAATCACACAACGCCTTGCAGGTCATAAAATGGAGTTTGAATTTTAGTCTAAGTGCAAAATAAGAATTTTAAAGCAAAGATCCATTTGGAAGTTGTGTAGAAAATGTGTCCAAGGGGGCAGGAGCAGAAATGTGGAGACCAATTAGAAGGCTGTTGCAGGACTTCAGGCAAGAATGATGGTGATACATCCTAAGATGGTACCAGCAGAGATGGCTTCAAGATGATTTAGGACTTGGGTCAGTAGCACTTACTGATGTAGTGGTTTGATACACACTGATTACCTTCTTCCTTTTTTATTCTCTGGCATTTCTCCTATATAACTAGCCACTTTTAAACAATATTTGTCGGCTCTTTTCTTCTGCTTGTCTGTAAATATTAGGGTTCCTGAGTCCTTACCTAGATTTTCTTCTCTTCTTACTCCTGGCCTTTCCTTGGGAGAGTTCATAATTCACCTACTCCATCTAGATATTTGTGATGTCCAAACACATCTCCACGTTAGGCTTCTATTTGTAGCATCAGACCCACACTTTCAACTGTCCACTAGATAGCCTCACTTGGATGCTCTGCAGGCCTAAATAACCTTTGCGGACAGATTAACAGGGAAAAAATATTAATAGGAAAAAATATAGATTTTTATCTGATGTTAATATTTCTATGTGGCATGGAGGACTTCACAGAAAAAAGTGAAAACTCTAAAGCAGTTAGATTTGAGAATTATATACCATTTTAACAAAGAACAATACATTGTGGAGACATGACAAAGGAAAAAGGGGTTTGGGCTGGAAGGGGGATGGGAAAGTGACTAGGAAACATATCGGGGAAACTGATGGAAGAGAAGGGCAATTTTAATAAGGTTTGTACAGACTCATCTTGGCATTGACTCCCCATCCCTGGTGATAAGCATGTTCTCCTCTTCCTAGTAGAATGAGAGCACCTTTCTCAGGGGAAATTTACATACTGCTTTTAGGTAGAAAAGGGGAGGGCAGACAGCACTTCCTGTATCTGCCATTTCTCCATTGCCTTCAGCTCAAAATAACCAATTTGCCACAGTGGCATAGTTTGGAGCAATGCTCTGCTCCTCTTCAAACCTTTTCCTTATCTCATTCACCAGTCAGCCACCAAGTCCTGTTAACCTCTTCTCTTGCTCCAAACTGTCTACTTCTCTCCATCCCCACTGCCATGATCTAGTTTTGACCTCCATCATCTTTCTCTTAGTCTTGTGACTGGTCTCTCTGTCTCCAGTCATATCCTTTTTTCAGTTTATTTTCCATACTGTAGACAGAACTTTCTTTCTAAAACATGACAGTATCACGTTCCTGCTCAAAGCTGCCCATGCACTTTTCAGTTTTCTTAAAACAAAACTTAAACTCCTTGACATGTAATAAGGCCTGTGTGGCTGCACTTTTGTCTTGGCTCCAAGGCTTCTCAAGTGTGGGAGCCTGTGGAATCCTCAGCTTCCTCACCTGTGTGTGGGAACAGCAGTACCTTTCTCACAGAGTTGCCCATGGAATAAGTGGGGCAGTGCATGCAAAGTGCTTGGCATGGTGTCTGATAGTCAAGGCTGGGTGGCTGACGGTTTTCACCCTGGATCTTCAGAAATGGTCATGGCCCATCCCTCAGAAGACTGCTGAAAGGACTCCAGGAAAGATGATGACATATAGCTCTTGTTCCTCTCCTTAGGAAACCCCACTTTATGTCCAGTAAGAACTCTTCATGGTGAGGATTAAAGCTCATTTTTCTGTTTCCTATAGAAACAGCAAATGGGGTGTGGGTGGGTGCTAAGGTGGGTTTCTCCCTGAAAACCTGTCCAGCTGTCGTAGGGAGGGCTGCTGAGAGCGTGGGGCCCTGATGCACTATGAGGATCAGAGTACCTCCTACATGCCCTGGGGCCCACTGAGAGCTTCATCCTCCCCTGCTCACTCACGGGCTCTGCTCCAGCTCAGCTGCCATCCGGCTTCCTGCTCACAGCCTTGCATCTGTGTCCTTCTCTGCAGGCCAAACTGCACCTTTTCTTTCCTTCCTATCCTCTTCAGTTAATGAAACTGGACCCCAGCTGCTTCTCATCTCATCCCCCTAAACCAATCCTCCTGGAAAATCTCCTGTCTCCAGGGTAGTCTGTGCACCATAGTGCAATGATTTTTCTTCTTGGTCTGCTCTTGTGACTCCTGGAACCCTTCGCAGACCACAGCTGCAAACAAAATCCTCAACTTATAATCACAGAGTGCTACATAACAGTCATGGGAAATGTCTAGTTTAGGGATGGTGTGTGTCCTGGTATCTTTGCGTTTATATTCGGAAGGACTTGGGAGCTCTAAATATAGGGTTCCTGCAATGGTAAACACCATCAATAGTACTCATACCTATATTACCTTCAGGACTGTAGAACCTTGGAAATAATTACACTTATGATTTGTCTCAGCTGTTTAAGTCAATGCCTTTTATTTTTAGTTTTTCTGAAGACAAAGCTCTTATAAGAATCACAGATGAAAGATCAGGCACAAATCACATTTTCCCCCTTAATAACAAAATACAAATCCAATAATTTTAGAAAATCAGTTTTTAGTGACCCAGATGCCTGGAGAAAAGCTGCCAGGATTTTTCTGGTCTATCGCAGAATTTTCTACATCAATGAGAAGGATGCTGCATATCTTGGCTGTATTATTTCCTACTGTGAGAAAAGAGACTTAGTATATGGAACATGCTTTTTTCAGAAAATTGGCAGTAACTGACTTTGAAGGAAAGTTGGTTAAGTTGGACTTGCAGCTGGAACTTGGGAAGCACTGTCCCCTCCTTACCCCCGAGGAAGGAGACACAGAGGCACACTTCCAGTAAGTTCTTGGTTCAGTGGGTCACTCATGTCTTCAACAGCCAGATCTCATTGCGCCGTCCGTAGGGCTTCATGGGAGGGTCATAACCCGTGCAGAAGTAGATGTCCCCCCGGTAGGTGGCTGTGCCCTCCAGGGCAGCACGCAGACGGGTGGCTTGTGCTACGTAGTCTGCTTCCTTGGCATAACCACCAAACTGCCTGGGGGTTCAAGAGCAAGGGCTGGTTACGAAAGGACATGACCTCTGAGAGAGGGGGGATCTTTAGAAAAAAGTCACTCACCATGTTTATTATGACAAGCATGCTAGAGTGGTAAGACTGGGGACTGAGTCACCACTTCCTAGATGGGTTGATTTTACCTCTCTGAGCCTCAGTTTCCTCATCTGAAAAAGGAGATATATTTTCTTTTTCCTCTAGAGTTTTGAGTGTTAAAAGCAGTAATGGACGTGAAAAACTCTAATGCGGGGCCTGAAACAGTAGCTGAGTATAAACGTGAGCCTCCCTTTCTTTCCTGAAATACCCAAGGGGACAGCAGGTTTGCTTTCCCAAAGGCCAAGCCTTCACCCTTTTCTCTGGCTCCCTCTACTGCCCGGCTGTACCTCTTTTCTGCTGCTCTGTCACCACCTCTGGAAGGAGGAAGTCTACAGGGGACTTCGGGCAGAGCTGCAGTGAGTATGGTGGCTAATGCCCCTTCCACAGCAGAGCAGCTCTAGTGACTGAGTTCATCACAGCAGTGACTTGTAGCAGCTTCATTTAAAAACAGAGCTAGGCTAGCCTGGGCAACACAAGACCCTGTGTCAAAAAAAAAAAAAAAAAAAAAACAAACCAAAAACCAAAACTAAAAAAGTAAAAATCTCAGAGCTAACAAAGGCAAAGACCCAAGGAAGACTTGGGAGGGCCCCACACAAGCTTTAAACATGCCCCAAATAAAGAAATCACTTCTCATAAATCCTTTCTTCTGCTCAAATCATGAAAGCCTTCTTTTTCTAGTAAGGAAAGAGACTGTTCCTAAATCTGGTATTTCTTTTGATGGCAGAAATTGGGGACAGAGAAGCAATAAAGCCTTTCTTTTCAAGATTATTATTCTCTCCCTTACGTCATGTGCTTCTGTTCCAAAATTTGTCTTGTAGCCTAGCCTAAATATACCACTCTAAATCTGGGTTGCACTAAAATTTTTATTAGAGTCAAGTACATCCCGATTTCTAATGAGCTGTATGACTCAAAAGTCTGAATTTGCACCAGGCCAAGATTAGGCCAAATAATGCATTATTTTTGGTGGAGTCCTCTGAATCATGCTTTGCTCTTTTACAAGTGGTTAGTCATGCTGGACAAGCATTCAGCATGTGGATTGCAGCATCACTGATGTGAACACCCAGGATGTTTTCTGTAATGGATTGGTTGTTCCAATGTCTAGACAACAGCTACAGAACATGGATGAAACTGAGACCAATTTTGAATAGCAGAGGCTTGATTCTTCAAATATATTGAAGAGATTATAAGGGAGATGAAGAAAGTTGGGCTCTAGCTTCATTGAGGTTCAAATGAGAGGAAACTGGGTTAGTAGACAGACAATGAACATCCAGGAAAGACTTTTTTCAGGCAATAAGAGCCTGTAAGACACTGGAGTTTTTTATGAACCATGTCTTTAGTTGGAGAACCATTTGTCTGAAATGAATCAAGTGCTGGAGGTGGAAGCAGGTGTTGAGTGCTCTCTGCACCCCCTACTTGTGCTGTGACACTGAACTGTTCTCTAGGAAAAGGGACAATGTTGGCTCTTTAAATACTGATTTTGGAAAGCTCCAAAGGAGTGCTCCTCAAATGTCTTCCTTCATCAGTTAGAGGCAAAATGGCTAGTGTGTGCTCAAATCCTAGTGCTGCCCTTTCTAGGTCTTAAGCTAATTCTAAAATTTCTCAAATCTTCAGGTTTTTCACTGGTAAAATAGGGATAGTGATAACATCAATCTTCGAAGGCTACTGTAAAGATTAAAGGAGAAAAGACTATGCAAACTGCTCAGCGCAGAGCCTGTCACGTAGTAAGCTCACAACAAACAGTAGCTATTATTGTTACTTGGCAGTTTGCTCAGAAGAGCCTTTTAATTCCCTGACTCCAGGGTGAGGGACATGATGGTAATCTAACGAAATACCATGTAGCTGAGTGTTGTGGTGCATGCCTGTGGTCCCAGCTACTTGGGAGGCTGAGGCAGGAGGACTGATCAAGGCCAGGAGTTGAGGCTGCACTGTGCTATGATCACATCTGTGAATAGCCACTGCATTCCAGCCTGGACAACATAGTGAGATCCTGTCTCCAAAACAAAAACACAAAATACAACTAAAAAAAACCATAGTAATATTATGAACTGGCTCAATGAACAATTCTCACTTTCTCAATTAGGCCTATTCTTAAAATGCTTTGTTACCTTGTAAACCCCATTCTTTAACCCCATCCCAATCTTCTTCCTATGTTTTACTTTTTCTTTCTTTCTTTTTTAACAGCACTTATCACCTTTTAACATACTATATAATTTACTCATTAAGTTTATTGTTTATGGTTTGTGTCCTCTGATAGAATATAGGCTGCACAATGGCAGGATTTTTGTTATTTTTTGGTCACTGATGTACACTGAGCACCTAACACAGTGCCTGAATATGTTGGACCCCTTGGTTAAATGAACAATTCTGGGCTAAACAATGAAAGTGATGTCTTCAGCCTGACAGAGCTAAAGATGACAGCACTTAGGACCTAGTGAGTGAAGTGGTTACATAAGTTTCACTCACTCATTCACATAATAAACATCTGAGGGGACAGTGGTGGGAACTGAAACAGGAGAAGTGGATCCACTGCAGCCAGATGCGAAGGCCTTGAATGCCATGCTAAAGAGTTTGAACCTCATCCTATATGCACAGGTAGACCTACGAAAGGGTTTTTTTTTTTTTTTTTTTTTTTTTTTTTGAGACAGAGTCTCACTCTATTACCCAGGCTGAAGTGCAGTGGCGCAATCTCGGCTCATTGCAACCTCTGCCTCCCAGGTTCAAGTGATTCTCCTGCCTTAGCTTCCCGAGTAGCTGGGACTACAGGCACACGCCCAGCTAATTTTTGTATTTTTAGTACAGATGGGGTTTTGCCGTATTGGCCAGGCTGGTCTCAAACTCCTGACCTCAGGTGATCCACCCGCCTCAGCCTCCTAAAGTGCTGGGATTACAGGTGTGAGCCACCACGCCCGGCCTGGAAAGGGTTTTAAAGTAGAGGACTGGCACGATCCAATTGTGCTTTGGAAGGATCCCTCTGCTGGCAGTGGAGGGACAGGGGAAATGGCAAGGGGTTGAGAGATGTGGGGCCACCGGAGCCCAGGAACAGCCAAGTGTGAGATGATGAAGGTGGGAGAAAGGCAGATTTGAGAGGTACCTGTATGTGGAGGGAGGTAAGAGAGAGGAAGGAAGAGAGGATTCTCCAGGGCTTCCAGTTAAGCCTCTGGGTAGAAGAAGATGCCGCTAACCAGAATAGGGATTAAAGGCTGAAGAGTAACATTAGGCAGGAGGGGCAGCTGTAGGGGTGTTCATGATTTAGTTTGGGGGGCATATGAATATTAAGGGCCCTCTGTGAAATACATTCATGCAACAATTATTATCTAAATGTGTGTCTGACCATGTAAAAATCTCCTTAGACTTGGGACAGAACTGGAGTCAGAGATACCAATTTGGGAAGGAGAAGGATCTAGTGACAGAAACTTGGGAGTGCCCAGTGGGTAGGTACTGGCTATAATCATGGTAAGAAGTGACATGTGGTAGAGATGTTGTGCAAACAGCAGGCCAGAAGCTTGCTCCTTAGAATCCTAATATCTAAATGGTGGGTGAAGAAAGAGGACCGGTCAAAGGACAGTGAGAAGGGGCTGAGAAGCAGAAGGAAACCCAGCAGAGAGTGAGATGGAGAATGTCATCACTCAGGGAGTCCTAAAATTCACTCCGGGAAAACCCCCAATTCTTTACATTTATTCCCAGGCAGACTGAAATGCTGGTAATGCAGATAAAATTTTCCCTATTGCTTCATCGTAGAATCCTTTTACTGGAAAACAAACAAACTGGGTGGGCTATGGGAACAGATACATGAGTTCTCCTCTCTGCTAATTTAACCAACCACACTGACTCCCATCACAGAACTGCACAAACAAGCCAGAAACTGAACCCTACCCGGAATCCCCTGGTGTATGAAGGGAGCCTAGCTCTGGCTGACTCTGCTTGTGTTCACAGACACTTTGCCTCATTGGTTCGTGCCTCAGCTTCCAATCTGGACATGGAGCACAATAACAGTGGGCCCACTGCTCTCCGAATTCCTGCGCGCACTTGAAGGTGAGTTAAGAAATGCTCATAAAGTGCTTTGAGCCCCTAAAAGAAAGAAACGTGAAGTCTATACATTATCTTTGTAAGCCTGTGAATACGTCTTTATCTATAAACGCCTCATCTTGAAAGAAGCTCTCCTCCAGGGCAGTGTTTTATCTCACCCAATGTCAGAGCTCAGTATTCTGAATAAAGAATTTGGTTACCATGGGAACTGAGGAATCTCAAACATACACACACCCCTGATTCCAGAAACACAACAGGAGCTGACTCAAAAGGTCTGGAAGAGTTAGAAAGGGGAAAGATGACACAAGCAATAGTGAAGGCTAGTGGAGGGAAGTGGGGCTTTCGTCCAAGGAAGCAAAAAATCATAATGTGTTATTTTTTAGGGAGTGTCTGGTGCAGGCATGCAGGGAGGAAGAATGACTCTGAGCTTGACCATTCAACTTCGAAACTTTAACATCAATGGATCAGCACACACTGGTGTACGGTCTGCTATGCATGCAGCCCTGTGCTAGGCAAAAGAAGTATCAGACCAGGAACTGACAGCCTCACTGCAACAGGAAGAGAGGCTTCACACAATAAGCGTTTCATTCAACCAGGCTGGACCTGTGCTTATTGAGTTGAACATCACTGAGCACAAAATGCAAGCCAGACACCATAAGAGCTGTAAGGATGATAAAGATGTCTTTCTACCCTCGAGAGCTCTAAGTGTGGTCAGGAGAGAAACACATGCAAAGATTATGCTGGCTGGAAGGAAATGCTGGAATGAAGGTGGAAGGTACATCCAGAATGTTCTGGGGGTGAGGAATAGCGAATGATGGGTTCTGACTTAGAACATGAAGGGAAGGTATTAAGAAAGAGGTGATATTAAGCATTTATTGAGCATCTCTACTTTTTTTGTGTATGTGACCTTGTTTGGAAATACAATATCTCTTCTTGATGCTGGCAATGAATAGTATGACAACCTTCTGTCCTCACAGAGCTTCCAACAAACAGAGGCTGTGGAGGGTTGAGAGGAGCTGGGGACATATGAGCAAAGGTCTGGAAGTGGATGTTGTGTCTGGGGTGGGAGGCATGTTGGGTGGTGGTGGGTGGGACGCTCTGAGATCAGGTTGACATGGGAGTGGTGCTATGTGTGGAGGGTGGTCAGTGCCATCACAGGGCATTTTTACTAGGCTTTACTGCCTGGTCAAACATTTGGCACCCAAAGTTGATCCACCCTCTCCTAGTGGAAATGAAGCATCTCATTACTAACTGGGCTTTTGTTCAAACCCCAACATCTGGTTGGATGGGCCTGAGGCCCCCAACCAGAGCTGAGCAGCCTCTGGGGAGGCTCAGTTTCTGAGCAAAGACAGGCGATGTGATCAGTCCTGTGCCTTAGGCAGGTGGTGATAAAAGGACACTTTAGAAGGGTCAGAAATGGGAGAGCTGGAAGCCAATACCATGGCAATCATTTGTGCAAGAGATGATGAAGACCTGTGTAGATGGAAGGGAAGGAAGGGACAGCTGGGAGCTGACCAGGATGAGCCAATAATTAGATGCAGAAGTGAAGGAGTCAGAATGACATTGGAACAGGGTGGGTAGGAGGAGGGAGGGGACCATCACTAAGACAGAGAACACAGAAAGGGATCTGATTTTGCGTGGAAATCTGCGTTGTGTTTTGGACATGCTGATTTGGGAGATACTTGAGGTGGTGATGCCTCCTGGGAGCTGGAAATATAAGGCTGGTGCTTAGGAGAGAAGGCAGCATGAGACGTGTTGACCCGGGCATCATCTACAGAGAAACAGCCTGAAGCCCTTGCCTGGTGGGAGTTTATAAAAGACTTACGGGATAACTGACAGCTATCAGGGGGAGAGAAAATGGTGATTAATTAGGCTGAGACACAGAATCTTATCATTGGCAAGGCTTTTGGACATGAGGTGGCTTAAATATTAGAGATATTTAATAAATGTTTGTCAAATCAAACCAAACTTCCCACCTAGTGCAAATGTCACATGGCATAAGTGTCACCCATCTATCCAGATGGCACTTGAATTCTTCCAGGGGCAAGGACATTACCTCATGACGTCCATTTTACTGTTAGACACCTAAAATAGTTCCTGGTACAGAGTAAGTGAACAAGAAATCCACTATCTTTTGAATGAAGGAATGAACGAGTGGGTAAATCACATTGTCTCAGGCTCCATGCTGAGTCTGATGGGATGGCAAGACATTCAGGGGAGACAGACAGAGGTTAGGCTGGAAAGTTACCAACACACTGGTGACAGCTGAAGCTATGATGGGGACCAAGATCTTTATGGGACAGAGCAGAGAGAGAGAAGCACAGGAGAGGCAAGGATGAAGCTCTTTTGTTCATGTATCCATTCACCAACTTGTTTTTGTTTTTTATTTAGAGACGGGGTCTCATTATGTTGCCCAGGCTGGTCTCGAACTCCTAAGCTCAGGTGATCCACCTGCCTTGGCCTCCCAAAGTACTAGAATTACAGATGTCAGCCACTGTGATGGCCAATTCAACAGCTTCTTATTGAACACTTGTTATATTCTAGCCAAAGGCCCTGCCCTTGGGAAGCTTGCATTCTAGTGGGGAGAGGGCAATAAATAAATGAGCAGATAGAGATATATAATGCAATTGATTATAAGTGAAGCAAAGCAAAATAAAGCTGGATAAGAGGACAGAAAAGGACAGGGTGCTATTTTCAATAGAACGGCTGGACAAGGCCCCTTTTAATCAAAGTGAGGGGGCAAAGCAGGGTGCTAAGACTGAAAACCCTTGGTCCCAACTTCCTGTGGTTACAAACAGGGTTGAATTATCTAGGAACATGGGCAAACACTGGTCTGTAAATCTCCTAAGTGGTAATGTGGGAACCCCCTAAGAGTTTAGCAGTTGAGCTCTTTCTTCCAAACTTCTCTTTCTCTAGGCGGAACTTCCCAAGCTGCCAATGGCCTCCATTGGGGCCTGGTCATTTAGAGGGAAAAATGACATCAGCAACCTAGGTGCTGACAGCTGACAAAGTTCTTTCAAATGCACAATGAAACCGGCCTTTGCAATCATGCCTTAGAAATCTTATTTTATAGATGAGAAAACTGAGGCTCAGAAAGATTAAACAACTTGCTGCAAGTTACAAAATTCATAATTATTGGAGCTGAGGTTCTAACCCAAGTGTATCTGCAGTAACTTTGACTTTTTTATTGTTAATTCTAATAAAACTTGATCAAATTCTCAAAGGGAGGTGAAGTTAGGAGGAGGAGAATAGGCTAACATTTACTGAGTGTCTACCTCATGTCTAGGATTGAGTAGGTATTTACAGGTATTATCATATTTTATCCTCACAACACCATAAAAGCTAGGTACTCATGCCCATCTTACAGATGAGGAAACTGAGGTACAGTGAGGCTGGCAATATACCAAAGGTCCTATGGCCACTGAATGATGAACTGGGTTGGAGCATAGGTTACCCTGAAAATAAACTCCTGGTTTCCAACTTTTTCCTTTATATCTAGACATTTCATTTAAACCGTGAAAGTTTCATTAAGACCATCAAACTTCTCCTGCTGTTGGTCCCTATTGAGAACCTGGTGCTGAAATGAGCTGAAAAGGCCAAACTCTAACTTAAGTGCATAGAGAAAGGACAGTAGTCTGGAATGTTGCTGCTGGTCTAAGTGTGAGGATAATTCTATTGCCTCTTGTGAATACTAAACATATTCTGATAGTGCTATTTTTTTTCACAGCATTCTATTCATCTAAAAGCACCGGTAATTAACGATGCTAATAAATGTATAATCCCTTTGTAAACATCTCTTCACAAGGTCATAAAGAAGGAAGACTGAATGAAGGACGCCAGGCTTTCATTTTAGAATTAATTTTGTCATTGAATGCACTCACTGCATTATTTGATAGAGTACTTTTGCATTTGAAGTAGTACATTTGCCTTCTACCATCTCATTAACATTGCTTTCAACAGAATCAGAAATAACACAAACCACTGCAGGGTAATTTTGAATGCTCATTTGACTATGCAGTGACATCAAGTGGCGAGTTGAGGAATGATCATATGCTGTGTGAGAACTCCGTGTTAAAAATTCCATGGAGCCAGGCTAGACACCACATTTGGCACTTTCAGCTGTTTAGATTTCAGAGAATTAAAAGGAAATGGTCACCGACCTGCCTTTGATAGTACCCGTATACCCCTTCCCACCATAAGAAACCAGCGTTCCTTAGAGAAATGGCTAATTCTAGCTCTAGGGCAAGAAATGCTAAGATGTGCTCAAAACATCTCATTATACCAGCAAGCCAGGGAGCCATCAACGACTACTGGAGCTGTGTCAAAAGGACCAACAAACCAACTTGAAGAGGCTCCCGCTGGCCAACAGTGGGGCAATTAGAGCATCAATAAGAATAATATCTGTAACAAACTGAAACGTATCAAATATGTTTAAATTCATATGTTTATAATTACACTCAAAAAACGAAGATGCAGACCACTTTACCTTGAGGATGTTACAGAATGAAATTATCATTCTGAAAACTGGTAAATAAAGAGAAGGTATCAAGTAAGCATGTATCTGGCTTTTTCTATATGAAATAAAGGAAGCCAAATAGTAAACGAGGGGAAGTTTCTCTTTACTGAAATATTGCAGGTAATAAAAGAAGAAGGAGAAACAGAGAACATTATCGTTTTATGGCCTCTAATGGAACAAGACATCTAGGCAATGATGAACTATGGTCACCAACATCACTCAATCAGGGACAATCAGACACTGTGGGCCCCTGAAGGAAGTAAACACCACCACGTAGGAAATATTCTCACCAAAACTTCAAAAACTTGAATCTGATCTAGTCTTTAGTTTCAACTACTAATTTACAGGCAATACGGGGCTCAGAGGGATGTGGTAAAATGTCACGGAAATATAATCAGCAAAATCCAGTACAGATAATAAGAAGACAAATGATCCACAGATGGAAAGGAAGAATGTAAAGTTGTGTTGGTAAAGAAATTCACAGATTAATAAAAGCTTAAAAATGTACCATCAGCCAGGTGTGGTTGTGTGCAACTGTAGTACCAGCTACTTGAGAGGCTGAGGTGGGAGGATTACCTGAGCCCAGGAGTTTGAGGCTGCAGTGAGCTATGATCACACCACTGCACTGCAGCCTGGGCAACAGAGCAAGGCCTTGTCTCTTAACAACAACAACAAAAAGAAAGTACTACAAAATCTGACTTGGATCCAGATTCTAACAAAATATTAAAACAAATGATGGCCAGGCGTGGTGGCTCACGCCTGTAATCCCAGCACTTTGGGAGGCCGAGGCAGGTGGATCACAAGGTCAGGAGTTCAAGACCAGCCTGGCCAAGATGGTGAAACCCTGTCTCTACTAAAAAACTACAAATATTAGGCACAGTGGCAGGTTCCTGTACTCCCAGCTACTTGGGAGGCTGAGGCAGGAGAATTGCTTGAACCCAGGCAGCAGAGGTTGCAGTGAGCCAAGATCGCACCACTGCACTCCAGCCTGGGCAACAGAGAGAGACTCCGTTGGAAAAAAAAAAAAAGTAATGGGGGAAATCTGAGCATTGAATATTTTATATTATAAATTAATGAAGTACTATTGAAATTTCAGAAAAAAGGTATTGTGATTATATTTTAAAAAAATCTTCAGTAATTACCTGAAATATTTATGAATGAAATAATATAATGTCTGGAATTTGCCTAAAAATAATCCAGGGTAGGGCTGGGTGAATGCTGTGAAGATACACATGACACAGAATTGGCCTTGAGCTGATCGTTGCTGTAGGTAGGGGATGGGCACATATGATTTCATGATCTTATATGCTTCTACCTTTCTATAAGTTTGAAAATTCCCATACTAAAAAGTTAAAGACAAAAGAAAAAAAAATTATATCCACTCATTACTCAGGGTCTGGTAAAACAAATGATCAGAAACTAGCCCCATCTGCTTGAAGTCTTAATGTGAACTGATTCAATCATGTCTATCTCATTCCTTATGAAATAAGAATGAACAGACAGAAGGGGTAATTGCCAAAACCTGCTTCAGGTCATAAACATTAGGTAATACATAAATAGTATCTTAGTAAATACTGAAAGATATTTAACAATAATCCTATAAGGTTACATTACATGCACACACACACACATCATATATAGGAGGTTATATTATCAGCACTTAACAAATGCAAAAGCTAAGTCTTAAAGTGGCTAACTTCCCAAGCATCATTCTGCTAGTAAGCAGTAGAGCTGGAATTCAAATAAAATACAAGTTCATTTTATTATACCTGCTGCTTCCCAAACACAGGAAATAGAATGGAAAAGACAAGCAGACATCTAACCCAGGGCACAAGATTTAAGGAGGCGCTCACTCTCAGTCCCCATCCTGCACTTGGACAGCTGTGAGAGTGAGTGCTTCCTTAAATGCTGCACCCAAGGTGCATCTCCACCCTAGGAAAAGATATTGTTAAGTTAATTTGCTTTCTCCACACCCTCTGAAGGGAAGCTGGGAAGTCTGAATGAGGACTGCAGGACAAGCACAGGAGCTGAGGCTCCGGTGCTAGCTCCCAGCTGCATTACATTCACTGTCCTCTGGAGGGCCCTGCAGTCACCTGGCCTAGGACTACACACAGCGGTGAAACTCACATTCTCAGAACATTGACACAGCTCCGGGGAAAATGGTCCCACCATCAGGTTCAGGGTTGCAGCAGGGCAGCCAAGTTTGGAGGTCCCTGAAGTGGACCAATACTCAGTCCAGTGCAATATTATATGTATGTGAATTTTTCATGAGGTTGCTCCTGAGCGGAGCCAAACCACCTATGATTACTTCTGGTGAAGATCCTGGTCTTTCCCTGAGCCTGGTTTGGTGCCTGTCACATGGGAGTGTTTTAACAAATGTGAGGAGTCATCAATGATCTAGAAGACTTGGTTTCTGAGGGCAGTTTGGAGCACAAGGGATAGAAACTAGTAACCATTTGCACCTGCTATTCTCTACAGTCAAGGGAAAATGACCCCACATGAAGTCCTGGAAACAGGACCAGGATGACAAGAGAATAGATGTGTGCTCTGCTCAAAGGACTACCATCCAGGAACAACAAGGAGGATGGAAGCCCAGCTCTAGCAAATGCTCCCTGCTCTCTGGCATTCAAAGGGAGTGTGGGGTAGAAATCAGGTATTCCTCAGCCCTTTATGCTTCCCATGTGTCCACGAATCCAGACCATGGCTTGACTTAAGATATTTGCTGAGTCTCCTAGAACCCTGCTATGGCTAATGTAGACATTCACTGTAAGCTTAAGCAAAGCTTAAGCTCGTCCCATCAATTTGGCAACTGGCCAAGGCATTTATTCTGATAAAATGCAAATGTGTGTGTGCTGCAGCCTGAAGAAATTAAAATGAGAAACTGTTAGGATTCAGCATTTCCTACTTAAATTAATTCAGCAACCATAAAAATTTGACGCGAATGCTTGCCAGAGGTGATGCAAGGAGTGGTACGGGAATCAAGCGCCACCCATGGATGCCTGAAGGATTGTCTCCTTACATGGAATAGACAGTGATGCCTTCCCGTTCCTCAATCTTAACGCTTTTGTCACTGGGAGCTGGTGGGTCGCTTTGAAATTGGTTTGGAATCCGGAACCAGACTTTTAATTTCTTCTGCAGAGAGCCATCTTCATTGGGGAACACAGCAAAGGAAATAGGGACTGTCATCCCCATCCCAATTCCTGAAAACACAAAAGCACAGAGTGAGGCAGGGATCAGAGACAGAGCTTGCTCAGGGCTGTGGAAGACACATTAGTTCCATTCGTCTTTCAAAGTGGTATGTTTTTGTTCTTGAAATTAACAATGAACATTTCAAGTGTTAAAAATACAGAAATACATGAACACCTGTTATTTGTATACGCTGTTGGTAGGAGTATAGTGGTACAACTCTAAAAAATGATTTGGCAATATATATCAAGACTGTAGATTATCAGTCTCTTTCTCTCTCTCTCTCTCTCTCTTTCTCTCTCTCTCTCTCTCTCTCTTTCTTTCTTTCTTCCGACAGTCTTGCTCTGTTGCCCAGGCTGGAGTGCAGTGGCATGATCTCGGCTTACTGTAAACTCTGCCTCCTGGGTTCCTGGGTTCAAGCGATTCTTGTGCCTCAGCCTTCTGAGTAGATGGGATTACAGGTGTGCGCCACCACACCCAGCTTATTTTTGTATTTTTAGTAGAGATGGGGTTTTGCCATGTTGGCCAGGCTCGTCTTAAACTCCTACCTCAAGTGATTTGCCCATCTTGGCCTCCCAAAGTGCTGGGATTACAGGTGTGAGCCACCATGCCTAGCCAGTATTTAATTACTGCCTATTTAAAACATCAATCTAAAATATGGAAAAGGCTATAGGTAGTAAGATATTCATTACAGCAGAATTATAAATTCTGTTCAAAACAGGAATATGTCTGTGTAAATTACAGACACATGATACAATATAATGTAGCTAGGAATTATGCTTAAGAAGACTCTGGTACTAGTGGAAAATAATTATGAAATAATAACTAACAGAAGCAGGATATGTAATTATAGGAACACTAAGATTACATTAAAAAGCCCTAAAAAATACATTCAAAAGACAACATTGATTGTATTGAATGGGGGAATTAGGGAATACTGTTTTGTTATTTTAAAGGTTTTCTTTAGTGAGTTTTATAATTCTCATACATATTTTCATTTAAAAAAATGTTAAGACAGTGTTAAGAAGGAAAAGATTTCTTCCTGACCTCCTACAGGTTAACGTATCTTCCAAAGCCTGACTACTTTAGTCCTAGTAAATTTTTTTTTTAAAGCAAGTTTTTTAAGTAAGTAAAGGAATAAAAGAATGGTTACTCAATAGACAGAGCAGCTCCTAGTAAATGTTACTAAGGCTAACACACGTTTTTAGCTCTCTAAATTATCAGCTTGAGAAATATCCTAAAAATTAAACACATCTCTTTTTTTTCCTCTTGCTTTCTGACCCATTTTTGTTTTGCAGTGATTCCAAAATGCTACCCAAATTAGAGGGCTTCTCACGAGTCAAACTCATTTTTAAATATGGTTTACATCTAACAGGTACACCTTTCATGAGACTTCAGGCTTATCATTTTAAAAGTAGAGAGGTGGCCAGCATGAACTGCCAAGTTTTTAAGAGCAGGATGGCCCAAGAATTCTCAGACCCTTCATTTGCCAGACAGGGTCTGGAACCTCACTGCTCACTGAGCCTCAGGACCCAGCAGAATCTGAGCTACCAGGGGCTGACTCTGGGGATCTCCAGCCTGATGCTGGCCTTGCGTTGTGCTGTAGCTCAGCTTACTGTGGGCACACGCCACCTAGTCAACCAATCCAAAGACATAATAAGCACTGCAGGGTTAAAAAAAAAATAGAGCCTATGGTCCCACACCTGGGAGTGAAGCAGGAACTTGGAGATATTGAGCAGGGATGCCTTCAAGTGAGGGACAGACTGGGCTGATATCAGAGTGGTTTCCCCACATTCCTGCAATAAACTGCTTGTTCACACAGTGCAGGAGGTTCACAGGTCATTGAAACAGGTCACTACAGGTGCCTTGTAGCCCCTCACTTGCATTTACCACTGATGAAGTGAGACCTTGCAAAGCTGGTCCCCGAGACCAGAGCCACATCCTGCAGGGGTACTCACCCTTGTCATTGGTGCCCCCCGCATACTTTGCGACCTTGGGCATTGCTTCCCGTAGAGCCTCATCCACAGGCTTATCTGTCACTTCTACTGTGGCAAATTTGCCGCCTTCACAGGCCCTTTCTTCATAGGCAACTTCTTCCTAGAGAGAGAGAAGGTACAGTGTTTAAGAGGTACAAAGTAGCAACTTGTGATGTCTCTAGAAGTAGTAACAGAGGGCTAAAAAACTTTCCTTGGTGGGTATGGCCATAGAGCAGAAGGGACAGGCCTGAGTATGAAGGGCCATGAGAAATAGATTCTGGGATTCTTGTAGAGACAATATCCAAAGCAGGAAAATCTTATACATTATATTCTTGGGGAGATAAGAGAAGATATTGCATCCTGAAAACCAGAATGCTACAAAAATGGAACATTCAGAGAGCAAAAGAGCTCTCAGAAATTAAAAATCTGATAACAGAGAAGAAAAATTCAGTAAACAGGTTGGAAGATAAAGTTAAACAGGAGATTCAGAAAAAAATACAGATAAACTTAGAAGGGAGGAAACAAAAAATACAACGATGACAATCCAACAAAACTGTGAAGCTCCCAAAATTAGGCTCATTCTAGTAGGAGGACTGCAATTCAAGGAATCAGAGTTCATTTTTCCCTTGGCCTCCTTGGGGGACTGGATCCAGGACCTCTATGGATACCAAAATCCATGGATGCTCAAGTCCCTGATATAAAATGGTGTAGTATTTTGCATATAACCCACACACATCCTCATACATACTTTAAATCATCTCTACATTACTTATAATACTTAATACAATGTAAAAGCCAAGCAAATAGTTGCTACTCTCTGTGCACACACACACACACACACACACACACACACACAAACACACACACATGTATTTTATTTATTTATTTATTTTTGAGACAGTGTTTCACTCTGTCACCCAGGCTGGTGTGCAGTGGTATGATCATGGCTCACTAGCCTCGACCTCCTGAGCTCAAGCGATCCTCCTACTTAGGCTTCCTGAGTAAGTGGGACCGCAGGTGCATACCACCATGCCCTGCTAATTAAAAAAAAAAATTTTTTTTTTTTTTTGGTAGAGTCTCCCTATGTTGTACAGGCTGGTCTCAAACTCCTGGGCTCAAGCAATCCTCCTGTCTTGGCTTCCCAGTGTTGGCATTATAGGCATGAGCCACAATTGAAACTGCCTTTGCAAAAATTATAACTGAGGAAATTATGACAGTGAAAGAAATCAGACTTCATTGACTCTATCTTGTTTCTAACCCTTAAGCTGTCCTTGTGGGATTCCTGGGCTTAGGCCGAACTAATTGTAGGAAGGAATTCAGTTCGTGGCTTGACTCTGAAAGAAAATTGGTAACAGCCCTTTCCCAATAAGACCCCCTTCTTGCCTGGGGTCCAGTCTGACTTTGCAGGACTAACAAATTAGCTACAAGATTAGAAATTACAATTTAGAGGTCATGCAGCCTCTGGCTCCAAGAGTCTGAACCTCCTCAAATTGCTCCTGGGGATAACATCACTATTGTAAAACCTAAGATCAGTGCGTGAGATATTTTCCAGACCCTGTACTCGATGGATCAGCTGACACCACTCAGACCAGTAATCTGGCCCAACCAGTTCTGCCATTGCACCGAGGAACAGAAGACAGCAAGAAAAACCTAACTTGGCACCCCCCATGATTCCATCTCCAACCTGACCAATCAGCACTCCCCACTCCCCAAGCCACTACCTGCCAAATTATCTTTAAAAACTCTCATCCCTGAATGCTCAGGGAGACTGATTTGAGTAATAACAAACCTCTGGTCTCCCGCAGAGCTGGCTCTGCATGAATTACTCTTTCTCCATTACAATTCCCCTGTCTTGATAAATTGGTTCTATCTAGGCAGCAGGCAAGGTGAACCCACTGGGCAGTTACACCACGCCTGGCCTCTGCTGTTGATTTATGTATTTTTTATTGCTGTATTGCTATTATTATTTTTTGAATATTTTCCATCTGTGGTTGGTTGAATCGTGGATCCAGAACCCACAGACAGGAAGGGCTGACTGTAGCTCTGTTCACACCGTGCTCCCAGACACAGCATATCCTCTCCCTAACTCTTGTCTCACTAAAT
This sequence comes from Homo sapiens, assembly GCF_000001405.40. Taxonomy (NCBI): domain Eukaryota; kingdom Metazoa; phylum Chordata; class Mammalia; order Primates; family Hominidae; genus Homo; species Homo sapiens. Next base: position 12,991,398 of record NC_000012.12, read on the forward strand.
CACAGCCTCCCAATCTGCTTAATGCTCAGCTCCACTGTCTCTTTTCACACAAATCCTTCTTTCATCTCCCCATCACCACTTTCTGCATTGAGGCCCTGTCCTTGGACTATCCTTTCCCTGGTGTTTACTCATTATGGACCCCCACAGCTCTCCTTCAGTACATCTCCTGCTCCTTGCCACGTGATTGCTCATATAATTTAATTTTGTATTCCTGGACATACTGTAAGGCAGTGTTCTTCACATTTTGAAAAAAAATCACAATCCACAAGAAGGAAAGCATTTTTTACAGCCTGTCTTATCATGAATATACACATAGTTAAAGTTTCACAAAGTAATGCTTTACCCTTATGGATGAGATGCATCCTGGCTTTTTTTTTGTTCCTTCCCCTATCCTGTTTTCTTCTCTTCTACTCTACTGGAGTGAATTTTATTCCATCCCATTAGAAGAAGGAAAGTTGGTCTATGTTAATTTTACCATCTGGTAATGAAACATTATTATAGTTTTAACAATCTGCAATAAAGCCTTTATGGGCAGAAACTATACCACAGAGCTTTACATGTGAGAAGTGCAACAGATATTTATTTGATTAAGGTGCTGTGTCTCCTAACAATGATTATGAAAAACAGACACATGGTAGGGAACCTGGCTGCCCTAGACTGGTCAAATAGGTTTTCATATAATATCCTAGACTGAAGATTCACAACTAGGGAAGAGGGTGTGACTCCCAGGGGGACAGAAGGTGTCTCTGGAGGAAGGCAGGACTGTACGGCTGTGAGTGGCAAGTGTAGTCTCAATGAGCATATTTAATATTTATTTTATTTTTGAGACAGAGTCTTGCTCTGTCACCCGGGCTGGAGTGCAGTGGTGTGATCTCTGCTAAGAGCAACCTTCACCCCCCAGGTTCAAGTGATTCTTCTGCCTCAGCCTCACAAGTAGCTGAGACTACAGGCGAACGCCACCACTCCCAGCTAATTTTTGTGTTTTTAGTAGAGATGGGGTTTTGCCACATTGGACAGACTGGTCTCGAACTCCTGACCTCAGGTGTTCTGCCCACCTCGGCCTCCCAAAGTGCTGGGATTACAGGTATGAGCCACTGTGCCCGGCCTTAATATTGTAATTTTAACCCTGAGTGCCAAGTTTGTACTTAAATCCCCCTTCACATGGGGTAGAGGAAATTGCGCCAGACCAGGAATCATGAGGCAGCAAGTCAGCCTTGACTGTGGGGCACCGTGCTGAATCATTCTGAGGCTGCTGTGAAGCCCTCCATCTGGTGAATCTGACACTTCCAAAGAGCCTTCAGTAGCAAACTGTTAAGTAAACTTAGGGTGTTTTGCTCTTTCTGTTGCTGCAGAGAATTCCAGAACTCCCCTTTCATTTGAGAGCGCACCTACCCTTGGCACTTGTAATGTTTTAAATTCCAGAAACACTATCCTGTGAATCACAGAAGTTCAGAACCTAAAATGGTTTTAAAGTTTACCTAATCTAACTAATTTTATCAAGGAGAAAATGAAGAACCAGAGAGACTAAGTTGCTCAAAGTGATGTAACTACTGAATGGTGAAACTGAAACAAAAATTCCAGTTCCCAAACTCTAGTCTACTCCAGTCTAATACTCGTTGCAAGGTTCTCTAAAGCTATGGGGGGTGAAGTGAGCATTTAAACCTCTGTTTCTTTTCTTTATCCTCCTTTCTTTCCTCTCTCTGTCTTTCTTTTTTTCTTTCGTTTCCCCCTCCCTCCCTCCCTCCCTCCCTTCCTTCCTTCCTTCCTTCCTCTCTCTCTCTCTCTTTCTTTCTCTTTCTTACAGGGTCTCATGGTTGCTCAAGCTGGAGTGCAGTGGTACAATCTTGGCTCACTGTAACTTCAGCCTCCTGGGCTCACGTGATCCTCCCACCTCATCCTCCTAAGTAGCTGGGACTACAGGTGTGTGCCACCATGCCCAGCTAATTTTTTTTGTATTTTGTTTTCTCTGTCTTCTTTTGTAGAGACAGGGTTTCACCACGTTGCCCAAGCTGGTCTCAAACTTCTGAGCTCATGCGATCCACCTATGTCAGCCTTCCAAAGTGTCTTTGCTTTTTTTTTTTTTCTTTTCCTCTCTCTCTCTCTCTCTCTCTCTCTCTCTCTTTCAGATGGGGTCTTGCAATGTTGCCCAGTCTGTAACCTCTCTCTTTAGCCACTGTGTTAGATACTTTGGGCGGACAGTTGTATGCCCATATCAAATTCAGAATAGAGGTATCAGAAGTCATTTTACGCAGTTACTTCTTTTACAAATGGGAAGACCAAAAACAAGATCTCACTGGAGAAAGAGCTAACTGGCTCTTTCCTTTGGTCTTTTTCTTCTTTTATTCATTTAACCAACAACTACTGAGTATCTACCATGTGCTGAACATTGTTACAGGTGCTATAAGGGAAGATGCCAGGAAAACAGAATGTTATCATCTAATGATATTTTTAGGGGGCAAGGAGTGCCAGGGCAGTATGGGAACACAGGAAAGGACCACTTAGGTTAGTTTATGGGGCATGGGTGTATGTGATAACATGTTTGGGGAGGTCAAGCTGACTTTGAGGTGGTCACAGATCACCCAACCGGACGTTCAGTCACTACTTTATTAATTCATGGAATAAACATTGTCGAAAACCTTTGCCAGGTGGTACAGATTTGGAGATTAATATGATAGGGATAATCAGGAGGATGGTGAGGAGTATTACACAAATTATTGTACAATGCAGTAAATGCTCTGATCATTTGGGGAGGATATTCCAGGTAGTGGGTACCATAAGAGTAAACGAGGAGGGGTCAAGAACAGTATGATGACTGTGAGTACAAATATTACAAATAGTTGTGGCTGGAGCAAAGACTGTCAAGCAGGACACAAAAAAGGTGTTCTGGCAGGGGCCAGATCTCAGAAGAACTCAGAGGCTGTTGTGGGAGTTGGATTTTGTAACCATTAGTCCAGTGATGGTGATTTGATAGCAAGCCAGTTCATCTACTCTAAATTAGTTCAACTGACATTTGTGACCTAAACATAGGATTTTGCAAGTATGTCTGGGTCTTGAATGGAGGGTCTCTGCAGCAGAAAAGAGATCTATAAAATGGCACGAGCAACCTGTGCTCTTGGCCTGTTCTCCAGGCACAAAGTCCACAGCAAGGAAAGAAAGGCTGCCAAGAAGGGACTCCAGCTTGACTTGGAGAGCCAAGTCCCCCATGATACACCTATCATCCTTCAAGGCTTGGCTCAACTTCACCACCTCCTCCTCCTGAGTGATCCCTCCTTTCTAGGAACCCCTAAAGTCAGATAACTCTAGAGCTGGAAGGGGTCTCATGTGTCCATCAGTTCATCTCCTCCTGATACAGATGAGCAAACTGTCCATTGGGTAGTTGGGCACACAGGTCTGGAGCTCAGCAGGGGACTGGCATAGAGGCGTAAATTTGGGAGTCATTAGCATAAGGGGAGACTAGAGCTGTGAATGAGGTTGGGATTGTCCAGAGAGCATATATAGGGCACTCTACACCAATCTAACTGTGTTAATTAATCTGCTGCCTAAAGGCATTCATTCATCAAGTTCTTAACCTGCCCTTGATGATGCAGGCACCACTGAGCTTCTACCTACGTTGCCAGCCACACTCACAGCACCTGCTCTGCAGCTTTCTGCTGTTTCCTTTGATGCCATGGTCATTTCCACGCCAGGGCCTCTGTGTCTGCTGCTCCCTCTCCCTGGAGCATTCTCCTCCTGCCTTTGCCTGGTGTCTCCCTATTCATCTAACAGGCTCCAACCTAAAAGTTACTTCCTCAGAGAGGATCCTGACTTAAAATAGGTTCCCTGTGATATTCTTACCCACGCTGTACCTTCATAACACAATACTTATTGTAATTACAATTAAATGATGTGTTAAACTCCCACCTCCACCCACAAGCCCCACAGGGTAAGGACTGTTTCTCTTGTTCACCGCTGTATCTCTCTGTACCTAGATGTACCACGCCTTGCATATTGTAGGCACTCTACAAATATTTGTGAGAAAGGAGATATGCAGAGTAAAACCTAGTTTTACTCTAATGACAAGGAATACAAGAGCCATAATAGATGGGCAGAGAGATGAGGACCTCGTCTAATAGGATCTCCTGGAGAAAAGCTGGGCCACAATGTATTAAACCAGTTCTAGTGCAGGGATCACTTGTTTTCATAGCATCTGTATCCATAACCACTCATTTGAACCACGGGACCACTGTGAAAATTCAGGCTTAAGAGATGGATTTGTAAAACTATTCTAGTTCTCCAGGGAGCTCTATTTAAATGTATTTAACCAGAATTCTCTACTGCTGTAGAGAATAAGGCAGCTAAGTTAATACAGTCTTGATTCTTAAAATTTAACATCTTTAGTGCATTTGCTTGTGACATGGAACACAATAGTAGCCCTCCTTCACCCCATCTCCATTAGTCTATGCTCCCAATCAGTTCCTAGATGGAGATTTTGGCCTGTGGCTACAAAAACCAATTTTCAACATTCAGTGGGAACCTTGGTCAAGTTCAAGTCCCAGACAAAGGTTTAACAAGAATGCCTCTGGCTATGGGATTTGTAAGTCCTTTGAAAGGTCAGTTTTTTTCTTGCCACTTCATGTAGTGGGTATACATGCTAATGTTGGAAACCTGCTTTCTCATTACAAGAAAATACTGATCATAACAATTAACCTAACAGAGTACTTTCTATTTGTCTGGTGTTATTTTAAATGCTTTACGTGGATTCATTCATTCAATTTCTCCAATAACCCTGTGAAGAAGTTAGGGCTTTAATCTTCATTTTCAGATGAAACTGGGGAACAAGAGGTTAAGTAACATGCCCAAACTGCAGCGGGTGAATAGTGGAGCCAGGACTCAAAGCCAGGCTATCAGGTCCTAACCTGTGTGCACAGGCCGGACACAAATCTGATTAAGGATGTCAGTTACTAATATCAGTTCTGCTGTGAGCATCCAAAGGCCCACCCAATCCAACACAGAGAGCTGTCTACCCTCCTCCCTCCCTGAGCAATTAAGAAGGCACCTGATAAGGTCTGCGGCAGCACTGGCCTCCCTGCCAAGTACTTGGAATCAGTCCCCAACATCTGGTGAGCCTGAAGCCCATGCTATGTGGGGAATATGGTATGCCATCATTTGCCCAGGAGAGTGGACAATAGTTTCTGACCCAGGCTGTTTCCAGGATAAAATATAATTTCAGGGAGAGGTTCTCTTCAAAAATAATACCTTTATGTTTGTATATTTAAAAAAAAAAAGGTTTACAAGTATCTATGCATAATTAATTAATTTCACATTGGCATTGTTATTCTCATCTTAGAGTTGAGGAATTCAAGGGCTCACGGGATGTTAAGTAATTTACCCAAACTTTACTGTAAAACTACAGTAAAGCTAACCATTACCATCTCCAACCAAGTACTAACATTGAACAGTTTTATAATTGGTTATCTCATTTGAACTTCAAAACAATCTATTAATATATGAACTATTATTTTCTTCCACAATTAGCTTCAGAGGGGCTAAGTTGGCCTGTGACCACACAGCTAGAAAGAATGAAGCTGAGATGAGCACTGATATAATGCTATTACTATATTTGTAGGGTATGTATACTACTTTACAAAATGTTTTCATGGTTTTAAAGAATTTAATACTTATAGTAACTCTGGAAATAGATGGAAAAGATATTTTTATACTCATTTTATAGCTGTAGAAACAGGTTCATTTGGGTTAAATGATTTGCTTTAGCCTGGTACCAATATCCCATATGGCCCCATATTCCCATCAAACACTGAGAGAAGATGCTTATTAGGGAGTTCTCCTTATCCCAGAGGCCCCAAATTAACGGCAAGTGACACTGTATCAATAAGAGTCAAACAGGAAACAGAAACTACTAGAGTATTTAGAGCAGAAGCACTTCGATGCAAGGGATTGGTTGCACAGATAACAGAGGGGCTGAGATGCCAGCAGGGGACAGAGAGGCAACCTAGAGGTTAGTAAGCACCCTAGGAGACACAGAGGGAGAATTACCTGTTACCTAAGTTCAGATACCTAGGTTACTGGGTAGAAGCTAGAATCATGGTGGCCTGTGTAGCGGAAGCCAAAGCCACAGAGAAGCTCCTAGTAGTATGGATCTGATGGGGTGGAGAAGGAGGAGAAATACTCTGGTTTCTCCCTTTTTATCTCCCAGTAGAGACTCCCACTGAGCAAACGTAGCTGGGCGCCGGCTGACATCTGGCCTGGGAAACAGGCCGAATGGGTCAGCTTCCACTCCACAGGAAGACAGCAGAGCAGGGAATGGGTGAGGAAGGAATCTGAGGGCACAGGCCACGAACCAGCCCAGACCCCTCTCCGCCTGTGTGGGCCATCATCATTAATCCAAAAAGACAAAGTGAGCCCCATTCCATGACAAAAGCAAGAACACATGGATTCTTAAAGTGTTAGAATCACAGGAACCTTCATCAGGGCTGTTAGGAGAAAGGCTGTGGTTCTGAGTAGGGCAACTACTTGATGGGGAGGCCAGTGATGCTGCAGACCTTATCAGGTGCCTTTTTCATTGCCCAGGGAGGCGGATAGACAGCTCTCTGTGTTGGCTTGGGTGGGTCCTTTGGATGCTCACAGCAGGACTGATATTAATAACTGGCATCCTTATTGCATTTGTGTCCAGCCTATGCACAACTATGTCAGTTTCCCTACTCAAAATCACAGCCTCACTCCTAATACTCCCTATTCCTCACTCCCCTGCTTGCTTTTCTTCACAGCACTGATCACTATCTGATCCATGATACATTTTATTTGTTCATTAGCCAATAAAACATAAGTTCCATGAGGGCAGAGAATTTTGCTGGTTTTAATCTTTTATCCCATTGCCTAGAAGAGTGCCTGGCACATAGCACTCAAAAAACAGTTTTTGTCGAATTATTTTTAAATTGGGTGATTTCGCTAAGAATCTGGATGTATGGTTTTCCTTAAGAATTTGGCAACACTGTTTCATATATCACTGCATAGCAACAAGTGGCTGGAACTGCCGTTTAGAGATGGGGACCTGAGTTCACTCTCTGATTTGCCTCAGTCCCCACTATGCCTTATAGCCTAAAACAGCCAGCTTCATCCATTTCCATTACCTGCCTGGTTGCTGCAGGTATTCAAATGTGGGACCTCTGATCAGGGCTAAACTGTTCATTCTACATAGAGCTGGGGAAACGGAGATAAGAACAGGTGAAAGGTCTTTGGTTGTCAAAGAGTTCAGATTAGAGTCTAATTGAGGGCTTTCGTGATATGAAGATCATTGTACTAGGTATCAGAACTTGGCCCCCAGGCAATACAGTCCTTTCACAAATGAGGCATCGTATTGGGAGCTCTGTATACAGCTGCACTGTTTAAACTACCTGTCCACCAGGAGATTATAATCTAGCAGCACTCTCCTTGTTTTCAGGGGTGCAGTCCAGTTAGCCCATGTTAGCACTGATATAAATTTGGGGGAAGACAGCAATTATGCTCTTCTCACTCATTCTGTATTCTAGGTACCCAACTCCAGAGGATCTAACTGGCCAAAAGCAATGGTACAGCTCTGGGCCTTTGTGCATGCTCTTCTCTGTTGTGTGCACTCCTACACATCCCTGAGGCCCCAGCTCAGGACACTCCACTGAGGTCCCCATCATAGCCCCCTGGCAGAATTGACTGCCTCTGTGCTCCCTGCGTAGCGCATTTATATCTATTCTGCACAGATCTTGTTCTTTTACACAGTAGTCCCCCTTATCTATAGTAGATACCTTCCAAGCCCCCCAGTGGATACCTGAAACGGTGGACAAAACTGAACCCTGTATCTACTACGTTTTTTCCTATACATACATACCTATGATATAGTTTAACTTTATCAATTAGGCACAGTAAGAGATGAACAACAATAATAAAATAACAGCAATTATAACAATATGCCAGCATTGCTAAGCTTGCACTTTGGGGCCATTACTAAGTAAAATAAGGGTTACTTCAATACCGCCACGGTCGATCCGATCACCAAGCTAGCTACTAAGTGACTAAGGGCGGCTACTAGAGATAGGAGGCTGACCTTGGACAAAGGGGCATTCCGGTCCCAGGAATCAAGATTTCATCCTGCTACGCAGAATGGCCGGAAACTTAAAACTTAGGACTTCTGTATTTCTGGAATTTTCCATTTAATAGTTATGGACAAGAGCTGACCACAGGTAACTGAAATCGCGGATAAAGGGGGCTACTATCCGCAGTTCTCTAGTACTTGGGAGTTTCTTGCGACACTCATTTCTGCAACCGAGTGTCTCTCAACAAATCAAACTGTTCGGAATGTTTGGAATATTTTAAACGAAAGAATGCATTCAACAGGCAGTGCCCAACTCCCCAAGTTGGGATTCTCTCCTTGGATCAGTCTCTCCTGTTTACCCCCCTCCTCTCACCACCGGCTGCAGGGGGACCTCTCACTCCTTTCCTTCCCAGTCCAAATGCTGGGCGGTGGAGAGCCGCACTCGCGACAGACACCAGAACGCACCTTCGATAGCACATTCCTGCCCCACCTGCCCCTCAGCACCCGCTGCAGCCCCGACGAGGGTGGGGGTGGGAGGCAGCAATCCTTCAGGTCCTCGGCAGCCCTGCGGGCCTACCTTGTCCCCTTTGCTTAGGACCTGCCAAGGCCACGTCTCTACGCTTCCGAACAGCGAGTTCTTGATCATGCCCAACATGTTGTAGCCGAGACGCTCCCGACGCACGGGAGGACGTGAGGTGGCGGGGGCGACGGAGCACCACGGGCAGCGACCACCGGCGGCAGGGCGGCAGGGCGGCAGGGCGGCAGGGCGGCAGGGTGGCAGGGCGGCAAGGCGGCGGGACGGCGAGGCGGCGAGGCGAGAGGCGGGGCTAGAGGCAGGGGCCAGAGGGCGTGGCTAGAGGGCGGGGCGGCAATTCAGCCCGGCGGTGAGGCAAGGGGGCGGGACGGCGAGGTGAAGGGGCGGAGAGAGAGGGCGGGGCGGCGAGGCGAGGGGGCGGAGAGAGGGCGGGTCAGTGATGCGAAGGGCGGGCAGCAGGGCAGCAGTGCAGCAGTGCAGCAGTGCGGTGAGGCGAGGGTGCGAGGCGGCTAAGCAAGGGATGGGCCCGCCGTGGCGAGCCGCTGGGCCGTGTTCCGCCTCCTTTCGGGCTTTCCGCGGGTGTCTGGGGAGGGAACCCGGCCGCGGGCCTCAGGCCGTCCCCCTCCGCAGACCCCTTCTCTTATTCTGAGTCTAACCTATCCGCTGGGGCCCTGGAAAGCGATTCTCGCCTGGAGTGGCTTTAGGCAGCGGTGGTGGGGAACGTCCTCTCTCAGGTGCCTGGGCTCCAACCTCCGAGCCCCGGGTTGCTCACGCTTCTCCGGTCCTCTACCCGAAGGCTCGATCCCGCTGGTACAGCGGCGGCCAGGCTCCCTGTCTTGGTAGCTGTCCCTCTACCCCCGCCCCATGACCTCTTCTAGACCATTGAAAGAGCATCCAAACCACTTTCCTGCTGCCACTCTTTCCTACCATCCCTCTAAATCACAGTTTCCAGGTGACTTTTCTAAGCATGGCTTTTCTCGTTCACTCCTGTTCAAAAATCTTCTCACCAATTTTGTCACCATTTACTCAGCTGAGTGCCTGCTTTCTGTCAAGTATTTTACCAATAAATCTCTACTCCACACCACCGACAAGAAATATTTTGGAGCCATTTAAAAAGGAGGAAACGGAAGCTTCTGCCGCTGCCTGATCCTCCATTGCTCCGAGCCGCGCGGGTGCAGCGGGCTGTGGAGCCGCGGGCCGAGCCCCGCCGGAGCGCCCGAGAGCCCGCGCGTCCCGGGCGTCCGTCGGGGTCCGAGGTCCCTCCCTCAGGGAGTCCCCGCTCGGCAGCGCTCTCGCGTTTCACGCAGCGGCCGGGGATCTGGGACAGGCGGGGCCCCGAGGCCGAGCCTGGCGCTGCCCAGCGGCCGGTGCAGGCCTCAAGCTGGGCCGGGCGGAGGGGAACCGGCGAGTTGAAGCCCCGGGGCCGAAAGCCGGAGCCTGTGGCGGCCGCGGGGGTGGGGAGGGGGGTGGGGCGGCTTCTTGGGCAGCGCCACACGGCGGCGCAGTGATGGATGTTAACAGCAGCGGCCACCCGGACCTCTACGGGCGCCTCTGCTCTTTCCTCCTGCCGGAGGTGGGGGGCAGGCTGCCCGACCTGAGCCCCGACGGTGGCGCCGAACCGGTCGCGGTCTCCGGGACGCCGCATCTGCTGAGCGGGGGCCCCCGAGGTGACGGCCAGCCCGGCGCCCACCTGGGACGCAACCCCGGGCAATGCCTCCGGCCGCGGGGAGCAAATCAAGAAAGGGCCGAGAAAGTTGTGATCGGCTCTGTCCTGACGCTCATCTCTCTGCGATCGCGGGCAACTGCCTGGTGGTATCTCCGTGTGCTTCGTCAAGAAGCTCCGCCAGCCCTCCAACTACCTGATCGTGTCCATGGCGCTGGCCAACCTCTCGGTGGCCATGGCGGTCATGCCCTTCATCAGTGTCACCGACCTCATCGGGGGCAAGTGGATCTTTGGACACTTTTTCTGTAACGTCTTCTCCATGAATGTCATGTGCTGCACGGCCTGGATCTTGACCTTGTACGTGATCAGCATCGACAGGTACCTTGGGATCATGAAGCCTCTCACGTACCCTATGAGGCAGAAGGGGAAATGCATGACGAAGATGATTCTTTCTGTCTGCCTTCTTTCCGCCTTTGTCACTTTACCTACCATTTTTGGTCGGGCTCAGAATGTAAACGATGATAAGGTGTGCTTGGTCAGTCAAGACTTTGGCTACACGATTTACTCCACCGCAGTGGCATCCTAATCCCCATGTGCGTCATGCTTTTCATGTACTAACAGATTTACAAGGCCGCCAGGAAAAGCGCGGCCTAACACAGGTTACCTGGCTTCCCTCGAGTGGAGCCAGACAGCAGTAGTCACCCTGAATGGCACAGTGAAGTTCCAGGAGGTGGAAGAGTGTGCAAACCTTTCGAGACTCCTCAAGCATGAAAGGAAAAAATATCTCCATCTTTAAGCGGAAACAGAAAGCAGCGACTACCTTGGGGATCATCGTCTGGGCCTCCACCATGTGCTGGCCGCCCTTTTTCCTCCTGACAGCCAGACCCTTCTGTCTATGGCACTGCCTGCAGCTGCATCCCACTGTGGGTGGAGAGGATATTTCCATGGCTGGGCTATGCAAACTCTCTCATTAACCCTTTTATTTATGCCTTCTTCAACTGGGACCTGAGGACCACCTATTGCAGCCGGCTCCAGTGCCAGTACCAGAATATCAACCAGACACTCTCAGCTGCAGGCATGCATGAAGCCCTGAAGCTTGCTGAGAGGCCAGAGAGACCTGAGTTTGTCCTACAAAACTCTGACTACTGTAGAAAAAAAAGTCATGATTCATGACTGAAAGAGGGATAATGGAGATGAAATAAACAAGGCAAAATAGAGGTGGAAACAGAAGAAAGTCATTTGCCAAGACTGCAGAATGGAATGCAGCTTCTGTCCTTTCTTAGGATGGCTAAAACGTGACAAACAGCATGACCTGATGTACAACATATCTTATGAGGGAGATGGTGACCTCTCCTTTTTTCTGTGGATCAGTGTTATTGTGTGTTCTCAGTTTAAGATAGCAGATCATCTCAGCAGTAAGCACACTGACAGAATTGAGTTCCAGAAAGGAAGCAGTTTCAGGTTCTTAGCACATGTCCAAATCCATGCAAGTGGGAGAAAGTTCCAATGCACACTTTCCATGCTTCCGAGTCTAGGTCTCGTGGTGAATATTCAGCAATCATTCATGAGAAAGAATGTATTTTGTTGTATGACAGAAGGGTTTACCAAGCAAACTGTGGTAAGCATAGTATCGAATATGTTGCATGTCCATTTTAGAAAACAGAGCCCAGTCATCAGCTAATACAAATGATTTCCCAGAGCAGTGTTTGTTTCAAGCTTCTGTCAAATAGTTTGGCTTTTCTGCAGGGTCCCTGTAACTTCCCCACAAATGTACTTCTTTGTTAATTCACTTATTGTTATGGTGTGGCTCAGGAACAGGTCTCAGGATGGAGAGCAGCATACAACCTGAACAAAGCTTTTTCTTGTGCTCTGAAGGGTCCTGAGACGTGAGGGGGATGCCTTCCATGAGGATTTTTATCTCAGTGAAGTGCGAGTGGTACCCACCTGTATTGTCATTAACATGATTATTGGCATGTTTTTGACTCTCATTTTTCACAAGGGTGCAGTGGGGCCATGGACCATCCCATGGGATGGTCCATAACTGTATGTTATATGGAAATAGTGTGGGAATAATGGGTTTTCCATGAAAGGTTGTGATGCTTCTGGAGATGGGGGCATAAACGTGTTCATTCTTGTTGAGCAGCATTGTGTTAAACCAAATTGTGTGAAGTGGAGGTCACCTGGACCACTCCTGGGAAATGCTCCAGAACACCAGTCTGTTCCTTCTAGAAATTTGTTCTCTGTATTTATTTTTATTTTTTATTTTGAGGCAGTGTCTCACCCATCCTGTCTCCCAGGCTGGAGTGCAGTGGTGCGATCTCGGCTCACTGCAACCTCTGCCTCCTGGGTTTAAGCAATTCTCCTGCCTCTGCCTCCCAAGTAGCTGAGATTACAGGCACCTGCCACCACACCTGGCTAATTTTCGTATTTTTAGTAGAGAAGGAGTTTCACCATGTTGGCCAGGCTGGTCTCAAACTCCTGATCTCAGTTGATCCACCTGCCTTGGACTCCCAAAGTGCTGAGATTACAGGTGTGAGCCACTGTGCCCAGCCTGTTCTCTGTATCTTAAATCAACTCTGTGCCAAAGCAGTTCTGTCCCCTGACTCCCACCCCTACCCACCAAAAAGTGGTAGACATGAAGGGCAGGTAAGGGAACAGAAAATGTCTCCTTGCAGCTATATATATTTTAAACGAACTGTGTAATAAGTATGAGCTAAGGAGACAGAAAGACAGTAGATGAGAAAAGAAGAGTACCTATACCTACAAGGGGCAAAATGAATGCAATCCTTCATTTGATAAGAGAGAACTGAAAGAGAATATTATTTTTCTACAATAAAGCAAGCTGTCCTCTCAGGATAAAGTGGAATTTCGACATGGATTATGGACTTCTTCCAACTCCCATTGACATTGCTTCTTACCACACATGGGGAAGGGCTGCCTTTCCTGAAAGGGGAAGAAGGCACTGTCCTTTCAGACAAAGTTTGTACAAATTCCTGAACTGCAGATTTGCTAATGTGACCGCGTATACTTATATTCATAATTTAAGTGATTGTTTATGGTCAGATACATATTGTTAAACTTGAAAATGTTTTATTACATTACATCAAATAAAGTCTATTTGTAGCTGAAAAAACTAAAAATAATAAAAAGGAGGAAACTGAGGCTTAAAACAATTAAGTAACTTTCCCAGGCAACAACTAATGTGTGGCTTGGTGAGGATTTGAACTCATGTCTGTGTTGTCAGCGTCCATAATGCTTTGTACTCTGTCACCCTGGCTTTTCCGACCTGTATCTACATCTACATATGGCACTGCTTTCCAAATACTTTCTAAATGTCCAGCTTCCCCCTTGGACTCACTCCTTGAAACTGACTTCTCTGAAAGTGTCCCTCAAACACTGTGTCCATGAACACTGTGTGGTCCTGTCTGAACTCTCTTGTCATCTCATTTGTTCTAATATTCTGCCTACTTGAGGATTCTCTTTTCTTTTTTTTGATACAGGATCTCACTCTGTTGCCCAGGCTGGAGTGCAGTGGCATGAGCTTGGCTCACTGCAGCTTCGAACTCCCTGGCTCAAGTGCTCATCCCACCTTAGCCTCCCAAGTAGCTGGGACTGCAGGTGCACACCTAATTTTTCTATTTTTTGTAGAGACAAGGTTTCTCCATGTTGCCCAGGCTGGTCTCAAACTCCTGGGCTCAAGCAATTCGTCCAACTTGGCCTGTCGAAGTGCTGGGATTACAGGTGTGAGCCACTTTGCCCAGCCTATTTTTCTTTTTTTGAGAGAGGATCTTGCTCTGTCACCCAGGCTGGGGAGCAGTGGTGCGATCATGGCTCACTGCAGCCTAGAACTCCTGGGCTCAAGTGATCCTGCCACCTCAGCCTCCTGACTACCTGGGACTACAGGTGTGCACCACTACTGCCAGTGAATTTTTAATACATTTTTGCAGAGAAGGGAATCTCACTATGTTACCCATGCTGGTCTCAAACTCCTGCCTCAGTTGATCCTCCTCCATCCGCCTCCCAAAGTGGTTAAATTAAGCCAACCTGCCTGGCCTTTATGAGGATTCTTTATGCATGTTTTACCCATTGGTTGCATTGTCATTTGAAATTGTTAACCTAATTGTCAGACTAATTTGTGGCAGCTGCCCTAAACCAGAGCTGAGGGATTGCCTGCTGTGCTTTCCTCCTGAGCAAGGGGAAGTTGAGCCGGAGCCAGGTAGTGGCAATCAATAATAGTGGTACTGTTGACCTCTAGCTTTGTGGTAAAAGATATTAACTTTATTAACTCCAGACAAAAAATATTTGCCCTTTGACAAATATTTGTTCATTGCTATAAAGTAAATTGCCATTTAATTATTTCATAGTTCCTTGACTCTAAGATGCTATTGATTATAAGACAGGCCCTGTTATTTTATGTGCCACCAAGAAAAAAAACAAATGCTACTAAGTAAACTATGACATTCAATTGATTTTAAATGCATCCAGAGACATTAAAATGTGAAATAGCATGCAGCTTGGAGTTCATAAGAGATTCTTAGGTTGCTTTGTAAGGGTCTCTTGAGTATTTTTGCTCACAACCATACCTCCTTTATAACAAACTAATCTTTTAAAAGGCAAGATCTATTTTTCTTTAGCACTTCCCTCACTAGCCACACACAGAGGATGCTCAGTAAGTGTGGAATGATTTAAAACATTCTTGATATTAGAGCTAGTCATCTATTTTAGTTACTAAACTATATACAGTGCAATGGGCTCTATTACTCAGTATGGTCAAGTAGCGGAAGTATTTGGGAATCAGAAAACATCGGGTCAAAAGATGGGGATTCCAATCTGGCTCTGTCCTACCAGTGTAATGAATATTTCTTCTGCAAATTTCCTAACCTCTGCAGAACTCACTTTCTTTCTTTTTTTAAATTTAGAGACAGGGTCTTGCTATGTTGCCCATGTTGGTCTCAAACTCCTTGGCTCAAGTGATCTTCCCACCTCGGCCTCCCACAGTGCTGGGATTACAGGTGTGAGCCACTGCACCTGGCCTCAGAACTCACTTTCTACATCTGCAACACTGGGGTAATAATGCCAGCTCACAGTGCTGTCGGGAGGATTAAAGGAGTCCAGGCAATAAAAAGCACTGTATACACTGTTAAGGGCTAGATTCTCCCCACACCAGTGGTCAAGTTTGTCCTGCTACCAAGGGCTGAACATTGCTGCTTCAAGAGCATTGTGGGGAAGCATCATTTTAAAGTCCAGATTATTTGGTGTCTTGCCTTTTTTTTTTTTTTTTTTTTGAGATGGAATCTTGCTCTGTCTCCCAGGCACGATCTCGGCTTACTGCAAACTCAGCCTCCCAGGTTCAAGTGATTCTCCTGCCTCAGCCTCCCAAGTAGCTGGGATTATAGGCGCATGCCTCCCAAGTAGCTGGGATTACAGGCGCACACCCAGCTAATTTTTGTATTTTTAGTAGAGACAGGGTTTCACCATGTTGGCCAGGCTGGTCTCGAACTCCTGACCTCAGGTGATCTGCCCGCCTCAGCCTCCCAAAGTGCTGGGATAATAGGCATGAGTCACCATGCCCAGCTATTTGGTGTCTTTCTTTATCTGAAGAATTTGGTATGCTGTGAGACATTTTCCTTTGCAATTTATTAGGTATTATGATTGAATACTGTTGAGTGTGTATAAACTGAAAGAAAAATTCTAAGCCCCCCACTCGACTGAATGGACCCCTCGTCTCAGCCAATGGAATTCCAAAGAAACCTGAAAAACTAGTTCAGGCCATGATGGGAAGTGGGGGTCCCATCATGCCTCATTATACCTTCCTCCTTTTGGAATTCAGGCACAACTGACCAGTATTAACATTAAATCTTAAGGCTGAAAACACAGACTCTTTGTAGCAATAAGATACCAAATTGTAACCTTGTATAGCATCATATGACAGATAGCAGCTCTGAAAGAAATAAAAATATTTTAGATGCCGGGCGCAGTGGCTCATGCCTGTAATCACAGCACTTTGGGAGGCCAAGGCAGTCAGATTGCCTGAGGTCGGGAGTTCAAGACCAGCCTGGCCAACATGGCGAAACCCCGTCTGTACTGAAAATACAAAAATTAGTCCAGTGTGGTGGCTCATTCCTGTAATCCCAGCTACTCAGGAGGCTGAGGCATGATAATTGCTTGAACTCAGGAGGCGGAGGTTGCAGTGAGCCCAGATTGCATCACTGCACTTCAGCCTGGGCAACAGAGTAAGACTCTGTCTAAAAAAAAAAAACCCAAAAAACAAAAAACAAAATCAGATATGAATAAGAACATGGGTGGTTAGACATCTCTCCCATCATAGGAGGAGAGAGGGAGGAAAAGGTGGGTGTCTGCCTATGTACTTACGGAGGTTGGAGGTGGCAAGTTATGGGAGCTCCTGTCAGAAGGCTTTCATTTTCTCTGTGAAATAGGTTATGAGAATGATGGAACAGGAAGCAGGAGAGAACAGCTACCACCATTCTTTCCTTATAGGTAAGACATGGGCAAATCAAATAATATTTGGCAATAAGGCATCAACACACAGTTGCATGTAATAAAGTAGGCTGGAATTTATTCTCAAGGTAATGAGGATCTATTCCATTAAGATTTTTACATATGGTGGCTAAATAATTAGTGTTTCTGCCTCAGTTTAGCAGTAGTATTTTCTGGTGCACCTGAGACTCTTCTGAGTCCTGGCCCAAGAGTATAAGGCTCACAGAGAAGGGGTATTTCCTCCACATTGCCCCCTCTCTCCTTTGTGCAGTCTGCACAAAGACTGCCTTTCCAGTCAGCTTTTTTTCTTTTTTTCTTTTTTTTTTTTTTTTTTTTGAGAGAGAATGTGGCTCTGTCGCCCAGGCTGGAGTGCAGTGGCGTGATCTTGGCTCACTGCAACCTCCGCCTCCCAGGTTCAAGCGATTCCCCTGCCTCAGCCCCCCGAGTAGCTGGGATTACAGGCGCGTGCCACCATGCATGGCTAATTTTTTGTATTTTAGTAGAGATGGGGTTTCATCACATTGGCCAGGATGATCTTGATCTCCTGGCCTCATGATCCACCTGCCTCGGCCTCCCAAAGTGCTGGGATTACAGGCGTGAGCCACTGCGCCCGGCCCCCAGTCAGCTTTTTAAATTTTTGCATTCCTATATTTTATTTTTAAGTGACATTCAAAATTGTATATATTTATCATGTACAGCATGATGTTTTGAAGTATATACACATTGTGGATGACTAAATCTAGCTACTTCATGTATTCATTCCCTCATAGTTATCATTTTTGTGGTGAGAAAGCTTAACATCCACTCTTTCAGCAGTTTTCAAGAATATTTTGTTATAACTATAGTGTCCATGTTGTACAATAGATCTCTCGAACTTCTCCTTTCTAAATGAAATTTTGTATCATTTAACAAACATGATCCCAATACCCACCCCTCCCAACTGCCCTAGCCCCTGCTAACCACCGTTCTACTCTCTACTTCTATGAGATCAAGTTAGTGTCCACATGAGTGAGATCATGCAGTATTTATTTTTCTGGGCCTGGCTTATTTCACATGACATAGTATCCTCCATTTTCATCCCTGTTGTTGCACATGAGAGGATTTTCTTACTTTTTTATGGCTTAATAGGATTCCATTGTGTATATATACTACATTTTCTTTATCCATTCATCTGTTGATGAACACTTAGGTTGATTTCATATCTTGCCTACTTGAAGTACTGTTCATTAAGCAAAGCCAATAGCTTTGATTCAAGTCAAGTACTATGAATAGTGCTGCAATGAACATGGATGTGCTGATATCTCTTCAACACTGATTTCATTTTCTTCGAATGTATACCCAGAAGTGGGATTGTTGGATCACATGGTAGTTCTAATTTTAATTCCATGAGGAACCTCCATACTATTTTCCAAATACACAAAGGATGGAAATTAATGCTGTACTAATTTACATTCCCACCAGTGGTGTGCAAGGGTTCCTTTCTCCACATCCTTGCCAACACTGGTTGTCTTTTTTGTCTTTTTGATAATAACCTTTCTATGACGTAGGAGGTGACATCTCACTGTGGTTTTAACTGGCATTGCTCTGATGATTAGTGATGTTGAGCCTTTTTCATAAACCTGTTGGCCATTTGTGTCTTCTTTCGAGAAATGTCTAGTCAGGTCAGGTCCTTTGTCTATTTTTTTTTTTTTTTTGATACCGAGTCTCGCTCTGTTGCCCAGGCTGGAGTGCAGTGGTGTGATCTCAGTTCACTGTAACTTCCGCCTCCCGGGTTCAAGTGATTCTCCTGCCTCAGCCTCCGAGTATCTGGAATTACAGGTGCATACCATCATGCCCGGCTAATTTTTGTATTTTTAGTAGAGACAGGGTTTCACCACGTTGGCCAGGCTGGCCTTGAACTCTTGACCTCAGGTGTTCTGCCCGCCTTGGCCTCCCAAAATGCTGGGATTACAGGCGTGAGCTACTGCGCCTGGCCTGCCTGTAAATTTTTTTAAAATTTTTTATTTATTTTCATTTTTTGAGACAGTCTCGCTGTGTCACCCAGGCTGGAGTGCAGTGGCACAATCTCGGCTCACTGCAACCTCCACCTCCTGGGTTCAAGTGATTTTCCTGCCTCAGCCACTTGAGTAGCTGGGATTACAGGCATGCGCCACCATGCCTGGCTAATTTTTGTATTTTGAGTACAGACAGGTTTCACCATGTTAGCCAGGCTGATCTCGAACTCCGGGCCTCAAGTGATCTGCCCACCTTAGCCTCCCAAAGTGCGGAGATTTTAGGCGTGAGCGACTGCGCTCAGCCATATTTTAAAAATAAGATTATTTGTTGTATTGCTATTGAGTTATTTGAGTTCTTTATACATTTTTTGGTATTAACCCCTTATCAGATGTATAGTTTGCAAGTATTTTCCCCTCTTTTGTAGGCTGTCTCTTCACTCTGTTAATTGTTTGCCCTGCAGAAGCTTTTTAGTTTGATATAATCCCATTTGCCTATTTTGCTTTTGTTGCCTGTGCTTCCACCAGCATTTCTCATCCAGGACAGGGCTCCTCCCAGGGTGTCTGACTGTGGGCATGCTCCCCTCTTCAGGGTGGGCCCACCCTGAAGCACTCCCTGCCCACAGTGGCATGCTTTTTCTTCTGTCTCCCATCAGAACATAGGGTACCAGCAATATTTACTCACTAAGAAATTGTTTCCTTTCATCTTTCTTTCTAAATTATAAAATGAAAAGTCATCTTCTTTAATGTTCAACATTTCTAAATGTCTGATTTGTTTAAATTTATAAATAATTTATAGATTTAAATTTACTGATTTGTGTTAAATTTATTCACCACTGTTTATTTACTACCTACCCAAGTTCCCAGGTAGTCTACGGGGTTCTAAACTGTAGCAGTGAACAAAACAGACGAAAACCCCTGCTTTACTGGAGTTTACATTTCGGCGTGGGAGACAGGCAGTAAATAAACACATTCATAAATATGTAATAGGTCAGGTGGTGTGTGTTGAAGGCCAACGTATGTCAGTGTGGGCCACTTTAGATAGGGTGGTGACATTTCAACAGAGACTCCCCAAAAAGTGAGGGCATCACTGAGAAGATAGCTAGGGGAGAAGTTTTCAAGTCAGTCGGAAAGGCACGTGCAAAGGCCCTGAGGTGGGAGAATACCTGGCATGTTGAAGAAAGCAAGGAGGCCAGTGTGGCTGGAGTTTACTGAGAAGGAAGAAGGTTACAGGCAAGGGCTCCAGAACCAGGCTGCCTCGGTTCAAATCCCTGCTTACAAGTCGGGTGACCTTGGGCGACTTATTTACTCTCTCTTTGCCTCAGGGCTGTCATCTGAAAAATGGAAATAATGATAATGTGTACCTCAGAGGCTTGTTATGAGGATTAATAATTGCAAAGCACTTAGAACAGGGCCTGGCACATAGTAAGTGCTCTGTAAGTGAATCTTAACCTAAAAAAGGAGAAGAATGATGAAAAATCCAAATTGAAGCAACTATTTCAATATCATAAAATTACTAATCTATATTCTTTTAAAATGTCAATGTCTTAAAAGACAAGAAAAGGCTAAAGAATTGATTCAAATTAAACGAGACTAGAGAGACACTACAAGTAAATGTCATCTGTGATTATGGGCTGGACCCTGTGCCAAGAAAAAATACTCTAAAGAACATTAGTAGAATTAAATTGATTAAGTTAGCATACAGACTGTAGATTAGATAAAAGTATTATATCAATATTAAAGTTCCTGACATTGATAACTATATTGTGGTTGTGTAAGAGAATATCCTTGTTCTTAAGAAATACACACAGGGGTATTAAGGGGATAAGCGGACCTACTATCAAATGGTGTAGAGATAAGCTGTGACACACACACACATACACACAGCCTACTTCTTTAACCTAATATATTAAGTATCCTTCTCCTAGTTTCCTATACCGTAGCTGCATTGATCTCCTTGGTATTCCTTAAGAATACAAGTATGTTCTAGATCAGGGTGTAGGTATTCACTGTTTCTTTGCTTAGAATTTCTTCTCCCAGAAATTGACTTGAATGGCTTCTTTTCATCATTCGGGTCTCAAATCCCCTTTTCAGAGAGAGCTTCCTCGACTCCCCAACCTAAAGTGTCTCCTCTCCCTAGAGTGCTTATCATTATCTGAAAATAATTAATTCATTTCTATGCTTCTTTTCCTTTTTGTCTTTTTCTTCCCACTAAACTGTACATGTCATAAGAGGAGAGATCTTCTGGATCACAACTCTATCTTCAGTACCTAGAATAGTGTCAGAAACATAAGCTCTCAATATATATTTGTTGAATGAATGGGATGGGATGGGGTGGGTTGGTGTGGGATAGGAGAAGACTCTAGGAGGAAGGTCGGCAGCATGAACCCAGTTATTAGAGAGACTGTGGGTGCATTAGTGTCTATCATTCCATCCTACTACCAGTACAACTTTTTAAGAAGGGAGATATGCTTAAAAGAGGTTGGGAGGAGAAAGAGAGAGAAAGCACAAAGAGGAAAAAAGTATAAGATATGCTTATTTGAAACTTAGAGGTTGATCATAATCAGCAATTTTAGAGAAAAAGAGGAATCAAAGGAGAGGAACTTTGTTGACATGTCCAAAACAATTGTAATGTCAGCCATTTCTTTCCTTTTTTTTGCCAGAGTTTTGCTCTTTTGCCCAGGCTGGAGTGAAGTAGCTTCCGCCCCCCAGGGTTCAAGTGATTCTCCTGCCTCAGCCTCCTGAGTAGCTGGGATTATAGGTGCTCACGACCACCCCTGGCTAATTTTTGTATTTTTAGTAGAGACAGGGTTTCATCATATTGTCCAGGCTGGTCTCAAACTCCTGACCTCAGGTGATCGACCTGCCTGAGCCTCCCAAAGTGCTGGGATTACAGACGTGAGCTACCACACTCAGCCTAATGTCAGCTATTTCTTTTTGATGACATAATCCACATTAAAATTGTATCTAGAACAGTAAGAGGAACCAGTCTCCAATGACATCTAAATGGGTGTATTGTCCTTTATTTTGGAAAATTCCCCTTCCATCTTATTTAGGACAATGTTGTAAGTTTCCCACTCTTGGGATCAGCACCTGGATGTTGTCTTTGGCTCTCTTCATCCTTACATTTTCTTTTTTCCCTCCTAAATCCTCAATTCTTTGTGATTCTTCTCTTATATTACTCTCACATGTGGACCTATGATGTGGGTCAGTGTTTCTCAGTGTGCTTCTTGCATCTGCTGTATCACTTGGAGAGCCTGTTAATCATGCAGATTCCTTGGCCCCAAATCAGAATCTCTGGGACGGGTAAGCAGGGAAACTGGTAACTTTTAAAATTTTTCATTTTTTTAAGTAAAATATAGATTTCAAAAATTCAAAATATACTAAAGGATATGAAATAAAGAATTTTTCTCCTAGACTCTGTTTCTCAGCTACCCTTTCCCCTTTCTTAGAAGTATGCATTGTTGCATTTTTTTTTTTTTTTTTTTTTGAGACAGGGTCACACTCCTCCACTCAGGCCTGGAGTGCAGTGGCACGATCTCGGCTCACTGCAACCTCCGCCTCCCGGGTTCAAGTGATTTTTGAGCCTTAGCCTCCCAAGTAGCTGGGATTACAGGTGCATGCCACCATACCCAGCTAATTTTTGTATTTTTAGTAGAGACGGGTTTCACCATGTTGGCCAGGCTGGTCTCAAACTCTTGATCTTAAGAAACCACCTGCCTCAGCCTCCCAAAGTGCTGGGATTACAGGTGGAGTCACCACGCCCAGCCTAAAAGTATGCATTGTTATATTACTTTCATATATATTTTTCCAGAGTTTTTTTGTGCATAGACATACAAATACATGCATATATTTTTTTTCTCTACTTTCTCATTACACAAATGATAATGTACTATACTTATGGTTTCTGTAAATTGTTCTTTTGTTGTCATGTGCCAATGTATTTTGGAAATCATGCCATAGTGATATATGAGTAATGATTCACGTTTTTCCCAGTGGTATGGATTTTCATGTATGGATGTGCCGTAAATACTTAACAAGGAGCCTATCAATGGAGGTTCACATTGTTTTCAATCCTTTGATAATAGGAACAATATTGCAGTGAATAACCTCCGAAATATATCATATCCCACATGTATAAATATACCTGAAGAAAATTTTCCTGAGCCAAAGGATATGTACATTTAAAATTTTGATAGATATTGCTAAATTATTTTCAGTATAGGTTGGCAAACTCACCAGTGAAAACATCTGGGCCTTCAGATTTCTTTCTTGGAAGGCTATTAATTATTGATTCAACTTATTTAATAGAGCTAAAGCTATTCAGATTATTTATCCTTGTGTGAATTTTGGTAGTTTGTGTCTCTCAAGGAATTGGTCCATTTCATCTAAATTGTCAAATTTATTGGCATAGAGTTGTTTATAGTATTCTTCTTTTCTCCTTTTAATATCTGTGTGATCAGTAGTGATAACCCTTCTTTTATTTCTGACATTGGTAATTTGTGTCTCCTCTTTTTTTCTTGGGTAGTTTGGGTAAAGGTTTATCAATTTTATTGTTCTTTCCAAAGAACCAGTCTTTGGTTTTGTTGATTCCCTCTATTGTTTTTCTGTGCTCAACTTCATTGATTTCTGTTGTAATTTTTATTTCTTCTGTTCCTCCATTGTCTTTCTTGCTCTAGTTTCTTAGGTGGAAGCTTATTGGTTTTACATCTTTCTGTTTTTCTAACACATGCACTAAATTTCCCTTTAATCACTATTTTTGCTGCACCTCACAAATTTTGATAAGTTGTATTTCCATTTTCATTTAGTTCAAGATATTATAAACTTCCCATAAAAGATAAGTTGTTGAGCCTGCATAACTTAAAAACTGACATATTTGCTGACTACCCGTGCTTAGAGAAAAATGCAGAGAGCAATGTGAGGCCGAAGTTGTGGAAACAACGGAGGTTGTGAACCAAGAAAATGGAACAGGTTTTAGGTTAGCAGGGAAAGGTGAGAGAGAATTCCAGGGAAGAGTTCAGATAGTAATGCCTATTGGGAGAATCTCTATTTGGAAAGCATTTTATTTTAAATATATAAAATGCACAACAAAATTACCAATTTAACATGCAATTATGGGTATTCGTAATAATATTTTCTTTCTTCTTTTGAGACGGAGTCTCACTCTGTCTCACCCAGGCTGGAGTGCAGTGGCGCGATCTCGGCTCACTGCAGCCTTCGCCTCCTGGGTTCAAGCGATTCTCCTGTCTCAGCCTCCTGAGTAGCTGGGACTACAGGCACGTGCCACCACACCTGGCTAATTTTTTGTATTTTTAGTAGAGACGGGGTTTCACCATGTTGGCCAGGCTAGCCTCGAACTCCTGACCTCGGGTGATCCACCCGCCTCAGCCTTCCAAAGTGCTGGGATAACAGGCATGAGCCACCAAACCCAGCTCATAATATTTTCTGATTAATGGCTATAAGAAAGTGCTTTAAAATAATCAAAATATACCTTTTAAAATAAACAAATGAAAAAACAAAAATATCTTTGAGTTTCTCTTGAGCCTTATTCTTTGAGCCATGTGTTAGTTAGAAGTGTGTTGTTTAATTTCCAAATATTAGGGGGATTTCCTAGCTATCTTTCTGTTACTGATTTCTATTTTAATCCCATTGTGGTCTGATAAATTCCTTTGTATGATTTCTATTCTTCTAAATTTGCTAAGGTGTATCTTATGGCCCAGAATGTGGTTTATCTTGATGAATGTCCTGTGTGGGCTTAAGAATAACGTGTATTCTGCTGTTGTCGAATGGAATAATCTATAATGTTAATTAGATGAAGTGATTGATAGTGCTGCTCAGGTCAACTATATCCTTACTGATTTTCTGCCTGCTTGATTTATCAATTACTAACAAAAAGTTGTTGAAGTTTCTAACTATAAATAGTGGATTTGTCTGTTTCTCCATTCAGCTTGGACTTGGGCACATTTGGGATTGTTATGTCTTCTTGGAGAATTGACCCCTTTGTCATTACAGAGTGCCTCTCAATCCCAGAAGATTTTCCTCATTCTGAAGTCTGTTTGTCTGAAATTAATATGGCTCCCCCAGTATTCTTTTGATTAGTGTTAGAACGGTTTATCCATCTCTATTTTTATCTCTCTTTCTTTCTTTTTCCATTCCTTTATTTTTAATCTATCTGTCTTTATAATAAGAATGGTTTTCTTGTAGATAATGTATAGTCTTGCTTTCCTTATTCATTCTGACAGTGTCTTTTTTTTTTTTTTTTTTTGAGACAGGGTCTTGCTCTGTCACCCAGACTGGAGTGCTGGAGCGCAGTGGCATGATCACTGCTTACTGCAGCCTTAACCTCCTGGGCTAAAGTGATCCTCTCACCTCAGCCTCCTGAGTAAGCTGAGACTACAGACACATGCCACCATGCCTGGCTAATTTTGTTTATTTTTTGTAGAGATGGGGTTTTGCCATGTTGCCCAGGTGGTCTTGAACTCCTGGGCTCAGGCAGTCTGCCTACTTTGCCCTCCCAAAGTGCTGGAATTACAGGCGTTAGCCGCTGTGCTCAGCCTCTGTCTTTTAATCGGTATAGTTACTGATATAGTTGGATGAATATCAACTGTTTGCAGCTATTTTCTATTTATTGCCAGAGGCTTCTCTTTCTGCCTTCTCTGGTTTCAACTGAGCATTTTGTATGATTTTATTTTATCTGCTTTCTTAGTTTATC
Source organism: Homo sapiens (assembly GCF_000001405.40). Lineage (NCBI taxonomy): Eukaryota > Metazoa > Chordata > Mammalia > Primates > Hominidae > Homo > Homo sapiens. Next base: position 13,016,859 of record NC_000012.12, read on the forward strand.
AATTATATTTCTTAAAATTTTTTTAAGTATTTTCCTTAGTTTCAGTATGAATTTTTGACTAATCTATCTTCAAATAACACTATACCATTTCACATGTAGTGCAGATACTCTCTTTAGGTTGTAATCTTAAGCAACTCTGGAGGGTTTTAGAGATAAATGTGTGGAGGATGGAATAATCTACCTTATCTTTCATGGGTGGAAAAAGAGGTTAAGGAGTCCCAGACTGCCTGCTTCTCCCTGTATCACCTAAACGTTTGTTTTTTATCACTTTTTGATGCTATGTGATTTGGTGCACAGATACATGTAACTCATATCTTTATTATGCATTACATCCTTTATCATTATAAAGTGCTTTAAAAATCTTGTTAATGTTTTTTGCTCTTAACTCTGATATTAAGATCATATCCCCAGCTTTTATACAGTTAGACTTTTCAGACACACTCTTGCTATCCTTTTATTTTTAATTTTTTTGAATTTTGAGCACACATATTTGACTATGGACAAAGAATTCCACCTCTGCCTATATGCTGTATAAAGCACTGTACATCTGAAATCACACTTTTCTTGTGCAGAGATGCATTCATATGCATATGATCTTTACCAGAGAAGTTTCCAAATTTATTTGTGATGGATGAGAATGTGTATTCAAAGGTAATATAGTACTGGAGTTATCTTCAGGGGTATTATACTCCTCTTGACTCAGCCCCTACCTCGCCACTAAAGATTCATTTTTAAATGAACAAAGCAATAGACAATAGAACATCTCTTTTAGGTGTGCCCAAAACAGAGCTTTGCTTTGCAATCCAATTTGAAGATTTTTTAAACAGTGTATTTAGCTATTTCACATTAATTCCAAGACAAATGTTTGGTTTTTGTCATAAAATTTCAAGTTATATTTTCTATTTTTGCAATTTATAACCTCTTTGTTTTTTGTTTCCTGTGCCAACACTAAAGCATTTGTATTTTTGTGCAAATGGTTTCCTTTATAATTATGTTATTTATAACACCGTATTCACCTGCATTTCTTGAGATAAGGCCAATTAATTTCCTACAATGAGCAGCAATAAAATTAGCATCTTTGTTCTTCCACCTCCCTCCTGGTGTTAGTTTGTAAGGGGTGCTGTAACAAAGTACCAAGATGTGGGTGGTTTAAGCAACAGAAATTATTATCTCACAGTTCTGGAGGCTAGAAGTTCAAGATCAAAGTGTCAGCAGGGTTAGTTTCTCCTGAGGGCTGGGAGGGAAGGACCTGTTCCATGTCACTCTCCTAGCTTCTGGTGGTCTCAGGTATTCCTTGGCTTGCAGATGGCATTCTCTCTGTGTCTTCACATTGTCTTCACTCTGTATGCGGCTGTCTCTGAGTCCAAATTTCCACTTTTTTTTTTAATAAGGGGGCAGTCACACTGGATTAGGGCCCACCCTAATAACCTCATCTTCGCTTAATCATCTGGAAAGACCCTATTTCTAAATAAGGCTACATTCATAGGCTCTGGGGGTTAGGATTTCAACATCTTTTTTGGAGGAGCACAATTCAAACTATAATACTCTTCTACTGCTAGATTTTAGCCACTTTACTCACTTCCTAGTGTTTACCTTTGAACTAGTAAATGTACTACGGTTTTATTATTAATTTATCATTTTTAAGTTATATTTTTTACTTCTGACTCTAAATGATGAAGAAATCAAATTACTTACTACTTTCTCCCTTCCCTCTTGGTTGCCACTCAATTTTTGCTGATTATACACTGTAGAGCTTCATAACATTCACATTTTACTCTATTATTTCCATGTTTGTTCAGCTCTGCTTGCTTTTCTCATTCCTGCCTTCTTTTTCAGTTTCCGTAGTCTATTCTTTCCCTCATTTTTTTCATTTCTCTGATATTTTTATTTCTGCTTCTAACTGAGCTCTGTTGAGTTTTTGTATTTCTGCTTTTTAGTTTTGTTCTACAGTGATAATTGTTTCATTAAATTTTTATAATTCATGACAAAATATTTGGCCTAAATTTTCACCTGCTCTATAGGGATATTTTTTCTGGTGTTTTTTGGCCCATTCTTTTTCTGTTCCTTTTCTTGATTTTTTTTCCTCTTATATTTCTAGACAGCTCCTGTGTTGGTTCTATTTTGAAAACTTGTTTTTTTTTTGTTTTGTTTTTTTGAGACTGAATCTTGCTCTGTCACCCAGGCTGGAGTGCAGTTTTGTGATCTCGGCTCACTGCAACCTCCGCCTCCTGGGTTCAAGGGATTCTCCTTCCTCAGCCTCCCAAGTAGCTGGAATTACAGGCATGCACCATCACGCCTGGCTAATTGTTGTGTTTTTAGTAGAGATGGGGTTTTACCATGTTGGCCAAGCTGGTCTCGAACTCCTGACCTTAAGTGATCCACCCACCTCTGCCTCCCAAAGTGCTGGGATTACAGGCATGAGCCACTGTGCCCAGCCCTTGAATACTTAGTTTAAAATGAATACAGTGTTTACTGTATCAGCGATTCATGGTAAGTCAATGTGGAAAAGGGGCAAGAATGTGTTTCAAGCTATGGAAATTTTAAGAAACAATTCTCAGGTTTATATGGGAGTTTATTTAGCCTTTCCCACACCCAACCAGATAAAATCTGTTCCCAATGTAAATTGTCTCTTTTCTTAATACTCCATGGACAGATGATGAGAAGGAGGAGAAGAGGAAGAGAATGTGGAGGAAGTGAATATGGCTGCATCAAGGGATTCTTCTTTTAAACCTACATAATTTTTAAAAATCGACCTGTGCATCCCAGCTCCCATTGGTGCAAACAAGTGATTTTGATTTTGTACTTCAGTGCATGCCCTTAACCTTGGTGAAATGTCTTTGCCACTTCTTTCTGAGATGTACAATCCTGAGTGATTGCTCCCTCTCTGAATTTTTTTGAATCCCTGCTTAATCTTCTCTACCTTTGGCATTCTTTTGCATACTTTGAGGTTCAAGGTTTTAACTGTTAAGTATTATGTTTGTATTTGCGTTTCTCCTTCTCCTTGCTATTTTTGGATAATTTTCTAAGAGGCAATAGAGAAATTCTGCTTTTATACCACCGTATTTAATTGAAAAGATGGAATCTGCATTTTGAAGGTTTCAGTGTGATAGATGACCTCAAGTTCTTTGATGTTCTTTCCATTGAGAGGTGGGGTCTACCTCCACTTCCCCTTGAATCTGGACTTGCTTCAGCCACTCACTTATATAACTAATAGAAGGTGGCAGAAATGACGGAGCATGACTTTTGAGTTAAGTCAGAGAGGCCGTGCAGCTACTGCATTGTTTGCCGGTACACTTGCCCTTGGAGCCCTGGGCCATCATGTAAGAAGGCTGCCATGCTGTGAGAACACCTAAGCCACATGGAGAGGCCACATGAAAAAGCTTGGTTGATAATCCCAGTTAAGCCCAACATTCGAATCATCCTAGCCCAGGTACCAGACATGTCAGTGAAGAAGACTTCATCCGCAGACATTTGAGACATCCCCAACTGCTTAAACCTTTCCAGTGGCATCGCCCAGACATTGTGAAGCAGAGACTTGCTATCCTCACTGCGCTTTGTCGGAATTCTTGACCCATAGAATCCTTAGGTATAATAAAATGGCTGTTTTATGGCATTCGTGTGAAGGAGGATTATTATACAGCAACAGACAATCAGAATGTCTGGTGAATCTTTTGCACAATAAAATTTGAAAACTACTGTCTGAGATAATTTTCACTGTACTCAAGAAAGTTGACGTCATGGTTGTATGCTGTTTTAACCCAGCTAAAGTCAAACAATTCTCAGAATTTCCTTCCTTGTGTGGTTCCAGGTTGGAGCTGGCCACAAAAGAAATTTGTTCAAGATTTTAAGTGTGGAAATGAAGAAGCAGTCACCTTTAATGCTCTAAAGGACAGTGTAGGGCATCAATTGCCATTGCAACCCAGACACATTATCACTGATCTGCTGATTTACCTTGTTGGCGTGGATCCTCAGCTCCTTCAGCTCATTTTTTTTTTTAAGTATAATTCCCATTTTATTATTCTCCAGAGAATAGTCTGTCTTCAGTCTTTAAGAACGCAGCTCCTAGGCCGAGCGGGGTGGCTCATGCCTGTAATCCCAGCACTTTGGGAGGCCGAGGCGGGCAGATCACGAGGTCAGGAGATCGAGACCATCCTGGCTAACACGGTGAAACCCTGTCTCTACTAAAAATACAAAAAATTAGCCAGGCGTGGTGGCGGGCGCCTGTAGTCCCAGCTACTCGGGAGGCTGAGGCAGGAGAATGGCGTCAACCCGGGAGGCGGAGCTTGCAGTGTGCCGAGATCGCGCCGCTGCACCCCAGCCTGGGTGACAGAGCAAGTCTCTGTCTCAAAAACAACAACAACAACAACAACAACAACAACAACAACAACAAAAAACAGCTCCTTACATGGGCTTGGTGGGGGTCGTGGGGCAGCATCCGCAGGTCTAAATCTGGGTGGGGGTGTTTGGTCACTATGGGCTTCACGAGGTCAATTCCTGACTACTTTGCTGTGAATCGCACAACCCACACAGTGATGCAGCTTCACATACAGCTTGGGAAGCACATAGGCATCGAAGATGCTTATTTCAGAAATGTCCCTGACTGTTGCAGCCTCCACTATGTTTCAAATGACGAATTTCTTAATGGCCTTGTCCTTGGGCACGCATTGGGCACAGTTCGTGCAGCAAATAAGCTGCATGTGGCCATGGCCCATTTTGGCACGACCATTGTTCCTTCTTTTCTTTGTCGTCTTGGAGGTACAGACTGGAGACTCCTTCAGCTCTTTGAGTTCTGGGTCAGGTGAAAGTGCTGCTCCGTGGTGAAATATGCCAAAGAGTAGGATAGTTAACAGAGCCCTGGGGCAAAACAGTAAAGGAGTTGCTGCTCATCTCACATTAAAAGCAAAAACCTGAAAAACATTTGGCCCTCTTTCTTGCTGAGGATTGAAAAGAACGCCCTTGCCAACTCAATAATGTAGACCAAGCAATACAGAGCTGTGTTGTCTATTTCAGTAACATGTGCCATATTGCAATGTATCTGGTTTGCAATGGCAATGGTATAGCAGCTGGGTATGGGACTACAATAACGGTTCAATTTTTGTAAGTTCATAGTAGTAGTCCAGCAGCCAGTTAATTTTTTTCTTTTTCTTTCTTTCAGGGCCAGAAAAGCAAATTAAACTGGAATGTTATGGAGACCACTATCCCTGCCTCCTTTCCTTTTTTAAAGGTGGCACTAATTTCTGTAATTCTTTCCAAGATGTGGCTTTCCTTCTGATATACCATCATGGCTGGAAGAGAAGATATGGGTGAGCTTAGAGGCTTCCACTTGGCCATTTTTACCATAATAGCTCTATTCAACAGGTCAAGAGAGAAATCTGAGGACTTTTCCAGTTTTTAATTATAACCATCCCAATTATGCACTCAGGGGCCTAACCATCACTGGTAGGTTTATGTAGCCCATGTGAAGTAGACTTGGACTGGGACTCCATATATCTCCTGGCTTTCATAAGCTTCTGCTCTAACTTGGGGACTATGCTGGCATTTCAGGCCCCCTGGCAGAATTATCAGCTAAGACTGTGTGTCTAATAGCCCTCAAAAATCTGGGTATTTCCGTTTTCCCTAGTGTATCTGGGAAAAGGCTGCAGGTCCCTTTGGGGAGGGAATGCAACCATGCTTATTGTATGTATTTGCAGTGGCATTGCAGGATTCCTTATCAAGGAGGTTAGACTTCCTTTTCAATCAGTAGGCTTTGGTTCTGAGAACTGGCCTAAGATCTGAAACAAAGGATTGTAATTACCCATTTGGTGACTGACATCAGCCTTTTGCTCACTAGCTTTCAATTTTTGTGTGGTCATATAAACCAAGCAGTAGTCTAATTGGTTGCCCTTCTGTATTGCTCTTATTAGCCATTGCCACAGATCCTAGTAGGTCAAGAAACCTTGACTGTCACTCTAGCTTTGGTCTGTATTACAGTAATTATGTTCCTCTTGACTCTTAAGATTAGACGCCACCATCTGGTCTCTGCTATTCTTGAATCTTATCATCCCCGTTGATAATAGCACAATTCCATTGCAAAATCTCTTTCTCTCAAATGTGATATACAGATGTACTGAGGGACACTTATGGCTGACCTCAAAAGATGCTGGCGCCTCACCACCACTGTTATTATGTACCGGTTATTACTTGGGCCTTCCTGGGGGACCTAGTCAGGTGGTAGGTTCTCTGATTCACATCACAAAGGATTTTAATATTTATACTTTTCTGGACTTGTTGACACCTTTCTCAATACTCTGTTGAGGCAATTCCAGCATCTCTATCTCACGGGAGACTGACACTGTATCCAAGCCTCGAGGAGTCATCCCAACAGCATTTTAGGACTGACTCCAAGTGTTCTTATCAGGACATTAAGTTCCAAGTGAATTAACATATGTTTTATCTCATATACTTATTTTTTGTGGCAAGAACACATAAAATCTACTCTTAGCAATTTTCAAGTACACCACATGTTGTTATAACCATACTCATGTTCCACAATCACCATCTAACATCATTATATTCTGTGATAGATCTCTTAAACTTATTCCTCTTATGAAATGGAAATTTTATATCTTTTGACTGACATCCTCCTTAATGATCCACCTACCCCTCACCATTCTACTCTCTGCCTCAATGAGTTTGATTTTTTTAGATTTCACATATAAGTGAGTTCATGTGGTATTTGTCTTTCTGGGTCTGGCTTATTTCATTTAACAAAATGTCATCCAGGTTCATCCATGTTATTGCAAATGACAGGATTCCCTTGTTCTGTTTTCAAGGCTGACTAGTATTCCATTATGTAGAGCTACTTCTAGTACCAACTGTTTAGCTTAGGTTTCTTCAAAGCGCTGAGCCTGAGACAAGGCTTGTGTGATGGTCATTATTTTGGAAAATGATTCTCCAAAGAAGAATGAGGGAAGAATGAAGCAGGAAAGGAGGGAAAGATAACTTAAGAGCACCTTACTGAGTGGATGGCACTGTGGAGAACTGGAGATTAATCCTTGTTAGGGACCGTCTGGGAAGTCATGTGCAGCGCACTTAAGAATCATCTACTTGAAGGGGAAGAAGGGAATATTTACCGCTGACTCCTACATGTTGCTGGCCGAGGATTGTCCCATGGGATATAACTCTCACATTTCCATTTTTGGAAAAAGCATTTGGTTCTTTTTTATCCTTTAGAGATGATCAATGAGACTTTTTTTAAAGTATCATTATGAACTTATGGATTTTAACATATTTAAGTCTGTCTGTTGTACTCATTATTCTTATTGATAATGTCCCATTTTGGCTATTGTGAGTGCCTTCAAATTGGTTCCTGTGACCTTTTAACATGAATCCAGCAGACTTTAGTAGCTTTCTTGTTTTCTAGTATGACAAAGTCTTCTAGGCTCATTCCTGCTCCAGACATGAAATCATCCATTTTCCCAAGGAGCCCTTCAGAGATCACGATCTGGCACTAGAGGTCCTCGTTGCTGTTGGGTTGGTCAATGTATGAAGTCCTGTTCCCTGGACAGAGCTAGAAATATGTTTTTGTTTAATGAAAAAGAGAAATACCTCATGAATTAGTACTCATATTTCTAATTCAAATAAAATATTACAGTTTTTCTTTACCTACCTTCTTTGATTTTATATTTGCACTTCTTTACTCTTACTAATTAACATAATTACTTATTTGCTTGTTAAAAGAAAAATTTTAGACATATTAAACAGTTCAATTGAGCAAAGAGCGATTCACAAATCAGGCAGCGTTCCCATCTCCTGGATCCAGAATAGATTTGGAGCAACTGTGGAGCTGTCACGTGGTTGGATAATATTTATGGACAGAAAAAGGAAAGTGGTGGACAGAAAACAGAAGTGAGGTACGGAAACAGCTGGATTGGTTACAGCTCAGTGTTTGAACATGGTTTCAACAGTTGGCGACCTGTGATAGGTTACAGTCTGTTTACATATCCAGTTAGGTTACAGTTCACTATATAAGGAGAAACCTTTAGGTCAAACTTAAAATACATAAGGAGGCAGCTTTAACTTAATTTAACACAGTTTAACCTGTTCTATTTGTATATATAATTGTTTCAAACATCATTACAAAATTACTTATTTGCTATACCCTATCATCTACGTGTGTATAATAGTTTCATACTCACTATATCAATATTGTTATTAACAATATGATCCCTGAATACAATTTAAGATTTCTTTGCAATTCTACTTTTCCCTTAGAATATATCCCGCTAGGAGGGTACAGTCAAATTAATATGTTTTGAAGTTATTGAATTAATTGGATGTCACGTTCTCTATATGTTAATAGTTAAACCATCAACTTAGTATTAATTTTGTTTCCAATTTTTAGGAACGGATATTTTCCCACCTTGATTTAATTTTATTTTTTAATTATGTAAACCATTTATGTGGTTTGTAAGTCAAAAGCTCTAAAACAAAGTATATTCAGAGAAGTTTAACTAACTTCTAACCCTATTCCAACTTGTTTTTTCCTTCCATTTTTCATTAGAGTTTAATTTATTCTTCCAGTTTTTTGTTTGTTTGTTTTTGTAGAGACAGGGTCTTGCTCTGTCACCCAGGATAGAGTGTAATGGCACAATCACAGCTCCCTGTAACCTTGAACCCCTGGGCTCAAGCAATCCTCCCACCTCGGCCTCCCAAAATGTTGGGATTACAGGCATGAGTCACTGTACCTAGCCCGTTATTCTTCCATTAAAAAAAACTATATATATGTATAGATAGATATATTCGCATTCCTTCCTTTCTTAGGTAAAAGGTAGAATACTATACACCTTAATCTGCTCCTTGCTTTTTTTCACTTAATCATGCTTCATGGAATTCACTTTGTAATGATGCTTAGAGATTGTATTCCTTTCTAGAGCTTCACAATTCTTTTTGTGAATTTATTGAGATATAAATTGAAGACGGTGCAAGCAGATTTGGAAAGTAATGGAGTCCTTAACTAGAAGGATAGATTTATCACTCATTGCAATGTGGAAGACTGCAAAAGGAACAAATTTTGGGGGAAATATCAGAAATTTAGTGGACATATTTTGCTTGAGATGTCTATTAGACATGCAAGAAGAACTACAAATAGGCAGTTTTGGATACCCTAGTCTAGAATTCAAGGGTGAGATCCAGGCTAGACATATAATTTGGAAGTTAATACCCGGGGAGTTTGGTGAAGGAATGGAAGAGTAAACGCTCTAGGCTGGTCATTTCTCCCCTGATTTTATTAACTCCTAAATGTAGGAGATTTGGGTTGCCTGTTTTGAGCCCCTGGACTCCTGTTTCACTGATTTCCATGGTGAACAGGTAGGCAATCATTGTCTCCAAGCAGAGTAGGAAAGGGGCAGAGGAAAATGCAATCTTGTTCTCGCTAACTTTGTCCCCTGCCAGTATTCTCTTCTGGGCTACAGTCAACCCTTCTTCCCCCCAACCTTCAGGTGCAGAGCTTCCCTCTCCCAGGGTTTCTTACTGTTGATGTAATTAGTTCCTGGAATCTATGTTTCCTTCTGAGCTTCTCCTTGTTTGATTCTGGGGAAGAAAGCCAGTAACCGATGCCAGTTTTCCATCTTTGCAGGAACTCAAAGTTCTATTAGATTTTCAAAATTAAACAAGGGGAAAGAATATTTTTTTAAGAGAAAAAAGATGGGGAAACTGATTTATCATCTCTTTCAAATGTCCTGTGAAACTATTCCAAGGAGGTTGATTCTGATTAGACTCAGACTGGGGAAAATAGGGATTCAGCAAAGCTGGGAACTGCATACTGGGGAAGAAAATAAAGAACTGACTACTTGCCAGGAAACAAAAAGTATTCCATGTGAAGACATGCTTTAACTCTAAAACCTTTCTGAAATTCTGCCTTGGGTAAACATGTATAGTATTTCCTCAAGAGCTACATTTCCCCAGCCTACGGTAAACAAGGGGAAAGATACCAAGTTCATCACAGATTATTTCTCTTCAATCTTGTATGATTCACTACAGTTATGCAGAGAAAATGTTTTAATATTATAAAGTCAAGCATAAACACCTACAAAGTTAAATACGATGAACATTAAAATAAACAGGAGAGGTAGTTTATAAAATTAAACTAGATGACATAATTGGAAGTTAATACAACTTAAATAGATCTTAGAAAAGTTTTCTGATGAAAATTAATATCTACATTTTTATATAGTTTCTCTTGATTGACTATGTCCTTAGTATACTCTGTATTTTGTTTTCTATTTTTGTACTGGTGGCTTTTAAACAATTTTTTACAGGAAGTATGTTTATTATCTACCAATACAGATGAAAAAGGAGTCAAAAGTGAAAGTTCCCCTGTGATAGCAGAACCTTCCCTTCATGGGTGCAAGGCAGCATACCTCCCAGAGATAACGGCTCTTGACAGTTTAGTATTTATCTTTCCAGACTTTAAAAACACAAATTAACATTTTTACATATACACACATATATTGAATGCATACATATTTCAGATATACGTAGAGAGATAATTACATCTCTATATATCTGAAACTTATGATTGGTATGTTTATATATTATTAGTACATTTAGATCTATGTCATTATTTGAAATAGCTGAAATTCATTTTGCACATATATTAATAAATTATATTTTATTTCATTGAAAAATACACACAAAAAGAGAAAATTAAAAGAAACCTGCCTGTGGTCCCAGCTACCCTGGAGGTAGAGGTGGGAGGCTTGGGCCTGGGAGGTGGAGGTTGCAGTGAGCCAAGATTGTACCACTGCACTCCAGCTTGGGTCACAGGGCAAGACCCTGTCTCAAAAATAAAATAAAATAAAATAATAAAATAAAAATAAAATAGAATAAAATGAACCATATATTTTTATCCCTTTTTAAATTAAAACATTATAAAAATAATCTGAAAAAGTAGTATCTGGTCATTGGTCCCAGTTGTATCTCTTCTTTTCTATGTTGCCAGTTTGTATTTTTTGCACATTCACTAAAAGAGAGAAGAAATCCACAGATCTGTAAGGCTAAGGTGTAAAAAGGAATACATTCATAACAGAAGCAAATAAACTCTTGAATGCCTGGTCTTTAAGACTGGGGAGTGGAGGAAAATATATTCAACAATTTATCTGACAAGAGAACAGAAACGGAGGATTAAAATTAAGGTTAAAAAGAGAATTTGAAAGCAATTATATGAGACAGGCAGAAAAACTTCATGCAAAAATCCTTTCTTTAAAATGTTTACTGTTATTTAAGGTTGGCCTTGTAATGAGGAAAATAGCTTCATTCTTAGAAATAAGAACATACTTCAGGTTTTTCAGGCCAACCAATGTAGAAAAACATGAAGTGAGTTCTGTGATGAGATAGGTTGAAGTAACCCCCAGTACATTCACTTCTCTAAAAATAGCCATTTCTTTCATGACAAAATACCTATAGAAAAATAATGAAAATTGCCATTCTTGGTCTTTAAGCCTCTACTAGTGGAAATGGAAATTTCCTCAGCTTTTAGAGTCCATATCTAAGGTCTTTAAAGACCTAAAGCCCATGCAGTGAGAGAGAAAACATTTGTGAGAGGCAGGAGGAATTAACTCCATAAAGAAATACCTCTCTAGGGAATGTAAGGCTTGATTGCAGAAGTAAATATTAGCCTCAAAGGAAAACCTTTTGCAGTAAAATGACAAAACTTCATGTACTTAACGCAAAGGGAAGGGGAATTTCTTTTTTGTTTTGAGACAGAGTCTTGCTCAGTCTGGAGTCGCTCAGGGTGGAGTACAGGAGTGTGATCATAGCTCACTGCAGCCTCAACCTCCCAGCTCAAGCAATTCTCCCACCTCAGCCTCCTGAGTAGCTACGATCACAGACATGTGCCACCACATCTGGCTAATTTTTTTCTTTTGTAGAGATGGGGTCTTGCCATGCTGTCCAGGCTGTATTTTTGATAAAAAGAAGAAAATAACCTTAAGCAAAATTTCCTAAGAACCCTGCATCAATATTTCAGGCATTTTCAGGGTTGATGTATGGAGCAGGGATTTGGCCTTGCTCCCTCTGGCTTCAGAAGACAGCATCAGTTCTCCTGGGAGGCAGTCACAGGTGTAGTCTCCAAGCCCTACAACAGTGGCTATCTGCCACGTGCCCTGAGCTCTGGGGAGCTGAGAATGTCCCAGCAGAGATAACATGACTGAGGATTAAAGAAGCAGTTGCTACTCGTTGGGGATTAGATTTGCAGACCTCTGAGATCCGTTCCAACATTGAGATCAAATGTTATTAAAAGAAACAACCACACACACACAAATCTCCTTCAGCAGGGCTGAAATGGGACCTGGGTAGGGGTGAGGTGGGGTGGCTATTTGGGGTGGGAAGATGGTAGGGATGGGGGAAGACCTGGGGAAGTGTTTCTAGCAGAGCCTCATCAATAGAAACAGTTTGGTTTCAAATGCATAGCTAAATTCACCAGCATGTGGTTGGGGCAGGTTCCCCAAGGAGAGAAACAGGGAATACCAGGGGCATGCTTCAGTCAATTGGCATTGCAGCCACTGGAGGGGACTTAGATTTCAAGGAAGACACCCCATAGCGTGGCATTCTCTGAGGCATAATGCTCAGAATTAGGGCCCCTTTTGTGTGAGGGCTGTACTGCTTGCTCTTCACTCTGAAATTGTCATTCTGGATTTACTGAGAAGGCATGAAATTAAAGTTGGTAGGTGAACAATACCTCTGGCAAATACATTGTATTTAGGAGTAAAGAAGATTTTTGTTTCTTATTCCATCTTAAACTAAATGTTTACCAAATTTTCTCCTTCATTTCTTCACTTAAATTAAAACTGAAGAACATGTAGTTTTTCAAGTACCAGAAACTGGGAGAGATGATAGATCACCAATGAGATGAATATTTTAAAACCTGAGTAATAATGTAATGGAAGACAGATTGAAAGTTAAATTGTTATTCTACTTGGAAAGAATTATGTACTAGGAAACTAAAGGGTAATACAATTCTTCAGTGTCTAATATTTTAGCCCCCGTTTCAAGGTGAAAGAGAAAAGATGTGTACAGATTTTCTCAATAAGAAAACTCAATTGTAAGTTTTTACGGCTGAGAAAAAAAATTCGTAGTCTTAAAGAAAAAGTTTGGGTCACATGAAAGTTCTTTATGAGAAACCTATTTGTCTTACAACCTCTATTAGTGAAGGAGGGAGTAGCTTTAGGTAAATAAAATCTCTGGAATAAGACAACAGAGTTTCATGATTTTCAGGCCAAGACGTAAAAAGAAATACAGAAATAAATATTTTTTTTCATTGAAATAAGTAACTTTATGCACAATCTCCTGAATAAAAGAATAAAATCTGAGATTTTTGAGGCAGAGGGTGATGGAGGGTAGGATGAAAATAAAGTATTTGTGATGGTAATAAGAAAATAGCTTCACGTGAATCTCTCTAAGAATCCTACTTAAAAATCTTTAAGGTATTGACAAGGGAAAACAAAGACCCAAAAAAAACCAAACAAGTCTTTAACTCCAGGGTAAAAGAAAGAATGAAAATGAAATGTCTAATTTCATGGAAAGGTAACTCCAGGCAATATCATCTCTCTAAGAAATTCTCCTGGGTTTCATTTTTAGGCTCTTCCAAAATTAGGACAAGAGCCCTTTCTTACCTAGGCTGTACCTTGGTTCTTTTGATCTTGAGATAGAAATTTCAGACACGAAGGGACAGAGGCCATTAGAGAATTTCTTATCACCTTTATCCTCATCATACAGTACCAGGTATGACCCTCGTGGCTCCTGTCCTCTGCCTGAAGAGGACTTTTTGAAGTTTCCGGTGGTCTTTGGCCCACATGGGGTGTGTCTTTGTTCATCAGGACATGGATGAAAGACAGGTTGCCAACCCCTTGCAATTAAGTGTCTGCAGGCACGAGCTCGTGACTATTTCAAGAAGGATTGCTTTTCACTTCAAATATATTACTTTGTTCAAAGCAGATCCTGTGGGCTTACAGAGATATCACATCTTATCCTCTACTTCATTTGGTTCACCGAAGGACAAGTGTATGCCTGTCCTCTTAGAAACAGGAAAAAATACAAAGCACAATTTCTCAGCAAAGAGGGACTCCTCATGGTGAAGTTGTTAAACAAAAAAAAAAAGGCGACGTTTTCCTCTTTGTGTCAGATGTGCAGCCTGGCTTTTGGGAAGAGGTTTATAAATCTTGCAGTGCCTTGTTTAAGAACAATAATTAGTAATGGTCTGTTAATCCCATCTGCTTCCCAGAAGGAGAAAGAGTCACTACAGGGATGGATTAGGGCCTCTCTCCAATCCTACGTAGGGACATCTGCAAAGACTCTCATAATAGATGTTAAAAGCTTGACTAGAGAAGAAGAAAGTTGCCTTAGAGAGAATCTCTAAGGTAGAGCAAGAAGTAGATAAGATAATACTACTGGGAAAATCTACTATATAAGAGAACAAAACTTCACATCTACTAAGCAGAGATAAATAAAAGGAATACTTATGATTACTGAAGGTTCAGGGGACTCAGTAAATTAATACCCATCTTCTCTGCATAGCTCTGATTGATCTGGGAATAGACTGAAGAGATGGACAGATGGAGATAAAATATCAGCTTCACTATTGAAAGAAAGCTACGCTGAATGACATGGCTTAGATCTGTTGTAAAAGGGGCTTGCAAATTCTTTCTTTGAATTAGAGAGGTGTACCCAGGCTAGCACAGCAGGACAACTGCAGGCCCTTAAACCACAGCAGAGTAGAACAAAGTGTGTGCTCTCTGTAGGCAGGCACGTTACTCTTTAGCCTTTTCTTCCTTGATCTCTCTGTGGCATTTAAAATAATTGACTATGCTTTTCCCAAAAACACTTTTTTTGCTTGGTTTCAGGGACAACAAACTCTCCTGGTTATCCTCTGACCGTACTGGCTATGCCTGCTGCTTTCTCTGGCTGGTTCCTCCTCTTCTCCCTGAACTGTGAATGGTGAAATGCTGCAGCGTTCACGCTCCCCTCCCCTCCTGCATCACACATGCTTTCTGTGATCTTATTCCATTTCCCAACTTTAAATATGGGTTATGTGCATTAGCTACCAAATTTACTATCGAATCTACCAAATGACTACCAAATTTATATCTCCACCTAGGACTTCTCCCTGAACTCCCAAGACTCATACATGCAACTGCCTGGTCAACATTTCCACTTGCATGTCCAGTTGGATGTTGAATTTGACACATCCAAAACCAACCCCTGATGTCTGCTTCCCATCCCACTCCTCTCTCAGTTTTCCCCTTCTCCAATCTTCTGGTTGCTAGGTCAAAAGACTCACTACGGTCCCTGACACCTTTTTCTCTCATGCCATACATTCAGTTCTTCAACAAATCCTGCCGGCTCTACCTTCAAATTAAGTTAAGAATCCTACCACTTCCCCCCACCCTCAAAGAAACTACCCTAGTCTAAACCACCATCAGTTCTGGCTTGGGTCATTGTAATAGTCAAAAGTGATTCATCACTGCCAGTACCCCCACAGTCTGTTCTCAGAACAGCAAAGTGATCTCAAGGAACACTTTTAAAATCTAAGTCAAATAAACACTTCTGTGCCTCAAGGCTTTCAAAGTCTCTCTATTTAATCTAGACTAAAAGCCAAAGTCTTTATTTTCCCTACCAAGTCTACAGAATCTGTTCCTACTCTGGCCATATCTGACCTCATCTAATCTCTAATCTCTCCCTAGAACCATCCTTTCCTGGCTGGGCGCGGTGGCTCCCACCTGTAATCCCAGCACTTCGGGAGGCCGAGGCGGGTGGATCACTTGAGGCCAGAAGTTTGAGACCAGCCAGGCCAACGTGGTGAAACCTCATCTCTACTAAAAATACAAAAATACAAAAATTAGCCAGGTGTGGTGGCAGGTGTCTGTAATCCCAGTGACTCGGGAGACTGAGGCAGGAGAATCGCTTGAGCCTGGTAGTTGGAGGTTGCAGTGAGCGGAGACAGCACCACCACACTCCAGCATGGGAAAACAGAGCAAGACTCTGTCTCAGAAAAAAAAAGAAAAAAAAAAAAAGAAGAAAAACTATCCTTTCTGGCAGCCTTTTTGCTGGTCTTCGAACAGGACAGGTATGCTTCTGCCTCCAAGTTCTTTTTATTCATGATGCCTCTATTAGATCTTTCTTCCAATATCATCCTCTTACTGAAGCCTTCCCTAACCATCCTATTTAAAATTGGACATCTGCCCACCACTCCCTGCGACTTCCACATTGCATCTCCCCTTCTCTATTCTATTTTTCTGTAATACTTATCACCATCTGACACAGCATATATTTTACTTAACTATTTCTCTTCTCTGCTTGACCTCATAGTTCCCACAAACATACATGATGTGGACAAGGACTTTTGTCTGTTTTGTCTGGTCTGACATCCCCAGCATCTAGAATAGGGCCTTTCAGTAATGACTGCTCAAATATTTGTTGAATAAATAATTTTATTTTTTATATTATATTATTTTATTTTAGAGATGGAGTGTCACTCACTCTGTTGCCCAGGCTGGAGTGCAGTGGTGCTTACTACAACCTCTGCCTCCCGGCTTTGACCGATTCTTCTGCTTCAGCCTCCTGAATAGCTGGGATTACAGGCGCGCCACCATGCCTGACTAATTTTTGTATTTTTAGTCGGGATGGGGTTTCACCACGTTGGCCAGGCTGGTCTCAAACTCCTGGCTCAAGTGATCTGCCTGCCTTGGCCTCCCAAAGTGCTGGGATTACAGGCATAAGCCACTGCATTCAGCCTGGATAAGTAATTTTAAAAATGAATCAGTGAATGAGTCTCAAGGGGAAGCAGCTATGCTAAGCATGACCTGCTTCCTTCCTTTGAACACTAGTCAGGAGACTCACAAGATACTCTAGTGAAAACCGTTCCACATGGGAATCTGAGGGTTGGGGAATAAGTATTCCCCTAAAAAATGATGAGGAAAAATTTATCACAAAATATCTTTTCAAATCAGACCAGTGTTGTTCTTTAAGATTGCAGAAGTGGAAAAAAGATTAGCTTCATGCAAAATCTCTCAGGAGAAGAATAAAACTAGGGTTTTAAAAATTGAGTCAGAGAAAGAAAGAAAATGATTTGTGTTAGGAAATACCTTTCAGAAAAATCTAAACAATCCTCCTTTGGTCATTAAGGCTGGGGTAAGAGACCAAAAATTAATCATTTGATTAAAGAATAAAATTCCCAGATCTTGAAGACTAAAATATAAAAGGAGAATATTTATGGTAAGAAAGAAGAAATAGAAGTGAGTGAGATTTTATGAACTGGACAAGTAAAAGGTAGCTTTTCATACAGAGGTCCTTGAAAAGTTCCAGAGCCTTTAGTTCCTTAAAGATAAACTCTTGGAAGGAATAAAACATAAAAGAAGAAATAAAACTATTTGCGGTGGCAAAGGTAACAGTAGATTTATTTGTCTCACAACTCTCTCTAGTTTGTGGTTACATGCACATTTTTAGCTCTGCCATTGTGATTATTCCTCTCAGAACCTCAACTGGGCCAGGCATGGTGGCTCACACTTATAGTCCCAGCTACTTGGGAGGCTGAGGCAGGAGAATTGCTTGAGCCAAGCAGGTTGAGGCTGCAGTGAGCTGTGATCGTGCCACTGCACTCCAGCCTGGGCAACAAAATTAAACCCCATCTCAAAAACAAAAAACAACAACAACCAAAACAAAACAAATACAAAAACCCTCAAATGTCATCCTAGAGAGAAATTAAGCCTCACATCAAACCCCAGGTTGACAAACCATGCTTGCTTCCAAACCCAGAAAGCTGCCAGAAGTTAAAGATGATCAGGTTTTATTAGATTATCTTGGAGGCAAGATTATAATGAAAAATACTTAAGAAGTATTTTTTGGCTGGGCGCGATGGCTCACGCCTGTAATCTCAGGATTTTCGGAGGCCTAGGCAGACGGATCACAAGGTCAGGCGATCGAGACCATGCTGGCTAACACAGTGAAATCCTGTTTCTACTAAAAATACAAAAAATTAGCTGGGTGTGGTGGCGGGCGCCTGTAGTCCCAGCTACTTGGGAGGCTGAGGCAGGAGAATGGCGTGAACCTGGAAGGTGGAGCTTGCAGTGAGCCGAGATTGCGCCACTGCACTCCAGCCTGGGTGACACAGCAAGACTTTGTCTCAAAAAAAAAAAAAAAAAAAAAAGAAGTAATTCTTAGGTCATTCATAAAATTACATTAAACAATGTGCTTCAAATAAAGAAAGCTGAAAGTGTTAACTCTGTAGGAGTGAGACTATGGATAGTATTTAGCATGATTGTGTGTTAGGGATAATTTATTTTTATATTTATTTATTTATTATTTTTTGAGACGGATTCTTGCTCTGTCACCCAGGCTGGAGCGCAGTGGCGTGATCTTGGCTCACTGCAACTTTCACCTCCTGTACTCAAGCAATTCTCCTATCTCAGCCTCCCAAGTAGCTGGGATTACAGATGCCACCATCATGCCCAGTTAATTTTTGTATTTTTAGTAGAGACAGGGTTTCACCACGTTGGCCAGGCTGGTATCCAACTCCTGACCTCAAATGATCCACCTGCCTCGGCCTCCCAAAGTTCTGGGATTATAGGCGTGAGCCATCGTGCCTGGCCTATTTATTTATTATTTATTTTGAGACAGGTTCTTGCTCTATTGCCCAGGCTGGAGTGCAGTGGTGCAATCATGGCTCACTGCAGCCTTGACCTCCTGGGCTCAATCAATTCTCCTGCCTCAGCCTGGGGCTACAGGTGTGTACTACCACGCCCAGCTAATTTTTAAATTTTTTGTAGAGTGGGAAATCTCCCTATGTTTTCCAGGCTGGTCTTGAACTTCTGGCCTCAAGTGATCCTCCCATCTCAGCCTCTCAGAGTGCTGGGATTATAGGTGTCAGCCACCACAGCTGACTGATAATTTACTTTTATATAGTATATCTCAACTGATGGCTGTTTACCTTCCCTTCATGATAGCTCAATTTAGAGGGAGTTTATTTCCATATATTATGTATTGGGCTGTCACCTAACGCAATGGTTCTAGATAGCCCTGGCATCTCTCAGGGGAGAAGAGAGCCAGGGAACCTCAGTGTCTATATGATTTGGTTCAGTCCCCAGGTGAAAGCTGATGGAGGCTGCAGGAAGACAAGCTGTTGGGGTGGCAGGAATGTGTCAGGGTGGGTATGGGTGACTGTCTCATTTGCAGTCAGGCTCGCAGGAGTAGAAACAGGAGTTCTGTTAGTCTTAATAGTTTGTATAATAAGAGAAAAATAAACAGTACCCATATTTTCTTTCTTGCCAGAACAGGAAAGCAGGTGAAAAGTGAGAATTTGTGCACACGTTGTGTCTGGGAGACAAAGCATGAGTAACTGAATCCACCACCAGGACCTTTTGCTTGTAACTATCTGGTCTTCCTCTCTCCATTCTTGTTCTCCTCCAGTTTATTCCCTGCATAGCAGCCAGTTGGATCACATCAACTTTGCTAATTAAAGTCCTTCAGTGTCAAGGCACCTGCATGATCAGGTTCCTGTCTGCCTCTTGCTTCTCACATTGAAACTATTCTCAGGCACACTGGTTTCCTCCATAGGACGAAGCTTTTGTCTTTCTTTCTTTTTTTTTTTTGAGATGGAGTCTCTGTCACCCAGGCTGGAGTGCAGTGGTGGAGTCTTGGCTCACTGCAACCTCCGCCTCCCAGGTTCAAGCAATTCTTGCGCCTTAGCCTCCCGAGTAGCTGGGATTACAGGCATGTGCCACCACGCCTGGCTAATTTTTTGTATTTTTAGTAGGCACAGGGTTTCACTATGTTGGCCAGGCTGGTCTCGAACTCCTGATCTCAAGTGATCCACCCGCTTCGGCCTTCCAAAGTGCTGGGATTACAGGCGTGAGCCACCGTGCCCGGCTGAATCAAGCTTTTTTCTGACTCGACCTTTACACGTCCTGTTCTTCAGCCTTTACGTGAACAACTTCTACCCATTCTTCAGGTGTCAGCTTAAGTATCAGTTTCTCAGTGAGTTATTCATTTCCTCACTCCCCAAACTAATCTATGATGTCTCCGTGATTCTTTCTCACAGTACTAGGTTCTTTTCCTTCATTGTGCTTGCCACACTTTGTAATGATATATTTATTTATTGCTTGCTTAATGTCTGTCTCTCCTCTAGATTGCAAGGCCTTTGAAGGAGCTTACAGGATTTGTTTACTCTTTTATATCCAGCTGCTTGAAAGCATTGGCTAGGAATGGCCTCATGAGAAGGCTGTAGTCAGTGGACTCCAGGAGCAGTAACTTGATACTAAGTGTCAACTTTTCCTATTTTGTGTTACCATTCCTTTTTTTGTTTTGTTTTGTTTTGAGATGGAGTTTCACTCTTTTTGCCCAGGATGGAGTGCAATGGGGCGATCTGGGCTCACGGCAACTTCTTCTTCTTGGGTTCAAGTGATGCTCCTGCTTCAGCCTCCCGAGTATCTGGGATTACAGGTGTGTGCCACCATGCCTGGCTAATTTTGTATTTTTAGTAGAGACGGGGTTTCACCATGTTGGCCAGGCTGGTCTTGAACTCCTGACCTCAGGTAATCTGCCCGCCTCAGCCTCCCAAAGTGCTGGGATTACAGGCGTGAGCCACCGCACCCGGCCTTATAATTCTTTACAGATGTGCAGAGATGAAATGGGCAGAGGTAATTACCAGAAATGCTGAGTCCACCTAACAGGAGGGATGGGGAGAAGTGACAGCCATGAGGCATATGTGGAGCATGTGCACACTGCTGAGATTCACATGCAGAGGGACGGCGTTTCCCCAAGTCATGCAGCCTGGGTGCTTGGACTATGACATTGGTATGGAGAAGAGTGGTGAAAGAACATGAGAATATTTGCATTATCCAAAGCAGGGAATATGAGCGTAGGAAAAAAGTTTTATTAATTATAAAGTCCAGCTGGGCAAGGTGGCTAACACTTGTAATCCTAGCACTTTGGGAGGCCAAGGCGGGCAGATCACTTGAGCTCACAAGTTCAAGACCACCATGGGCAACATGGCAAAACCCCCATCTCTACAAAAAACACAAAAATTAGCCGGGTGTGGTGGTGCATACCTATAGTCCCAGCACTCAGGAGGCTGAAGTGGGAAGGATTGCTAGAGCCTGGGAAGCAGAGGTTGCAGTGAGCTGAGATTGTGCCACCACACTCCAGCCTGGGCAATAGAGCCAGACCTTGTCTCAAAATAAATAAATAAATAAAATAAATAAGGTCCTCCCCCTTTTTTTTTTCTAAATTGATTTTATTCTTTTCTCATAATGTGATGGCTATTTATTCTTACATTCACATTTATCCAATACATATCTGGGGCCATATGCTATGCATTATGTAGGGCTAAAAAGATACAAAATTTCACTTCCATTCTTTAAGAACTCAATATTTAGTATGGGAGTTTTAATATAATACACATATTCAAATTTAATATTAGACAGATATTCAAATTTAATATGGTATATCTATTCATATTACAACACACAGCTGCCTATAATACATACTTTAAGATGTGCAGAAAAATGAAGTATTCTAGAACTTCAGTCACGTAGCCAGTGGTAACCTGATTTACTGACTTTTAGAGGATTACTTAGGACTTAACCAGTGAGCTAGACATGCAGAACTGAGAAGTCTCAACAGGGATGTAATCTAAATATGAAAAACACTACAGAACAAGACCTTGTCTCAAAAAAAAAAAAATCTTGGTTATATAAAAAAAAAAAAAAGGAAAGAAAAACACAGTACTGCATAGGTCCTGACTAACCAGAACATGTCTGACTAATCAGCTAGCACTCCCAACAAATGAGAACAAATGTTGGCCAAATATCAGCTACATTCAGCACTAAAATCTGTCATGAATCAAGTACTTTTATAAAAGAGTTTATAGTTTGGTTACAATGCCATAAGTGAGGCAGGGATTACAAATAGTTTTCAATTTTTGAGCTGAATCCAATTGATAGGTAGTGGCTCCCTGGACAGCGGAGTGAGGGATTCTGAAGCTATGTCTGGGCCCACTGTCAGAGTGTGGTGAGTGACATGTGCCCTGGAAGAAGAAAAGACAAATTGGAGCACACATGCCATGTATCTGACGTCACTGCTTGTGATTAAAAGACAGAAAAACCTGCATTCAAATCCTTCTTCAAGTCCTTGGGAATTGTGTCACTTTGGGCAAATGGCTTTATCCATCTCAGTTTACCTTCCATGGAAAGGTTCTGCCCATAGGATGGAGGTGAGACTATAGCCTCCTGTTGAAGCTAACGGCCGCAGAAGGCAGGAAATAAGGGAGGAGGAGAAAGCCTGAGAGTGGAACTGACCCAAGAGGTCTTAGTGGTGGGGAAGATGAAGTGATGCGGCCAACAGCAGAGACCTGGGAGAAGAGATGCATCTAACAGAGCTTTTTGGGGGGGCGGCGGGGGGGGGGAAATGCTATGTGCCTTGACCCCTTTCCCTGGCCCCTTGAATCTTCAGGAAAACTCCCCAAGTCACAATATGCTTGGCCCATTGCATTTTCTTTTGGAAGGCAGTGAAGGGGCTGATCAAGACTGGCAAGACTCCAAAACACTGTCTTCTTTTATAGGTGATGAGTGCTCAGCGAATGGGGGCTGTTACCATCTACACTGCTACTACAGGTCCTTCGGTTGACATGAACATGCCAGAATGAGGGATGGGAGGACCAAGAGCTCATTTGGCCTGGGTGTGTCTGTCCTTAATTACACTGTTCTCAAACATATGTTCCAGCCAGAGGCTTGTTAAGAAGAAGCCTTTGTTTAAATTTCAGGGCCCACAGAGCATTTTATAGTCTAGACTCTAGAAAGTTTTATAGGCTAAAAGTCTGTATGATCTGAGTGAGATGAGCCCTTGTGTTTTATCAAAGGACATTCTGGGAACATAAACCTGTTTGTCTTCATGACAAGCCATGCAACTCCTGGGCAGAGTTCAGTTCTCTGTGAAGAGAAGTGAATATGCCACTGGTACACATGCGTTTCAAACTTCCTGATCCTCACGCAAGACTGATTTCACAGGCTCCTTGACATCTGCATTTAACTCCTAAATGTCCTCTGCTGTGCACCTCTTTCGCTTTTCTCAATCTCACTGCCCTCACTGCTATTTGCTATGACATTTTCTTTTTGCTTTTCGAATCTCATACTAATTACTGCTTCCTGACCCTTTTTGGCACCAGTGTAGCAGAGGGTACTACCCTCAGCTTCAGATAAGTCAGTGGAGTTCAGATTTGTCCATCCTCTGCTGATAGATGTAGGAATGGCTTCCAGAAATCTCTCTGCAGAGGGAGTGAGGGGAGCCTCCTGGGAGAGCTTCAGCTTAGACCCATAAGTCATTACAAGAAACTCAGCTCAGGAACAAAGCCTTAGTCCCTACAGGAGAAAGGCAATCCTAAGGAGAGCGGCGCCTGAACCCTTTCCTACCATCAAGAACTCAAGAACTCAGGTCTGTAATTTACAAAGGCATGGGGTGACCAGTGTCGCAGACACTGGCTAGATGCTCCCCAAACTTGTCTCCTTTTCTTCCTGGGCTCATACCTTCCTGGCACACATACTCTCTGTCTGAATTCTAGCCTAATAAATGTGGGCAGAATTCACATACACCAGCTCCAGGCCTGGCCCATAACACTTCCTGCATGATCTGGGATGCAAACGATCCAGTGGAGGCCTCCGAGGCCCTAAGGATGAAGCAGCTGGAGACAGAAGGGCCTGGGTCCCTGAATGGCTGGGAGGAATAGAGCCCCAGTGCAGTCTACTTGCACCCCCACCTTGACTCTGACATAGGCAGAAATAAATTTTTACACTCTAAAATCATTGGAATCTTGAGGTTGTTTGTTACAGCAATTATCTTGCTCTGGTTGACCTGCTAAGTAAAAATAGAAGCTCTGTCTAATGAAAATACTGCATTCAACCTGAAGGAGTAGCAGCATAGCATTGGCAATTTCCTAATAAAGTGTAATATGAAAAGGAGAGAAAGGCAGTCTTCCCTGGTTTCCTTTGCCCCTCACAGCTTTGACATTTTAGGAGCACTAAAATATGAGGTGGCATTTAGTGAGAGATACAGGAAGAGGCAGCAGTTTTTGAGAGGAGGCAGTTTTTGAGGGGCCTGGCAGCGCAGTGGAACCAAGGAGGAAGGGAGGCGGCCGCTGGTAGATACAGTGGCATTGGTTCCAAGAAGAGGTGGTGAAACCTAGTGGGGATAGTCAGGACCAGCAGAAGTGGCCACACTGTCCAGGGAAAGGCAAGCATTAGATGGTCAGATTTGATCATAAGCCCATGCAGGACACTTAGAGATTCTGAGCAGTACTTGGAGTATTACAAAGGTAATAACCAGCAATATGGGTTCCCTCTATGAGTTATGGGAACTTGAGAAGGTTGGGGAAGAACACTCTCACTGTAGATCAATGTAGGAAAAATAGAAGGTGATTTTCTGACTTCAGTTGTGATTTTTCAGAAAAGTAATTTCTTCAAGCAGGCACAGCCACCAGGCAGGTTAGGCTGTTCATAGGCATCCCGCCCCGGTCACTCTTGTACTTGTCAGGAAGGCAAGCCAAGTTCAGAAGTCAGAGAGGGCCTGGGTGTTTGCATTTTCCACAGTGACCTCAGTGGGTGTTTGGACAACAAAGGTATTCACATTCCACTAGGTAGCTAGAAAGGAACTCACAGGTATTCTCCATGTAAAAGGTAAGGATCCTGATTCATTTGGCAGCTGCTTTGAATTTTTTTCTTTAATTGAAAAGAAAGTACATTAAATTTGAGAAATACTATTCTAAGCTGCAGTTCCTATGTTAAAATGGAAAAAAGTTGTGGAGGGATGAAAGAGATTTCTAGAGGGACAAGGAAGACAAAGTGGAGGAAAGCTCAGGAAGCCAAGGAAGGAGGAATTCCTGGGCATCGGCCTCCCTGCAAAAATCATTCGGGCAAAGCTGGGGTGATTATGGGGAGTGTGCAGATGCCTTAAAGGTCAAGCATTGAAATCTGAGGAGCCGGAGATGCTGCATCTATTGGATGTATGTACACTGACACATGTTTATATGTACACATGTAAGTGTGTACATGCACATGGGCACTTTGGGTAACTACACAGTTTGAAGCAAAGTTTTTTTTTGTTTTGTTTTGTTTTTGAGACAGGGGTCTCATACTGTTGCCCAGGTTGGAGTACAGTGGTTCAATCACAGTTCACTGCAGCTTCCAACTCCTCAACTCCAGTAATCCTCCCACCTCAGCCTCTCAAAGTGCTGGGATTGCAGGCACAAGCCACTGTGCCTGGTTCTGAGACAAAGTTTTTAAATAAAACTTTATACATCTTTATTTTATTTATATCACAGAAGAAGGTACTCTCCCGGAATATACCTTTTCACTAAGAAAAGGAGACAGATTTTTCTTCTTTCTTCCTATCCTGTGTGACCTGGCTATTCCTTTCCACCCAAACTTTCTCCTAGAAACTCAAGTTCTTGTTCTGCAACTAAAATGAACATTTTTCTACATCCCTGTCACATTCACAGGTTATTTTTCTCAGTCTTCATATTTCAGGAATGCGTTCCATTTAGTTAAACTGATATCAGGCAAGCTACTACTGGCTCATTGTGACTTGTAGTGTTGCTCCTTTTAGATGACCTACATAGATGTAAAATATGTTTTTTAATCATGCCTCCAGAGAAGTGGCAAGCAGTAGAAATTTTGGGTATTGTAGAATGTTGAAAGAATTAATAAATAAATACATTACTAAACCATTAAATTACTATGAAATGTATTATTTGTTATTAAGTTACAAATTTTAAATTGTTAAAACATTAAGAAATTATCGATAAAAGAAGAGTGAATACTTAGAAAACACTAAGTGCCAGGCACTGTTGTAAGTGCTTTCTACATATATATTTAATTCTCAGGAGAACTCTATAAACTAGGAACTGTTTTGTCCCCATTTTGCAGATGAGAAAATTGAGGTGGGGAGAAATTAAGCAACTAACCCTCTGCCTGGCATCTAGGAAATGATAGAGTCAGGATTTGATCTCGGGAGGCCTGGCTCCTGGCTCCAGAGCCTGTGCTCTATCAGAGACAATGACATTTTTTTTTTCCAAGGGAAGAAAGGAGGTGAGACTGATTGCTGGAGACTCTCAGATTACTCCCACAGGATAGTCCTGTCTGCAGTTTCTCACGGGAATTAGGCAGCCTGCAAATGAGATGTATCTTGGAGCTTTTGTTGTGACACTCAGAAGTTACATTACCTTTCTATTTCTCAGCTTTCTCTTAAACAAAACAAGGAGAGTGGGACTAGATAGCCTCTAGGATCTGTTCCAGTTCTAAGATAACACAGTATTAGCATTCCTGCACTAAAATGCTGATCACTTGCGTGTGGGAAAGAAGCAAGTCAGTTCTTCCTTCTACACCACTGTGCCTGGTCCTGAGGCAAGCCAAGTTCAGAAGTCAGAGAGGGCCTGGGTGTTTGCATTTTCCACAGTGACCTCAGTGGGTGTTTGGGCAGCAAAAGTATTCACATTCCACTCAGTAGCTAGAGAGGAACACACAGGTATTCTCTATGTAAAAGGTAAGGATCCTGATTCATTTGGCAGCTGCTTTGAATTTTTTTCTTTAATTGAAAAGAAAGTACATTAAATTTGAGAAATACTATTCTAAGCTGCAGTTCCTATGTTAAAATGGAAAAAAGTTATGGAGGGATGAAGGAGATTTCCAGAGGGACAAGGAAGACAAAGTGGGGGAAAGCTCAGGGAGCCAAGGAAGGAGGAATTCCTGGGCATCGGGCTCTCCGCAAAAATCATTCAGGCAAAGCTGGGGTGATTACGGGGAGCGTGCAGATGCCTTAAAGGTCAAGCATTGAAATCTGAGGAGCTGGAGATGCTGCATCTATTGGATGTATGTACACAGTCGGATCCTCCTTCTACACCCTTCAACTAGAAGCTGCAGCGTAGGGTGCTGAGTAGACACCTGTAAAGAACTGGGAGCAATAAATGAGGGTTCGAGCTCCAGGAAACTTCAACTTCTACCTAAGAAGCGTAATAGAAACACTCTTACTAGGTGCCTACTGTGTGCTGTGTGTTTTAAACAGGTCGTATCATTTAATTCTCATTGCAAGCTTGTGAAGTAGGTAGTATGTCTTTAATTAAAAAAAAGCAGCGGCAGCTCAGTCGCCCCAAGGGACTTGCCCAAGATGGCCCAGCTAGTAAGTGATTCAGGCAGGATTCAAATCCAGTCTGCCTGATTTCAAAGCCCACGCACATTGCACAATCCACACCTCCTTAAATATCTCCTTCGAATCATTTTCACTGCAAGCTTACGGGGTATTTTCTCCCCATTTCACTGACGAGGCAAGTGAGACTCAGAGTGGTGAGGTGACCTGCATAGGTAGGGTGGGAGAAAAGCCTGCGGAGCGTGTACTCTGGCTTGGCCTCCCTCAGCTCTGTCCCCAGCAAGCGGGTCCCACCTTTCCCGGTCCCAGCCCCACGCACCGCCGCTCGGAACTACACTTCCCGGCAGAACGCGGGCGCGCGCACGCGCACCGGGGCCTCAGCCATGGCGACCGTGCTGTCCAGGGCGCTCAAGCTGCCGGGTAAGGAGTCGCATGCTTGCGACCACCCAGTCCCCGCCGGTGTTGGAATAAGGGGAGGCGAGGCTCTGGGGGCGAGGCCGGTCGGGCCCTGGCCTCAACCCAGACTCAGCTGCAGGCGCCCGGTGCCGAGGAGGGTGCAGTCCCTTGGGGCTGGGGTCTCTGTGCCACCAGAGGGCGAGAGGGGCGCCCAGCGGGGCAGGGGTCTCGGGCGCGGGGCGAACCCGGAGACGCGCGGGGAGAGGGCGCCGAGCAGGTGTTACGGCGGGGAATGTCAGAACGCCGGTCGCCGCTGTCCCGAGGGGAGGCTGGCGAGAGGAGCATCCTTCCCGAGCGCCGCGGACCCAGCACCGCAGGGACTCCGGCGCCTTCTGTCTTGGCTGGACCTGGGCGGGGGCGGCGGGACGGCGAGTGGCCCTCTGTGGATCATCCCCTCCACCTAACGGCAGCAACGACGCATCCATGAGGCAGGTGGGACAGGTATTTACGTCCCTTCCTAGTTTACAGAAGAGAAAATGAGAGTTATTTGGCTAAGTGAATTGTCCAAGGTCTCACAAGTATTGGGAAAGCTCGGCCTTGAACGTCAGGGGTCTTTTCACTCTAAATCCTGAGCTTTTGATTCCACTTGGTCAGTCTCCAGCTGCCGAGATTAAGCATGGGAAATGATTTGGCACCTATAAGTTGAAGATAATGTATGGAATCTTCTTTAAGGCAGCATTAGGGGTGATGACAACTTCCAGAGCTGATTCAGTACTTCGGGCAGCAGCTCCAAGTTTTTTTTCCTTTTTTTTTTTTTTTCCTCCTAAACCTCCAGAGTAGGATTGTACTGTTAGAAAGTTGATATTTAAATAAAAGTATATTTATTCCACCCAAGTAAATTTTAAACATTAGGCTTTAGAAAAATTGATGGCTCTACCTAGGTAAGTTTTAAGCATTAAGCTATAAACATTTATTTGCTGATAATTTGTATTAGAGGGAAAAGCAGTTGCTTTCATAGCTATCTCTAGAGAGGGCTATTTGGGTTTTGGTTGGATAGCTAGTTTGAGCTTGCAGGGGGATTACAGGGTCCTTGTTCTCAAGGAGCTTCCAGTATGCTACCCTGAAGCGAACCTTGCCATTTGGATGACGCTAGGTTGGATATTAATTTGCGTTTCTGTCCCCAGACTTCATGACCTCAGACAGATTATTATTTTTTTTAATATGGGCTCATTGGAACATTGGAAGGAACACTGATAGCATCTGCCTTGGAATGTGTGCATAACACTGGAATTAAAGGAGAGACGTGGCCCTTTACCTGCAGGATTAATTTTTTACTTTTTTACTTTGTATATCCTTAGTGTAGAATGATGTCCTCCCAGAGGGGTAATAAGATGTCAGACATTTAGCTTTATTTCTTTTTTTTTTTTCTTTTAGAGTCCTTTTTTAAAATTTCAGTGTAGGTCATTGTTATTCTCTAAGAATGAGAATGCATGAAAATCTTGCTTTAGCAACTCTTGAGGTCTTTTGTGTTCTTATGCCCCAAGGCTGTGGTGTTATTACTCCCTGGAGTATTAGTTGTAGGAACTGGTTGGGGTTCCCATAGTCCAGTCCATGGGCCTGTTTGGCAGGCAGCTTGGCCCTGAGCCCTGAGGTATGCTTGATGCTTTTTTAGGCCCAGATATAGTAGGCATGTGTTCTTTCATGTGATGTGGGTTTTAAGAAAATGTTCACTTGCGTCTACGGCCATACCACCCTGAACGCGCCCGATCTCGTCTGATCTCGGAAGCTAAGCAGGGTCGGGCCTGGTTAGTACTTGGATGGGAGAAAATGTTCACTTGCGTTTTTCCTTGTCTCCTTCTTGCCCTTTCTTCTTCCCTCCACCCAAAATACTATTTTTAGTTTTTGCATTAGGTACAAGTTGTTTTTATATAGCTCTTTTTGGCTCCCCTGTAATTGGGGTCCTGAGACTGCTGTCCTGTTTGGGCTACTGTGTTATGTTCCTGTAGTTAACATCCCCACTGTTTTCTTTGTTTGTTTTTTTGTTTGTTTGTTTGTTTTTTTGAGACGGAGTTTTGCTCTTCTTGCCCAGGCTGGAGTGCAATTGTGTGATCTCGGCTCACCGCAACCTCCGCCTCCTGGGTTCAAGCAATTCTCCTGCCTCAACCTCCCGAGTAGCTGGGATTACAGGCATGCACCACAATGCCCAGCTAATTTTGTATTTTTAGTAGAGACAGGGTTTCTCCATGTTGGTCAGGCTGGTCTGGAACTCCCGACCTCAGGTGATCGCCTGCCTTGGCCTCCCAAAGTGCTGGGATTACAGGCATGAGCCACTGCGTCTGGCCCCAACATCCCCACTGTTTTCATGTGTGAGGAAGTCAGGTTGGAGTGGTGGCTGAGAGCATGAGACAGGCTCGGGTTCAAATCCAGTCTTTACCTAATTAGTTACTTAATCTCTTTAAGCTTTAGTTTCCTCATCTGTAACAATAACATTATTATGGAACATTCACTCTATGCCACACATTCTACTACATATTTACCTCCTAGGGTTATCTGAAATAGTAAAGGAGATGGATGTACTTAGGAGGTCTAGTAACCTCTGACATATGTTAATTAGTCAGTAAGTGTTAGCTGTTGTCATCAGCAGTGTGCTCATTTATGAATGTGATACCTGAAGGAAGGCTTGATGTAATAGTGAGCTATTGACAGATCTCAGCAGTCTTGTTATGAAAGAGCAGTTTCGCTAAGCTCAAGAAGGAAAGATGTTTGGCTCACATGCATAAAATGAGGTTAATTAGTAGCAGAAGGCCAATATGACATTCATAAAGCCTGTAGGGCAGCTTATCTCCTAAGTATATATATATTTTTTTTCTTAGGCCATTTTAAAGTTTGAAGGTCAAACACTGGAGGGAATATCAGAGCAAAATGATTTTTTATGATTTATTTTGTTTGTGTAACTTAGTCTTTATATGCCCTTGGGTAAACTAACCCATGATATGAATTATTTACCTTTAGTTGCAGTAGAGTGTATTGTATAGTATATGCACAGTATAGTGTATACTATAGTATAGTATATGTTATAGAATAGTGTATGTTTTAGTATATTTCCTGAAAACGTTTGGGTATGGTATAGTTGCATCACTTTCCTATTTGTGTTTTCCTCTCTACCATTTTGGAAATCCTATTATATTTAAGCAGCATCTTCAGTCTTCCTAAGAGGAAAAGCAATAGCTGTGGAAAGCGCATTTATAATGATTTGTTATGAAATCAGTGCCCTCTCCCTTATTCTTTGAAAACCTTTCATTCATTAAAAATTTGGGTGGTGGCTGAAAGTAGCAAGGAAGCGAGTGAGTGCTAAGTGCCCTAAGCTTGGAAGCTGGATTTGACGCCTGGCTCCTCAGCCTGAGTAGGACTTAAGGCAAGTTGGTGGACTTCTTTTAAGGCAAGTTGGTGGACTTCTTTTAAGGCAAGTTGGTGGACGTCTTTTACTTCACGCTCTCTTATTGTCTTTCTGTAAATAGATAGAAAAAATATTATTAAAGACTTCTCTAATCAAAACTTGCAGTCTGTAATCCTTAAGCGGAGGTTTGTTTTTGCAGTATCTGAAAAAAAAATTAGTATAAAAGTATTTATTCCTCTCAAAAGGCTGGCCAAGAACTGGCCCCTAGTCTTCTGTGATGTAAAGAAAGCATAGGAATATGATAACTCAGAGCGCTTGTGTGCTTGTCTTTATATTTCGGTGATGTCATGGCTGGGTCAGAATGCTTGGACATCAAATTGCATGTTCTTTCTCTGAGGACTTTTTAGATATTGCTCCGCTATCTTTTAATAGTGTATGTTACTATGGAGAAATCTTTGCCTGATTTTTGTTCCTGTCATTAGTGACTTGATTCTTTTTCCTTTGGCCTGGCTGCTTATAGGATTCCTTCTTTGTCCTTGAAGTCCTGTGCCTTTACTAGGATATATTTCAGTATTGATTCTTCTGAATCAGTTTTTCTTGGGACTCTGTGTACTCATTATTCTGCAGTTTTAGGTCTTTATTGTAGGAAGTTTTTTTTGGCAACTCTTTAAAATACTGCTTTTGGTTCTTTTCTGTTTTCTGTTATCCTCTTTTCTGTTATCCTCTTTTCTGTTATCCTCTTCGGTCATGCATATATTGGCTCACCTTTGTTGTCAGTATCTATCACGTTGTTTCTAGTCTTTTTAAAGCCTTGATTTTTTTTCCACGGGATCATATGTAGCCCGTACAGACTTTGAAGCCAGACTGGTTTTGAATTGTTACCTATCACTTGCTGTTTATCTGTGGGCCAATGTATTAGTCTGTTTTCACACTGCTGATAAAGACATACTTGAGACGAGGCAATTTATAAAAGAAAGAGGTTTAATGGTCTTACAGTTCTGTGTGCCTAGGGAGGCCTCACAATCATGGTGGAAGGTAAAAGGCACATCTTACATGGTGGCGGCAAGAGAGAATGAGAACCAAGCGAAACAGGGTTCCCCTTGTAAAACCATCAGATCTCGTGAGACTTATTCACTACCATGAGAACAGTACGGAAGAAACTGCCCCCATGATTCAGTTATCTCCCACTGGGTCCCTCCCACAACACATGGGAATTATGGAAGTACAATTCAAGTTGAGATTTGGGTGGGGACACAGAGCCAAACCACATCCGCTAATTACTTAAACTTCCAAGCCTCAGCTTCCTCATCTTGAAAGTGAAGACAGTAATGTGTCTACCTCACATAGTTGTTATGAAGATTTACTGAGATAAGAATTTTTTTTTGAGACAAAGTCTTGTTCTGTCGCCCAGGCTGGAGTGCAGTGGCATGGTCTCGACTCACTCTAACCTCCGCCTCCCAGGTTCAAGCAATTTTAATGCCTCAGCCTCCTGAGTAGCTGGGGTTACAGGCGCCTGCCACCACACGTGGCAAATTTTTGTATTTTCAGTAGAGACGGGGTCTCGCCACGTTGGCCGGGCTGGTCTTGAAGTCCTGACCTCAAGTGATCTGCTCGCCTTGGCCTCCCAAAGTGCTGGGATTACAGGCGTGAGCCAGCACCCCTGGTCTGAGATAAGACATTAAAAGGGCTTGGAAGAGTGTAGGATAAGTGTTCAGAACTGCCAGCTGTAGTTATTTCCATTACATTTTGCTTGATTTTCACTAGTCTATTCTTTTTATGTCTCTGACTCTGTTTTCAGCAATATCTGTTCCTTTAGCTGATTCCAATAAGGATTTCTTTTCTAAAACTGGTTTGTTATTTTTTCCATTGTTTTCCTGAGTGCTTATTTCAGAGAAGACGATTTTCCTAAATTTCTCAGACTCCATGGGGAAGTATATGTTCATTATTTCTTCCATCTTGTGGTGTGATTTGTCCAGCATTTGTTTTTCAGCTAATTGTTTGTTATGTTTCGTTGTTACTTCTTTCTTGAATATTTGTAGAGCTTTGTGGTATCTTGTGGAATGAGTACTAAACATGGCTCCTTTCTGATTATTACTTATATTTAAATGGGGCGGTTGTTTGACAGCCTGGCTATTGCCAAAGGGGTGATCTAGGGCCGTTGGAAGCAAGAATGTAATCCAGGCCTGTTAAGTCAGCTGGCTCCCCACCAGCACTCTTCCTGTGTGGATGTCTCTATCCTGGCTAGGAGGAGGCTTTGCACAGGACTGTAGGCTGCTGGTTTGGCATTTCCTTCATTGACTTTGTTTTGCCAGTTATCAATTTATTGCATCTGAACTCCAAATTCACCTTTGTTGACTGATTTGTGAAAGTGGGTCTGAGCCCTTTTAAATATCAAGTTTGTCCTGCCTTGGATATTGTCTCTCAGTCCTAGGGGACCTTTTAGAGTTCTCTTCTCATCTTTATGTTTACTCTCCTGTCATTGCTTAGTAATTTTTTTTATGTTAAACTTGTCCTCTTTGAACTATTGTTTGGCTTCTGTATCCTGACTGGGCCCAGTCAGAGTGATTATGCCCAGTTACTTTTCTAACCTGCCGTCCTGACAGTGTGCTTTTTGTGAAGATGTCAGCTTGTACTTTTCCTCATTCGGTCCTACTTGGATTTGATTCTGTGGTGTTGAATGGGGCTCATTGGTGCTTCTGTGACCCCAGACTTTGTCTTTCCAAGCAAGCAATTACTGGTTTGGCTATATTTGTGGAACAAGGGAGGTAGTATAACTTGTTGGTTAGAACAACAAATGGACTCTGCAGTCAGATGCCTGGGTTTGAATCCTGGCTTTTCTTTTGGCTAGTTGTGTGATCTTAGTCATTTTACCTCTTTAATTTTATTTTTCTTGTTGATAAAATGGGGGATAATAATAATAATAATAATATCTACCATATAAGATTGATGTGAGGATTAAATGAATTAACACATGCAAAATGCTTGGATCAGTGCCTGGGACAGTAGGCACTCAATACACTTCCAGTTGTCATCATCGTCATCATCTTATTGTTGTCATGATTATTAATTCTGTGAACTCTGCTCATTGCTGAAGATCTGCAATATATGTGCAATATATATCTGCAAGATGTATTTGCCTACTCTTACTGAGCTTTCTCAATTGAGTACAAGTTTCAGTGCATTTAGTTCATAAATTGTGGTTTGGGAATGTGGCTGTTTCCTATTTTGTGTTCTATTTTTATTTTTCTGTATTTGTTTTCCTGGTTTTAGGGAAGACAGTGTGACAGAAATGCCCACTTTTGCCATCATTAACTAGAAGCATGTAATCTTGCTAAACAGACCAATCTGACAGCAGCTTTTTTCTCAAAGAATGCTTCAAATTGTTTTTATAAATTTCTTACAGATTTTATAAATTCCTGTAGCATATGCTTCTCTTCCTCCCTGCCTGTGATAGTACATAGCATGATAAAAATGAATTTCCTTTAAACTGTTTTGCTGGGAAGTGTTTTATTAATGATTTCACTTTGACAAAGGTGCTGTTTTTAGCCTGATATGTTTGTTGCAAGGTGGAGACTGACTAGCAAGATTGAATTTGATGTCGATGCTAAATTTTTCACTTGGTGCTAAAAATCCAATTGCACAATTATAGGGTGGCTTAAGCATGTGTTCAAAATGCTTGGAAGTTTTAATTGAATCAGTAGGTGATGTGAATGCCAAGAAAGCTCTCAAGATCTTACGTTATAGAAATTGAATTGTTGTTTGCTATCTGGAGTAGGTAGGAAATAGCTCTGCCCTCCCTTTCTCTGGTCAGACTGTACCTGGGATTGTATCTAGTTCCAAGAACCATATTTTAAAAAGCACAGACATATCACATTGTGTCCAGAGGAGAATGACCAGGATGTTGAGGACACCTGAAACAATGCTTCTTTAAGTAATGGGTTGAAAGAGGTGGAGGTGTTTAAGTTGGAGCTGAGAAGAGTGGGGGAGGGCACTGGGAGATACAATACTAGCACCAGTGATGGTAATGATAATAATAGAAGCTAAAATTTATTGTGTGGCTATAAGCCAGGCACTAAGAAGCAGACATATATTATCTTATTTGATTCTCATCACAATCATATGAGCTAAAAAGAATAATTATTCCATTTCATAAATAGGGAAATTGATGCTCAATAAAGTTAAGAAATTTGAGATTACATAGTTCATAAGAGATATAGCCAGGATTTGGCTTGATGTTTGATTGTGAAGACTTGAGCTCTTAAATACCATATCATATGTCTCTTATGATTGATACCTTTGAGTGTTTGAAGGACTTACATGTGAGAGAGGGATCCCAGAAATTAAAACTAGGACAGATAATTGGCAACTTCCCAGAAAAAAATTCTTGAATCAGTGTAAAGAATTGGTTTCTAGATTGGAGGCCAGTGGATTCCCTAATACAGGTTACATTCAGGTGTTTGCTAAGTAACTGGTTGATAGGTCTTTGTAAGTAGCTAGTTGTAAGTTTGGGATAGGGGTGGGGATAGATTATGTGATCTTTAAGGTCTCTTGCTGTGCTTTCTCAAGTAACTCTAGAGTTGAGAACTCTGTGTGCTTTCCTGTTTTTCAGATATATATATATATATTTAAACATTTTAAATTGTCAAAAAATACATACACCATAAAATTTACCATCTTAACTATGTTAAGTATACAGTTCAGTATTAACTGTATATGCACCCAATCTCTAGTACTTTTTCATCTTGCAAAACTGAAACTCTATACTTACTCAGTAACAACTTTTCCTTCTACCTCCAGACCTAGGCAACAACCATTCTACTTTCTGTTTCTGTGAGTGTGACTACTCTAGATAACTCACATAAGTGGAATTACACAGTATTGCCTTTTTGTGTGTGGCTCATTTCATTTAGCGTAATGTCCTCAAGGTTCATCCATTTTGTAGCAAGTGTCAGAAGTTCCTTCCTTTTTAGAGCTGAATAATATTCCATGGTACGTACATATCACATTTTGTTTATCATGTCAGGTGTATTTTAGCTAAAAAACAAAACAAGAACAAACAATCACTTTAAAAAGCATTAGAGTTAATATTATTCTAACAACCCATGGCTCTGTATGCAAATTATTATGTGTAGAGTTATCTGGGATGGTTAGGGAATGGTGTGCCCTAATTAACCAAATAATTTGGTTCATGGAGTAGAAATACAAATTGTAGGAGATTATCTGGAACCTGTACTGACCCCATGGCATATTCTGAAAGTACTATTTTGAATTAAGTTTCTAATAATTGATTTATTTTCTTGTAATTTGTGCCCTTAAAAATCAAGTCTAATATTTATTGGGCAAAATGTATAGTTTTGAAAATAAAAATAAATAGAAATAATTTCTAGTTATTAGGATGACAGATTATTCAGTATTTTCTTTGGATTTTTTTTGAAAGTACTTAATGTTATAATTCTGTGGAATGTTCATTTTAAAAAATCTAAAATTTATTGATTTTTTTAATGTACCAAATACTAACTTTAAACATCAAAGGTTTTACTTCCAACATCTGGTATTGGGGGAACCAGCCCCCAATATTTCAACGTAGGTTCTTTCTATTTTCCTTAAGTGTTGGCCGGTCTGAGAAATAAAGAGAAAGAGTACAAAGAGAGGAATTTTATAGCTGGGCCTCTGGGGGTAACATCACATATCGGTAGGTCCGTGATGTCCCCTGAGCCACAAAACCAGCAAGTTTTTATTAGGGATTTTAAAAGGGGAGGGGGTGTAGGAACAGGGAGTAGGTCACAAAGATCACGTGCTTCAAAGGGCAATAAAGATCACAAGGCAAAGGCAAAGTTAGAATTACTGATGAGGGTCTGTGTCCTGCTGTGCACGTATTGTCTTGATAAACATCTTAACAGAAAACAGGGTTGGAGAGCAGAGAACCGGTCTGACCAAAATTTACCAGGCTGGAATTTCCCAATCCTAGTAAGCCTGAGGGTACCTGCAGGAGACCAGGGCATATTTCAGTCCTTATCTCAACCACATAAGACAGACACTCCCAGAGCGACCATTTGTAGACCTCCCCCCAGGAATGCATTCCTTCCCCAGGGTATTCCTTGCTGGGAAAATAATTCAGTGATATCTTCCCTACTTGCACATCCGTTTATAGGCTCTCTGCAAGAAGAAAAATATGGCTCTATTCTACCCGACCCCGCAGGCAGTCAGACCTTATGGTTATCTTCCCTTGTTCCCTGAAAATCGCTGTTATTCTGTTCTTTTTCAAGGTGCACTGATTTCATATTGTTCAAACACACGTTTTACAATCAATTTGTACAATAGTGGTCCTGAGGTGACGTACATTCTCAGCTTATGAAGATAACAGGATTAAGAGATTAAAGTAAAGACAGGCATAAGAAATTATAAGAGTATTAATAGGGAAGTGATAAATGTCCATGAAATCTTACAATTTGTGGTTAGAGATTGCAGTAAAGACAGGCATAAGAAATTATAAAAGTATTAATTTTGGGAACTGATAAGTGTCCATGAAATCTTCACAATTTATGTTCTTCTGCCGTGGTTCCAGCTGGTCCCTCCATTTGGGGTCCTTGCCTTCCCGCAACAATCTGGTCTCCATATAGTGTTTTATTCTTTCATTTTATTAATTGAACAAACTGAGATATAATGTATGAAATGACATCACCAAGGCCATAGTGACCCAGAGGTAGACACTAGCATTAATAATTATTCTTTTCCCCTTTTTAATTAGCTGGGTTTTGTGGTCTTTTTTATATTTCTTCTGAACAAAAGATTTAATGATAGAGTTTACATTAGTGATAGATTACTGCATAAAGTCTCCCCAAAAGAAACATTTTCTTGGTTGTTACTTGGTGGTAACATGAAATAAAGGCATAAAATCATTCAGTCATTGGCAGTGAGGCCAAGGGGTGGGTGGCTTGGGAGGAGGTGTACCTAGGCTCTTCTGTAATTTCTCTCTCAGCTATCCCAAATCAACACTGCAAGCTAAGTAAAAACAAAGTGCTTGCCATGCAAAGCACCTTCAAGACAAGTCCCCTACCTCTGTGTACTGGCTAGATCACCACCCCTCCCAGAATACTTGCTCAGAAGAGCAGTTTTTGGGGTAAACACTGTTTACTAAAAGATAGACTGAAAGGGCATTCAAATCACAGGATGGTTCTTAGAAGTGAGATTTCAATACATCTTCAGATGAACATTCAGTGTTCAACTTTCTAAGTTGTTTCCATAGAAACAGTTGGGAAGCCACAGATATTGGGCTGTGAGAAGCAGCGTATGGAGAAGAATTGTTCTAAAAGTTTACCAGGAAAGATTAGGATGTCACAGATCTAAGAAGATCTGAGGCAATATGCACATTAGGCACATGGAGAGTTGATGTGGAGCCATGATCTTTTTCTTGAGTGAGATTCAAACACATTAAGAGAGCTTTCTTTTTAAACTAAAGGCATTTTAAATTTGCTAACTTCTGCCTCCTTTTCCATTGTCTTAAACTCATGCAGGCAGTGATCCTGGAGCACTGTGCTTTTGTTTTTCCTTCCATTCCTAACCCCTGCTTCACTGGCTTCTGTTTTACAGATAGCCACCAAGGTTCAAACTTGATGTAAACCTGGATTTTTTTGTTTTAGTTTTCCGTGTTCTTCTGGGTATTTACAGTTGCCATATATTTGGTGAGGGTGTCTTCTCCCCAGTTCCCCTTGACTCTCTGTTTTTCTGTATTTTCAGGGAAGAAGAGCCCAGACCTAGGGGAGTATGATCCACTTACCCAGGCTGACAGTGATGAGAGCGAAGACGATCTGGTGCTTAACCTGCAGAAGAATGGAGGGGTCAAAAATGGGAAGAGTCCTTTGGGAGAAGCGCCAGAACCCGACTCAGATGCTGAGGTTGCAGAGGCTGCAAAGCCACATCTTTCAGAAGTCACCACGGAGGGCTACCCCTCAGAACCCCTTGGGGGCCTGGAACAGAAGGCGGCCTCCTCCCTGGTGTCATATGTGCGCACGTCTGTCTTCCTGCTGACTTTGGGGATCTCGATGATCCTGGTGCTCCTGTGTGCTTTCCTGATCCCCTGTCCTCCCAGAGATCTGCACAGCACCTGGAGCCGCCACTTGGGCTCCCAGGGAGGTGAGCTGCAGAATCTTCAGCCCTAATCCTGTGAAACTTCATGCTATGTCTGATTACATTTAAATTTTCCTCCAAATCTTAAAACTTAATATGTGTCATGCGGCATTCCCCACCCTGCCGTCCCCACTGTGTGGAGGTGGCAAGGAGATTAAGATTTGAAAGAAAACAAACACCTCCAAAAACCTGGGAATCATTGCTCTGTTGTGTCTGTTGGCATTGGTCTTTATTAGATCCAGAGAG
This sequence comes from Homo sapiens, assembly GCF_000001405.40. NCBI lineage: Eukaryota > Metazoa > Chordata > Mammalia > Primates > Hominidae > Homo > Homo sapiens. Next base: position 13,056,187 of record NC_000012.12, read on the forward strand.
GACAGGGCTGGTTTGCTGGATTCCTGCTGTGGAGCCAGCACTGTATCAGGGGAATGCAAAGCTGTAGGAAGGGCTATTTACAGAGAAAAGCAAGGTTCAAGGCCTGGTTGCACCAGGGATAGAGCTCTTGCAGAACCCTTTGACATTCTTTGATGATAGAGGTCTGATCTAATTTAAATTATAAAATAATTTCATTTCCTGTAAAAGATAGTTGCTATCTTTTCTTTCTTGCTCCTCATGGTTAGGGCGGTGCTGTCTGAGTAATTCCAGCTATTCTGTCTCCTTTTTGGAGTAGGCTTCTTTAAAACCTCTTGCTCTGGAATGGGACTTACATCTCACCTGTGTTGAGTAGTCCTGTCTCTTGTGAACTGGATTAAGCTATCCTCAGACCCCTGGCATCCTCTTGATCTAGAAATGTTTATCTCTGCCACTTCTCTGATCCCAGTTGAATTAGCTTCTGATGAGTTCTGTGTTCTCATCTTTAGTTTCTCTGAAGGCAAGTTTCATTTACATATATTTATATACAGTTTAAAGGTAACAAATTGTTGGTGTGTCTACCACCCAGCTTTAGAAATAGAACATCATTGAGACCTTCACAATCTCTTGTGTGTCCCTCCTGACCACATCCTCCTCTGCCCAGCAAAGGCCTCTGCTATCCTGAATTTTGTGTTGATTATTCCTTTTTCTGTAAAGTTTTACCATGTCAATATGTACCCCTAAACTGTATATTCATTACTTTTGCTGGTTTTTAAATTTTACATGAATTTAATCATGCAGTCTTCTGTGAACTGCTTTTTTTTTTTTTTTTTGCGACAGAGTCTTGCTCTGTCACCCAGGCTGGGGTGCAGTGGCATGATCTCGGCTTACTGCAGGCTTCACCTCCCGCGTTCAGGTGATTTTTGTGCCTTAGCCTCCCGTGTAGCTGGGATTGCAGGAGCTCGCCACCATGCCTGGCTAATTTTTGTATTTTCAGTAGAGACGGGGTTTTGCCATTTTGGCCAGGCTGATCTTGAACTCCTGACCTCAGGTGATCCACCCACCTCGGCCTCCCAAAGTGCTGGGATTATAGTTGTGAGCCACTGCACCCAGCCTGTGACCTGCTTCTTTGTGCCACTTAATTTTTTGAAAACAATTTATTGAGATTCATCTATATTGATGCATTATACCTGGAGTTTATTCATTTTCACTACTGTCTGATTTTTCCATGGTATGAATATCTCATGATTTATCCATTTTTCTGTTGATGAACCTTTAAGTAATGCTTCCAGTCTTTTTTTTTTTAAATAAATAAATGATGCTGCTAAGAACATTTTTGTATATGTTTCCTATTGCAGTGTATAAGAATTTATCTAAGGCATAAACCTAGGAGTAAAATTGCTGGATCATACCATAGGGTGTGTGCATGTTCATTATTAGCAGTTTATGTTAAATTATTTTCCAACATGGTTGTACCGATTTACATTTCCACTAGCAATGTGTGAATTCTCTCCAAATTTGGTGGGCATCCTCTGAGTCCACACTTTTGGGTGGTGGGGGGATGGAAGTCCAGACTCCTCACTAGGCCTCTGCTGACACCACCCCCGTGGAGAGGAGGGAGAGGGCTGCCTTGTTGATGCTAGTTGGGGTGGAACTCCTTTGGTCCTGCTAGATGAGGATGACAGTCCTTGCCCCCACCTGGCTTTCTCTGACATGACCCTGATGGTGGTGGTGGTGGTGGGGTACCTTGTTACATCCAGGAGAGGGTGGGAGCCAGGCTCCACATTCAGCCTTTGCTATATGAGTGGGTGGAGCTGGGCTGATAATTTTATCTGTTTGGTTGGAGTAGAGCAGTTATTATCTACAACTTTCCTGTCTTGCTGGACTGCACCTTTCCTGGGCTTTTGGCTAGGGAAGGCAGCCTTTTCTGGGGCTTTTTTTGTCTGTATCTGTGGTGTTTCTGGGTTGCTGGCTTTTCCAGCACCCTATCTGGGTATTATGAGGCCAAAAGAAAACCCAGGGGACTCATCACCTTGTCATTCCTTGGGTCTTGCAGTCCCTAGCTGGTCTGCTTCCTTCTCTCTGCCTTTTAGAGTTGTCTTATGTTTGTTTTATGTACAGTGTCCAGGGCTTTTCCATGCACTTAGCAGGGGGAGTAGGGAGAGGTGTGTCTACTATACCTAGTCGAGGAACTGGAGTCTGCCTGGTGTTTATAGAGCTACTGGCAACAGAGAACTGGTTTGTGGTAACTTGCTCAGGACCTTTTTGGTTTTTTATGTGTATAACAGGTGGGGACCTGTCTCCATTGGAATTGGCTGATGTGAATGGAGATGGCCTGCGTGATGTGCTTCTCTCCTTTGTGATGTCAAGGAACGGGAGTGCAGTAGGTAAGAGACGTGTTTTTTTCAAGGCTGCTACAGGGGCACTGTCAGCTAGGAGAAAACATCAGAGCTGTGTCCCAAGTGGTACTGCAGAGAAGGATCTGCAGTGAACAGAAAGTTACCATGGTTCTGGCATACATGAAAACCCTCATCAGAAAGCTTCCACATATAAATAAAGCTCAGTCTAAGAAATCGGAGGGAGTTAGAGCTGGAAGGAATTTTTAGTGGTGACCAGGCCAGTGAAGAAACTGTGATGCAGAGAGGAAGTGACTTGTCCACACACTTTGCAACGAACAGTGTTAGTCCTCGGGTTCCTTGGGTTTTCTCCTGGTTTTCCATTGCCTCTTAGATTATAGTGAACATTGACTTTATGCTACCCTCCTATCCCTGGAAGAAAACTTTTGTTCATAGACTTATACATCTTTACACAAATACCTCTTGGCCGGGTGTTTTCCTTTCCCCCTTCAGTTTACACTTGTAGACCTGCTGTCCATCCTGCTCTCTGCATGGGGAAGCTGAGCTGTATGGATGGTATCAACAGGCTTCCTTGCCTGCTGGTCTCCTTTCAATGGGGAGCACAGCTCAGGAATGGGAGGGGAGTAAGAGTGTGAGGGGAGGTATTCACTCCCCTGGCTCCCTCCCCGCCGGGGTCACTGCAGAATGGCTGCTACAGCCTTGACCCTGGGTCACAGCTCGTTTCAAGGTGGCCCTCCTATAGGACTTTCCTTTTCTGGATTCCAGTAATTGCGTCCTCTCCTTGTGTCTTTGTTGGGGAGCCTAACAGTTCTGAGGGTCTGCACTATCACTTGTGGTGTTTCTACATGCTGGCCACATCTTTGTGAATAGTCTCCTTAAGAAACCGTCCACAACTTACCCTCATTTAGGGTGCTGTTTCTGGGATCCCAGCTTTTACACATGTCAGCTGTAGAAAAAGAAAAAATGCGTTCTGATTTCAGCCTAAGTACACAAGGCTTTTGGTTGATCCTGCAGCCTCCACTACAGTGGAGTCAAACTGCAGCCTGTGAGCTGATGCAGGGACCTAGTTTGATGCTGAGGATGCCCTAGTGACTGCTTTTAAGTCGTCTAGGCCTTGGAATACATGTCTAGGTGTGTTTTAGAGAATTCTAAACCACATCTCTTACATTAGTAGGAGTGGCTTTCTGAGGCCCACATGAGATGTGGAAGCAATCTGGGTGGAGATCTGCTGTAGAGAGCATCTCCAGCCTAGGAGTAGATTTCCGTGCAATCAAAACTTGATTACACTTTTCCTGCCCGTGACTTCTGAAGTAAAAATCTTCCCCATCTACTTAGATTTAGAGATGTTTTTAGTCATTTGGTATCTTACGTAGTTTGCTTCATACCAAGACTCATAATGGCAAGGCCATGGGTTTGGACACAATATGGACCAGGCTGATTTGGCCACAGACTGTACAAATAAGGATATAGCGAACATATGGTGCTTTCTATGTGTTAATACACCATTGTCAGCACATAACGTATGAAGGAATTTATCCTTCCACACAGTCCTGTGAAGTAGACCCATTATTATCCCCCTTTTGCACATGAGGAAGGTGAGACGTTGTGAGGTTAAAGAACTTGCCCAGTCCTACTGCTGGTAAATGATAGAGCTGGGGATTCGGATCCAAGGAGTCTGGCTCTGGAGTTCATGTCCTTGACCCTCATGCCAAGCTGCTGTGCCCATAACCCACAAAGCTTTGTGCTACTGGACACAGAGGGATTGAGTTTTTTGTCTATTCACTTGTTCCTTCATTCAGCAACTGTGTGTTGATACTAACTGTGCGGCAGCCACTCTGCACCTTCTCTAGAGTTCTGATGGTTACACACAGACTGCCGAACAAGAGGAGCCTGGCTTTGGCCTCGAGAAGTCATAGTCTAGCAGGAAGGGGTAATCCATCACCATCTGGGAAAAGACGAGTCAGAGCATTGTAGGATGGAGTAGGGTCCTCCAGTAGGAAGAACCACACAGGATAGGGATCCTAGCACCTTTGAGAAGCCTGGAAGTTACCATATACCACCTCTGTTTGTCATATATATCTTCTGGCAACAGGGTCTGAAACAGCCAGCCATTGTTTGTCACTTGTTTTTAGGTTGTATATTCAATTAGTCGTGCTGAGGAATAGGTAGAAGGAAGCTCTAAAAGTTTTGTTTCCTTATCCATATTAGTTGTTGCTGAAAGTGGGAACTGTATGAAATGAGTCACGTGTCCCTATCCTGAGAGTGAATGTGAAACTGACAAGGGAGAAAGTTCTGAGTCTGATGTAGTAATTAAGTGACATAAAGGCTTATTTACTAAGGATCATGGCTACTCTAATCCCTTACCAGCTGTACTTGGATCTAGGTATTAGGTCTTCCCAAATATTTTTTCCTGACTGGGACCAAATCAATTGATTCCAGAGAACTCTAGACTAGCAAGACCCACTCATCATTGCTATATGTAATCTTCAAGTTTATTTTTTCAAAAAAGAAAATATTTTTCTGCTCTCAGGAAGCATTTATTAGTGATGATTAGAATTCAGGTATTTTGCTCCCCGCGCTGCACACGTTCTGGATCAGTCTCATGTTTCCGAGCATATCTTTTCCTCCTGGTTTTTTGTTCTTAACTACTTTTTCGCATTCTTGATTTTGCTCCTGTCTCTTATTAGGCAAACAGTCGGTTGCTGTAGGTACAGAGATTAGTGAGACAGTCTTTCTCCTTAAGGATATCACCATTTAGTTGGGGCCGAGGTGGCAGACATGTAAAGAGTAGTGTTGGGAAAGGTGCAGAAGTGGAGATGCATTCGACAGTGTAGAGGAGGCCACAGCTCTTGTCTTACATGAGAAGCGTGTTCAGCAAAGATGACAGGCACTCTGTGTTCACATCTTGCTGCCAGAAGTGTGAGAGGGAGCTGAATACACAAGTGTGGTTGCTGCCTTACCACCATCCACTTGCAGTTTTCTGGCCTCTTGTTCATCTCTGCCTCTTATCTCCTTTGCCTGCTTTCCTTTTTTTATCTCTCTTGTGTGCTTTTAGGTGTCTCAAGACCAGCTGCTAATCTTGTATGCCTTTCGGGGATGAATGGCAGCACACTGTGGTCTAGTCTTCTCCCTGAGGAGGCTCGAGATATCACATGTTTGGAGCTGATGCCAGGAAGCTTGGCTGAAACCATCTGCCTTGTGACAGGGACACACAAGATGCTCAGCGCATTCAATGCAACGTCAGGTAAATACCATTTACCACAAAAGAACTTTGCTCCTACGAGCCATACTTTTGGATTAGAATAATCTGTTGGGTAGGGGACCTTTTGACTCTCACGTGGTGGAGTATCTGATTTACTGATCTGGAATATGGTTATTAAGAGAAATGAGAGAAAAGGTTTGGGCAGATTGAGTAAACAGATCCATGGTTCAACCTGTTTGGTGATAGGATGGGGCTGGAACTGAATTACCCAAACAGAAACTACCCTGAGGCCTTTGGTGTGTAAATAGTCTCCCAACTCTGTTCTTTGTACAAAAGACGACTGAACTTTAATTCTTCATATTTGGTATACATGGGGGCCATGTGTAAATTTGGCATTAACTACTTAAAAAAATACGTCAGTGAAGAAATAAAGGTTTGTTGAGGCTTGTTGACTGGCCTTTTAGCTTCTTACTGCATTCAGACATACATGACAAAAGGGAATGAAAAAGAATAACATGTCCTGAAGGCTCTTATAGAATCCTAAGTATATGGCCCATAGGCTTAGTACTGCTGGGCCGTGTGCTCACGTGGAGCGGAATAAATAACATCCTTCCCAGGTTTAGAGGTTGGAGTTTGGTCGCGGGGTGCTTCTGAGTGAAAAAAACTGGGATTTGAGTTAACTGTAGAACTGAAGCCATCTGGAAAACTTCCTATGATGCTGTGGTGCTTACTTATGTGACCGTGTGGGGGAAGGAAGCAGAGTGGTCTGGTCGGCTGCCCCTGGGGGTTCCTTAATAGTTGTTATAATCTCTAACAGACAGTTCCCTCACCCCAGGCAAGTGAGCCCTTCTTTGTTGGAAAGGATTTAGCACCTCCATTTTATCTAAAAAAATCTAGGTGAGAAATCATTGCATGGATTTGTTTGCCAGATACTTTAGGATTCGGATCACACTGCCTGCTTCCTCCTCCTCAGTAAGACAAAAACGAAAGGCAATAAGTAGGTAGGAGTTGCTGTCTGTTGTTCAGCCCCTTGCGTCTTTCTTTTCTGGCCTGGGAACATGGCATCTGCCTTTTCCAAAGGCAAGAAGTTGTCATAGTGACCAGCCTATGTGTCCTTCCTCAGGGAAAGCCATTTGGACTTTAAACCCAAACTACTTGTCCAACGGTACCTTGGCTGCCCCAGTTGTGGTACTGCCAGACTTGGATGAAGACGGTGTTCGAGACCTTGTGGTTCTGGCCATTGGGGAATTGCAGGTATGATCTCTATTAAATGTTTTTTGTTTCTTATAGGGACTGCTTCTATTTTAGTTGTCTCAGCTCCTAGTGTTACATTATAAATGCTGCTTGAAATGTTCTTTTTACAAGGGTTTAGGTTTAAGTAAATTCTCTTTGTGAGGTTAAGTGAATACTTGACCATTATGAACCCATTTTCTCTGGCAGCCTCATGGCTCCATGGACTGGGGTGTAGTGGAGCTTTAGAGTTAGTTAGGTCTGTATGCGAATTCCACCTCTACCACTTTATATCTTTGAGGCCTTGGGCAAGCCGTGGAGCCTGTCCAAGCTCTGGTTTCTTCATATGTAAAAAAGGCATGTTATATCTACTTACATCATTGTTATGAAAATTACAGCTAACATATTTAAAGTGCCTAGAGTAGTGCCTAATTTTTGCTGTGTATATGTATTTTTAGTTTTACTGTATTATATATATGTACATTTTATGTCAATTATAAAACAACAGAACAGGCTGATACAAAGTTCATAAAAGATACATAGGAAAAAATCTAAGTCAAGCAATAATAACAACAATGACCAAAGAAAGGAGTGTCATAATCTAGGCTGTGACAAGGCAGACTTTGATTCAGGACAGTGGCCCTTGAATTATGGTCCTAAATTATGATTTGCAGGAACTTCAGTGTACTGGTTACTCTGCACACAGATAAAATAAGAGTAGTCTTTCCCCCAAATCACAGGAAGGAATAAATTAATGAACAGAATAATCTCAATTTTAAGTTTTTATTCTGGAAGCGTTTTTCAGAGCTTTTGTCAAAGTTTCTCTAAGACTTTTTCTCAGACTTCCTAGTGTGTCTGCCAAGGAAATGCTTGTGCACAAAAGAGTCAAACAATCGGCAAAGAATGTTTGTGGAAAAATGTGGATATGGCTAATTTTGTCTCATTTGATAACCTATTTTAATTTTAATAGACCTTGTGTTTGCTGTTGTGATCTTTGTATTGCATATATGGAGTAGAGTTGTAAATTCTGGAGGTGAAATTATGTAGAATGGAATGAAATCTGTTAAGATTTTGTGGCTTTCTGCCAAGAGTCCCCCAAACTTAAGAGTGCCCCATCAGTCATGAGTTTTGAGGAGCACTGCTCTAGCACACTAAACTCTCCCTCACATTTGCAAGATAAAGGCAAGATCCAGAATGAGCTAAATTTCTGAAGCCTACTTAGTTTTAAGGGTTTTAAGCTTTAAGGGTACTTTATGTTCGTTTTCTTCAGCTAGCCAGTTGGTCTCAAAGTGGACCCGAACCAAGGATTCAGGAATTATTCATGTAATCTTTTTTATCCTAGCCATTGTGAATAGAGAGATTGGGGACTAGGGAAAATTTGAATTATTACTTCCATCAGGGAGCAATTCTTTGAAGGGAACATATGGGGAGACACGGCAAGCCATTGAACAAGTTTTTAAGTCGTGATTGAATTTAGAAATCTTGGTCTAACCATCCCGTCTGGCCGCTTATTAGCTGGTGGTGGTTGGCAGGATAGTGGCTCAGGCCCTTGGGGACCCTCCATAGTAAGGAGGTCTCCACTGGAGGAAGTGGCTTCTTGCCCACTCTTACTCTGTGCCCTTTGTGTTGGTCTCTACTCAGTGTATTGCCCATCTTGCCCTACAGAATTTACTTGTTTTCACAATAGGGTACAGCTAGGGCATAGTCTCAGTTCTGCTTGAAAAGTGGTAGACAGTTCTAGGAAAACCTTGTAGAGGCACTAGGTATATAGCGCAGCAGCTTCATCCTTGTACTGACCTCTTTTGACCTCTCTGCCAGCAACAAGGGACCCCAGGAACCTGTATAAGCTCCTGAGATGGAAGACTCTCTCTTCACAAGGAAGGAAACCTAAGTCTGTGACTTATAGTGATTGCGTTCATTGATCTGGGTTTAGAGTGAAGTGGGCTTGGAGAACTGGACCTGGTTTTTGATTACAGGAACTGATAAGGTCTAGAACATTAGTGGGAAGGGACCTTGAAGACCATTTGGTTAACTTTCTCACACCATGCTATGATCTCTGGTTCAGCATTACAGACATGTTGGCACCCCTACTCTCTTGGTGCACTCAGGCTGATGGGAATAACACTAATTTGTGAGGCGATCCATTTCATTTTTGGGCCAGCTCCAGAAAATTCTGTCCTAAGCAGAAAGAAATCTGCTTTCTCATAGCTTCCACTCATTGTTCCAGCTTCATTCCCATAGAGCTACTGTGAATGAGTCTAATCCCCTTTCTATAGGAAAGCCCTTTAACCATTAGCCTAGTCCCTCTAAGCTTGCTACTCAGGACTAAATATCCCCATTTCTCGTACTGTTCCTCATGCAACCAGGAAGTCCAAACCCCTCTTTTTCTTGATTTCTTTCCCTTTGCATTCTAGTATGTCCAAATCTCTTTTAAAATGTGGTACTTATATCTAAAAACAGCATTTTATTTGTAGTATAATTAATATATCAACCTAAGGGAATTGTTTCTTATTTTGATGTAGACTCTGTATTTCTGTTTTTGCAGCCAAAGATAATAATATTTTTTCTAAGATTTGCTTTCTGTTTGTAATCAGCTAAAGTACCTATATCTTTTAATGATTAATTATTAATAGACCAGTTTATTTTTTTGTGGCAGATTTTGACTCATCTTCCAGCCTAAGGTTTTTTTGAATTTTGAGTTTGTCATATGCCATATTAGCTATCCCTCTCAGCTTTGTGATAAACTTGAATTCTATTCTTTCAAGTCTTTGATAAGAATGTTTAATAGGAATGGGGCAATAGCACAGTGCTATGACATTCCTCTAAAAACCTCCCTCTAGGCTAGTATTGATCCCATAAGTACCTTTTCCTGGTACATGGCAAACCACATTTCTTTATCTTGTCCATAGAGTTCATGATGATAAACTTTGTCAAAAGCTTTACTGAAGTCAAGATATCAGTAAAATCCTCATATTTCTTAACTGGTGACTCTACCCCAAAAGAAATCCTCTAGAGCTGAAGTTGGCAACTGTGGCTTGTAGGTTAAATTTGGCCCACTACTTGTTTTTATAAATAGAGCTTTATTGGAACATCCTCACACCCATTCATTTATGTGTTATTTATGACTGCTTTCACACAAGAACAGCAGAGTAGAATAGTTGCTACAGAGATCATCTAGCTGGCAAAGGCTAAAATATATACTATTTGACCCTTCACAGAAAAAGTTTGCTGTTCTCTCTTTGAGAATAAAGTTGATGGTGTCCAGGCCCGACATCTGGTGTTCTGATGGGAGAGCACTGCCTCGATTAACTCTAGCTGGAACCAAATATTACTGGGGATTTCTGGTATTGAAGTAAAGACCCAGGGGCCAGCCATCCTATGTTAAGCTGTAGGCTAGAATTCTGTGCCTCAGGAGACTATTCAGCAAGCAACAATTCTGCTTCAGAGTAGCTGTCTGAGGTGCTTTGAAGATGCCCTTTGCCTGGCTCTAGTGAGGCAATGGGACATTTGCTTCACTTGCTTACTTGCAGGGAAATAAAGCGAAGCAGGTTTGGCTTTGTGCTTTCCAACTTGGGGGAGTGTTTCTGAGCCCGTGGCTTATGAGGAGGCAGTGACTGTCTGGAGAAGCCATTTCATTAGCAAACGATAGGGCTTCTATTGACTCCACCCCCCTCTCTTACTTCCTCAGCCAGATCTGTGCTTTCTGCTGGTGTCTGGCCGGACCGGAAATCCAGTGGGTCGACCTGTGAAGTACAACATCGTTGGAGTTGGGAATCTGATTGGTCCTCAGGTTTACATCACCACAAATGGGGCTGTCTACATCCTGTTTGGCTTTGGTAAGAAGCAAGGCTAGTTTTTGCTCCTGTTCCCCACTGGCATTTGTGATGAGGCCTTCCTTGTGAGACAGGGTGAAAGCTCAGGAACTCCTGACACCAGCCTTCCCATAGCCTTCTAATGCAGGGGCCTCTTACTGTCCCCCACCGATCACAGGCTATTAACTCTGCCTTCCCTTGCTGCCTCCTCTGAAGGGAAGACTCTTGTCCAGCACCCACTTAATCACCTCCCCACTTGTTCCGTGTTGTCCAGTCTGGGCGGGCTCTGTTAGACCCATCTGGTCAGGCTCTGTGTCTCTTGCTCAGATCCTCACCATGGGACAGTTCTGTTAAATTCAACTTCTCAGTGTTGGTTCTTCTGTGGTGCTAGGAAATATACAAGCTGTCGCACTGCGGGACATTTTTGTTCAGGCCCAAAATCGAGACAGCTCACCACCTTCTCTGCAGATAGAAGAGCCAGAATGGGAAAAGCGAAGATCCATCAACCTGTCTGAGCTCATTGATGTTTACAGGTAGGGCAGACGTCTGTCCTTGGTCACAGTGAGATCTCTTGTGAACTCACATGCCTTTGAGTCTCTAAGTTTGGTTGGGCTGGTGAATATGTGGGTAGAGGTTTAGGGGAAACAGTGCTTATCTTAATTTACCATCTTCTGATCTGGTTAACATGAGTTAGAAATTTTCTTCTCTTGGTAACATAATGCGTTGATATCTATGTGTTGGTGACCACATGTGATCACTCCTCAGGTAGGATGCAAGGAAGGATACTTAGGGCTCTGAGTCAGAGTAGGGAGGGAGATAGACTTATCTAACTGTTTGTGAAACTGTGCTGAAGGATCTGACCTACTCTTTTCTGTATTTTTCTCTTAGTTGAAGCATCATTTTGACAGAAGCAAGGATAGTGTCCATGAAATCTTATTTTTTATTTTTATTTATTTCCTAACTAGAAGCATGTAGTTTGTCACATGCAGGGGATTTTACCCATTTAACCCCAAGCCTGGCTAATAATTGTTTCATTCTTTCCTACCAGAAGTTCCAAATCATTTTCTAGCATTTTCTTAGGCAGTATCATGGTGTTTTGGTGACTTTGACAGGTATGAAGTAGAATGGTCCCAGTGGCACTGAGCAAGAACTAATTCAGTGAAATGTATGCCATGGGCTGCTGCCCAAGCTCATTGGCAACCTCTGGCCTCCTGTCCAGATCTCTGTCTGCCTTCCCTGTGATTATCCTTGGCTCTGTTGCCTTTCCCAGAGTATCCAGTGTGAGAGATATTGCACTGTAGCACTTTTCCTGTGAGTTCCTTTTGAACTTGTATGGAATTTTCTGGGGATCCTTGGTTTCTAAGGTCAAGAAAATGAGATTCAACTGAAACAACAGTACATCCCACTTGATGAGATAATGGTGGGGCATGAATACAAGAGTGTGTACAGGTGTACGTATACTGAGAGAAAAAGCCAAAGTAAATGGCTCAGAAATCTCATCCAAGCCAGAGACTAACCGTTGGGGTCTTATTTAACCCAGTGATGGTGTTGAACTACTCCAGATGGTGAAGGCACCAGATTCCAACTGCAGCAACCTTCTGATTACAACCAGACAAAGCCTTGTGCTGCTTCGGGGGCAAAATCTGACACCTTACTGGGCATTGAGACTTCAAGGCCTGCGCAGGTTTGCATTGTGTTCCTTCTTGTGTTTGCTGTTTTGATCCACTTTCCCATGTTTAAAAATTGTCCAGGACAATTGCTTGCAATTCTTATATCTGGGGCCAGTGCAAGAGAAGGGAGGGAGAGTTCTTAGTTTTCCTGTTTTTCTTGTTCACTATTGATTGCTTACTTTGTCCTTATTTGCAGCCAGCCTACTCCTGGATATTTCACTGATGATCAGACATTAGATTTCCTTCTGCAGATACAGGATGGAGTTGGGATGAAAAAGGTAAAACTTTGGGCCTCAGATCAATCAAAGCATATGTAAAGTATATACTTTGTGTCCAACCCTGTGTTAGGCACAGCAGGGAATAAAAAGAACCTAAAATATGATCTCTAACTTCAAAGAACTCAAAGTCTCATTGAGTGGATAAAATGAAAACTCACAATTCATTGCTAAAATCTGTAGCACTGGAAGCCTTTCTAGGATAATCTCCTTCCTATGTAGGAGTTTCTTGTTTTGGATCCCTAGCTTACAGTTAGGCATTGGGGGCCTTCTGAAATCTCTTGGTGGGGAAAGACAGGTATAAAGAAATGTAATGCTTTAACACACAGCTATACCTAAGATTTCAGAGAAGTCTGTGGTGACTGGGGTTTTATGGAAGACCTTATAAAGGAGGGAAATATAAGCAGCTTTTTAAAGCTGAATCGTATTTATGTAGACAGGAAAACATGCCAGGTCAGGGGTGCCAAGAGCAGAGGCCCAGAGACAGAAAGGATAGAGCATGTTCCAAGGACACTGAATAGATCTTTGATATTGCATGAAGTTGCATATTGTGAGAATATAATGATTGGATGGATGACTTTCATTTCTTTAACATTACAGCAGAATTACAGAGTTACAATTTTTTTTTATTATCGACCTTGCATTTTGGTTTATTTTCACTGTGAAATATATATCTATTTCTATACATTGCACATTGTTCCCTGAGAGAGACAAATAATTCAACAAACACTTTATCATCACCTCTAATGCGTGCCAACTTCTATGCTGAATGCTGGAGACACAAAATTAATGAAGACAGAGTCACTACATAGCTCTACCATGCGGTGGAAAGTGCTGTTGTGGAGGTTCGCACAGGGGTCCACCGGGAACACAGGGAGCAGATGGAGTGCAGGCGAGCTGGAGGGCCAGGGAGGCAAGAGATGCCTCATGTTGGTCAGGGGTTGTATGTGCAGAATCATGAGAGCAGAGAAAAGGTTTGCTGAATAGATAAGGGTGGGCTGAGGTGCACTCCCATCAGAGAGATGAGAATGAGGTCGGCTTACAGAGGGCCCCAAAAGCACAGCTGCAGAATCTGGAGGAGGCGTTGGAGGCCACAGGGCTATTTGGTTATGGGCAGAGGACAGATACATTGATAAAAACATCATGTTAGGGAGAGACTTCCAGCAGTGTTATATAGGAAAAGCCAGTGCCTGCGTGTAATTCAAAGGAATTTCTGATACACTGGTGCTGGCAGGATAACGGAAGAAAGGTGTATAGTAGGTATAGTAGGTTGAAGGTGGAGATGCTGAGTTTCAGCCCTGGGTTTTAATCCTGACACCATTACTTATTGGAGACCTTGGGCATATTACCTAATCTTGCCTAGCTGCAGTTTCTGCATTTATAAAACAGGGGTAATAATATTGCCTGCCTTCATAGGATTATTGTGACAGTTAAATGAAGTTAAACTATAATAATTAAAAAAAGATATATATATATATATATATATATATATATATATATATAAAATGAAATATGTGTTTGAGTGGATAGAAGTTTTTAGTGCAGTGTCTCTAGACTTCTCTTTTCCCCAAGATTGCCAAAGGCAATCTTGAAGTGCTTGTCTGTTTTTCTTTCTCTGCTGGTTGAGAAGATTTTGTCTCTGCCGGGTTGGTTCCAGGAACTTGTGTGATGCAGAGTCTGAGCATAGGCAGAGAAAGGCAGGACTCAGGAGCCTGGAAGAATAGGGCAAGCGGTTGTCCAAAGAGGTTAGGTCCTCCACTTACAGAAGTGTGGAGACACTGAGCAGGAGGGAGTAAAGACACTTGGGCTGGAGGAAATTGGGGAACTTCTTGGGGATTTTGGTAAATGAGAGGCTCCAGATCTGTGAGGCATTTAGGATGAAGAGCAGACATATGCCAGGATTATGAATTTGAACCCCTTTGTCATTATCCTTTGACAAATGCAGCTAAGCAATGAATTCCCTCTTGGATTATTTTTTTTGCCTGTTTAAACAGCACTGCTTTAAATTTGAGACTTCCCTAGGTCCATATGCCACGACACCAAGAGTCAGATCCATAAAACTGGGAACACCGTGCCCCAGGACAGTGTTCACTGGGCCATTGTTTTCTGAGTGACTGCTGTGTTGTGGGGGATAAGGTGCTGCTGTTGGCATTTGCAGAGTGGCTGCTCTGTCTCTCTGAGGACTGTCCTAAACGTGGACAATCCGCGTGTCCACATCACTTCCTGTCTCTCAGATCCTCCTTTTCTCACCTGTAAAATGGGGTGGACTACATGATTTGAATGTCCCATTCCCACTTGAGAACTTTGCAGTTCTTGAAATCTATTAAATGGGAACAAGGGCTGCAGAAGCCTGGGGCCTGGTCCTTAGCCATTATTCGTGCTCTCGGAACACCCAGTTTGCTTGCATCTTAAAAGCGCAGCGTGTTGATATTTGTGTTATTTGAATACCTGTGCATTTTTGTGTGTGCATTTTCTGGGCCTGCTGCTTTTTTGAGGCCTGGCCATGTTTACTGTCTGTCTTCTCTTTTGTAGATGATGGTTGTGGATGGTGACTCTGGCTCCATTGTTTGGAGTTACCGTGCTCCGTGTCACATGAAAGAAACGCCAGCCACCTCAGCAGTTACTTCAGACCAGAAGTCTGTCTTCCTCTTCTGGGCCGAAGGGCTGTCAGCTGCATCTCCCAATTCCGTGAGTGAGCCTGGGAGGGTCCCTTTTTTACTTTGTCAGATGGCAGCTGCTGTGCAGGGCTGACTGTGTTCTGGAGATGTTATTTGACCCATCACTTTCCAAGGGGTTGGAATAGAAACAAGTCAGCACTCGCTGGAGAAAAGCAGGAACCCTGTGTCCTCCTGAGCCACACCTTTGCCTTTTAGCAGAGAATGTGCAAGCTGACAACAGCCCCTAACTGCTGGCTACTGACAGTGGGAGGCTGAATAAAGAATAAAAAGTCCTCCCAAGATACTAGATCCAAATTTACAGATAATTCACATATGCTACGGTTGTTGAAGAGGAGAAATCATTATGACTGGTCTGAAGTGGGCAGAGAGAATTTCAAGGAGGAGTAAGGCTGGGCTTTGAGGCACATGCCCTGAGACTGAAGGAACGGGGATGGGGGAGGGTGGCCAGCAGTTGGAGAGGGACATTGACCAGATAAAACTGAGAGGTCATTTGAGGAACTATGGGAGAGAAGGTCTGACACCTAGAAGGCAGATTTTAGAAAGTCTTAAATGTTACACTGCAGTATTTTCATGGGGTTGGTGAGGCAGGGTGCTACCTGTTTTAGGTACTGGGGAGTTTTTAGTAAGACCCGCCCTGCCTGAGTTCAATGAAACACATCTTGACTCAGCACTTTCTGTGTGCCAGGCGCTGTGATCTCTGTAGGGACTAAGGATAAACTGAAAATAATCTTGGCCCTCTAGAGAAGGCAGATGGTCCACAGATAATGGGGGGAACCTGACGGAGGCAGGATCCTGAATTCATCAACCAGGCTCAGTCAACAAGTCGCTCAACTTCTCTGAACCTCATTATCTTTATCCATTAATGGTTAATGAACATGCTAATATATTTACTCATTTTGAGGATCAGATTTACCTAAAATCTAGATTGTATTTCTAACTCTGACATGGCCTAACAGTGTGACCGTGGGCAATTTACCTAACATTTCAACTTCCTCCCCACCTATGAGGGGACTTCAGAAAGTTCATGGAAAAATGTAATTAAAATATAAAAATAAAAAATATCGGCTGGGCGCAGTGGCTCATGCCTGTAATCCCAGCACTTTGGGAGGCCGAGGCAGGAGAATCACAAGGTCAGGAGTTCGATACCAGCCTGGCCAATGTAGTGAAACCTCGTCTCTACTAAAAATACAAAAAATAGCCAGGTGTGATGGTGGGCACCTGTAATTCCAGCTATCTGGGAGGCTGAGGCAGGAGAATCGCTTGAACCCGGGAGGCAGAGGTTGCAGTGAGCCGAGATCATGCAATTGCACTCCAGCCCAGGCGACAGTGCGAGACTTTGTCTCAAAAAAAAAAAAAAAAAAGAACTTTATTTCTTAACATAAGCTCCATCAAGTTCAAGACACTTTGTAAGCACTGATACCAGCCGTTTAGTCCATCCCTAAAGAACTGAGGGTCCTGGGCGTTTCATCATGTCAATGCAGTCTTTTTTTACATTATAAACTGAAAAAAATGAGAGCCCTTTAAAGATTTCTTAAGATTAGGAAACTAAAGAAAGTCACAAGGAGCTAACTCAGAACCATAAGGTGGATGCCTCATGATTTCCCATTGAAACTCACAAAATTGCTCGTTTGATGAGAGGAATGAGTAGGAACATTGTTGTGATGGAGAAGAACTCTCTGGTGAAGCTTTCCCAGGTGTTTTTCTGCTAAAGCTTTGGCTTTCTCAAACACTCTCATTTTAAGCAGATGTTATCATTCTTTTTTTGTCTTTTTTTTTTTTTTCCTTTTTGTGGAGAATGGGGTCTTGCTGTATTGCCCAGGCAGGCCTCGAACTCCTGGGCTCAAGCTGTCATCCTGCCTCTGCTTCCCTAAGAGCTGGGATTACAGGCATGAGCCACCGCACCCAGCCAATGTTATCATTCTTTAGCCTTAACGTCAACATAATGTGCATTTCTTCTGCTGTAGAGAGTTTGAAGACTGACACTCAGGCCTTGGAACTTTTGTTTTATAATTGATGATTTGCCTCTGTCTGGTCAACAAGCAAAATGCCTTGGGCATCCCTCCAAAATACTGTCATGACTTTTGCTGTTGACCTTTCCACTTTTTCTTGGACTGGACCACTTCCACCTCTTGTAGTCATTGCTTTCATTGTGCTTTGCCTTCAGGAGCACACTGGTAAAGCCATGTTTCATCTCCTGCTACAGATCTTCAAAGAAATGCTTCCAGGATCTTGATCCCACTTGTTTAAAATTTCCATTGAAAGTCCTGCTGTTGTCTGCAGCTAATATGGGCCAACAGTTTTGCCACCCATCCCGTGGAAAGTTCGCTCAACTTTAATTTTTCAACCAGAATTACGTAAACTGAACCAATTGAGGTGTCTTCAGTGGTGGCTATTGTTTGTGCTGTTAATCATTGGTTCTCTTCAGTTAGGGCATGAACAAGATTAATTTTTTCCTCACAAATTGTTGAGGATGGTCTGCCATTGTGGGTTTAATCTCCGACATCATTTTGTCCCTCGTGAAAATGAGCTATCCGCGTCTAAGCTGCTGATCTCTCTGGGGCATTGTCATCACAAATTCTTCAGAAAGCATCAATGATTTCACCATTCTTCCACCCAAAATTCACCACAAATTTGATGCATGTTCTTGCTTCACCTTTTTGGCAGAATTTGTGTTACTTTGATAGGGGCTGTTTTCAAACTGATATCTTACCCTTCTTGGTGCCTCAGACTAGCTCCTGTTCAGGCATGTTATAACAAGTTAGTATGAGTTTCCTCTGGTGCAAAAAAAATTTTGAAGTCCTTGCATAGTTTTTTCATAATCTGCATTTCCATGAACTTTTTGAAGACCCCTCCTATAATAAAATGAGGGTATTGGGCAAGATAAGTCTCAAGTGTAGTCTTCTATAAATAACTACAAAAAGAAAAGAGCCATGTTACAAATGCTTTAATAGAGGTACAAGTAAGAAGTTTACATGGAAGCACAAAAGAAGGGAGATGTTAATTTTGCCTAGGGTAATAAGGGAGCTTTTCCTCAAAGAGGGGGCCAAGGTGGGCACCTAAGGACGAGAAGTGTAGAGATGGGGTAGAGAGGATAGTTAGACAGTCTAAGAGGCAAATAAGATTGGCAACGGTTAGGCAGAGTAAGGTGAAGCATGGATTGAGGGTGATGATCAGACATTTGTGCAGCATGGGGTGGGCAGGTGAGTCATAGCAGCTCAGTCTGGAAAAGGCATATTTTGGTTAAATGGTATAAGACTGCTAAGGAATTTGTGCTTCATTCTGTAGGCAGTGAGGAAGGTGTATGGCTGTTTTCTTCTCATGTTAGCTGAGCTGGAGATCTGTCCTTTCATACCTGGGATCCTAAGGGTGTGTGGAAGATGCCCTCTTCTGCTTTGTGGGGATGTGTTGAGAGTGAGGTTGCAAGCTTCCTGCTCACACTTCTCCTCACTTGGGGACTTCTTCCCATGCAGCGATATGGAAGCAGGGGTAATATTCATCCCTCAGAGCTTCCATTTCCTCTACTGCAGGAGGCCCAAGGTAGTCCCAGGGGAGGAGAGGCACTTGGGAAGCTCTGGAGAGCAGCCACTTACTAACTCACATGGGTGTACTTCTGTGCCTTAACAACTGCATGGCTGCACACTCATGTACCTGCCAAGTCTCAAGTCCCATCCCCACATAGAAGTCATACTGATAAAGATAGTCCCAATGTGCATTTCTTCTGCTGTAGAGAGTTTGAAGACTGACACTCAGGCCTTGGAACTTTTGTTTTATAATTGATGATTTGCCTCTGTCTGGTCAACATTCCACTCATTTCAGGAACAGATAAGATTTTTGTAATTTTTAGCCTGATGCTTGCAGTTGGCTTTGACACCCAGTGAAAGGAAATATCTTTGGCTCACTGTGTTTTCATGAATAGATTACATCTCCACAAAGCCCCATCTGCTGCAAGGGATGAACCAGTATTCCAGTACTTCCATGGGCAGAAGACTGGGACATCTTGTCAGATTCCTCTCTTGGGACCTGTACATTGCCTTTTCTTTTCTTTTCTTTTTTTTTTTTTTTATTTTTTGAGACAGAGTCTCTCTCTGTCACCCAGGCTGGAGTGCAGTGGCATGATCTTGGCTCACTGCAACCTGTGCCTCCCAGGTTCAAGTGATTCTCCTGCCTCAGCCTCCTGAGTAGCTGGGGCTACAGGCATACCACCAAGCCCAGCTTTTTTTTCTCTTTTTTTTTTTTTTTTTGTATTTTCGGTAGGGACAGGGTTTCTCCATGTTGGCCAGGCTGGTCTCGAACTCCTGACCTCAGGTCATCTGCCCACCTCGGCCTCCTAAAGTGCTGGGATTACAGGCATGAGCCACCGCACCAGGCCTGCCTTCCTTTTTTTTCTTACAAGGGAGAAAGCATTTTCCAGCTGTAGATAGTGGTTTGAAAGAGTTAGTGATTACTATTTTGAGCTCTTTGAAATATGTCTCTTATACAGGGGAGTTTCTTTCAAACACATTCTTGTAGTTAGGATCAGGCATTAGCATCTGAGAGGAATGAGTAATCACCATTTTCTACTCTGCCTTTTCACCTGAGGACTGTCACGTGTGGGAATGTAGCGTTACCTTTGCTCTTCCTTTTTGCTGCTTATTATCAGGATATCATCCTAGGAACTGAGCCGCCCAGCCTTCACCACCTTTACCTCCTGCATCCTGCGTTCCCCTCCATCCTTCTGGATCTGGCCAACACCACCGGCACAGTGACGGCTTCAGAGGGTGAGTCCCAGTGCCAGCGGGAGTCTGTGTACGCAGATGGTGGGAGAGTATGTGTTGGCTGTGTGTAATGAGACCATTGCCCCACCCAGGGAAGGATGTGTGCTTCTCAGACGACAGCAGGGCACTTTCCCTGGTGTCCCTGGTGCCTCTTTGCTGGAATGCTCCCCTGGGTGGAAGCCCCGGGCTCACAGGGTGAGAACCCATATGCTCTGAATGTGGAGGTGAAAGCGCGTCCCATTCCAAAGGGTCTGTAAGGTGATGATTCATCCAGCCACTCCTTCAGCAGACATTTAATGAGCATCATCTGTATGCCAGACACTGTGCCAGGTGCTGGGACTACAAATAAGACTAGTTTCTTGACCCACTCAGAGATTAGGATTTGGAATTAACTGTGAAGGACATGATGGAGATAGAATGTGTTTTGCCAGGGCATTGATTTAGAAAACCTTTTTTTGAATATAACTGTGCACCCTGCATAGAAATTGGAGAAAGAAGAAAAATCAAAGGAAGAAAGAAAAATTGGCCATAATCTGGCCACTCATAACCACTATTAGCATTTTGGAAGTGTTCTTCTACTTTACATATCTGTCTAAATAACACTGTAAATAAAATGGGATCCTATATGGGAGACCCTCAACTCAGGAAACCAAAGCATTGGGATTGCAGCCTCTGCTGCCTGCTAGTCTAGGTTGTCTGGTGATCTCCTCAGCGATTCCTTCCCTCATGGAATCTGCTGTTCCTGTTGGGAGGTCAGGGAGTGCAGGAGTGGGAGAGGACCAGATGACCACATCTCCTTTCTTTCTTTCCACATTCTCTTGCTACTTATGGACTTGGCTGTCTACTTACAAACTCATTGGCCTTGGGCTGCAGCTGGTGTTTGTAGCTCTCTCGATTTATTGGGATACACGGGGAAGAACAGCTTACCTGGAACTTGCAGGCACACCTGTCCACTGATTGGGGGGTGGGGGCAGGGAGGTATGAGCTTGGAAAATCCTGTGATTAGATCTGAGTGAGCTGTTTTTTCAACAGTAGCATAAAATATTCAGTGAACATCAAATAATGGTAATTAAGAATCTTGACACCATTTTTATTACAACTTGTATTTTATTTTATTTATTCATTTTTTAAATTTTATTATTATTATACTTTAAGGTTTAGGGTACATGTGCACAATGTGCAGGTTAGTTACATATGTATACATGTGCCATGCTGGTGTGCTGCACCCATTAACTCGTCATCTAGCATTAGGTATATCTCCTAATGCTATCCCTCCCCCCTCCCCCCCACCCCACAACAGTCCCCAGAGTGTGATGTTCCCCTTCTTGTGTCCATGTGTTCTCATTGTTCTATTCCCACCTATGAGTGAGAACATGCGGTGTTTGGTTTTTTGTCCTTGCGATAGTTTACTGAGAATGATGATTTCTAATTTCATCCATGTCCCTACAAAGGACATGAACTCATCATTTTTTATGGCTGCATAGTATTCCATGGTGTATATGTGCCACATTTTCTTAATCCAGTCTATCATTGTTGGACATTTGGGTTGGTTCCAAGTCTTTGCTATTGTGAATAGTGCCGCAATAAATATACGTGTGCATGTGTCTTTATGGCAGCATGATTTATAGTCTTTTGGGTATATACCCAGTAATGGGATGGCTGGGTCAAATGGTATTTCTAGTTCTAGATCCCTGAGGAATCGCCACACTGACTTCCACAATGGTTGAACTAGTTTACAGTCCCAACAGTGTAAAAGTATTCCTATTTCTCCACATCCTCTCCAGCACCTGTTGTTTCCTGACTTTTTAATGATTGCCATTCTAACTGGTGTGAGATGGTATCTCATTGTGGTTTTGATTTGCATTTCTCTGATGGCCAGTGATGGTGAGCATTTTTTCATGTGTTTTTTGGCTGCATAAATGTCTTCTTTTGAGAAGTGTCTGTTCATGTCCTTCGCCCACTTGTTGATGGGGTTGTTTGTTTTTTTCTTGTAAATTTGTTGGAGTTCACTGTAGATTCTGGATATTAGCCCTTTGTCAGATGAGTAGGTTGCGAAAATTTTCTCCCATTTTGTAGGTTGCCTGTTCACTCTGATGGTAGTTTCTTTTGCTGTGCAGAAGCTCTTTAGTTTAATTAGATCCCGTTTGTCAATTTTGTCTTTTGTTGCCATTGCTTTTGGTGTTTTAGACATGAAGTCCTTGCCCATGCCTATGTCCTGAATGGTAATGCCTAGGTTTCTTTCTAGGGTTTTTATGGTTTTAGGTCTAACGTTTAAGTCCACAGCCAATATCCTACTGAATGGGCAAAAACTGGAAGCATTCCCTTTGAAAACTGGCATAAGACAGGGATGCCCTCTCTCACCACTCCTATTCAACATAGTGTTGGAAGTTCTGGCTAGGGCAGTTAGGCAAGAGAAGGAAATAAAGGGTATTCAATTAGGAAAAGAGGAAGTCAAATTGTCCATGTTTGCAGATGACATGATTGCATATCTAGAAAACCCCATTGTCTCAGCCCAAAATCTCCTTAAGCTGATAAGCAACTTCAGCAAAGTCTCAGGATACAAAATCAATGTACAAAAATCACAGGCATTCTTATACACCAATAACAGACAAACAGAGAGCCATATCATGAGTGAACTCCCATTCACAATTGCTTCAAAGAGAATAAAAGACCTAGGAATCCAACTTACAAGGGACATGAAGGACCTCTTCAAGGAGAACTACAAACCACTGCTCAAGGAAATAAAAGAGGATACAAACAAATGGAAGAACATTCCATGCTCATGGGTAGGAAGAATCAATATCGTGAAAATGGCCATACTGCCCAAGGTAATTTACAGATTCAATGCCATCCCCATCAAGCTACCAATGACTTTCTTCACAGAATTGGAAAAAACTACTTTAAAGTTCATATGGAACCAAAAAAGAGCCCGTATCACCAAGTCAATCCTAAGCCAAAAGAACAAAGCTGGAGGCATCACGCTACCTGACTTCAAACTATACTACAAGGCTACAGTAACCAAAACAGCATGGTATTGGTACCAAAACAGAGATATAGATCAATGGAACAGAACAGAGCCCTCAGAAATAACGCTGCATACCTACAACTATCTGATCTTTGACAAACCTGAGAAAAACAAGCAATGGAGAAAGGATTCCCTATTTAATAAATGGTGCTGGGAAAACTGGCTAGCCATATGTAGAAAGCTGAAACTGGATCCCTTCCTTACACCTTATACAACTTGTATTTTAAAGATAAGGCAAAATAAACACTGGCAAGGTAAATCGCCTCTGTGACTGCGCACTGACAGTCTGGGAATTCTCAGGCTCCCTAGTGTTTCGGGCTTGCTTTTCTACTGAATTCTTGCCACAAGGGGCACATTCTCTCAGTTCCTGAGTTGGGCTTTTTTGGAAATAGCTTCAGAGGAGTAAAGGTGCAAAGACCAGGAAGAATGTGCTGCTTTACTGGCGTCCAGTCCTTCCCCTCTTTGCACCCGTGGGCTAGCTCACTGCCTTCTGTTTATTCAGTGCTCAGTACATTTCCTGTATGAACTTATGAGTAAATAAATGTATTGTTGAACCAAACCCCTCTCCTGTTAGTGGACGGTATGTGTCCATGTTAACTGCTCTTGTTTTTGTCCTTCCTCAGTTGGAATTAACGACCTCTGGAAAGATGCCTTTTATGTTACCAGGACAACAGGGCCAAGCTCCGAAGGCCATCCAGCAGCCCTGGTGGTCAGCAAGCTTAGTCTACGGTGGGCACTAATGGAGGGCCAGATGGCTCAGCTACAGGAGTCCACCCCCAAAATTGGCCGTGGGGAGCTGCGAAGATTTCTCTCTAGGATAAAGTTTGTTGAAGCTCCCTACGAGGTGAGTGGCTGCAGAAATATTGTTCCTCTTGAGGGTTTAGGACAAATACTACCAATTCCAGCTTTGTCTTTAGAAAGTAGGCAGAATGGGGAACTTTCTTGAGTAGATGTGTATCAAGACAGTTGTTTTGGACCAACACTGTTTCCTATGGATGCCTTCTGACCATGAAGAAATGATTCTCAATTGTTTTCAGCTGGAAATAATAGCATCTTCCTTAGGGGACATTTGACAATGTGGGGTCGTGGTTTTTATTGTCCCAATGACTGACAGGGGTGGCTACGACTGGTATTTTCTGGGTTGGGGCTAGTGATGCTAACATCATGCAGGGCTTGTAGCAGTTACATACTACAAAGAATCATCTTGCTCAAAATGCTAATGTTCCCTCCCCATCCCCACTCCCAAGAAATATTATAGTCTAGTGCAAAGTTCAAAAGCTTATCATGGAAAATAACAAAGTTTCTGGGCCTTTCTGGAAGGAGGAAATGTTTACAGACTATTGGAGCTAAAGAAAAGGACGGGAAAATAGAGAAATATTCTGACCTTTAGTTTTCCTGCTTTTCTTTGAACATCTCTACCATGAAAAACAATAAAGTCACGATAACTCTTTTTCCATAGATCTAATCTGATGGAATCTTCAGTTGCAGAAGAAGTGAACAGAGTGGATACCCTCTCTACTCTCCTGTCACTGTAAAATCAGTTCTATGGAGAGAAGACTTCTTCGTCCTCATTTACCACCTCCCTGATGGTTGCAAAGGCTTGGGAAGGCATGTTGGAGTCTTTGACGGCAGCATGATCTATTTGGCTGGGGCATCTTACCTACCTTTTCAGTCCCTGCATTAATCCCCTCTAGGAACTCTGCGTGGATCGTTTGGAAATGTGAATCTCTTAAGTATTTAATTTTTTTGGTATGTCTAATTTATGAAGTCTTGCTGGGAAAGCCAGTGAAGTCTATGACTAGGAAACATTTTGTTGTACATTGTGCTGTGTGTGTGTATATTTTAGTGTTGTGGTGAAGTTATTTTCCAGGTATGTCCTAAGCTTCAGGGATCCAGTTTCTTGTCCTTCTGAAATATATCTGGTTTGTTTGGTCATTTTGAGACTTCCAGATGCCCTACCTCTGATGTTGAGGGCCACTTATTTCTCTCCTTATTCTTTCCCACCTGTACCTTGGCTACTTCCAAATTGTAGACAGAATGAGAAAGATTTATAGTGGAAGACTGAGTTAGCCATCCAAGCATTTTCATCTCTCTTGTTTTATATCCTATTTCCTTAGATTTTCCATCCATGTCTATTAAGTGACCACAAGAATAACTATATTCCTATCACAAGGGGAGCAAGAGGATGTAGTCTCAGTGACCCATCTCTGACCAAGTCCACATGTTGTGTTATATGTGGCTCTGATGGTTCTGCCAGTCATGATCTTTTTTCTGTGGCGACATCAGAAGTGTATGTTTGCATGCTGTCTTCAACTTAGAGGAGAACTGGAAGTCAGGAGCCTTTGATGTCCTTATCCTGCTGTATGTCTTCTCTGCATCTTTTTCTATAGGGCACCCTCCTTAGCTCCCCTCACTCTGTTTTCTCTTCTATTCAGGGATATGTTTCTGGACTTTTTCTTCTGCTACTTGAGTCCAGGATGCAACCATTTTGTCCTGCATCTCTTCTTTCCTGTAGAGCCTTTGAAGCATTGTATTTTGGGAAAATTCTTCTGTAAATACTATAACTTTTATAAATGGTTAAGTTATTTAGAATTATCTCCAGTGCTTACTTCTCCCTTCTTCTGTATAAATCTGCTACTTCAATTAAGTTCTCCTCTAAACTTTTAGGTCATTGTTTATATAGCAGAAAATTCAATGTTAGCGGATGGAAAACTGCTTCTTGAATAACCTTGATAGGTCATCCCTGAGTGCACCTCAGGTTCTCTCTTTACCTGGGCTTGTATCTTTTTTTTTTTTTTTTTTTTTTTTTTGAGACAGAGTTTTGCTCTTGTCGCCCAGGCTGGAGTGCAGTGGCACAATCTCGGCTCACTGCAACCTTCGCCTCCTGGGTTCAAGCGATTCTCCAGCCTTAGCCTCCCAAGTAGCTGGGACTACAGGTGCCCGCTACCATGCCTGGCTAATTTTTTTTTTTGTATTTTTAGTAGAGACGGGGTTTCACCATGTTGGCCAGGCTGGTCACGAACTCCTGACCTCAGATAATCCACCTGCTTCTGCCTCCCAAAGTGCTGGGATTACAGGCGTGAGCCACCATGCCCGGCTGGGCTTGTATCTTTTAGCTTGTGTTAGTAAAAGGATTCTAGAAAATTATGAAGTCCAGATTCAAAGGGATCTCTGTTAATTACCCACTGACAGGCATTATGACCTAACAGGAGGTTGGTAGCAGTAGATCCAAGCATGCATGTTGCCTGGCCTGTAGATTGGCCTTATCAGGTTTCTGGGTGCCTCTGCCTTAAGATCCTGAAGGCAAATTTTGTTTCAACAGTTTGGAAGTCATCTGTGGGTCCAGCTTGACTTTGGAGGAATAAGAAGATACTTCTAGAGTATGGGAATGATTCCAGATAATTTCTGGGATTTGAATCTACTTGAGTTTAAGGGCCTGGGACCTAATTTGGTTTAGTATAGAATTTGAAGAATTAATTTATAGGCAGCTGAATACCCAAAACTTGGGTGGTGGTCCTGTGGTTTGGCTGAGCTGTCCGGGCATAACCTGGTTCTCTGTTATGTTAAGGCTTTCTGGGAAGCCAGCCACTCTGCGCAGGAGTGAAACATGAAGTTGTTTTCTGAGGACCTGTTTTGGTGGGATTGTTTGGGCAGAGGACTGTGTTTATGCAGGGCAAATCCCAGAAAGATAAGAGGAAGCTAGAGAAACTTAATGTACCTGAATTCTTCATGGTGTATTTGCAAACTAACTTAACATAGATTCTTTTGACTATGGTAAGTTTGAATCTCTCCTTGCCAAACAACATTATAAGTTTAGTTTTCTTCTTCCTCTTGCAGCCGGTACAGAAAGGTGTAAGTGGTGGCTGAAAATTGAGGAAGCTTCATCTGACCAATGTGGGTGCTGGTTTCTTGTGAAATGTGTCCCTAAGCCTCCTTCTCCTTGCAGGCAGCCACCCACCCAGGTGTCTAAGATAGGACATGCTCCTTTCTTTCTCTAATCCCATCCTGAGGTTGCCGGCAAAGCCAATATGACCACTACTGAGAAATAGTAATGACTTCTACAAATGCAAGGGTCTTACCCTCCTCTTTCCCTTAAACACCCTCCCTTTTCCTTAGACCCCGTTTTTGCCATCCCCCAAATGTGTGGTATGGTGAAACTAATCCCCTGAATGTGAATTGCTATCCTTATTGCCCTATTAAAGAAGAGCCAGCTGGTATATTGTCAGGAAGCACTATTTAAAATGTGAACTGTTATAGAGTAAATAAATAAATACTCTACAGGAATACACTTGTGTGCCATTCTCATTCGTCTTAGTCATCAAGGATGGTTTGTTTCCCCATATGGAAAAGAGAACGGGCAAGTAGATGGGTGGCATTCTTTTTTTTTTTTTTTTAAGTTCTAGGGTACATGTGCACAACGTGCAGATTTGTTACATATGTATACATGTGCCATGTTGGTGTGCTGCACCCATTAACTCGTCATTTACGTTAGTATATCTCCTAATGCTATCCCTCCCCCCTCCCCCCACCCCATGACAGGCCCGGTGTGTGATGTTCCCCACCCTGTGTCCAAGTGTTTTTATTGTTCAATTCCCACCTGTGAGTGAGAATATGCAGTGTTTGGTTTTCTATCCTTGCGATAGTTTGCTCAGAATGATGGTTTCCAGCTTCATCCATGTCCCTACAAAGGGCATAAACTCATCCTTCTTTATGGCTGCATAGTATTCCATGGTGTATATGTGCCACATTTTCTTAATCCAGTCTATCACTGATGGACATTTGGGTTGGTTCCAAGTCTTTGCTATTATAAATAGTGCCGTAATAAACATATGTGTGCATGTGTCTTTATAGCAGCATGATTTGTAATCCTTTGGGTATCTACCCAGTAATGGGATGGCTGGGTCAAATGGTATTTCTAGGTCTAGATTCTTGAGGAATCAGATGGGTGGCATTCTTTATGAAGGAAATAATAGGGTACATTTCTCAGAAGGGATGAAAAGGTGGGATCCAGAGAGGAGCCTATGCCCCCTTGTTCACTGGGAAGTCCCTGGTGTGACTGTCCAGAAGGGAACCACAGTCCAATCTGAATAGCCTTGGTGGGCTATTTCTAGAAGTGACCCTGACCCTGTGTGCTGTTGGCGCCTTCTCATGTTAAACCACTCTCCTAAGGGCTCCTGGGACAATATTTAATAACACTTTTACTGGGTACCTACTGTGTGGATGCAGGACACTGTCCCAGGCAGTGTGGAGGACTTCTGTGCTATATGACAAAGCACTCAGGGGCGCTTCTGTCTTCCCATCTGTGACTTCCAGAACAATTCGCGCGTACCATGGAAAGTTGAGCCACAGTCACACTACCGTTAATTTGCTCACCTCCATTTCTCCAATTTCCAGACCAATAACTAGATGTATCAGATCCTTAAGGTCGGGAAGTGTATTTTACTCTTCTTTTTATCTCCATGGTTTAGCCCAGAACCTGGCACAGAAACTATCAGTAAAGAAGGGAATTCTGGATGTGTGAGATGTGGGGTGGGTGAAACAAGATGGAGCTGTAGAGGAAAAGAGAGCAGTGGCACCCAGGAATCCCTTAGGACTTAAAGATAACCCTTATTCATAGCCTTATTCGTAGCCTCTAAAAACCATGCTCAAGAGACGGATGTTGGCTTAAGCACATGTTGATAATCAGCAGACGTGTAAGGTAGGGCTCAAGCCTACTCCCCAAACCCGCTTAACTCCTAACACTGCTCTTCCTCTACAGATGACCTAACTGCTTCTTTCAGCTCCTGGCTGGCCCCTCTTTGAAATCCCTTGTTCCGCAGCTCGGAGTAGAAGTCGACTCCCTCAGAGACAGAGTGGATGGGCTGATTATGATACTGGTGGTAGCTGGTCAAAGGACCCACGGTGGGGGCTGCACTTGACAGCCGCCGAGGGAAACACTGATGGTGATGTGGTAGGCAGTTCGGGTTTTCCTTGAAGCTCTTACTATGCTTGCACTTGAACTCCAGCACCATCCTGGTGTACGTGTTGAAGGTGGTGACAGCCGACGCCATGCAGCAGGTGAAGGAGAGCCAGGCCATGCTAGGGACAAATGCACAAAAAGATTGGACAGTAAGAATAGGACTTTCTTGAGAGAAAAATGCCATGACCTCTTCCTACTAGTGGACTAGCTTATTGCCTTGTAGGGATTTAGGGACTTTCCACCATGTTTCAGGTAAAGAACTGTGGGAAGAGAACTTACTGGTTTCTAAAAAGAGAATGACTCATGTAGTCCTAGTATCAGACAAGGAGCTTAATGGATTTGTTTTCACTGAATTGATGAGTTGTCGGTGCCATGCCCTTTTCTATCTGGTGTGCCTATTGTGTGTGTATGTCTGTGCATATTTGGACTCCTGTTTCCCAAGCTGCATTGACCCTTGTAAAATCTCCAAGATTCCCCAGGCCTGAAGCTGAGCTGTATGCAGTGGACATAACCTACTGCATACCCTCCCTCTCCCACCCCAACACACACACACATGCCCTGCCAAAGATGTCCCCCCACTCAGATGCTGGGAGGAATCATCCCTCTTCCATCTTCCTTTGTTTTGAACTTAGCAGTCTTAGGGTCCAAAAAGGTGAGCCTCTGAAAGTCATTCAGGAAAACATTTACTACAAATCAGGAGGTATTATAGGTTGTACTAGTGGAATTTGCTTCATATGGAAACAGTGTGGTTTTGGCTTAAGGGAGTTTGTAATGGGTGGGAGAGGAGCTGGAGATTAAGAGAATGTGGATGGATTCAAGAAAGGAAAAGAAGACATTAGGCAACCATATTAAACACATTCCTGAAAACTTGGAAAGTCAAATCCCTAAATCTCCCTGTGGTTCTGGGAAGCTCAGGAAACAGGAAGTTTTGTGAGGTTAGGGAGGGATTTCATGAGGCCAAGTGATGGTTAAAGCCAGGTCACATGCGGGCACTGTGTGTTCATATCTGCTGCCTCTGACAAATGCAGTAGGTTCAGTCTGGGATGCTTCTGGGAGTTGACTAATGGGCGTTGCCTAGCCTGAGCTCCACAGCCGTTAATGCCAAGAATGGCCTGAAGACAGACAAAAGGTGAGAAGTGCTGGATCTGGGAGCTGCATTGAGCTGATGCCCTGGCTGGTGTAGTAGACTCAGACTCCCAAATTATTAGCGCAGATTGTACCACAGGAAAGGGGATAGGGCCTCACAACAGACTTGCAGGCTTCCTTCCCCGAATGGAAACTTGAGCCCATCACTGTGTCTTTTCAGTGCTCTCAAAGTACTTAGCACTTAGACAGTAAATATCAGTACAAGTTGGCAACTTGCTGTGAATAAAGAGTGCTCCTTAAGGGAGAAAGTAAGAGCTCTCAAAGATAATATTTAACTTGAATGTGTTGCTTTGTGATGGTTGCTGTCGCTCTCTTTTTAAGAGAACTCTAAAATGACTGACCCCTTAGTTCTTTAAGGGTTAGAGAATGACCCTAGGGTAGTGAAGTTTTATTTCCAACACGGTTCAGTAGAATAAAAATGGATATAGAAGGAAGTGAAGAGGAGAGGAGTAAGCCATTTACAGAGAATGCAATTCAATCCAAATTTCAAAGCGATTTCTCTATTTCTCTGTTCTCTAATACCTTGAATCATAAAAAAAAGAAAAAAAAAGAGCACATTTCTATAAGGCCTACAGAATCAGTCTTGTTTCCCCAGGGTGACAAATATACCAGGTAAAGAGGCAACTGCCACAGCTGATGAGCAGGAAAACTGGACAAAATAACATCCTCCCAAGACACACTCGAGGAATCCTTCCTGTACCCCCTCAGAAGGCAGGGAAGAATGGATGTGCCCTGATGATGCAGCCCTGTGTGGTTGACAGGCTCTTGGGATGAGGGATGAAGAGAAGGCAGGGCTTCACCGAATAAGCATCTAGCTGAGGGCAGAAAATCTCGTGAAGGTTGGCTGGGGCTACAAAGGTTCAGGAGATGACAGCACTTACTAGAAGGCCCAGCCATAATTCCAAACATGTGGTCTCCAGTCTTCTGGACCCAAGTTGACAGTCGCTTGGAAGACTTGTGAATACATCATGTGGGCCACCATCCCCAGGAGACCTACCAAGGAAACAGGAAGGCAGAGCCCTTAGAGAAAGGCTTTCATGCCATCTGCCAGGAGTACGATTTTGGATCACCCTTCTTGCAGTCAGGCGCAGCCTCTGTTGGAGTAGCCCATTACCCTATGCCACCACATTTCCCGAAGACTAATTCACAATGGGGGCTTCTCCTTAAATACACATCTTTGCAATAGGTGACCCCAGACTGTAGGCTGAGAGCTATGGAAAAAGTCTGAGTCAAGGCTGCACCCAAGGCCACTGCACACCACCCCTACTCCTTCCCACCCACACCCCAATGTTGGCTTAATTCTTCATCTTATATGTGCATCTTTCACTTTATCCAATGGAGACTGGTCTTGAAAAGCTGTGTGTATGTCACAACTGAAAAGTAACCCAAACAATAGATTTTACATATTGAGAAAGCTTGCAAATAAAGGAACCTAGAGGTAAATCATTTTGTAAAGTACACGGTGATCCAATATACAATTTTGTATGTTACTTCAATTTAAAATTAAAGATGCCTACCTCCATTCTTTAAAGAGCCTTTGGGCTCCTCCCCTTCAGGGCAAAGACTCAAGCCCTCCAGCTAGGGCTTCAAAAGTGGCCAGGGCCAACCACCCTCTCTCACTCCAGGAGCAACTCACCTGACAGGACAGAGGAAACAGCAGCAAAGGCGCTCAGTTTGAGCCCACAGGCAGGGTTCCCAGTGAGTAGCAAGTCTGTTAGTAGCAGGAGGAAGCTGATGAATTGAAGTCCGATGTAGGTGATCTGCGTTCCCAGGGATAACCATAGGATTTCTGCCAGAAACCAGAGGAAGAGGGAGCGCTCACCCTGACAGTTAAAAAACTGAATAAGCGGTGAGCATAGGATGCCTATTAGGAGTTAAGACCCTAGCAGCATCTGAGAAGGGGAGAATGAGGCACAGCTGAAACCAGGGAGGAACATTACTTCATTTCTAGTCCTTTGACGTCACTCACAGCTCCCACTCCATAACCAATATATACCCAAGTAAGCTTGACTGACTGTAAATACTGTTGGGGAGATTTGAGAAGAAATCATCGAATTTTCATAAATCCTGCAGGGAAATAATGTTGCTCTAGTTATCATTTTTTGTCTTTTTCCTCATTTAATTTTGGGGTGGTTCCCTCCCTGCCTCCCTTCTTCACTCTTTTCCTTTCATTTTACCAAATAATAATAATAATAGTGGAGAAAAAGGAGGAAAAAGCTAAGCCTTCCTACATGGTTACTTGGCAACAAGAGTAGGTTAGCACTGTTGGTGGTTTTCTATTTGTGAATCTTATTTATCCCTGCTGTTCTGTTTTTGCATTCCTGCATATGAATGAAAGTCAGCTCAAGGAGGAATTTGTGTCACCCTTTGGGGCTCAGAAGAGAAAAGTGGGAGATCACAGTGCAGTTTAGATCCGGAGAGGCCCAAGTCAATGGTAACTACTGTAAATTCCTTATCAGACACATACTTGCCACAAAGCCCCAAGGGAGGGGAGGGGAGGGAAGCCTTCTCCATCAACCGCTTCCCTCCAAATCGGAGAGTGGGGTGACATGGGCCTTGCAACGTGGCAAATTCCAGTAGTCCTTTCTCACCTCTCTTGGCTGGTGGTGTAAGTTCAATGAAACTTCGGCACCTCTCCCCTGAAACATACAAGGTACAACGTCATGGAGCTACTCCCTGGGATGGTTGGAATGAAAACCTTCCCCACCCCATAACTGGTACTGCTCCCTCTGCTCTGACAGCACCTGCCCCGCATAGAGCAGGAAAGCAGGAAAGAATGCCTGGGTGAATGAATGGCACAGCCAAGAGTCAGCCCAGGTGAATTTCTCTCTTCAGTCTCTGATAATGCAGAAGATGTTTCCATGAGAGCACCTACATAGCTTAGTGTTCCCATTTCCCGTGTCCAGAAGAGTTAATGATCTTAGTGTTAACTAATACCTTTTGCTGCCGCTGTACCACTGGACCGAAGGGCTCTAAATTGTTTCCAGGACTGGGGATGGAGCAGTGCTAAGTGGCACAATAATAAATATAAATGTAAATACACACATTTTTTTAATTCCTCTTCCATCTCGCTTTTAGCTGAAATAGGGAGAAGTAGCAGATATCAAATTGTTCATGATTCTGGGCATTAGAAGAACTTTAGTACCAGGTGCTTTCTTCCCAGGCCGGTCACCTTTCAGTGCTCTTGGGCAGGGAAGAGGAGGTGTCTTCAGCTCATTCCTCCAAACCTGAGGAACGCACATCGACCAGCACCTGCCTGCTTTGCTAGTGTGCACTGAGGGGCAGGAGACCTGGCAGATCTGCCTTCAGCTCCTTGAGGGCTCTCTTACATGATCAGTTACCCTGGCTGGCTGGCTTCGGTTCCCCCACTTTTAAATGGTAGCGGTAATACTTAGAATGAGAAAATACTTTGGGGCCAGGAAGAGGCTGTAAGATGATCTGCTGTGATGCTTTCATCTCACAAATGAGCAAATCAAGACCTATAGAAACGAAGTTATAGGCTGGGCATGGTGGCTCATGTCTGTAATCTCAGCACTTTGGGAGGCCGAGGTGGGCAGATCACCTGAGGTCGGGAGTTCGAGACCAGCCTGACCAACATGGAGAAACCCTGTCTCTCTAAAAATACAAAATTAGCCGGGTATGGTGGCACATGCCTGTAATCCCAGCTACTTGGGAGGCTGAGGCAATAGAATCGCTTGAACCTGAGAGGCGGAGGTTGTGGTGAGCCAAGATCACACCATTGCACTCCAGCCTGGGCAACAAGAGCAAAACTCCATATCAAAAGAAAAAAGAAATGAAGTTACTTGTATGAGGTCACAGTTGAGCAGAGCTAGGGCTTTCCTACAATATTCCTCTCCCTTCGTTTTGTTTCTAAACAGCAATTCTAGCTCCCTAGACCAGAAATTCTCATAATGTGAAAGGTCTAAATGAAACTTTTAAGGTTAATTCTATTTTTAACATGCTATTTTGAACCAACAAGTCTACTACAGAGGGAGGAAGTGAAAATCCAGAGGACTTTCAACCTTATTAAAAGGGGCTCCTATAGAGAAGGACACTGGACGGAGGTGGAAGGTTCTGTGCTGGGAGAAGGGAGTGAGGCCCACTGGGGTGTGGGCAGTGCTGCACTTCCAGGGCAACGCCAGCCCTAAGCGGGCCTACCTGATTTCCATGCCTGCATTAGATCCCTTGCCCGCCCTGACCCCGTTGCTCTTATATCCCAGAATGTAGGCTACCTGGTTCTTCCACAGTTTCCTCACAGGATAGCCACATGCCACTCCGGAAGCTCCGGAAGGAGAACCGGTCATCCCCAGTCTCCCAGTTGTATTGTACCACCTCCTGGGTGGATGTGTTGGTATCTCCATCCAGGGACACTGGCATGTCAAAGCACTTGGCTGCCAGACCTTTCTCGCACAGGGGCTTGGGCACCTTCTGTGTGCCCACAAACCAGTAGTTGCTGAGCAGGGATGTTGTGGAGAAGCTGAGTGATAGCATGCTGAGGATGGCAGATAGGAGTGTCCGCTGGCCAGAGAAGGCCTTCGAGAGCTCCATCTGTAATAGACAAGCACAAGTGGAAGGGAAGGGAGCAGGGGAGCTTGACTCAGAGCCGCCTCGGAGATGTGGCCATCCTTCCCTGCACTCCCTCCGCTCAAGCCATACTCCTCCAAGGCAGATAGGCACAACCCGCCTCTGACATTTTTCTCCAGGGGCCGCATGGAAGCCCCGCTTCAGGAGTGGTCTGCAGCAAGCACCCTGAGGGCGTAAGAAAACCATACGCCCAAATGGGGGCCTCAGAAGCAGCTCTCTCTGACATTCTCCTGTCCTCCTGTCTCAGTCCCACTCTTTCCCAAGGCTAGCCACAGAAACTAGAATCCCTCTTTCTCAAGGTGGGTTGTAGAAACCAGAGTCCCTTTCCCCAGAGCCAGCCATAAAACCTAAAAATATTACTCTAACTTTCCCTCTGCCTTCCCGTGTCCAAACTGGCCCTAAAGAGGTTATCTGACCTAGCTTGTGTGACTGTAGGTCATAAGACTCCCATTCCAGAGAGGGTCCTGCCCCACACCCAGAAGGAAGAAATGCACGCTCAGAGAGGCCAAGGAGAAGCAGCCCTTGCTGGGTTTCCCCACTCAATCTATTAACATTATTAGATCAGGCCAGATGCAGTGGCTCATGCCTGTAATCCTAGCACCGTAATCCCTTCCAGAGGTGGGAGGATCGCTTGAGTTCAGGAATTCATGACCAGCCTGGGTAACATAGTGAGACCCTGTCTCTACGGAAAATAAAAAAATTAGCCGGGCACGGTGGCGCACGCCTGTAGTCCCAGCTACTTTTGAGGCTGAGGTGGGAGGATCACCTGAGCCCAGGAGGTTGAGGCTGCAGTGAGCCACGATCATGCCACTGCACTCCAGTCTGGGCAACAGGGCTATCTGTCTCTAAAAAATAAATAACAACAATAGATCATGGCCTTGATGTCCAATCATATTTCTATGTGACTGTCCATACTTTGTTGAACCTAAGCATAAAAATAGACAATTTTCCCTTCATCTTTGTGACTTCATTCTGAAGGTTCCCACGTCACGTGAAACTACGATCAAATAAACTTGAATGTTTTTTCTCCTATTAATCTGCCTCTTATCAGTGGTTTTCAGTGAACCTTCGGAGGGCAAAGGGAAAGTTTTCCCCTGGCTTTTACACAACACGGGGATGATGCATCTTTAAGTTGAACCTTACACAGATCCAACTACAGAAAAGTGGTGATTTGCATAGATTGAATGACAGGGGCTGGCCTCTGGGCATGATATGCAGCAATACACAGAAGTAGGATAAAGGTGATCCACCAGAGAGGACAAATTAGAATGAGGAATGCAGAAGTCAGAGTGAATTGGAAGTGAGTATGTTAAAATCTTCCATTTCTGCCTCAAATGGTGAGAGTGGAATCAACATAGCCTCCAGCCGGCAAATCCTAGGGAGGATGTATGTGTGTGTGTGTACCTTTATGGTGAGTGCCATAATGACCCCACCAACAAACAGCAGGGGGATCTTTCTGAGTAGCAGTGATGGATCTGCCAGCAGCCACTACCTGGAGTTCTTGGACCAGCAGATTGAGCGAGAGAGAGAGAAGGTGGATTGCTGCACATTTGATACCACTGCTGGCCAGGCCCTGTCTACTGAAGTCCTGCCCCTTCTGAGGCTCACCCCAAGTCCCAACTGCTTCAGGGAGGTCCCCTAACCAGCACCTTCCATGGGAAGTGAGGCTTGGAAGGGCTTCAAGGACTGTGGTGTGTGCCTTCTTAATAGTACTCTTTTCACATTTATTTTTGGTCATGTCTTATCTTCCCTCCAAGATTTCAAGCTGCCATTAGGTAGCAAAAACGTGTCTTTGTAATTTTTATCTTTCCCACAGCAACTAGCACAGTATTTTACACATTAGACACTCAACACTAAACTGCTGAGTAAATTGAGGGTGTTCTGAATAAGCATCAGATAGCAATAACCTCAGTCAGAGGATATATAAACTTTTTCTTTTTTTTTTTTTTTTATTGAGACGGAGTGTCACTCTTGTTGCCCAGGCTGGAGTGCAATGGCACAATCTCGGCTCACTGCAACCTCCAGTTCCCGGGTTCAAGAGATTCTCCTGCCTCAGCCTCCCGAGTAGCTGGGATTACAGGCGCCTGCCACCATGCCTGGCTAATTTTTTTTTGTATTTTTAGTAGAGACGGGGTTTCACCATATTGGCCAGGCTGGTCTTAAACTCCTGATCTTAGGTAATCTGCCCGCCTCGGCCTCCCAAAGTGCTGGGATTACAGGCGTTAAGCCACCACGCCTGGCCGGTTATATAAGCTTTTAACTTTATGTAAAATAACATTAATACATATAAATATATAATTATATAATTAATAATTGACAAGGCAATTGATAACTTCTGGAAAAGTTTTATGTAAAGTCTAAACTTTATATAAAAGTTTAGAAAAAAGAATTGGGAGCATTCCAAATGCTCTTTGTGATAATCGTTTTTGGCTTTGTCTTCACTGACAGGTAGTAGCACTGACTTGCTGAAGCATTTGCTATTGTAACAAAGTGAGCTATTGGTGTCCTTTTCCCTGCATTACAGATTCCTCTGAAAGGAGTCATAGCAATGAATATTAAACTGGAAATCTCCGGGGGAAGCAGATGGATGCTTTGGGGCCTGGAGGATAAAAGAGGGCAGTGAACCTACTGGGATGTGGGGCTATTGAAACCTTTGGAAAGGAGATGGGGCTTATGGTTCTGGGAGAGGTAGCAGTCGGGCCCAGCTTCCATCCACTGCCACAGAGACAATAGAGTTTCAAATGCGAGGTGGCTGTGTGGTGCCTGTGTAGGCTGGACACCAGGTTTGGTGTCCACAGAGCCATGGGTAGGGTGTCGGCAGCCAAGCCCTTGGTCAGTGGAGAGGAACCTGGAGGGCCGTGTCTTCCAGCCTGGTGCAGAAGTGCCTGCCTCACAGTGGGGACATAGGGGAGGCTGCCGAAAGAACTGAGGCCCCAGATGGCTCTGGCAGGAGCCCCTACTCTCCATGTCATTTTCAGCCTAAGAGAAGAGGAGGCAAGCTAAAATATGACTGGTATTAGACGGCCAACTTTGCTGAGTGGTGGCTTGGAGCCAGATTTAATTGGACTTAGAGAAGTAATTTGGCAAGTCTCTCACTTTGTGTTAGAGCAGTTTATACAGTTATATTAATGCACATGGAACAGAAAAGAAGCCCATGGTTAGTTGCTGACAGACGCTTCTTAAAGTAAACCTTCTTGAGCTTTCCAGGGGATCCTTCATATCAGAATTAATCACACTTAAATCTGCTTATCTTAAGAGCCATAAATAAAACCATAGCTAAATGGACAGGTCCATAAATTTCCCTCCCTTATCACACCCAGCTTACTGTTTCTACATTTAAGAGAGAACTTTACCTGAGAAATGAAACAATTTGTTCTTCAGAATTTCCAGGGACTAAGACAGTGCATATCACAAAATGCTTATTATTTATGGCAATAAGAAATACACAAAGATCATATGTATGTAAAACCAATATGTAAAACATGATAAAGACAACTTCTGAAAAGCAATCTGCTAATATGATTTTACTTTTAAAGGCACTCAACAAATTAACTCTGCCAAGAATTGTCAGTTCTTGCAAGACTCTGGGTGACCTTGACTAAGGACAAAAAATCCGCAGCATCTGGGAGGAGGAAAGATTTTCTGTTGGTAGACACTGAAGTCGCGTGTTGCCCAGTTCCCCTTTCCTAAAATGTTTTCATCTTGGTTTTAGTTATGAAAATCCTATGGGTTTTAGTCATCATTCTCTTACTGTGAGTCATCCTTTCTAATAATTCTTACATTGCTTGAATAAGAAATGGACTTCCAGGTAAAACATCTTCACTAACTATTTGGTGTAAAGACTGACCTAAAGACTTAGGCAATTCTAACTTTTGTGACCTCAGCATTCATTTTTCAACAATCATTTTCATTCTGGTTTGGAAATTTGTCTATTATCACATCAGATTTTAACCCCACACTCAATCCATTTCAAGTTATACTTGCAAGATTTTTACTCCACATTCAATCCACTTCAAGTTATATATATTTGCAAGTTATTCTCGGGGTTATTCAGAAATAAGAAAGAATAACGAACCCCATACTAAGATACACCCACTTTGTGGCACCAAGGTGACAACCAATTTAAGGAAGAGGCAATTTGAGAAACAAAGAATAAAAAAGAGCTTGGACTGAAGCTCAAAGAGGTTCCTTCCAGAAGGAGTGTCCACCAGGGAGAGACACAAGGAACCTCATTCAAAAATCATCTTCTTGATATCGAATGATCATCTCATTCAAGAATTTTCAAGAATTATCTCCAACACCTATAGTACCATGCCCTTTGTCACATACTTTACTCCTTTCCCCAAACATGCCTTTTCCTGCTAGGGTCGGGATACCTCTTGAATTGGAAGAACAAATCTAATTTTGCAATGGTTTCCATAAAGTGATCCTGAAGAAGTAATGGCCATAAGAACAACTCTATCTTTGTGTATGCAACAGATCCCATGCCAAGGTGACTCTTTACTCGCTAGAAAAGGGACAGAGTGGTTTCTCTAACACTTGGGCCCTTAGATCATTAGGAAGTGCGTAGGCGCCAATGTATAATCAGTAACCCTTACATCAGCATATATTAACAGAGTAACCCAGAATTAGCATAGGCTAGGAAGGACAACAGATCGATGAGGCAGGTGCACTTCTTAAAAGAGCCAGGTACAAAATAGCTGTAGACTGCATCCTTTGAGCAATAGGAGGGGAAGCCGGTTACCTTGGCCATGGTCAGCGTCTTGCAGCTTGTCTGGAAGAACCGAAGGATGCCATCTGCACTCCAAGTCCCTTTGGTTTAATGTTGCAAGAATGCAAACTGTCTTCCTACCCTCCTCCCTCTCCTCCTACCCCTCCCCTTCTATCTCATATTCTTTGGAGTGCCTCATGATTAAATGCTGCCTTACAGGGAACACGGGCATTTAATAATTGACAAGGCAATCAGGGCCCAGCTGTTCTGGGAGATTACACCAGAGAGCTTGCCAATGGGGATCTGGGATTAAGCACAAAGAAGCAAGGACCTGCAATTTGCAGAGGAAATTTTCTTTAAAAAGTAAATGATGGTTTAGTTTCCACTGCCTGCCATTCCCTAGGTAACTGGTGTGAATGGATTGGGCTTGGATTTATGACAGACGAAGATATGGCAGGTCACCATCACTGCAGAAGTTTACCTTCCCTCGAGTAGGGTTTCCTATCCCTTTGAAGAAACTCTATTCTCTGCAATGTCGGGGCCTCATGGAGCCATGAACAGGAAATAGCTTCCTTGTTCCATGGGTGGTCTCCACCTTCCAGTTAGAACATTAGAATAAGTACTATTGCCGGGCGTGGTGGATCACGCCTGTAATCCCAGCACTTTGGGAGGCCTAGGTGGGCGGATCACAAGGTCAGGAGATTGAGACCATCCTGGCTAACATGCTGAAATCCCGTCTCTACTAAAAACACAAAAAAATTAGCCGGGCCTGGTGGCGGGTGCCTGTAGTCCCAGCTACTCGGGAGGCTGAGGCAGGAGAATGGTGTGAACCTGGAAGGCAGAGCTTGCAGTGAGCCGAGACTGCGCCACTGCACTCCAGCCTGGGTGACAGAGTGAGACTCTGTCTCAAAAAAAAAAAAAAAAAAAAGAATAAGTACTATTAAGTATCTCCCTCTACACATGGAATGCTGAGTGAGAATGTTGGCTGGGGATGTGGCAAAGATGCAGATAGAATAGGATTGGAGATAAATGAATTCCAGGATCTGGAATGCCATGGCTATTTACCATTCCTCTCCCAACCTTCAGGCAAAGGAATGACAATATTTTATATTTCAAAAAAGAGTTTCTAAAATGCTGAAAAAGTAATCTAAGAAACCAGTAAGGGGTCGTTTGCATATGTTCTTGCCACCAGTCAGCCAGAAGTACAAGTTGTTCTTTCTCTCCTCAAAATTGTACAAATAGCTGGGCGCGATGGTTCATGCCTGCAATCCCAGCACTTTGGGAGGCTGAGGCAGGTGGATCACTTGAGGTCAGGAGTTCGAGACCAGCTTGGTCAACATAGTGACACCCTGTCTCTACTTAAAAATACAAAAAAATTAGCCAGGCATTGTGGCAGGCACCTGTAATCCCAACTACTTGGGAGGCTGAGCAGGAGAATCTCTTGAACCTGGGAGATGGAGGTTGCAGTGAGCCGAGATTGTGCCACTGCACTCCAACCTGGGCCACAGAACGAGACTCCATCTTTAAAAAAAAAAAGTGCAAATTAATTGGGACACCAATGTTGAAAGAGATTCTGCCGCTGTTTGTGAGTCCCTAAACCCTGCATGGACTTTCATCCTCCAAGCCTTTGCTGATGCTCTTCCTTCTGCCTGGACTGCCTTCAATCTCTTTTTACCTGGTGAATTGCCTGCCTTTCAACGAAATTAGTCTAAAAAGTCATCCACTCTTTGAAAATGTTTCTTTTCTCCCTAGGACAGACAGCTCCCTCCTCATGATCCTTGTCACACTATATCTTGCAACACTTATTTTTTTTTTTTAATTTTAATAGAGACAGGGTCTCACTATGTTGTCCAGGCTGGTCTCGAACTCCTGGGCTCAAGCAATCCTCCCACCTTGGCCTCCCAAAGTGCTGGGATTACAGGCGTGAGCCACTGCACCCGGCCTTCTCACAACACTTTCTGTATTCCATTATAACTACTGCATTTGTCTGAAATGTAACTTCCTCAAAGGTCTCACTTTCATTTTAGAGCAGTCGTTCTCAGTTCTGATGAACTGAGTTCAGAACAATCTTTGGAAGTTTGGAAAATATGCCGATTCCTGGACCCACCCTGAGATTTCATAGTAGTTCTGGGTGAGGCCCAGGAATTGGTAATTTTAGAAAGTTCTTAATATATACCCAGGGAATTCATGTAAAATGGCACCTGTTCAACTCATTTTGGGCTTACATTTAATAAAACCCTCTGTATCCGCCCCCGGCCGTTCCTCCCCCTCTTCCAGACTAGCCATGAGGTCATGTTTTTCCCATTCTATATTTGTGCAGTTCGTTTAGGGAATCAAAGGCAGGTTCTTCTGAACTTAATTGTTTGAATTAGTCCACGTTCTAGCCAAATGAGTTGCTTCGGATCCTGCTTTTGTCACCTGTAATGTCTGCTCTCCTCAGACTGATGTTAACAAGCAAATTTGATAAACATGTGCCATGTGCAGGTACATTTTCTGCATCGCCCAAACAACCCTTTATTTGTTGTGACAGAACTCACTCTCCTTTGGAAGGAGAAGCAGGAATTTTGTGTTCTTTGTTTTTTTTTTTTTTACGGTTGCATTGGCGGTTGGTTTCCTGGCTAGTAGTTTCATCACAACGCTGGGTGGCGCTATCTCCTCGTCGTTTCCGCTTCCGTCACGTGCTTCCCCCACCAGTCGGCAAAATGTGGGTGGAAGTGGCTGCTCCTCCCCATAGGATCCTTTTATTTATTTATTTTTAATTTGGCATCCTCCCTGCCTGCTAATCTACAGAATGCCGTGTGTCAGCTCTATGGAATTCAGGGCTCAGGCTGAACTTTGGGGCATCCAGCCACTCCCTATAGGAGTCTTGTAGGATTGTTTCATGTAGCCCATTTTTTTTTTTTTTTTTTTTTTTTTTTTTTTTTTTTGGGCGGCCAGTTCCAGCTTCAGTGACTCAGTAGATCCTCAAATACTTCCCATGGGAAATACAACTCCACGGTATCAGAAAATACAGTTAGCCAATGTTTCCTGATGAGTTTTGTGCACATTTTTCTTGATTGTATCTTCAGTCCCTTTCCACCCCAGAACAGTGAACAATTATTTTCCCCTCTCTGTGCTTACACCCTTCAAATACTTGCAGACACTTCTCATAGCCCGCTTGAGTCACTGTTTGGCATGGCCTGATGTCTTTGGTTTTTATTGCCTCTGCTCATAAACTGCACCCCCTGTGCCTTAATAGCCTGAAGTTCGCCTTCTCCAGGGAAATGGGGATGGGAGTGGCAGACTCTTAAGTGTGTTATATGAGGAGGCTCAGGGGTGGATTTAGAGTGAAGCTAATGAAACTTCAGCTTCCATGTCCCCTACTCACTCCACCTCTTCTAAAACCTTGTTACCTAATTTACACTTGTAATTGTGTACTCTTTTTCTTAAAGAGGGCCTCCGAAATTATATTATTTTAGGCCTCCACAAAGCCTGGGTCCACCCCTTAGGAGGCTGTGCATTTTGTGTGTGTACTTGGCTGCCTGGCTGCTGAATGTGACCAGTCTTGATTCCCCCTCCCCAAGGACCCTGGGCCACAACGTCTAATTTCCTCTTTTTGACAAAACATGAGTTTCTCTGCCTGGCCACAAACATCAGAGCCCAGCATCCCACTCACTTCCTTTCATTGTAATTTGGGCATGTTAATATTTTTTTCTTCCTTTTCCTCTCTTAGAACAGAAGAAGTAATTGCTAGTCAATGTGACA
Source organism: Homo sapiens (assembly GCF_000001405.40). Classification (NCBI taxonomy): domain Eukaryota; kingdom Metazoa; phylum Chordata; class Mammalia; order Primates; family Hominidae; genus Homo; species Homo sapiens. Next base: position 13,099,310 of record NC_000012.12, read on the forward strand.
TAAATATAATTAGGTTCGGCTCAGAAGCTCATGACTCAGCACAGACACGAAGATTCCACACCTAAAAACAGTATTTAGCTCTGGCATGTTGGACTGTGACTATTCCAAGATGACCTCCGCAGGAATATATATGCACTTCACCATTTATGACACCACAAGGCCAACAGTGGGGACTAACCCATATTTGCTGAGGTCCTCAGTCACTGTTTCCTGTACTGGACAGAACCACATTTACTAGGCTGTGCATCAAGAGAAAACAGTGGTGTTGGGGCACCTACACATACTTCGTAAATGGGAATGCAATTTATTGTTTTGTGAGTTCACTGCAGGTTAGAAGTGATTAAATGACAAGCGTGAATGCTGAGCCGGAGAGCAGGTTATATACCACACCACTTCTCTAATGCCAAGGCCTGGGGCTAAGGGATCCGGTGTTTTTTTTTGTTTTTTTTTTTTTTTTTTGTTTTTTCTTCATGTCATCCATACTGGCATCTTCCTGGAAAGGTTTGTTTGCCCTCCCTGGCAGGAGTATCTCTGTCCTCCCAGGAGCTAGATTTCTGACCCACGCGCCATTAGCTCCTTTCTGTTACTCAGTAGACAAAGGCTGGAGTGGGTTGTAAATGTTTCGGCTATCGCCGGTCTGATGACCATGCATGCCCCTGGCCCTGTTCTTTGCTTCTGCATGTCCTAGCATGTGCCTCTCTCGTGTAACTCATCACATGGCTTACTTGTCTGTCATGCTCATTTGACTTTAAGTTGCTTGATATAGTAGCAGCTATGTTTTATTCATTGTTGATCCTCAGAGCCTAGCAGTGTTTTAACATCTATGAATGAATGAATGAATGAATGAATGAATGAATGAGATTTGTAATGCAAAAAGGTTTATGGATACAATTAGAAATCCTGAATGAAGATGTGAATAAAGAAGTGTGTCCAAACAGCCTTCTGTTGCTAAAGGAAACAGGACGCTTCTGGATTCACGTATGTAAGAGCAGCGAGAAGCTACAAAGGAAGCCCTGGGTCCACAGGCACACCCTAAGCCTTTCCAGGCAGATGCACCCAGAGTTTCATCAAACAGATTCTCTGCCAATCCATTTCCTCTCACCTGTGGAAACATTCCTGCTTTTAAATGAGCAAAGCGCAGAAAACAGTGATGATCTCATGAAATAGTATATTATCTTTAGTGCACAGAGATCAGGAGACAGATTGCTCAAAAACCAGTGACAGATTGGAAATGTTATGTCCTTTTCCAAGCTGGGTGGACCCCTACTGATTAGAGCCATTTTGGATAATGTATCTCCAAACTTCTGAGCTTTTGCTGCTCTAACTGCAATGTTTACATCAGTGCCTGACCTTATACTCTTTCACTGATGAGGACAAAGATGGTCTTCACACGGGACATTTTCACATTTGTTTCCCAGCCCGGAAGGGAAGAGTAATGCCACCAAAATGCCCGTGCTTAGTGTTCAAAATGACTACATCACTGTAGGGCACTTAGCTCCGGGATTTATTCTCAGCTGTAACCACGTTTAAGGGGCCACATCACCTCAAATGGTCGCACAATCAAATGACTCTAGTCTTCCTAACGTAGGTCCCGAGTTTTGGGAACACTTCAATTCAGTGGGAAGGACCCTGGAAAAGCGTATCGGGGCCTCGTTCTCGTCTTTCCCTTTCCGCCTTTTAATGGAATTGTTTGAGGACTTTTGCTAATGCAGTCATTTCCAGGAGAGGAAGCCGCCTTTCTTCCAGGCCCCAAGCAGCTGGAGTGAATCAGAGGGGCAGCCACATCTGCACATCCTGTGGGGCAATCGCTCACGCGCGGGTGACGGCGCCAGCAGGCCGGCTGGGGCCGGGGGCGCTTGGGGACCGCGGGGCGGGGCGGGGGCGTAACGGGTGGGGCCTCTCGGGGGTGCCTGGGCCGCGCCATCTCCACTTCCGAGCGCGCCCTCCCACCCTGATGAGTAACGCGCCGTCTCTCCCGTTTACTACGGCGCCCGGTCGCCTAGCAGCGGGGCGCGTTGCCGCGGCGACAGGCCGGCCGTGTTTGGCATTGTTTGCGAGGCCCCGCCCCGCGGCCGCCAACCACCCATGGCTTCCTGACCGGGTCGGGCGGGGGTACCCGGGCTGTTTCTTCCTCTGGGTCTTCCTCCGTCGGTTGAGAACGGTGTCCCGGGGGCCCTCCCAGAGAGCAGGGACTGCCAGGGCAGGCCAGGGACCCGGCGAGCCGCGGAGGGCGGGGCCACATGTGTCCCGGAGCTGGGCCGGGGCGCTAGGCCACCTGAGGCGCGTCCCCTCTGCCGCCTGGCGAGGCTGCGCGGGAGGGCGGAGAGACTGGGTAGTCGGAGGGATTCCTTACACCCAGGCCGGTGGGCCAGGGCTCGGGATGTGTCGAGCTGCTGGAGTCCAAAGTCAGGCATTTCCCTGCCTCTGCCCGGTAAAGCTATGGGTCCCAGGCTCCCGTTCTAAGGGAAGGGGATGTCTGCGTCTCATTGGGAAGACCCCAGGGCGGGACTTCACCACCCAGACCCCTCAGCAGATCCGAGTTCTATTTACGACCCAATGCACGACTGCACTGAGGATTTTGGCCAAGTTACTTAACCTCCCAGAGGGTTAAATTTACCCTCAGGGGTAAATGAGGGCAAAGAGTTGTCCTTCTTAGTTCTGTGAAAATCGAAAACAGGTAGAAGAAGAGTGCCTCTAAGCAGAAACGAAGGGGAAGTGCACCTGTGCTACCAGCAGACACCTTGCTAGACCCTTCAGACATCTTCCTTAATCCTCACAACCAGCCTGAAAGGGACGTGGCATCCCCATTCTACAAGTGAGGGTTCCGATTCGGAGGGTTTGACTTGCTCAAGGCCACAAAGCTAGTAAATGGTAAAGTCAACACTGGCAATCTTTGAGGACTGTTCGCCTGACTCATCACCAGGCTGCCACTCAGTAAAAGCCAAGGCACAGTCACCTTTAACAAAATGTACAGATTGCAGGCCAGATTTATGGGACCTCCTGCAGATTGAGGCAATGGATTAAGTGTACTTTATACTTCTCAGGTACATATTAGCAACCAGACGCTCCCATATTCCCTCTGTGTCTCTCCTGGAAAACCACTGATAAAGAACAATAATAAAATTTATTCTAAGCCATGACTGGCTTTTTCTGTCATGTTCACATCCACTTCTTTGTCATCTATTCACTTGGGGCTGCTTCTGAATTAGGGAAGCTGCCTGAACCCACACTCCGATGGCTCTTCAGAACCACCAGCTCAGCTCTGCAGTCCCAGAAGTGCCTCTTAAGTTATCCTGTTCTTTCCTTTGAGATCCTAACTTCCAGCTGGTCAACAACATACCACATTGCTCCCTGTGTTGGAGTGTATGTACGTGTGTGTGTGTTTGTGTATGTGCTAGTTTGCTGGCTAATTGCAAGCTTCATTTTTCTCTCCTGAGAAAGGCAAGATATCTGAGAATGAACACCATTTGTTTTTTTAAGTAATCCTTAGAGCTGAAAGTTGGGAGGCTGGTCGTTTCTGAATGTAGGTCAAATGCTAAACAAGCCGCAACTTCTCTGCAGAGTGTGAGAGTCTTCCTGGTCTGGAAGGATCCCTGAAGATTCTGCTGGATTCTCTGAGACGAGAAAGAGCTTGACTGTGTGTTGTCCTTCCCAGTTCCAGATCAGAGCTGCCTTCCAGCAGGACCTTGGGGATGCCCCACTGTTCTCTGGCATAGAGCTTGATGTCTGCTCTTTCAGCTCACTGGGGTGACACACAGCTCTATTGTTGCCACCGCTACTGGGCCTTTACCAGGCTCCAGATTTTGGCAACGGGAATAATGCAGATGAAAGGAAAAAAGGAGAGGCATAGGGAGCCCTGGGAACAGAAAGGAGAAGGAAGATGATGAGACAAGGGAAGAAGAAATGGAAGTTTTAATGAAGGAAGATGAAAAGGTAATAGGCCAAGGTATGGACATACCAGTTTTATCTATGAAAACTGGGCTGAGTGACACATTTTCATTCCATTTTGTAGAACCCTATAGTGCATTTCCAAGCTCTTTACTGTGACCATGTGAAATACATGAAATTGATGAGTTAGTGTAACCTGTGTTACAAATCCAGCAGTAAAGATATGTGTATGAGATGTTCATGAGATTTCAAAATCACTGTACCTACCTCCTGGGTGAGGCAAACATTTTGAGTCAGTTGAGAGGGATCGCTCATTCACTCTTGCAGCGGGAAGGCAGAGAAGTTTCAGTTTATCTTCTGTTCTGTCTCAATCAGTTGGGTAGAATGAGTGTTTAGCGTGAGGATGAATCAGGTCCCCTCTTGCCAGCAGAGGGGTAAGGTGGTGTGTGGTGGATTGGAGAGGATGTCCTGAGGGCCAGACACCAGCCAGGGCGGGGTTGGGTGACCCGTGGGGTTTATTCTGTGATGTCACAACGGCAGTCAGGGGTCTCCCTGTTGCTCCCTCAGCCTCCTCCCATAAGGATTGGGGGGGGTCATGCTGGGTACCTACCAGTGGCTGGATGTCTTCTGAGGTCGTCCAGATCAGTGCTTATCTTATTGTGCATAAGATTCACCTGGGGAACTTAGTCAAGTGCAGATCCTGACTTAGTCAAGTGCAGAGTCTGGGATGGCTCTCACGTGAGTCCAGCCAGACCACACTGAGTTGTGAGACTCTAGACCAGTGCTGTCAAAGCAAAATGCAATGTGGGCAGCATATGTCATTTAAAATTTTCTGGTAGCCACATTAAAAAAAGTAAATTGGACACACATACTGTGATACAGCAATCATATGTTATACAATACTATGTTTAAAATGTAGCCCTCCCCACACAATAAAGTTGGGTTTAATGAAAAATATTTTATACTACTTTCATTTTAAAATTAAAATTTAGTGAATTCAAATTACATAAAATTAGAAATTCAGTTGCTCAGTTGCACTATCCATATCATAAGGGCTCCACAGCCACACATGGCAAGTAGCTACTGTATTGGATGGCACAACTCAAGGCCATTCCCTGAAAAGGTAACAATGTACAGAAATTACCATTCTAAAGGGCTAGTATCTGGAAACCCAGCAAACATTCACTAACATCATTTTAATGAATACATAATTAGTGTTTGGGGACTGTTAATATGGAGGCATAACTCTCGGAGACTGGAAGAGGGCCTCATCCAGGATTCCAGCTAACAGTCTGGATGGGGCCCTCTGCCCTGTGAAACCTGTCACACTCAGTCCTCCTCTGAGCTTTTGCCAGGGTTCCCCTCACTGGGATCCCTTCCTTCTCCTTGCTGCCCTGCCTAAATCTTACACAACCTCAGGGCACATGATTCCAGTCTCACTACCTTGTGGCTCTAGCCCTCCTTACTCCCCATTTCCTCTTTGCTCATACAGCATGCCTGCTTTGCTTTTGGTGTGTTAGTCTGTTTCTCTCGTGAAATTCTAAGCTGCTTGAGGACAGAATCTGGTTTTTTACTTCTATCGTGCTTAATATAGTGCCAAGGGCATAGTAGCTGCTCAAGAAATATTTATTATTTTATTTAATGACCTAAACTACCTAAGGAAGTATCTAAGAGAGAACATCGGATCTCGAAGTGCCAATAACTTCCCCAATGGAACAACATGCCTTATTTTTGGCACATCTTAAATTGATCAAGATGTCCGTTATAAGTTAATTTATAAATTTAATACAAATAACCATGAGTATTTTAAAAGACCAACACAAGTTGATATTAAAGTTTATATGGGAAAAAAATACACAAGACTAGCTAGGAAAACCCTGAAAAGGAAGAGCTCTGAGGTGGTGCTAGCCCTAATTGATATAAAGCATACTACAAAGCCTCTATGATTAAAACAACATGGCACATGTATACATATGTAACAAACCCGCACGTTGTGCACATGTACGCTAGAACTTAAAGTATATTAAAAAAAACAAAAAAACCAAAAAAAAACAATGTGGTACTGGTGCATGACTAGACAAACAGGCCAATGGAAGAGAACAGAAAGTCTAGAGATAAACACAGCTATGTATAGACTTCCAGTATAGGACAAAGGTGATATCTGTAATCACTGGGGCACAGATGATTTTTTTAAGAAATGTTGTTGGGATAAACTAGATAGCCATTTAGAAAAATATAAATTATATTTATTTAAAAATCATATACAAGAATAAACTCTAGATGGACTAGAGATCTGAATTTTAAAAATGAGATTATGGCCGGATGCTTAATCCCAGCACGTCAGGAGGCCGAGGCAGGAGGATAACTTGAGCCCAGGAGTTCAAGACCAGCCTGGGCAACACAGTGAAACCTTATTGCTACGAAAAGTACAAAAATTAGCTGGGCGAGGTTGTGAGCGCTTGTAGTCCCAGCTACTTGGGAGACCGAGGTGGGAGGATTGCTTGAGCCCGGGAAGTTGAGGCTGCAGTGAGCCATGATCCTGCCACTGAACTCCAGCCTGGGCGATGCTGGGTGACAGCGCAAGACTGCCTCAAAAAAAGAAAAAAAAAAAAAAAAGAGAGAGAGAGAGAGAGAGACATATGAATGACCCTAAATATATGAAAAAATGTTCAACTTCACATATAGTAAACATAATGCAATTTAAAACTAGAATGAAATATCACTTCTCATCCACCAGACTGACAAAATTATAAAGTTTGACAGTGCAATCTGTTGATGATGCTGTGGGGAACAGACGCTCTCACTCATTGCTAGTGGGAATCCCAAATGGTGTACCCCTTTGGTGAATTTGGCAATATCTAACACAACTGCATGTGCATCCCATCACCCAGAAATCCTACTTCTAGAAATTTACCCTGAAGATACACCTCCAACAATAGGCATGAAGCTATTCATTACAACATATTTGTAATTGTAAAATATGGAAACTACCTAAATAAGAATTGGTGGAATTAATTATGGTTCATACACACAATGAGGTACTATGCAGCTATAAAAAACAAAGCAAACAAGGGAGATTTCTATGAACTGATATGGAATGCTAAGTACATAAGAGGATATATAGTATACTATCTTTTGTGTAAAAAAGAAAAGAGGGGAAACAAAATGTACATCTATCTGCTTATTGTTACCAAACGAAGTTCAGGAAGGATAAACCAGAAAACAATAAAGTTGGTTGTTTACTGGGGGTGGGGAATGGAAATGATTCTGGAAGGAGTGACACTTCTCTGAGAAGTTTTTATGATATAGTTTTGACTTTTGGGAGCATGCTAATGTTCCACATGTTTGAAAATAAAATTATAACAAGTTGAGAAGGAAAAGAAAAGCCTGAAACCAAAAGCAAATGGAAACAAGTGACCTCAGTGGTATTTCAGATAAATACTATAACCACGCAGAAAGGGAAAAAACAAAAGAAAGAACAAATCCAAGGAACTCTTGAATACAGTGCTTGACTATCTACTGGTCAGTCTTGGGTAAAGTTGAGTGGGGGAGAATTGCAAACAACTCCTGAACTCTTTTTATTTATTTATAACTGTAAAAAATTTATTTTATTTTAGATTCAGTGGGTACATGTGCAGGCTTGTTACATGAGTATACTGTGTGATGCTGAGGTTTGGGCTGCTAATGATTTCATCACTCAAGTAGTGAACATAAGTGAACATGGCATCCGATAGATAGTTTTTCAATACCTGCTGCCCTCTCTCCCTAACCCCCTTTAGAATTCCCAGTGTTTATTGTTCCCATTTTTGTGTCCATGTGTACCCAATGTTTAGCTCCCACTTATAAATATGCTGTATTTGGTTTTCTGTTTCTGCATTAACTTGCTTAGAATAATGGCCTCCACCTGCATCCATGTTGCTGCAAAGGACATGATTTCCTTCTTGTTTATGGCTGTGTATTAATAGTATTCCAGGGTGTATATGTACCACATTTTAGGAATCTAACCCACCATTGATGGGCAGCTGGGTTGATTCTGTATGTTTGCTATTGTGAATAGTGCTGTGATAAACACACAAGTACAGGCTGAGTGAGATGGCTCACACCTGTAATCCTAGCACTTTGGGAGGCTGAGGCAGGAGGATTGCTTGAAGCCAAGAGTTCAAAACCAGCCTGGGCAGAAAAGTGAGACCCTCTCTCTGAAAAAAATAAACAAACCCCTCAAGTCAGCTGGGCGTGGTGGCCCGTGCCTGTAATCCCAGCTATATGAGAAGCTGAGGGAGGATGGCTTGAGCCCAAGAGTTTGAGGCTGCAGTGAGCTATGATCATGCCACTACATTCCAGCCTGTGTATCAGAGCAAGACTCTCTTAAAAAAAACAAAATAATACAAAACCCCAAAAAACATACAAGTGCAGGTGTCTTTTTGATAGAATGATTTATTTTCCTTTGAGTGTGTACCCAGTAATGAGATTGCTGGGTTGAATAGTATTTCTAATTTTAGTTCTTTGAGAAATTTCCAAACTGCCTTCCACAGGGGCTGAACTAATTTGCATTCCCAGCAACAGTGTATAGGCGTTCTCTTTTCTCTACAACCTTGCTAACATCTGTTATTGTTTGATTTTTTGGTAATAGCCATTCTGATTGGTGTGAGATGGTATCTCATTGTGATTTTGATTTGCATCTCTCTGATAATTAGTGATTTTGATAATTTTTTCATATGTTGGTTGGTGGCTTGTATGTTTTCTTTTAGAAGTGTCTGTTCATGCTTTTGCCCACTTTTTAATGGAATTATTTGTTTTTTTTTCTTGTTGATTTGTTTCAGTTCCTTATAGATTCTGGATATTAGGTGTTTGTCAGATGCATAGTTTGCAAATATTTTCTCCCCTTAAGTAGGTTGTCTGTTTACTCTGTTGATAGTTGCTTTTGCTGTGCAGAAGCTTTTTAGTTTAGTTAGGTCCCAACTGTCAATTTTTGTTTCTGTGGCGTTTGATTTTGAGGACTTAGCCATGAATTCTTTGCCTAGACCAATGTCTAGAAGAGTACTTCCTAGGTTTTCTAGGATTTTTATAGCTCGAGGTCTTACATTTAAGTCTTTAATCCATCTTGAGTTAATTTTTGTATATGGTGAGAAATAGGGTCTGGTTTCGTTCTTCCGCATATGGCTAGCCAGTTTCCCAGCACCACTTACTGAATAGGTTATTCTTTCCCCATTGTTTAATTTTGTTGACTTTGTTGAAGATCAGTTGGTCGTAGGTATGTACCTTGGTTTCAGGGGTCTCTATTCTGTTCCATTGCTATGTGTTCATGTTTTGTACCAGGTACCATGCTGTTTTGGTTACTGTAGCCTTGCAGTATAGTTTGAAGTTGGGAAGTATGATGTCTCTGGCTTTATTCTTTTTGCTTAGGATTGCCTTGGCTATTTGGGCCCTTTTTAATTCCATGTGAAGTTTGAAACAGTTTTTTTCTAATTCCGAAAAAATTAATGTTGTAGTTTGATAGGGAATTGAATCTGTAGTCTGCTTTAGGCAGTATGGTGATTTTAATGATATTGATTATTCCAATCCATGAGCACTGCATGCTTTCCCATTTGTTTATGTTGTCTATAATTTATTTTAGCAGTGTTCTATAATTCTCTTTGTAGAGATCTTTCACCTCCTTGGTTGGATGTATTCCTAGGTTTGTGTGTGTGTGTGTGTGTGTGTGTGTGTGTGCATGGCTATTGTAAATGGGATTGTGTTTTTGATTTCTTGATTTGGTTCTCAACTTGAATGTTATCAGTGTATAGAAATGTTACTGATTTTTGTGCGTTGATTTTTTTTTTTTTTTTTGAGACGGAGTCTCGCTCTGTCACCCAGGCTGGAGTGCAGTGGCATGATCTCAGCTCACTGCAGCCTCTGCCTCCTGGGTTCAAGCTATTCTCCTGCCTTAGCCTCCTGCAGGTAGCTGGGATTACAAGCATGCACCACCATGCCCGGCTCATTTTTGTATTTTTAGTAGATACGGGGTTTCACCATGTTGGCGAGGCTGGTCTTGAACTCCTGACCTCAAGTGATCTGCCCACCTGAGCCTCCCAAAGTGTTGGGATTACAGGCATGAGTCACCACGCCCAGCCTGTGCATTGATTTTATATCCTAAGGCTTTGCAGAAGTTTACCAAGACTAGGAGTTTTTTGGTAGAATCTTTAAGGTTTTCTAGGTATAGTTTCATATTATCAGCAAAGAGATAGTTTGACAACTTCTTTTCCTAGTTGGATGCCTTTTATTTCTTTCTCTTGCCTGATTGCTCTGACTTTGGGTAATGTGTTGAATATGAGTGGTGAGAGTGGATATTCTTGTCTTGTTCCCATTCTTAGGGGTTTCCCATTCAGTATTATGTTGGCTGTGGGTTTGTTTTAAGTGGCTGTTATTATTTTGAGGTACGTTCCTTTGATGCCTAGTTTGTTGAAGGTTTTTATCATGAAGGATGCTGGATTTTATCAAATGCTTTTTCTGAATCTATCGAGATGATCATATCATATGTTTTTTGTTTTTAAGTATGTTTATGTGGTGTATCGCATTTACTGATTTGTGTATGTTGAGCCATCCTTGCATCCCAGGAATAAAGCCCACTTGATTGTGATGAATTAACTTTTTGATGTACTGCTGGATTCAGTTTGCTAGTATTTTTTCAAGGATTTTTGTATCCATGTTAATCAGGGATATTGGTCTATAGTTTTCTTTTTTTGTTGTGTCTTTGTCAGATTTGGGTATCAGGATGATACTGGTTTTGTAGAATGAGCTAGTGGGGAGTCCCCCCTCCTTGATATTTTGGAATAGTCTCAGTAGGATTGGTACCAGCTCTTCTTTGTATGTCTGGTAGAATTTGGCTATGAATCCATCTGGTTCAGGGCTTTTTGTGGTTGTCAGTTTTTTTAAATTATTGATTCTATTTAATTACTCATTCTTGGTCTGCTGAGCTATTTTTAGTGTATATACCTTATTCATCTTGGGGTAGGTTGTGAAACAATTGTGGAACTATTTTGGATGTATTGTGGGATTGGGCACATGAATAAATGCTGTTGAGAGCCAGAGTTCTCATTATGGGAAAGGAACATCAACATATGGAATGGAGGAAGGCAAGAAGGAACCTATGGGTTCGATTGGAATTAGGGGCATCAGTATGAAGTCATGATTTCTTGTATTTATATATGAAATACACACATGTACATACATGCATGTACACATAAACACGTATGCATGTATATTTGTCTATGTATATATGCGTATTATATTTGCATACGTATGTGTAAATAAATGAGTATTTTTTTTCTAGTTTTATTTACTAAAAGGACTTAGAAAGAAAGATTCCCCAGTAGCAATGAAAAACTAGCACTCAAATCTTGGTCTCTAATACTAAGAGGAACTAGAGCTCCTCAAATAAATGTCCAATTCCAGAGCCTGGATAGGGCAGGTAGAAGATGAACCTGGAACATCTTGATATGCCAAAAAGTAAAGAAATGCCTATGAAAAAATGATGGGGACATTTCACAGGGACACACCAGCCCCCTGAAGGGATTCCTACTGGCTAAATCTGGTACAATTTAAGCACCAAAATAATTAAACACAGTATTAAATTATAAGCCACTGGAAAAAAACAGGACTTTGTGAGTCCATATGGATGATAAATAGATAGGCAAATAAATATATACATAAATGAATGAGAAGAGAAGACTCTTGCTTACTGTACAAAGCAAGGAGCTGACTGGTGAATATGGAGGGTGTGCTGAAGTTGGAAGATCGTAATTTTGCACCTATTCTATTAAATATGAATTTAGACACGATCATCAATGGATGCTAAATACAGAGGAACATTTTAATGGGGAACAGGCCAGTTGCATGGTCTTAAACTGTCTCCCCACAGATTGCTTATTAGTTGTAAGGGAAAAAGTAGCCCTACAATAGGGAACTCAGATAACACTTTACACAGTCAAGAAATCGAATAACAGCTTGACCAGGTAATTAAAATTGACTTCAGCTTGAGGAGGCAGATGGCCATTGTGTGTCTCCTGAGAAGGGCACAATGTACTTATGTAGTATTCAGGCAGTGACTGTATAACCTGAGTCTAAACGCAAGAAATCATCATACAAATTCAAAATGAGTAAATACTCCATTTTTAGAAGTTGGATTTGTATTCTTCAAAAATGTCAATGTCAAGACAATATTAAAAGCATCTAGGGACCCCCTATACAGTTCTCAACTGTTTTCTAGGGGTAGATGTGAATACATCCGGAACATCTGACATTAGATCCTTTTGGGACTATAGGCTCAGGTCCCACTGTGGCTTCCAGGTGTTCATTGCTGTTGATTTCTTGTTTACTCTCTTATTTTTCATATAGGGAAGTGGAACGCTGTTTTTTCTAGTTCCACCTGGTTCATTCCTGGGGGCAGAGAATATATCTTACTTATCTCTGAAATTCCCACAGTGCCCGAAACACAGGTGCATGCTCAGTTAACATTTGCTGACCTGAAATGGATTGAATGAATCCAGATTGTTCTAGTATCAGAATTTTTGTCTGGAGGTCTGGGGGAAAAAACCCCTTTAAAATCAAGGAGTGTAGTCTAATCAGCAGTATTTCCAAGATCTCCTTTTTTTGGATCTGGTGAAAGTGGTATAAGCAAAGCTGGATAAAGAGTTTAGCAGAAAAAGTGGTTGTGGTAGGCTGAAAATACTCCCTGCAACCCCCTGACCCAAAAGATATCCATATCCTGTGACTGTTATTTGCCAAAAAAGGACTTTGCAGATGTGATTAAGTTAAGGATTTTGAGATAGAGACTATCCTGGATCATCAGGGTGGGCCCTAAATATGATTACATGTATCCTTATGAGAGGGAGGCAGAGGGAGATTTGACACATACTGAAGAGGAGCAGGCAACACGACTGTGGAGGCAGAGGATGCAGCCACAAGCCAGGGAATGCTGGCAGCCATCCGACGTCAGAAGAGGCAAGGAAGGATTTGCTCCTGAGCCTCCAGAGAAAGTGCAGTTCTGCTGATACCTTGATTTTGGCTCAAGGAAACAGATTTTAGACTCTTGGCCTCCAGAATTTTGAGAGAATAAATTTCTGTTGTTTTGAGCCACGAAGTTAGTGATAATTTATTACAGCAGACTTAGAAAAGTAATACAGTGGTAAAATGGAAATTACTTCAATTCCATTTCTACTAGTAACTCATACGCATACTTTCAGGAAGGCGTGTTCTCTCTGAGCCTTATTGTTTTAATTTATGACATAGAAAAATTGAACACATAAAGATATAGTGCATAAAGGAGCACAAGTATGAAAAACACAACTTCTTCCTGCAAACCTCTCCTCCCTCTAATAGATAAAGGCAAGTGGTTCCCATCCTTACCTGCTTTCCTTGATCCATTCCAGTATTACGGACCACAACATGATCTAAAGTGACCATATGAATAATTCTACCTCTTGCCTTTTCTTTGTTAAAGCATTGTTAGTCTGAGAAAGGATCCCACTCAGACTTAAAAAAAAAAATCCCATTGCATTTTCTGATTAGTCATACTCTCCTTAATGAAATTGAACAGACTTAAACTCCTCATCCATAATAATAATAATATAATGTTGACTGGCTAATATTTATGGACTACTTAAAATGTACCAGGTACTATGCTATAGACTTTTTTGCTTATTGTCTCATTTAATCTCCATAATGCAATAAGGTATGTCCTATTAATATTATTTTACTGAAGAGGAACCTGAGGATGTGGCTTTATTGATGGTGACATATGACTTTCTGATCAATTACAGCAGGACCACAGTTTTTATGGGGATTCATGCGAGTGGGAGTACTATGGCCGAGATACACATTTTGTCCAACTTGCTATGGTGATTAGCAAATATGTCAGAGTTTCAGAGAAGGTGACTCTCCATGGAGGCAAACCGAGAGTGGGCAGGATGTATGGAGAGAATTTCCAATGGAGTTTGGACTCTGCTGAGTCATCAGGGACCCAGACATAACTGCTATTTTAGATTGGATATTGCTCAGGGGAGTCTGCTCGATTATCCAACCACCTCTGGCATCATGCAGCTTTGAGAAGCGGCCAGGGCAGGACTTTTCTCAAATGTAGGTCATTTGCAGCGTGGCTTTGAAGATTCCAAACCATCTGCATTCTCTATTGAGGAAAAGGTAGTTTTTAACATTTGGATGTGATACTATCCATGAAGCAAAGAACAATTAAAAAATGCACAAATTTCACTCCTGTTTATATTTCAGTCTCAAGGCTGGTTATGACACTCTTGCTTTTCCTCTAAATGCAAGTAGTTGCTGTTACCTTAGAAAGATGATGGGACGGATTGTAAGTAGAACTGAGTTGCAGAGTTTGTGGCAGAACTCTTGGGTAAGTCGTGGAACCTTTGGGTGTTGCCCCTTTAAAAAGTGAATTGATACAACCTTCCCTGCTTACTGCATAAAGACATCATAAGGTTAAAATAAGGAAATATAAACTTCTTAAGAGCTTTGGATTTAGACTGATCTTGGTTTAAATTCTGCCTTTTCCACTTCTATGCTATAGGACTTTGGGGAAATTTATTCAAAATCTCTATTTTGAATACATTTAGTCCTCAGTTTCTATATGCAAAGAGTGGAGATAATAAAAGCTACTTCATAGAGTCTTAGAGGGGATTTAATGAGATGACAATTATAAAGCATTTACATGTGCACAGAGTAAACATTTAATTAATGGAAACTATTATTAATGTTCACACTTTATATGTTTATATAAAAGGAATTAAAAGGTGAAAAAGAATTAAACAGTATATTAGTTGTAGTAGTAGTAGAACATGCAAGGCTTGCGAAATTAAAGCATGCGTCTGAATCTATGCAAGTGTGTTTTGATTTACTAATGACAGTAAGCAAGGTGAATATGCTTGTTCCAGTGATTGGCTTCAGACATAGGAGTATGACCAAACTCTAATGAGTTTTCCTTGGTTGAGACATAGCACACCTATGTTTAGACTTCATGTACTGGTATTTGGTGAAGCATTTTATGTCCTGTTAACTTGATATTCGTCTTCTTCTATTTCCTCTTGAGACTGTAAATTCCTTGAGCATAATGACAGCATTTCCTCTGTGGCCGTAAAGCCCTGAAGGGCTTGGTGAGGACTGTGTGGGTGTTCAATATATTAAGTACTAATTGGTGCCAGAGGAAAGCTGAGATTGTTATTAACTTTTCCACCCAATGTGATTCTGGGGAGCTGAATGTGGTGCACACAGGGAGCGGGCTCTAGAAAGCCTAATGATTTGCCAGGAATTCGGGGCCGCTTACAAAGGAATGCTTGAGCGGCTCTCTCCCCAGGGCTTCCATCGACAGTGGCGTGAACGAAAGTACATTCTATAAAGCAAAGAGGATTGGTTCTGCCTCCTTTAGTTCTCTTTTGAAGTGCTGCCTTTCATTAATTTAGACACTGAAGTCCATGCCTCACCACTCCCTAGCCGTGGGAGCTTGAGTATGTCATTAGGTCACTTTGAGCTTCAGTTTTTTTATTTTTAAAACAGGAGTGATAATATCAATTCCGTTTACTTCACGGGGTTGTCATCAGCATCCGATGAGATAGTATACAGACAAGCTATGCACACTGTCAGGCATGATACACATGGAAGATACTATTATGATGTCATCAGCTAGGGCCTTGGTCTTTATTGGTGGCTTCCTTCCTCAGAGATGACAATCAGCTGCGTTCAAAGCTTTACATGCTTCCTTGGCTTCTAGGAGGGATGGCTGTACAGAGCACTCTGGGGGCTGAGCCCCTTGGTGGCCCCAGTTCTCCAGTGCATGGACTGTGCTTCGATTGTCCCCAAACAGCACAGATGCAAACCTGTCTGTCCTTCAGAAGTAAAGGAGAGGTGCATGAATATATTCCCCCATTCCAACACACGTGTGTTCACATGGACTAGCCACTGTTTCACGCAGGGCCCCTGGGAGCACTGGCCGGCATTTAGGAAATGGCTGGCTGTGAGTGGGGTGCTTTTGAGGACCCCAGAGCAGAATTTCCCTGTGGGAAGGTAACCAGCCCCTAGTGGATCAGGGCTCCTGGTGTTTTCTGGGTCTTCTGCTAGTATTTCTACCATGACACATCCCTTGTCTACTCCACATTTTGCCAGATTTCTCCTTTGAGTGTCTCTACTTTAACTTATGGTATGGGGTGAAAGAATGATAAGCCACTGGTACACCTGGCCCATGGAGCTTTAAGCCTGACTTGCCTAGTGACAAAGTCAGTTGCTGATGCCAGATAGGTCTCCTATCCATGCCTCCTCAGGTGCCTCGGGAAGGGGACACCATCAGCTCTCAACATTACACCCACCACCTCATTTTTCTGGGAGATTTCCGAAAGACAACGGGCATCTGAGCTTGCTTTTGCCCCTCCTGTTGGTAACTATAAGACACAGAGAAAGACAGAGGTGGCTGGTCCCGTGGAAAAGTCTAGGGGCTTCCTTGCTTACATTTCTCATCATGTGTGTTCCTATTAATATTTACAAACTCTTCAGGCAGCTCATGAACAAATTCCCTTCTTGCCACTTTGTCCATTTCATTGCTTTACCTGGAGGAAGGTGTTTCCAGGGCAGTCACAAACTCCTTTAAGCTTAAATCACAGCATCACTGAACTTCAGAGTAAGTAGGGGCCTTGGACATATCTATCCTAAAGATTTCATGTGAGCTCATGTGGACCCTGAAGCTCAAAGAGGAGAGACGATTTAAAGTCCTTCAGCTGAGCAGGGCAAGAGAGACTCCCACTCTGCACTGGACTGAAGTTCCTCTTTGCAATAATCAAAGAATCATAAACTAGAAAGAAACTTGAAAGATCCTTGCTCTACTCCTTTAATTGAGGCAGCATTACTTCATCTTAGATGATTTCTTTTGCTGAGATCCCTTCCAAGCCTCTCTCTCTTTCTCTTTTTGCTTGCTTTTTCTCTTAATTCCTCCCTCCCTATAAGCTGTAACTAAAAAATTACTATTTTAGCCACGAGGTATGTGATGCATGCAAAAAATAAATTAGCAAAACAGAACAGTGCTGTAATCTGAAAGGACAACTGTCTCCTGGACACTGTTTCCTACCTGGCCCACAGGGACACCAGCCTGGGCCCTTCTCACGCCCCTCCTGCTGTTGCTGCCCATTTGTTTTGAACTTAGATCCCTTCATCAGGTCCCCTACGCCCCAAAGAACACCCTGTTCAGAAAGCTGTATCACTCCTCCACCCTGCCTGCCCCAGCCGCGGAATTCCAAGCCAAACAGCGCTTTCCTGCCTTTTCCATTCCGTACAACATTCCTGGGCTTGTTTCCGCTGCTGGCATGCAGCTCATAGGTAGAGGAAAATGGAGCAAACCTTTGAAGGAATATGTTCAATCATCACAATGGAAATGATGAAAAGTAGATAAAAAGTATAAGCCATGTAGTTACAAATCCTTAAAAAGATTGCTATCTCAAAACATCTTGTATATGCAAATTTAATAATTGCAAGCTTGGAAGTGTTGTGAAGCCAACACAAGCTATTTGGGAGCTGAGGGGCTGTGGACCCTCTTTCTGGTGACCAGTAATTGAGACCCAAACCAGGACTCTTTTGAGAGTGAAAAGGTGTGTTACTGACGAGGATGCCAGTGGGCTTCTAGCTGGTACTTAAATACTTTACTGAGATCAGGAACTTCATTTGTCTTTGAATATCTCTGAGCATTTCCTGAAATTAGCATCTTTGCCTTTGTGTGACTTCTCCCCCTTGGGATCCCCAGGCAGGGAAAGCCTCATCCCTCTTCCCAAGAGGACAGCTGAGCTATTTGGGAACAGCTCTCCCATCTCCTGCGTCTTTTCTTCTTCAGGCTAAACATCTCTAGGTCCTTCAGCAGTCCCTTATTTGGGGTAGTTTTCTGGCCTTTCATTGGCCTGGTTGCTCCTCTGCATGAGCTGCGTTTGGTCTGTGTTTTACAGAGTCTGGCCAGAGCTCGGTGCAGCTTCCTCCAGCCTCTAGTTCTCGTGTCTTTCAGCCTGACCTGACACAGCCGCTTCTTAGACTCAGGGAGCAGACGCTCAGCCCCCTCATTTCCTTGAGCTTCTTTTCACATACTTTCTTGGGCACAGCAGATGGGATTGGTGCTCATCAATGACAAGACCAGAATTAGGGGGAGGAACAAGGGCAGCAGTATGGGGGCTTTATTCACATCTGAGTTGCTCAAGGGCTTTATGAAATGAATATGATTCAATACCTGTGTCTCTTTTGCTATGTCAAGAGCTTCATTTCCAGGATCAGGCTACTTGGATACAAATCCTGTCTTGTCCTACTTAAACAATGTTTAAATTTGAGCAAGTTACTTCATTCCTTTGTGCCTCAGTTTCCTCCTTTGGGAGATGTAAAATCGTACAGGATCAAATTAAAAGTACTGAGAACAGCATTTGGCAACATGGTACATCTCAACCCATGCTGTAAATATTATCGTTATTATTCTCCCTGCCCTCCTTTTCTCTTGGTGCTGTTGGTTACTCTTGGGGAGATTTTCCAGAGCAGCAAAAACTGCACCTTGCATGAGTGCTTCAAGCTGAAAAGTCACCTTCTGCCCTCTAGATTGCAGGTGTCTCTGGGGGAGGAGAACAACACCTAAAGCCTGTCATTAATGCCTTTCAGGCTCCTGAGGCCTTTCATCCTGAAAGATTCCAAGGCCCTCGAATAAAAGAAGCAAAAACATTCATTAAAACATTAACAATTGCATGGCAGGTACAACAAGTCATCCCGATGATACAGCCCATTATGAAACATGCTCGTTATCTGGAGCATTCAAGCAGTTTTAAGAGGTTTTGCTTATTCCAAGTAATCTTTGAATTTCAGTGACCAGTTGAACCCAGAATCTCCTTTCCATTCCTTCTTCCCCTCTCCCTTGGCAAACCAGAGACAAAGGCTTGGTCTGAAGGTCCCCTCCAGCTCTGTTTTCTCAGATGGGGCAAAGTGGAAAGCACAAGACAAAAGAGGGAGAGGGCAGTCATACTGGATCCCCACAAAATAACATCACCAACAGCAGAGAGAAATGGGCCTTTCATCTGAAGATCTCAGATCTATTTATACTCAACATATCTGGTATCTGCTGTTAGGCATAGCTGTGCTTAATTTCTGACTTGACCCAGGTTAGAGTGTCACTTCTTAGGTGTAAACAGCAGCAACAGTAATGTGTTGGCTTGTGAAAAGATCAGTCCATTGTTTCTCATTTTTAATCAACTCTGGAACATTCGTCAGTCAAGGATGTGCAAAAGATCTGCTCCAGCCTCAGTTCTGGGCTGCGTGGTTGGGCCAGCTGATTGCACTGTAGTGACCACATAGTGGGTCATTTGGAGGTTGGCACATGCACAGCTGTGAATTGTCCAAGGCTGACTCAGTCTAATTCACTAGCACTCAGTTGCATTGCAAATCCCTCATTTTTAGTGAAAGAAAGTGATGGCAAAATTTTATTTCCTGATCACCCATGTGAACAGTCTCAATAGGGTGTGCCATCTGCTAGAGATAACCTGAACCTATCAATCTGAAGGATTAGGGTTCATTGATGAGGGCAGATCTGCTCACCACACGGGCTTTTAAAGACATACATTCCTGGGCTGGGTGTGGTGGCTCATGCCTGTAATCCCAGCACTTTGGGAGGCCGAGGTGGGTGGATCACTTGAGGTCAGGAGTTCAAGACCAGCCTGGCCACTGTGGCAAAATGCTGTCTCTACTAAAAACAAAAAAATTAGCCGGGCATGGTGGTGGGCACCTGTAATCCCAGCTACTCAGGAGGCTAAGGTAGAAGAATTGCTTGAACCCGGAAGGCAGAGGTTACAGTGAGCCGAGATTGTGGCACTGTACTCCAGCCTGGGCAACTGAGTGAGACTTCATCTCAAAAAAAAAAAAATACATATATATATGTCTATATATATGTATGTCCATATAATCATGTTTATACACACACACACACACACACACACGTATATATGATTTCCATTTCCAGTGGCAACAGATGCCACTAGATTTTCCTCTTGCCTGCTGCCCTTGTCCTCTGCACCGATGGGTGTTCCTTTTGTCCTCTGCTCAATGCATGGCTGGCAGGCATGGAGGTGGCACTCAATGAAACTGGCTGTTGCCTCTCACTGTCACCACTCTCTTGGGTTTGGTGGCACATTCTTATCCCGCATTTCTAGTTTCTTAAGGGAGATGTAAAGAGAGAAGTGAATTAACATTCAGTGGATGCTTATAATGAATCAGACGCGTTACATACATGAGTTCAATTAATTTTGCAGGTCGTAATGTGACCTGAGAGATGTGGCGTTTTTGAAAATCCAAGTTAAGGAACACAGTGGGTAATACACATATTAATATACATTTAGACCAGAACACAGGAGATAAGAGGGCAGGGAGATTCCCTGTAAGGCCTCCTCTATTCTTTCTGCTCACAGGGGATGAAAGCGCTGAAATGCTGTCAGATTCTAGCATTGGTATACTTCCACATTTGGGTACTTTTTGGGGTTACAAATTCTTGTTTGCAGGTTCCTGAAATGATAGATTTATTTACATTCTGGACTATCATACCATTGGCAGTGGCATTTTGGATCTGTGTTAGTGTCTCTGTAGAAACACTTTAGTATCTTTAGCCTAACTCATTGGGAGAACATTCTCAGCTCTTAGTTAGCCACATGTCTGAGGATCATAGCTGTTAGACCATGAGGCCATAACCAAGGCATCTCTCTCACCTTGCAGGACAAACATCTTGGAGGAGGAAGTAAACTGCTTGTATTACCGCCAATCTGTAAAAATGCAGGCAATGGCATAATAACCATTTGTAATGTCAGCTGATTTTGGTTCCTATTGCTTTAGTTTTGCTTTTGCTCACAAGAATTATTTCTTGCTGATCATAATAGCTTAGACCTTAATTCCATTAACATGTTTTTGGAATAGATGACATGCTTGGTGGCTCAGGGATCCTAGGAACGGGGCAAAGATGTGGCTTCTGAGGTTTGACCCTGACTGTGTTCTGTAGGTGGGCAAATGGCCTGTTCCACATGACGAGTTGCTGGAAAGAACTAATATGAATTATTGCAGTTGACTTTGCATACATAAATACTTAAGTTGTGCTTAATAATACACTCGATGCAAATATCCTGCAAACACATTTACTGCTAAACCAGCTTCAGATAAGTTCAATGGGTTTGCCATCCCACAAACAGTTTTTACCAGCCTGCCCTCTCTCCAGGATATAAAGCCTGTATCATAGAGACAGTAAAACTGAGTAAAAATGATTAACATTCTTTCCTATTGACTTTTCTTAAGCTTCCCCTGGAAATAAGTATGTAGAATGGTGATGTGTGAGACTCAATCCATACACAAGTGTTTACTGCCATCTCGTGTGTTCCCACCATAAAGCTAAGCATAGATGCTTGATCCAGAAGAGGTGAAAGATATGATCCCTGCCTCCCTCGTGCATGAATAATCAAGTCCGAGAGCTAAAAATAACACTCAAGAAGCAAGCATAAAATTTTTTGACAATATGTATAAGTGATGTGACTAACCTCTGTCCTGGAGTATTTGAAAAGGTCACCATGAAGACAAAGGGATGAGCAGGGCCTTGAAGAAGGTTTGGATTATTAATAATAATTACTTATAATGGAGTACATTAGCATTTACAGTGAGCTCTTTTTATAATCCCTCTGAGAAAGGTGACAGAAGGAGGGAAGACAATTTGTTGAGTAACTGTGCAAAGTGGACCAGATGACAACTGCTCAGGAAATAGGGTTCATTCTAAGAACTTACAGAACCCAACTCTTGTTTTCTTTTGCCCTTCCTTCCTTCCTTTCTTTTTTTTTCTTTCTTTCTTTTTCTTTCTTTCTTTCTTTCTTTCTCTTTCTTTCTTTCTTTCTTTCTTTCTTTCTTTCTTTCTTTCTTTCTTTCTCTTTCTTTCTTTTTCTTTCTTTTTTCTTTCTTTTCTTTCTTTCTTTCTTTTCTCTTTCTCTTTCTTTCTTTCTTTCTTTTCTCTCTCTCTCTTTCTTTTTTTTTTTTTGAGATGGGGTCTTGCTCCATTGCCCAGGCTGGAGTGCAGTGGTGTGATCTCAGCAGCCTCGACCTCCCAGGCTCAAGCAATCCTCCCACCTCAGCCTCCTGAGTAGCAAAGACTACAGGTTTGACCCCTATGCCTGTAACTTTCTTATTTTTATTATTGTAGAGATGGGGTTTTGCTATGTTGCCTAGGCTGGTCTGTAACTCCTGACCTCAAGTGATCCTCTTGCCTTGGCCTCCCAAAATGCTAGGATTATAGGTGTTAGCCACCATGCCTGGCTTCCCAACTCTTTTATAATGGACAGTAAGTCTGCTTGACTTCTGTTCCAAAGGAAAATTCTACTCTGTCTTACAAGGCTGCTTACTATACAAACATCCTTGAAAAAGTAATCTGGAACAAAAGATAGTCCGTGCCTTTCTCACAAAACATGGAAAAATGTGAGAGACCCATGGAGAATTCCCTCCTAACAACTTGCTCAATGTTCCCAAGCTAGCAGCAAGCATCTGGGTTAGGATTAGAAACCAAGCAGGCCGAGGAAAATTTAATGACCTCACTGACTCCCTGTCCAAGATCATCAGACTCCAATCTATCCCAATTTCTGGGACCACCTCTCTTCCTGTTTGGGCAATTTTGGCATTTGAGCAACACGGCCTTTATGTTGCTAGCCTGGCTCGTGTGGGGTAGCCCCGTGTCAGTGATTATGTTCCTTCTTTGTCCCTTGGGGCCACGCCCTGATCCTGGACTCCACTTTTGCGGTGTTTCTTTCCTAGTTCCTCAGGATGAAGTGCCTGCCTTGTCCTTGACCTAGTCCCACAATCCCAAGAATTCAGCTGCCATGTTCCAGGACACTCTTGGCCAGCATGATGCCTGGATCATTGTGTCTTCTATCCCAGATGTGCTGCTGTATGTGGGCCACTTGTCACGCTTGCAGGAGCTCCTCCATGTTGACCTACCCACCGAGACCTTTATCCTGTCACTTCCTCTGCTGACCTGAGACTGCTCCACAGGTTCTGTTGGATTTCAAGTATCTTCTTCTATAACATCTACTCCCATGTGCTTGTCTCACCCTGTACCATGTATTTTGTTGCTGGATCATTGTCTTGATGCACTCAGGCAGCAATAAAAGAATACCATAGCCTGGGTGGCTTATAAACAGCAGAAATTTATTTCTCACAGTTCTGGAGGATGGGAAGTCCAAGATCAAGGAGCTAGAAGATTTTGTGTCTGGGGAGAGCTTACTTTCTGGTTCAAAGACAGCTGTCTTCTCACTGTGTCACCACATGGTGGAAGGAGTGAGGGAGCTCTCTTTTTTTTTTTTTTTGTAAGGGCACTAATCCCATTCAAGACCTAATCACCTATTAAAGGCCTGACCTGCTACTGCCATCATATTGGGGGTTAGGATTTCAGCATATTGATTTTAGAGGGACACAAACATTCAGTTTCCAGCAGTCATTTGTCCAGTTGTTTACGTGGTTTCATTGCAATGAGGGGAGGGAGGTGGTGATGGGTGCTTCAAGGGTGGACAGCAAAGCAAAGTGCTGCAGAGAAATGAGTGTATTGGGCCAACCAGGAAGCCAGTCTGATCTGACCCAGGGTAAAGAATGGGAGAATAGAGACTTCCAATGCTAGGGTGAAGAATGCAAATAGAACTCAGTGACTGAATCATTGAACATCACAAGAGACTTCATGGTGGTGTGGACTGGTGGATAGAGTGTGGCTTGGGCATCGGGTAGAGATGGGTTTGAATCCTGGATCTGCTACCTATGAGGTGTGACCTTGGAACTTTTACTCTATGTCTCAGAGTTTCTCATCTAGAAAACTGTGGTAATGATACCTACCCCATGGGGCTGTTATGAAGATTGTCCATAAAACAGATACATCTAGCATGGTGACTTCGAATTATAAATGCTCGATAAATGGTAGCTGTTATAGATTGATCCTGATGGAATGCTAGCCCTGGAAGGACCCTTACGGCATATTTAATCTAACCTGTTTATTTTAGACATGAGAAGAAATGAAGCTCAGAGCAGTCAGCTAAGTGACCTGTTTGCTCAACCTTGCCAGGGGTGACAGAAACTTACTCATTGAACACTGATTACTTATCAAGGGCTTGATCGTGTGCAGTCAGACATTTATTGGTTGCTGACTCGCTGCCAGCAGACAGACAGCAGCATCCTCTGGAGACACAGGTGATGTGTTTGGTTATGGCTTACCCTGTAGTGGGGGCACTGTCCTCTCTTAGCTATGGACTATCTGGATGTAAACCAGTGAAGTCCTCTGTGATGTAGCCAGCCTACCAGCCCTTCAGCCTCACCGCCTTCCTTCAGTTCCTCAAAACTGCTCTACTCTTTGCTGCCACTTAGGGCCACTTCACTCAGCCAATTCCCAGTCATTTTTTAAGGTCTCAGCGTAAGTGCTGTTTTTCCAGAAAAGCCTTCCCAAATGCCAGCAGTGAGGTGAGGTTGCCTGTCATCTGCCCCCTTAATGCCTGGGTCTCCTCCTTCACTGCGCCTCTCCTGACATCATCAGTACCCACCTTTTCCACTAGGGAATCTCTGTAAGAGTGGAAATTGGTTGGTGTTGTTCACTGGGACACCCCCAGGGCCTGGCAGAGAGTAGATGCTTAGTGAATGTTGGTTAAATGACTGATTAAGGTTTGCTAACTGCAAACCTTAATTCGTTGTTCCAGAATTTTGGAGTTGCTGCTTGGGATGTAAAAAATACACTAAAAATGGAGTAGTTCTTAGAGTATTTCTTCCCAAAAAAGGCAATGAGGAAGGTTATACTGATAGGTACATATTTATGTAATATGTATTCTACCTACCGGCACAGAAACAGGCATTGCATTGCCCTTATGCTTCTCAGTTTATCTTGCAGTGACACTTCATCATGGACCACTTGGTCCAAGGACTGGTATTTGGAAACTGCTCTCCTAAAAGTCACAGCCATTAATTAGCTGTAGCAATTGCCATTGCTCTACATTACTAAGGAAAGCAAATTTCTGAGTCCCAAAGGTTTCCATGACAAATCTACCAAATATACAACCTTCTTTTATATCTTCATGGCTCAATTTTTACCCTAGCTCTACTTTTTATTTTTTAAATGAAAATCTTACCTTGTCATGGTGGCTTATTTAGTTCCCAGGTCAGTTCACACTGTCCAGTGTACAGTGGTGCAGGTTGCACCCTGCCAAGTGTCCCCAGCTGAGGGAAGAGTGAGCTCCGTCTCCAAACTGTGTACCCAAGTGGGGTCTGGGTCTGTTAGGGAGACAAGGCCACATGTTTCTAGTTCACACAAAGGAGAAAGGGCAGGAGGTGATGGCCGTCCAAAGAGTCAATAGAGTGGATTAATTTGGAGCATGTGGGCTTTGCAGGAAGATGTGCATAGGTTTAGATCTTTGCCCCCACCACTGTCCGTGTGACTTTTGGCAAGTTTGTAAGCCTCAGTTTTCTTATCTGTAAAACAAGAATAAAAGCAACAGCAACAACAAGATCTGTTTTATATGGTTGTTGGAAGGATTAAATGAGCTCATGCAGCAGAAGGCTCAGCAGAGTGGCAGGGCTTCATAAATGCTGCCTGTGTTGATCATTGATGGTTCCAGGAAGCCCTGGAATGTCTTATGGACAGAGAACTCACCCGCTGTTTCCTGTTTCCTCCTCCTCACCTTATTGCCCTGTCCGAACAGGTGACTCCCTTCATGTCCCCACCATCTCATTTACTAAAACCAGAAACCAAGACATCACCCTAGACAGCTCTCTCTCCTCCTCCCTCACTTCAACATCTAAGCAGTCTCTAAAGTCTATGAGTTCTACCAGCTCACCCTCCTTCCCCCGACCTTAGCCCAGCTACTTGGTCCAGAGCAGCCTCATTCCTATTTTGGACAATGGCAGCACCCTCAGACTGGCCCCTGCCCCAGTTGTTCAGAAATGCAAATCTGAGCTGATTGCTTCCTTGCTTAAGACTATCCACTGGTGCCCTCTTTATCTACAGGATAAAGCCTGCATTTCTTTGGGATTAATCATGGTTTTGAAAGACCTAGCCTGTCTCCTTACTGCTGCTATCACAATCCCTGTGTCCATCAACAGGGCATTCTCGGTGCACTTTCAACAGCTTCATGGCATTTCCTGTCTCTGTGCCTTTGACATGTTGTTCTGCTTTCTAGGAATGCTGTTGATGATGACGATGAAGAGGAAGAGGCTGAGAGTAACAGTAACAGCTGCCATGCATTGGCGATTTACAACAATAACCGTTTTCTGTGCTCAGTGCTTTGCATTCATAATCTGTCTTTCCCCAACCTTGGTTACCTGGTGAACTCCTCAAATAGAATTATGATTTTTCTTTTTTGAGATGGAATCTTGCTCTGTCACCCAGGCTGGAGTGCAGTGGTGCGATCTTGGCTCACTGCAACCTCCGCCTCCCAGGTTCAAGCAATTCTCCTGCCTCAGCCTCCTGAGGCGTGTGCCACCCCACCCAGCTAATTTTTGTAATTTTAGTAGAGATGGGGTTTCACCATATTGTTCAGGCTGGTCTTGGACTCCTGACCTCATCATCAGCCCGCCTCGGCCTCCCAAAGTGCTGGTATTACAGGTGTGAGCCACTGCGCCTGGCCATAGAATTATGATCTTTAGAAATATATCGTTGTGTTGGTTTATGGGAGTGCTTCACCTGGAATACAGAGGGCTTGACTTTACTGGGCCCTTATTTGAGCCCACGTTGTCATGTGTGGTAGTCAGTGATGCCCTCCTACTCATTTTAAAAAATAGACTTTGGTTTTTAGAGCAGTTTTAGGTTCACAGCAAAATTGAGCAGAAAGCACAGAGTTCCAATATATCCTCTGAGCCCTTGCCCCAGCCTCATTATCAGCATCCCAAGCCAGAGTGATACATTTGTTATGACTGATACATTAACACATGAGTATCACCCCAAGTCCCTAGTTTACATTAGGGCTCCCTCTTGGTGTAGTACATTCTATGGGTTTAGGCACACGTGTAATGACATGTATCCACTATTATAGTGAGACGGAGTACTTTCCCTGTGCTACAAATCCTCTGTGCTTCATCTCTTCATCCCTCCCTCAAACCCCTGGCAACCACTGATCTTTTTATTATCTCCATAGTTTTGCCTTTTCTGAAATGTCATGTAGTTGCAATCATATAGTACATAGCCTTTTCAGAGCAGCCTCTTTCACTTAGTAACATGCATTTATGTTTCCTCCATGTATTTTCATGGCTTAATAGCTCACTGTTGTTTAGTCCTGAATAATATTCCATTGTCTGAATGCAAAACAGTTTTTGAAGGACAAAACTGAAGGACATTTTGGTTGCTTCCAAGTTTTCGCAATTATGAATAAAACTGCCATAACATCTGTGTGCAGGTTTTGGCATGGGCATAAGTTTTCAACTCATTTGGTTGAAACCAACCAAGGAACATGGTTGCTGAGTCATTTGATAGGAGCATGTTTTGTTTTTTGAGAAACCGTTGAACTGCCTTTCAAAGTGGTTGTACTGTTTTGCATTTCCACCAGCCATGAATGAGAGTTTCTTTAGCTCCACATTCTTGTCAGCACTCGATGTCATCACTGTTCTGGATTTTGACAATTCTATTAAATAATAAGTGCATGGTAGTATCTTATTTTAATTTGCAATTCTCTAGTGACATATGATGTTGAGCACCTTGTCATATGCTTATTTGCCATCTGTCTATCTTCTTTGGTGAGGTGTCTGTTTAAATCTTTTCTCCATCTTAAAATCAAATTGTTTTCATAATTGTTGAGTTTGAAGAGTTGTATATATACATATATATATATATATATATATGTATATGTATATACACTCTGTCACCCAGGCTGGAGTGCAATGGCACAATCTCTGCTCACTGCAACCTCTGCCTCCTGGGTTCAAGTGATTCTCCTGCCTCAGACTCTCTAGTAGCTGGGATTGTAGGCACCTGCCACCATGCCCAGCTAATTTTTGTATTTTTAGTGGAGATGAGGGTTCACCTTGTTGGCCAGGCTGGTCTTGAACTCTTGACCTCAGGTGATCCACCTGCCTCGGCCTCCCAAAGTGCTGGGATTACACGCATGAACCACCACGCCCGGCCTGCATTTTGGATGACAGTCCTTTATAAGATATGTCTTTTGCAAACATTTTCTTTCAGTCTGTGGCTTGTTTTCTCATTCTCTTGAGCTCCTACTCATTTTTCTTTCTTTCTTTTTTTAATTTATTTTTTTCTACTCCCCAGATTGGAAGAGCTCCTACTCGTTTTTAAAGCACAGCTTGGGACTCAACTTCTGTGATACTGGAACGGTCTCTTTCTGTCTCCAGAAGTTGATCACTATTGACTCTGTGCCATTACTGTGCCTTTTACAAATATCCATCATATTGTAAATATTTACCCATCAGACTGTAACATTCTCGGGAAGAGGGAGGGACATGCCACTCATTTTTGCATTTCCAGAGCAAAGCATAGTATCTGGCACTAGCTAATGTGTGTCGTAGTATATGTGTGTCGAGTGAGCTAAAGGTGTACAATGAGGACCCAAGTGAGCAGGGCACCCCTGCTTCCCTGAAAAGCACTGGGTGAGTTTTCCTTCAGCAGAAGTAGTGAGAAATGTGCTCTGTCTTCTGGTCTTGTTTCCATTACATCCTTACCTGGACACAGCCTTTTTTTTTTTTTTATGGAGTCTTGCTCTGTCACCCAGGCTGGAGTGCAGTGGTGCGATCTTGGCTCACTGCAACCTCTGCCTCCCAGGTTCAAGCGATTCTCCTGCCTCAGCCTCCTGAGTAGCTGGGATTACAGGCATGCGCCACCACGCCTGGCTAATTTTTGTATTTTTAGTAGAGACTGGGTTTTACCATGTTGGTCAGGCTGATCTCTAACTGCTGACCTCAGGTGATCCACCCACCTTGGCCTCCCAAAGTGCTGGGATTACAGGCGTGAGCCACCACGCCCGGCCTGGACACAGGTATTTTTAATAGATCCCAGATGTAAGCCATCCCTCCCCACCAGAAAAGGGGTGGGTGATTAGAGGCCGAATTCCTCCCCAGTCAGGGCAAATACATTTATAAATTGCTCTGGGGGTCTTCGTGGGCAAGAAGCGTGTCTGTCGCCTGCATATAATTTTCTAGAGTGTGTCCCGACTCAGCTCTTCCCACTCCTTTTTCCATTTCTGCTTATCATTTAGCTAGAATCTTCACTGTGAAGGAACAATTACCATTCTGTCTGCCTCCACAAAGTCTCATCTCCTGAATGGAGCTGTAAGAGCGTGTGCATGTGCGTGCTCAGGTGGTGAAATACCTTCTGAATTCTTCCACGGGTCAGAATCTTGCAAACTTAAGTCAAAACCCTTTCCTTGCTCTCTTCTCCTCCCTCTACTGCGACCTTCCTTCTGTTTTTTTCTTACTTCTCATCTCTGCCTCCCTCTTTCCTTTGGCTTGCAGTGTTTTTGTAAAATTCTCCCCTTCTTGACCCCATATAATCCCTGGCATGTAGCTCAGAATGCATTCCATTATATCTAAGAACACTTTTCTCTCAATGGGGCTTCTATTAAGACCAGACCTTGCATCCAGAGTTGGTTTAAGCCCTAAGGGGATGAAGTTGGGAGAAGAAAGAATTTTCACATGATTTATAGGCTTGTGACCATTTGACTTATAGACATGACTGCTGAGACATTCAAATGAAAAGTAAAGAAAAATCCAGTAAAAGATCAGCAGATGTTTTGTCTGCAAGGCTTGAGACTTTCAAAGTTAGGCAGGAAAAATGTGGATTCTTGACTGAACTTTGCAATTTTCACAGGGTGTTTTAGGGATATTTAGGTAATAGTCATTATTAGCATCTCGAGTCAGTTTAGATAATTAAAAAAGTTAGCAAACTATTGCAAGATTGCTGTAAAAAGTCCAAATAATATAGAAATCTACAGAGCAGAAGCTTAAATGTCCCTTCTGCCTTCCTTCCTCTCCCTCCATTTCACTCTTTTCTGAGACAAATTCAAGGATTGAATATGTGCGCTTTGGGACATTTTCTTTTCCTGTGCACACACGCTCGGTTCTATTATTACTTTCACATAAATGGTCATTGTGTACAATTTATTCTGTGATGTTCATTTTTTCATTGAATAATAGACCTTGGAGATCTTTCATGTTAGTACATACAGAATAATCTCCCTCTTTAGCTGCTGTGGAGGGTTCTGGAACATGGGCATAATAACCTTTACCTAACCATTCTCCCAGGGAGGGTTGTTGGGGTGACATCGTTCCTATTCTCTCTTTCCTTTTTCTATTTCGAACCATAAAGCAATAAATATCCTTACACATATATTTTTTCTCATATATATTTTTGTGGATATTATAAAACTTTACGTATTTTTGCTGATTCCAGGTGACATTGAGCCTCTTGCTCTCAGTCCATTTGTTTTTTTTTTTTAAATTTCAAATTGCCTGTTCATTTGCTTTTTTTTACTGTTCTTAGGAATTGTACATATTTTCTTATTAATTTTTTGGGGTTCTTTTCTAAGACTTTATGATGAATTTTTAAGCATACAGAAAAATTAACAGAATTGCATATATAGTAAACACCCGTGTGTCCACCACCAAGAATTTATAAATAACATTTTGCTGTTTTGACTTTTATCACATAGCTTTTCACCTATCCATCCTTTTATTCATTTATCAATCCACCTTCTTTTTATGCATTTCAGAATAAGTTGCAGGTATCAGTATACTATTTCAGATTCTTATCAATAACAGAATTCAATATTTGTTTACAGTCCTTTTTATTTTTTATGGTAATGTTTACATACAGTAAAATGCACAAATCTTAAAGTTTAATTCAATGTAGGGGGCTTTATATATATATGTTAAGGGTAGTAATTGTCCCTTTTTATTTATATTGCAAGTATTTTCTTCAAATCTGGCACTTACCTTTTAACTTTGTTATCATATCCTTCACACACAGAACTGCAAAATTTACATAGTCAATCTGTCAATAATTTTCTTTATGGATTCTAGAGCTTGCATCACCCTTACGATGACTTCTCCCGTCCCAATATGATTTTAAAAATTCAATTTTTCAGTGTTCTGGTAGTTATATTTTTAATTTTAAAAATCCATATTAAATTATTTTTTGTGTAGGGAGTGATAAAACCTAACTTTTGCAATAACAAACCAGTTGTCCCAAAGCCAAAGACTCTTTTTAGATTTATCTGCTGTAGTCTTTGATGGATGATTTTCTCCAAAATTTAGAAGAAGTTGGAAGAGTGGA
The DNA here is from genome assembly GCF_000001405.40 of Homo sapiens. Lineage (NCBI taxonomy): Eukaryota > Metazoa > Chordata > Mammalia > Primates > Hominidae > Homo > Homo sapiens. The sequence continues at coordinate 13,130,502 of NC_000012.12, forward strand.
GGAAGAAAAGTCAGCAAGAAAGTAGGAGAAAGCAGTGCAGAGGGGATGGAGAGAAAATGAGATTTTGGAGTGAAGATTCTAAAAGTCTCACTAAATTTTTCTGCAACAATTGAACGAAGTTATTTTTTGCATAAAACTGTGAAAACGCAAGTTTTGTCTTCAACAATATCTCCCACATAATTTTATTTGACAGAATAATAAGGTGATTCAGAGCTTGGGAATTATATAAAAACCAGTTTCTGTATCTTTTTAGTGAAGACTTATCTGTGAAAGCATCGGAGTCAAGGTGTGCAATTTGTCAGATATCAACTGCAGCATTAGTGATTGATCAGTCTGGGGACATGTGAAAGGAGAGAGAGAGAAAGCAGCAGCCAAGAGCACAGCAGTCAGAGGGAGGGTCTGGCTACACTTTGCAGTTTCACTTTTGAGGTAGGGGACAAGGCAGCCTTTGGCAAGGGAGCATGACCTAGGGTCAGTGTTGCCATTTGAGAAACAAGGGAACAAAAGAAATATGGATATATAGTTCTTTCGAGAACACATCTAGACTATCTCATCCAGTCTTGGAAACGTTAGTGTTTTTTAGCAGACAATCAGTTGGAGTGAACCAGAGAAAGAGAAGAAAAAATTACTTGTAATGACGTGTTAAAAGGAATGCAAAAGAATTTTTGTCAATTGCACTGCACAGCACAAAAGCAAATTCTTTCTATTATTAACACAACATAAGGAAAGAAGAAGAAAGTGTCAATGTTTTACTACCATGATAAATACTTGCAGGGGTTCAAAGAACTATAAATAAGGGTTCACATGTGTCATGCTTTCTACAATACACTATTTATTCAGGATCTAATAAAAAGTGAATATTGTACAGCAGGTCCTTGAATAATGTCATTTCGTTCAATGTAGTTTTGTAATAATACTGATGAGGAAAAATAATCGCTTCCTGGCTGGGGCTGTTGTCTGTGTGGAGTTTACTCCTTCTCCCCTTGTCTGTGTGGATTTTCTCCAGGTATTCCAGTTTCCTTCCACACCCTGGAGCTGTGCACGTTAGGTGAATTGGTGTGTCTAGTTTGTCCATTCTGATTGTGTGTGTGTGAGTGTGTGAGTGAGTGTGCCCTGTGATGCAATGGTCTCCTGTCCAGGGTGGTTGCCTGCCTTGTGCCCTGAGAGGCTGGGAGAGGCTCTGGCCACCCATGGCACTGAACTGGAATAATTGGGTAAATAACTATCTTACTTGTTTTTATTAATCTTTCATAAATGTATGTATAACTCATTTTTATTTTATTTTATTTTTTTTGAGACAGGGTCTTGCTCTGTCGCTCAGGCTGCAGTGCAGTGCATGATTGTGGCTCACTGCAACCTCGACTCCCCGAGCTCAAGTGATTGTCTCACCTCAGTCTCCCAAGTAGCTGGGACCACAGGCACGCGCCACGACACCCAGCTAATTGTTTTGTATTTTTTGTAGAGACGGTGTTTTGCCATGTTGCCCAGGCTGTTCTCGAATTCCTGGACTCAAGCCATCTGTCCACCTTGGCCTCCCAAAGTGTTGGGATTACAGGCATGAGCCACCATGCCAGGTCCCCTTTTATTTGAGTGTTTACTATTATAATTGCTTTTGTCTTTATTTAAAAGTTTGGTGATGTTTTCGTGATCAGAAATATGCTGTAGGAATTTAACTCTGGTGTACATCAATTAGCCTATGTTCAAACTGATTTTGTTATATGTTGTTTTGCTTAAAGTCACAATTTCCAAGAAGCTATCAATGACGTTAAACAAGGACTTCCTGTACTATATGACCCAGCCATTCCACTTCTGAGTATTTACCTGAGAGAAATGAAAGGATAGATCCATATAGAGCCTAGTACATGAATGTCCATAGCAGCTGTGTGTGTGTAGTAGCTGTGTCTGAAATAGCCTAAATGTCCGTCAACAAGGGAATAGATATACCATTGTGGAATATCTGCATAATGGAATCTTGGTCAGCAATAAAAAGGAAGGAACTATGATACACCCAACAACATGAGTGAATCTCAAAATAATTATACTGAGTGAAGGAAGCCTGGCTGGGCGCGGTGGCTCATGCTTGTAATGCCAGCACTTTGGGAGGCAGAGGTGGGCGGATCACTTGAGGTCAGGAATTCGAGACCAGCCTGGCCAACATGGTGAAACCCTGTCTCTACTAAAAATACAAAAATTAGCCGGGCATGGTGGTGCATGCTTGTAATTCCAGCTACTCGCGGGAGGCTGAGAGAGGAGAATCACTTGAACTTGAGAGGGAGAAGTTGCAGTGAGCCGAGATCATGCCACTGCACTCCAGCCTGGGTGACAGAGACTCTGTCCCCCCAAAAAAAAATAAAAAAAAGAAGGAAGCCAGACAAAAGAGAGCACATGCTTCATGATTCTATTTCCCTAGAATTCTAGAAAATACAAACCATGGAGGAAGGGAGACAGTGAGCCCTAACAAAAGTGCACCAACAGTTTTAGGTGTAGTGGATATGTTCATTATCTTGACTATGTTGATGGTTGCATGGATGTCTACGTATGTCAGAATTGTTCAAATTGTATAGTTTAAACAGTGTATATTATTGTATGTCAATTATATCCCAATTAAGTTATTAAAAAAGATAATGTCAAAAGGTATCTATTCACTTTAAAAAACATGATCTTTTCTAAATGATTCAAAATTAAATGTTTTAAGCCAGCAAGATTTACTACTATGTTTAATCCACAATTTTATTTAGAAAAATTTAGTTAATCCATTTTTTTTTTTAAGATGAAGTCTTTCTCTGTCACCCAGGCTGGAGTGCAGTGGCACGAGCTTGGCTCACTGCAACCTCCGCCTCTTGGGTTCAAATAATTCTCCTGCCTCAGCCTCCTGAGTAGCTGGAACTACAGGTACATGCCACCATGCCTGGCTTATTTTTTGTATTTTGGTAGAGACGGGGTTTCACCATGTTGCCCAGACTGGTCTCAAACTCCTGAGCTCAGGCAATCCACCTGTCTCAGCTTCCCAAAGTGTCAGGATTATAGGCGTGTGCCATTGCGCCCGGCCCCCAAATATTTTTAGAATTAAAATTATTCAAAGAATTTTTCTTAGAGTTGAATGAATCTATGTTGGTCATCTATGAGAAGGAAAATCAGTCAGAAGGAAATAGAAGAGGTTTGTAAATGCATCTATTTGCCACGACACTCTTAGGCTTATAGAATTAACTCTCCAAAGGGAAATTATAGAAGCCTCATTGCCATAAAACCCAACTGTACAAAGACCTCAGCTAAGAACAGAGCTCAAAACTTAATAAACCCTTTCATCCAAAGATACAAGCTTTTCCAGATACCAATTAACAAAATCTTGTACCATGGTATGAGCAGAGGGGTACACTCATTGCTGTTTAACAGATATTGAATTGGAACCCCCAAGAGCTCAGACAACCTGTCTGAGGTCATCTGGCGAGGCAGCTCCTGACTCGGGGTGAAGCTTAAGAGTTCTGCCTTCTGGCCCTGCCCTGCCTGACTCCAACCAACAAAGAACTCTCTGGCCCTAAACCAGACCAAGTAGGGGGAAGAAAATTCATGGTTTAACCAGTTTGCATTGGAACCAATGTGGTGTTAGAGGCCACACCAAGGGTGGGAACCAGTGGGTCGAATTCTAAATCCATCTCATTTCTCTACTTTTTCCCTCCCTACTTTGGACCAGTCCATTGCTGTCTTCGTTGAACTCTTTGTGGCTTGACAGAATATATTATTGCATCCTTTTTGCATAAAGGAGAGATTCTTACAATTTCATTGGACTGTGGGACACTCAATCCTTCTAGATTGATTATGGTGATAAATTTGGAGACTCCTGGAACCTGGGAGGGAATTACTGTCAGATCCAAAGCAACAGCAAATGGAAGATTTACCAAATACTGGGAGAAGTTTACCCTGGACTTTTGAGGAATATTGTAGCCTTTAGATGTGTCAGGGGCTCCCCCTTGTCTGGACTGGGATTCCTGGTTGGCTTTGACTCCCAAGTGTGGAGGAACTGGTTAATTTAGATGTTGGATTCTATAATTAGAAGCAATCTTTTTCCTGGATGACATATGGTGAGATGTTCTAACCAATGTAGAAGGTGTCTATTATGCATTTCTTCTGCAGTTCTTACAGTAATATTTGACTTATTTGGCAATTATTCATACATGGCAGACACAGCCATCTGAAACACAGCTGAAACCAGCAGGATGCAAAAAAGGCCTTTGGGTGGCCAACATGGACATCAAAAAATCTTCGAACTATTCTGTATCTCTTCAACACTATTCACTTTTATTTCAGGCATGACCTAGTAAGCTTAATTATGATCTACAGCGGATTAGAACCAGCACATTAATGGGGCAGGGGGAAACTTTAGAAACAGAAGCTAGAAGTTAGCAGTTTTATGATGAGGGAGGAGACAGGAGAATTATAAAAGCACAAATAAGAATGCAGAAAATGTAATGATTTGAGGTAAGAGCAAACAGCTCTCCAGAACTCATGAGTCCAAGAGTTCATTATTTTTCTTCATCGAAGTTAAATATTAGAGGTTGTAATTATTTCTTTTACAAACATATATTGGAAGCCTGGATACTGTACCTGGCACTGGGTATGTAATGACAGACATGGTCCTGCCCTAATAGAAGGTAATAAATTATGTTGAGTAAACTTTAGAAAAACGGAGAATAATATATTTAGAAAGATTTCCATAACAATTAAAAATGTTTAAATGACTTCATTCCCCAAATCGTAAGCTCCAAGAATCTGAATCAATTATGTAGAACAGCTTATTTCCCACTAGACCTAATAAATGAGGCATTAATTATATTAGCATGACATTGTTATTAGTTTTAAATGAAGAGCAGTAGACATATATGTTCTAGTCTGAAGACAGAGATGTCTGCTGTATTCTTTAATTATTACCAGCTCCTGTGACCTTACATATTTCAGCTCAATTAATGCAGCCAAGTGCCCCTGGGGTGAGGAGGCAGGGCACAAGCTCAAGAGCCTTTGGTGATTGGAGGTGACATATTCAAGGGAGGAGAAAGCAAAGACACAGAACAAGGGGGGCAAGGGGCCTTCCAATTTCTTTTCCTCTGTTTATGGGAGACCCTTATTACATTACGTTCTCTCGCCGCCCTCTGTCCCGGTTTCCCTTTCTCATGCATAGAAATAAAGGTCCAAAAGGAATAGATTTAACGGGCTTAGATCCGAGGGTGGAGCTGCCTGGGGATGTGCTGTGCATTTAAAGTAAAACAAAACAAAATGCCTCTTGATTGCCAGGGCAGGAAATTTCTGCCCAACTGGAAGGGCTGGTTGCTGGAATGCAGGAGAGTCCTTGAGAGGACTTTCTGGAAGGCTGGGGGAGGTGTGGCTGTGGGAGAGCTCCTCCGGGCACCCACGCCTCGCTGCGGACTGGCTGAGGAGTGACTCAAGTACCACAGGGGTGTCAGGGCAGTGAGATGAGTCGGAGCCAGCCCAGGGATCCGGTCCGAATGTGACCACATTCTGGCAGGGTCATCTCAGTGTCATGGAACACTGTGTGCCCAGCAGGCCAAAGACGACTGAGTTGAACAACTAGTTTAGAGCAGGATCAGGACCCAAGCCAGTGTTCAGCCATGCAGGAGGCCTCTCCTCACTAGCCTACTCACACTACAACCTTTTCTGTGTATTTTTCTCATCACTTACCCTTAGTACCTAGCACAGCTCCTCGTATGAGGTAAGTGTTCACTAATGAATGAATGGATGGATGGATGGATGGATGGACAGATGGATGGGTGGATGGATAGATCGAGTAAGTTCTTTGTTATCCTCTTATAATATAACCAACTGCATTTCTGAAACGACTTGCCATTCCTGATTTAAAACACACACCTCCCAAGAAATAAAGCAAACAACACCATCCTGACCTAGGACATTTCGCAAAGCTCAAGGAAATTAATCAGATGCTAAAATTGGGAGAAACTGGACAAATTACCTCCAAATTATTATTATCCACTACTTCACAAAAATTTCTGTAGAATGAAAATAAATAGTTTTTTCCTTTCCTAGTAAACAGTTTGGTGGTTTCCTGTTATAATTTTATTTTCCTTTAGTGACGAAATGTATACTCAGAAGTTGATGGTTAAACAAGTTTTACGCTGAGGAGTGAGCAGTCTAATTATAATGAACACAAACAAGCATAACACACATACATGCTTCTCTCATCAAAATAACCTGCAGGCAGGGCCTCCATTCTGTAGCTTCTGAGTACCTTTTAAGTATGGTGTCCAGGACGTCAGTCTGTTATGGAGGGAAGGACGGTGGCTTCGCCTCCTTGGAGCCTGACCTTTGAACCCACAGGTAAGCTGTAGCTGTCCTTCTCCACTGCTCTATGGACAGCACTGCTCAAAGTCCATCACAGAAGCCGGGCCACAAACTGCTACCAGTTACAACCAGTTAAGGTGCTTGCACCAAAATGTAAACCAATGATGTCAGGAAGCACACTTTCAGATTCTATTGATTTTTTAGAATAAGGCTTTCTAGACCAAAGATTGGTGCATTTTTTTCCATAAAATGCCAGAGAGTGAGTATTTTAGGCTTTGCAGGACAGTCTCTGTCACAATGACTCAACGTTGCTGTCTAGGGGTGCCAAAGCTGCCAGAGACAATGCATAAGCGAATAGGTGTGGCCGTGTGCCAATATAACTTTTTTTTTTTTTTAGATGGAGTATTGCTCTTTTTTGCCCAGGCTGGAGTGCAATGGCATGATCTCGGCTCACTGCAACCTCTGCCTCCCGGGTTCAAGCGATTCTTCTGCCTCAGCCTCTCAAGTAGCTGGGATTACAGGCACGTGCCACCACGCCCAGCTAATTTTTTATATTTTTAGTAGAGATGGGGTTTCACCATGTTGGCCAGTCTGGTCTCGAACTCCTGACCTCAGGTGATCCACCCACCTTGGCCTCCCAAAGTGCTGGGATTACAGGCATGAGCCACCATGCCTGGGAACTTTTTATAAAAATAAAAACTGGCACAGGTTGGAGATACCTAGTGGGTTGGATGGGCTTTGCTGGTGGGGACAAGGGACTGTATAGTTTGCTGACTTCTGTTCTAGATGAAGGAAGCTACTAATTGATTACATTCTGGCTCAAGCTCCTTGTTATGGAATAGACACCCCCTGAACACCACTGGACTGGACAACTTAGGAGGAGCCACACCAGACAGGGTCCCAAGGCCCTCCCAGCTGTGGCTGGTGAGACCACCAATGCAAATACTATGAGGAGGACCATAGTTTTTCTCCATGGATTTTTTTTTTTAATGAGATGAGGTCTTGCTCTGTCACCCAGGCTGGAGTGCAATGATGCAATCATAGCTCACTGCAGCCTCAACCTCCTGGGCTCAAGGATCAGGGACTACAGGTACAGGTCACCATGCCCAGCTAACTTTTTAAATTTTTGGTAGAGACATGGTTTCACTATGTTGCCAGGCCTGGTCTTGAACTCCTGGCCTCAAGTGATCCTTTTGCCTGGGCCTCCCAAAGTGCTGAGATTACAGGCATGAACCACCACACCATGGAAAATGTTTTTACACGAGTAAGCATTTACCAACCCCTGGCTATATTGGCTTTCCTCGCAAACTCACCAATGGTGTTATCATCATTGCCAGCCTCATAGCTTCATTTAGTAAATGCCCACCAGACAGTTTCCTTGACCTGTCTTCTTCTCAGTCCTCTTCTTCACCACCACCTACCTTCTTGTCTTTTCTCACTTCTATTTCTCTGTTCTGGTTAACTTAGTTTTTTGCAATCACTCCAGCTTCCCACTTTCTACCATTCATGGTGCCTGCTTCTACCAATATCACCCATATCACCCAAGGAAGATGCTCTTTTTCCCACTTGTAGTCACAAAATGGCCAGGGGCATGTATTTTTATTTTTTCATCTTTCTTTCTTCTTCTTCTTCTTCTTCTTCTTTTTTTTTTTTTTTTAGAGATGGAGTCTCACTATGTTGCCCAGGCTAGTCTCGAACTCCTGGCCTCAAGCAATCCTCTTGCCTCGGGTTCCCAAAGTGTTGGGATTGCAGAGGAGAACCACCATGGCTGGCTACTTTTGTCATCTTTCTTTCTGTTTAGGTGTCCACATCCTCTCTCTGAGGTTCTGTGATATTCAGATCTCCTGCCTCTGACTCCTCTGGGCCCTGGTTCTTAAAGACACCCCTGCCTTTGCCAGGAGTAGGTTTCCATGCTATGTTTCCCATTGCTGAGTCCTTCTTTCCCTTTCTACCTAGTTTCCTAAGTTGCTGACCCTGGCCTCTTGGTCCTCTCTTCTCTTCTGGGTTGCTATCAAGAAGCACCAGTGTTTTCTCAGTCTGAAAAGTTAGTAGGTTGATCCTTCCTGTCTCTGTCTTTCTTGTTCCATTCAGGGTCTTTGACACTGAGCCTTTCTGTTGGTTTGTACTCTCATAGTCAGCACGCTGAACCATAGATTTTTGCAGGAGCCAACCTCCCCCACTGGATTGACAGGGCTTTTTAAACACGGAACCCTTATTATCTAGCTAGTACCTGGCACCTGGTGTGTATTTTATAAATTCATTAGGCTGAGGACTGTACGGATCCATCCTCAGCTCCATGATTTCTTGTAAATGGACAAAGAAACTCTCAGACAGGCAGTAGTAGTGCTGCAGAGTTGTGTGGCCCTTGGCCAGTTGGACTCCAGGCAAGGTCTGTCTTCTGTCTCTAACCGGGTTTCTCCTTGATTGTCCCAATATTTGCCCTGTCTTCTTTGGGGTCACCCTTGGCCCTTGCAGGACTTTGAGGACGCCTAAGGGCTAGATTGCAGACAGCAGTAGAATGGCTTCATGTAACTGACTGTGGTGGAGAATTGGATCTGGAGGGATGGGAGGCTCTGACTTCTTCCCTTCTCATCCCAATGGTGGATACTCTGGATGGGGCATTAACATCTCCATGGAGCTGCTTGTCAGTGATTGGCACCACCACTCATTTGTCACCCAAGCCAGAAACCCAGGTGTCCCCTTAGATGGCCCCTTCTCCTCACCTGCTCATATCCAATCCTTCATCTGGTCCTATATTGAATCCCTCATCCTGTCCTACATCCAATCCCTCATCTGGTCCTGCATCCAATCCCTCATCCGGTCCCACATCTAATCCCTCATCCTGTCCCACATCCAATCCCTCATTCCATCTAGCATCCAATCCCTCATCCCGTCCTAAATCTAATCCCTCATCCGATCCTACATCCAATTCCTCATCCCGTCCCACATCCAATCCCTCATCCGACCCTACATCCAATTCCTCATCCTGTCCAGCATCCAATCCCTCATCCTGTCCCACATCCAATCCCTTATCCCGTCCTACATCCATTCCCTCATCTGACCCTACATCCAATCCCTCATCCAGTCCTACATCCAATCCCTCATCCTGTCCAGCATCCAATCCCTCATCCTGTCCCACATCCAATCCCTCATCCCGTCCTACATCCAATCCCTCATCTGACCCTACATACAACCCTTCATCCAGTCCTACAGCCAATCCCTCATCCTGTCCAGCATCCAATCCCTCATCCTGTCCCACATCCAATCCCTCATCCCATCCAGCATCGGATCCCTCATCCCATCCTACATCTAATCCCTCATCCAATCCTACATCCAATCCCTCATCTGGTCCCACATCCAATCCCTCATCCGACCCTACATCCAATTCCTCATCCTGTCCAGCATCCAATCCCTCATCCTGTCCCACATCCAATCCCTTATCCCGTCCTACATCCAATCCCTTATCCCGTCCTACATCCAACCCCTCATCTGACCCTGCATCCAACCCTCATCCAGTCCTACATCCAATCCCTCACCCGGTCCCACATCTAATCCAACCCCTCATCCCATCCTACACCCAACCCCTCATCCCGTCCTACATCCAATCCCTCATCCCATCCTACACCCAGCCCCTGTGCCGTCCTACATTCAGTCCCTCATCCCGTCCTACATCCAATCCCTCATCCCGTCCTACGTCCAATCCCTCATCCCGTCCTACATCCAATCCCTTATCCCATCCTACATCCAATCCTTCATCCCATCCTACATCCAATCCCTCCCCTGATCCTACATCTAATCCCTCATCCGGTCCTACATCCAATCCCTCATCGAGTCCCACATCCAGTCCCTCATCCCGTCCTACATCAAATCCCTCATCCGATCCTACATTCAATCCCTCATCCAACCCTACATCCAATCCCTCATCCGGCCCTACATCCAATTCCTAATCTGATCCCACATCTAATCCCTCATCTGCTCCTACATCCAATCCCTCATCTGCTCCTATGTCCAATCCCTCATCTGGTCCTATATCCAATCTCTCATCTGGTCCCACATCCAATCCCTCATCCAGTCCTATATCCAATCCCTCATCCTGTCCTACATCCAATCCCTCTTCTGGTCCTACATCCAATCCCTCATTCAGTCCCACATCTAATCCCTCATCCCGCCCTACATCCAATCGCTCATCTGGCCCTACATCCAATCCCTCATCTGGTCCTACATCCAATCCCTCATCTGCTTCTACATCCAATCCCTCATCCCGTCCTACATCCAATCCCTCATCTCATCCTACAGCCAATCCCTCATCCCGTCCTACATCCAATCCCTCATCCGGTCCCACATCTAATCCCTCATCTGGTCCTACATCAATCCCTCATCCGGTCCCACATCTAATCCCTCATCTGTTCCTACATCAATCCCTCATCCGGTCCCACATCTAATCCCTCATCCAGTCTTCTCATCATAGGCCTTCAGGCCTACTTCGCTTCCCCCATTGCCGTTACTTGGTTCAGTGACTGGCAGCCCTCTGGTGCCTGACCATAACAACTCTCTTCTCTCTGGGCTTCTTGCCTGTAGTTTGAACCCAGTGAATCCACTATCTCCACTATAGCTAGAGTGACCTTTCTAAAAGGCAGACCTGACCCTTAATGGTTTCTTGTCTTTTTCAGGTTAAAGGCCGAATTTCTTAGCCATTCTTGACTGCCACTTGCAGGACCTCATCACTCCTTGGTCTCCTGTTATGGGTGATGCCTCCACTAAGTTCTGGCCGATGTGCTGTAAGCAGAAGTAACGTGTAGCACTTCCAGGAAATCTCTTTATAAGACAGTTGTCAGATGCCAGTTTTTTTCCCCTTCCACTGCATTATTACTGCCAGGTTCATAGCCATTCTGAGGATTTCAGAAGGCTGATCTCTGGAGAACTGAGGGGTTCGAAAGATTGACTTCTCAGGAGCAGGGCTGAGAATGGAATGGGCCCTTAATACCTGACAGTTTCCCAAGCCCTGATGACACAAAGCCAGTGTAATTAATTCAGAACATAAGGCTTCTGATTCCATTACTGACTCATCATCAGTAGTGGCAGCAGCAGCAGAAGTCACTTAAGCTTCTTGTGATCATGGCACCGTGATGGGCATCTTGCATGCTCCTGTCTGCTGACAATGGCACATATCTGCAGTGACGTGGGCCGCTTTGGAAAGTGAGTAGCTTGGGTTAGGTGTCTTCAGAGATGGGGTTGGATGACAGTTTGCAAAGGCTGTGGTAGAGGTACGCTGGGTGAAACAGCTTCCTTCAGATTCTGACTATGGTACAGCCAGTGGGAAACACTGGAATCATTCAACTTTTCTTCCAACAAACATTTCTTGAACACTAATTGCGAGCTTGGCACTGTGCTAGGCCCAGAAGATCCCCAGGTAAATATCACCAGTTCCTGCCCTTCCGAAGCTCACAGCTGAGAAAAGGGAGACACTCCAAAAAGCCATCCCCGGATGCTGTGCAGAGGAGTCACGTCGTGTTCAGACTCAGTCCAAAGTCAGCACAGAAAAGGAGATGACAAACAGCCCAGAAAACTCCTCCCTCAAAAATCCCATAAATCGATTCTAAATAGCTTCCTTTGTTTTTAGCTAGAACCTCCTTTTAAAAAGTTTTTTATAAAAATGATGTATAAGGTTGATTTTTTAGAGGATGGGGAATAAAGAGATCTCTTTCTCTTTCTTTTCTTTTCTGTTTACTGAGCATGCCCAGTTAAATTAATGCAACTTAAGCATGCATATGATGCAGCCCCTTGGCTGTCCCTAAAGATTGAAATTTACTTGAAGACAAAGTGCTTTGGAAGTGTAGAGGAGAAGTGGTCTAACTCTGCCTGAGGAAATTTTGGAAGGCAGGGGAGGTATTATTTGCACTGGTGGAAGTTTAAGAGCTTCCTAAACATGGGGAACAGCATGAACGAAGGCTTGTTGCTCTGGAAGAACATGGCTGGTTCAGAGAATAAACTGGAGTTTACGTTTGGGGCAGTGATGGGGGCAGTGATGATGGCATTGGAGACCATGCAGGGACCAAAAGCACACCCTATGATGGGCACAGCTGGAGGAAAGGGTGGTCAGGAACACTGTGTCCACTCCCTGCCAGCCCCACCCTCCAGCCTCTCTCCTCTTCCTTTGCCACTTCCCTCCACTGCCAACTACTTCCCGAAATGGCCAGATCTATCATTCTCCAACGCAATTGTGTTGTGTGGGCTCTGACTCGCTGAGTGTTGTTTTCTAGCTGAAGACACGTATGTGTTTCTGTTTCCTGAGCGTCTTTTATCTAAGGATCACCCAGTAATCTGGAGACGTCAAATTACTATTAATCTCTAGGTTGGTTCTAAATGTAGGTGGGTCTTATGTTTCTGTTTAATAGTTACACTGTGGCACAGCTGCCCCCAGGGAACCCTTGAACCAGGATGGGGACTTGAATGATATTCCATTTTCTCCTTTGTCATTTAGACCATGAAATACACATCTTCAAGGACCATGGAAATATTGCCTCCACTTCCCTAGAAAGAAAGAGAAAGTGACTTCCATATTGAGACACCTCTGGAAAAAATTAAGGAAATGACAGTGGAATTTCTGAGCAAGAATTTATTTAAGATAACTTACGTGTCCTACCTAAAGCCTGGAGAGATTTTTTTTATCAATTAGAATCAGATCAGGTCACATATAACAAAGAAACCAAAATAATAGTGTTATAGACAAAGTAGAAATTTATTTTCTTTTTAAATAAAAGAGGTCTAGAGATAAGCAGTCCAGGGCTGATATGATCATACAAACTGTCAGGGATTCAGATTTCAGTCTTAACACCCTTACCCTCTGCATGTGGCTTCTACCTAATAGTCTGAGGTGGCTGCTCAAACTCCAGCCATCACATCCACATTCTAAGCAGGAGAAAGAAGGAACAATGAAGGAGGGGAAAAATGGCATCTGACAACTGACTTATAAAGAGATTTCCCGGAAGCACCACATGTTGCTTCTGCTTATAGCACATTGGCCAGAGCTTAGTGGAGGCTGGGAAATATTGTGATTTCTCCAGCTGCCATGATGAGAATAGAGAGAAACTGCAGTAGGCAACTAGCAGCCTCTGCCACAAATCCCACTATCAAGAGTACAGCACTGTACCTGTGATCAGCGAACTGACATACCCTTGCTTATCCCCCATCCCTGGTGGCAATGAGGCCCAGGGGCCTCAGAGAATCATGTCATGGTGGCAGGGGCTCCTCTAGAGTCCTTAAGCCCCATACTCCATACTCATAGGCATGATCTCTGTGATCTGATTCTTACTGGCTCTAATCTAAACACTGGAGAAAGGAGAGGCTGTCCCAATTTGTGATCACAGTAGCCCTCCATGAGCACATAACATGGAGATATCCTACCTCTTAGGGTTCCATCCACATGACATTCACTCATTCCAGGCAGAGCTAGAAATATCAGGGCTCTTATGGAATTACTTTCTCAGATTCCTTAATTTTTTCCCAGAGCCTCTGGTGTTTGGATGTTACATAAGAGGTACCTGGCATCTTTTTTTAGGCAATAGTGAGCATGGGCTTCCTGTGTAACCTGAACTGTACATATATGAGTAAAAACAGCAGGAAAAGAAGAGGAGGAAGTAGTGGTTCATGTAGAGAAGTAATGGCAGGCAGGGAGGAGGAGGAGGAGGAAGGAAGTGGGTGGGCCAGACCAGCCCTGCACAAATATGTGAATGAATCCAGTTTCCTTTCAGGGTCTTTCCCTATCTTTGGGCACAATCCCCTCCACTTACTCTCCTGTCTGCACAGCCCTGCACTCATCACCCTCAGCGCCCTCCTTAGTACTGCCATGACCAAGCTTCCCCTCCCTCTTCAGAACCTAAAGCAACATCTACTGCACTGTCTTGAGGGATTCACAGAAGCAGTAACACTTCAATAATGGCAAGTAAATGGCAGGCTCTCAAAATATGCTATATTTACCCGCTCTTTCCAACAAGTTTGATAAGCTCATTCACTTCCATAATGAGCAAGATAAGAATGTACTTCTTCTACAAGCCATATTTACATTGTAAGAGAGATTTCTAAGCCTAAACCCAAAGATATATCAATCACCTTCAGTAGAATTAGCAAAGGGAAAAGAATTGGGTAGGAGGCGCCTCTCTAGGGCTGGGGCTGGGGTTCCAGGGCCCTAGCAGGAAGGAGGGAGAAGTGACACAGGGCTCATGTCCACCATGAAACTGGCGTGTGCCTAGCACGGTGTCAGCTTCACACTAAGTGAATAATCCATAATGAATAAATACATGACAGGGGATTTAATGAGTGGACACTTTACAAAGCTGTGGGTTAAGTCTGAGAACCAGGAAGGGATGGTGCAGTATGCAGGGATTAACAACGGGGAAATCCTTACATCTCTCAGCCTGAACGGGCACAGGGAAGGAGTGGCTACCAGATCTGCACTGTGGCTGTTGGAGAGGGGACATCGGATAGGAGCTATGGCATTTAGTAGAAGAACACAACCACTGCTTAAAGCACAGCCTGGCAGGAGGGAATAAATACCTGGACTCTCTTATCATCCTCCAATCTTTCATCTGCACCTCCCATTGGTCACACCCACCAGCAGCCACAGGTGCAAGGGACCCAAGGTGGGTTGGTGGGGAACGGAAGAGTTCATCCTCCCAAGGGCAGGATGGAGAAGGTGGAAAGTGGACCTGGAGGGACAAATAGGAAATCTAGTACATTAGTCTTTAGGTTTATATTGTAGTTTGAGAGACAGACTGATACATAATTCTAACAAAAGACAGTGAGATAAGACAGTAATAAGATCAGACAAGGTGACTTCACTGGGGTAGAGGATCCCCCTTGGGAGTGGAGAGAGATAAAGTGGGATGGATATCAGGACCACTCAGCAGAACATTTTTAAGGGACTTAGGGCTGAAAAAACAAAACAGCACAGAATGTCCATCAAGGTCATTAATAGAATGTATTATTGACTCATTTTATAAGAAAAACTTTTCAAAGGCTACTGGCAGGCCCTGAGTATGGTCTGAGGTCTCCAAATCCTCATATCAGATGTAAATATCCATCAAGGTCATTAATAGAATGTATTATTGACTCATTCTATAGAAAAACTTTTCAAAGGCTACTGGCAGGCCCTGAGTATGGTCTGAGGTCTCCAAATCCTCATATCAGATGTAACTATCCATCAAGGTAATCCTCCCCAGGGAAGGGAAGTCCCTTCCTTCCCTACCTCCCTCCCTCCTTTCCTCTCTCCCTGTGTCTTTCCTCCCTTCCTCCTTCCTTTCCTGCCCTTTCTCCCTCCCTCCCTCCCTCCCTTCCTTTCCTTTTTCCTCCCTCCCCTCCCTCCTCATGGGAGGCAGTGTGCCTGCCCTTGGCTCTTGGTTGGTGTCTGCCCTCACATGTCTTCATCACAGGACAGATTTTCTTTCTGTCCCATAGACCAGCCTTTCCAGACCCTTTTTGAGGGACAGCAACGCTTCCTTGTTGCTGGCGGGCAACCATTCTTGTTTAGGGAGATGTGAAGGTTTTTCAAAAGAAACAAGCCATGTGGACAAAGGAGTGGAAGGAAAGGTTAGGATTCTGGAGATACTGGGCTAGAATACAAAGGCTACAGGTCCATAGGGAAGAGGAATCTGGGGAAGACTTAGTCAAATGTTCTAGGGGAAAATATTGAAATGTCAGCGGGTATCTCTTTCCTTCTTCCCTTCCATGAGGAACAGGCACAAATATGAAGGAGAACTGACCTCAGAAGTTGGAGGCAGAGCTTTCTCTCAGCTCACTTGACCCAGAACTGACCCTTTTAAAGCTTTATACCAGGAATTCAGCAGTATATGAGATCCATTCACATAGTCCTAGAACCATTAAGCAATGCAGACAGACTCTTGGAACGTGGTATGGATTTCTGGCAGTTCCCCTTGTGACATGCGCCCCTCAGCCTGTCTATTGGGACCTGCTTGTTTATCTTTCTCTCACTCTGCCAGTAGTCATTGACCTGGTTTCATCATTGCTTTGGAGAGCTATTCAGTATGTTCCTCCTCTGTCCCTAAAAGCCACTGCTCCTTAATAACTCAGTGTGTGGCCAGCCTATTCTGAATTCTCTCTGAGGCATCCCTCTAGATTCCTGTTTTTATTGAGTAGCTACTGTGTGCTAGACAATGCAGTTCACTACTTTTACTCTGATGGGTCTTCAGATCTCAACAGGGTCTTCATATTGGTCTCCATTTTTAACAGCATAGTGGTTAAAAGCACTGACGTTGAAGTCGGCTTCTGCTATTAGCAGCAACATGATTTTGGACAAGTCCCTTAACCTCTTTGAGCCTTAGTTTCCTAACCTGTAAAATGAGATTGATATTAGTTCCAATTTCATAGGACTGTTGTGGAAATTAAACGGGTTAATATGTATAAAATGCTGGGCTCCATATCTGACCCATTATGAGTTCTCAATAACAACATGCTTTTATTATTCTCATTTTGGGGGTGATTATAATGACCCAGGGCACAGGGTAGTCCTCTTTGGAGTAGAGTGTGCAAATTTTCTTCTCTGAATTGCTCTCTGTGATGGGTTACAAGGATCTTCCAAGCATAGAGAGGATCTAACAGTTCCCAGGTTGATCTCTCCATAAAACTCCATTTTCCCATGAAGAGGAGACTATAGAGTAAGTTCCAAGATCATTAAAGGCAACTGTAGGCATCTTGTAGAGCTTCCTTGCAATCAGAGAGCCAACTAATGTTGGAGTTAAAGGTCCTTAGAGAGCACTTAAAAAAAAAGAGAGAGACTTACAGGTTATGATCACATCAGAACTAGTGGCAGCCTAGGCCAGAAGTCATTTCTCCTAACTCCCAAGGCAGCATTCTTTCTACCCCACCAGGATTTCTCATGTTGTATATGTTTTGCCTATCTCTCTCTGTCTTGGTTTACCTTCCAACCTTCATTCTTTCTATCTGTCTGTCTATCTATCTATCTATCTATCTATCTATCTATCTATCTATCTTCTATCGATCTATCATCATCTATCTATTATCTATCTATTTAATCTATCATCGATCTATATCTATTCTGTTATCTATCAATCATCTATTTAATCTATCATCGATCTCTATTCTATCTATCTATCTATCTATCTATCTATCTATCTATCTATCTATCTCTCTATCTATCACCTATTTAAGCCAGCTCATCTATCAGGACCTTTTTCTCTAAACTGAAGCTTTTTCACATCCCAGTTTATGAGGCGTGAAAGCTGAGCTGCTCGGGCCGCAGGCAGAAGCAGGCCCAGCTCCCTGCTTACTGCTTTTCTTTTGCCCTCTGCGGCAGCCCTCGAGACTGCCCACACTCTTACCTTATCAGTACTTGTGCATCTGTTTCTTTGACATGGTTTCAAATTCCACTTTTCTAACCAGTTTTTCTGGTACATGGAGTTTTTGAAGCGGTTCTGTCTTAAAAGGGGGCTGTCACCTAATTTTCTCCATATGATACATTGTAAAAGGAGAAGTATTTGGACAGATCACGCTGAACTTTGATCTTTCCAAGGAGCCTCGAAGCCAGTCTGACTCTAACACTGGCCAGAGTTCTGTAGGATGGGAAGGACCCTAAAGTAAACAAGCCGACACCCCACTTTCAACAGTCCAAATATTTCTGTCCTCAGCTTGCAGCACATCCAGGATCAAGTTCCAAAAATTCCATTTAATTTTTCTTGGCTTCTATATTTACTTAGTTACAATTGGACCAGAAGGGGTCTTGGCACCAAAAACCTGTAAGGAAAAAGCTCTTTCTTTAAACTTTGTTGCCCAATTTTGTAGACATTACAGGTTCAGATAAGGTTGTGGGTGGCCCGTCAATTCTTTCTACATGTTGTTCTAAAATGAACCCAAACCCTGCCACCTCCTGAGATTCCCTAGTCAGACTGTGGCAATAACAAGCGGACATTCCTGATTTTAAAGCCAAGTTTTCCTAAGGGTCAGCTCTTCTCAGTGCTCTTTCTCCTAGCCATGTATGTCGCTTGACCTGGAGGTGAGGGGAGAACAATGGTCTGAGCCTCTTCTTCTGGCCCCTGTGCAGCTGCTTAGAGGCATCTGTGTGAATGCGCACTCGTTGTTCACCTGAGAAGGTGAGAGAAGTTTCTGGAAGCATTGCTTTAACTTTCTTAGTTACTTCATACTTTTAAACCCCCAAGCTGTGCCCCATCAATTCAGTCTTCTACTATAGCGGTTTTAATGATAGCTATGTAAGTAGTTTCTTTGCCACTTCGGGTAGCCGTGTGTGTGTGTGTGTGTGTGTGTGTGTGTGTGTCTGTGTGTGTGGTGTGTAGGAGGGTAAGGGCAAGTTAAGGAGCTCATTATCTTCTGAGCTCCATGAGGTCAGGGAACATGTCCGCCATGTTTAGTGCTGTGTCGTCTATCCTCTGGGCTTATCACATACCAGATACAAACAAGACAAGGATGTTGCTTTTGTGAGCTTCAAATAAATATTGGCTGAAGGAATGAGTGAACATCTGCCTTACTGTATTAATAGGTCTTTCCTTCCATTGCAGAGTTAGAAAGTAAACCATTCTCTGAGACCCAGGACATGGACTTTAGTGGACTGTCGGTTTGTATCCATAGGGACTGGTCAGTGGGGCTACCCTTAAATCAAAGAGGTCATTCATGTGATATGCTTTGAAGGGTATTGGGAGTTCTTAACATCCAAAATCATCCCATATTTTAAGGCTTGACAGTCCAGCGTTTGAGATAAATTTATTTTGGTCTTAAGTGTTGTTTGTTTGGCAGTAGTTCTCCATGGGAACGTCAATATTCCTCATGGGACATCATCTTTGGATTTGTTAGTCAGATGAAACAGCAAGATATGGTGAGCAGAGCATTGTTTTTGGAATCAAATGGACCTGTGTTCTAACGCTGTTTCCACCATTAACCATCTGTGTGACTTGGATAGTTATTTGACCGCTCTCAGTGGGTTTACTTTCTGTAAAATGGGGATAATAATACTTGCCTGTCGAACTCATGGAGATAAATTGCGTAGTTACAATTGTACATTACAATTGAGTGTGTAAGGTGTCCAGCTATGTATTGGCACACAGAAGACCCTCAAATCACATGAAGTATTTTCCCTACTTTTCTCCTTCCTAAGAGCCAGATCCTGAGGAAGAGGCTGTGGGTGGCATGGTTTGGGTGGGTGATGATGGTAAGAACAGATGGTAATGAGAACGAATCTTGTCACGGATTTAAAAATTTTTCTGGGTGGGACAAGTCTCATTGACTAATATTGGTTGATGGCATGTAAAACTAGAAACTAGAGAAATACAAAACTTTTTCTAGTTATTTTATTGGAACAACCCAACCGGCTTTATGCAATGCCTTTGTGCACATGTGAAAAGGTAGCACAGGCCAGGTATCAGTTACTATTTGCCCCATCAGCCACTTGCCCTGTGCAGTGAACTACCTGTCCAATATATGAGATGGGCCTGCCAATCAAAGAGATCAAATTTGTGTAAACTTGGCTGAGTCACTAAAGATAGAAATTTGTGGAGGAAAATTCATGATTTAAGTCAGAAGATCTGGTTCAAACCACTTCCACTACCAACTCTAACCCAGAGCATGTTTGTGAGATAAGTAAATACTCCAAATGCCAGTTGCTTCATGTATAAAACAATGATAATGATGCTATCTTTGTAATCTATTCTTTATAACAAATTACCTTAAAATTTATCAGCTTAAGAAAGAAACAGCATTTATTATCTCACACAGTTTCTGTGCATTGAGAATGCAGGAGCAGATTAGCTGTTTGGTCTGGCTCAGTGTGTCCCATAAGGTCATGGTCAAGATGTTGGTGGGTCAATGAACATAATACAGCACAGCAACAGAATGAAAACCAAAAGCCCACGGTCATATCAGTAGATGCAGAAAAAATATCTGACAAATCCAAAACACTTCCCTGATAAAAACACTCAACAAACTAGGAACAGAAGGGAGCTTCCTCAGTCTGGCAAAGAGTATCTGTGAAAAGCCTACAGCTAATATCGTATTAATGGTGAGACTAGATGCTTTCCCCTGAATTTCAGAAATAAGACAAGGATGTTGCTTTTGTCACTTTTATTCAGCATCATATTAGGGGATCTAGCCAGGGCAATTGGGCAAGAGAAAGAAGTAAAAGCCATCCAGATTGGAAGAAAAGAAATAAAACCATCTCTGTTCACAGATGAAATGATCTTGTATATAGAAAATCCTAAGGAATCCACTAAAGAAAACTATTAGAACTAATAAATAAGCTCAACAAGGTTGCAGGATACAAGATCAATATACAAAAATCCATTGTATTTCTAAATACTTGCAATGTACAATCTGAAAATCCAATCAAATCAATTCCCTTTACAGTAGTATCAAAATGAATAAAATACATAGAAATGAAATTAAAAAAGTGGAAAACTTATACTCTGAAAACTACAAAATATTGTTGAAAGAAATTAAACAAGATCTAAATAAATGGATATTCCATGTTCATGGATCAGAAGACTTAATGTTGTTAAAATGGCAATATTCTCCAAACTCATCTACAGTTTAGTGGTTGCTTAGGGCTGGGGAAACTGGGAAGATATGGAGGTGACATCTGAAGGTTATGGGTTTTTGTTTTTGTGGTGAAGGTGTTCTAAATTTGACTGTGGTGATGGTTGCACATATCTGTGAATGTACTAAAAACTAGTGACTTCTATCCTTTAAATGAGTGAACTGTATGGTATGTGAATTATATTTAAAAATGCTGAGTGTGACTGCAGTTATCTGAAGGCTTGATAGGAACTTCAGGATCCATTTCCATGTTGTTCCTGCCCCACTGGGCCACTGAGCATCCTCACAAGATGGCCGCTGGCTTCCTCCGGGGGGAGGAACCCAAGAGAGTATGAGGTGAAAGCCAGAAAGTCTTTAATGACCTAATCTTAGAGGCCACACTCCATCATTTCAGGTGAGCCCTATTCAGTGTGGGAGTGGCTACAGAAGGGCATGAATATCAGGAGGAGAAAATCATTTGGAACAGCTCGGAGGCTGGCTACACAAACACCTGCCTCACGGGGTAGCTTTCATGATCACATGAGGTAATGGGTATAAAACATATTGTAAACTTTAACCTGCTCTATCAATATTCAATATTGTTCATCTTATAATTGACATGGATTTGTTGTCCAAAGCTAACTGAAGTTTGCTTATTAATGTTTACTGCTTTAGTTGGTCAGAATTAGTGTCCTAGAACTCTCAACTATCTGCAAAATTAAGGTATGTTTTTGAGACTATGTCTTTATTGACATTTAGATATGATGGAGAAGCTAGTAGTTCTAGAATTTACCAGGAGTGAGACCCATACAGCCCTGCTTGTCAATTCAGCACCTCATTTATCTCCTCACAGATTTATTATGTGGGCCGAAAAGAGGCAAATTATGTTGTAAAATTATCAAAGAGAAGGGGAAAGAAACCTCAAAACTGGGACCCAAGAAGAAACACTGACTTTCTTTGGGTTATTATCTAGGGAGATGTGCTTTGCTCCTCAACTTGTGTGGGATCTGGTCCAGCTTCAGGCCAGCCCCAGGAGTGCAGTTTCAGACAGGATGGAGATGAGGGTGTGGTGGAACTTCAGCCAGATGTCTGGAAGCGGCCAGCTCCCTGGCTTTGTGGCTGCCTCTCCCTCCCATGTTTATGGCTCCAGAAACACAATACTTGTGGCCACTAAAGCCCAGGACAGCAGTGGATTCCAGGCTGTCTTCTGGTGTCTACTGGTTATGATTCTATCACAGGCAACACACAGAGTTTAGGTTCAACACCATCATGAGACTGCAGTCACAGGTTCACAAGCTAAGGGTAGAGGCTGGTTATTTAGACAGTTTCCCTAACTGGTGTGTATGTTTCTCTCCAACTTACTGAGTCTAGTGCTTTCTTGATTTCCAGGGGATCTCTTAGGAGAACGCTAGTCTCCCACCTGCTTGGTCCAAGCTTACTCCCCTAGTTGCCTAAGAAACCTATTCTCTCACCTACCTAGGTATTCTCTTTCATAATTTTACAAATGTTGTTTAACATCTGTGTTAGCCATTTCCAGAATGTTCAGAAATCTAATCTCACGTAATCATCAATGGAACCCGGTGGTGTTGGTAATGCTATCATCATTTGAAGACTGAGGTAATGAGAACACGAAAGGTTGGCCAACGTGTCTAGTAGCACACAGCTGGTAACTAGTTCCCCAACCCGGATTCTCTGGGCTTCCTCCTGACTCTGCCCCTCTTTTCTTTGGCCCCAGACACTAGGATTTCCCTAAACCTATGGCATCTCTACCCTTTCTAGGGGAAGAGAGTGACCTGCTACAATTAATCCTCATAGAAATGGATGATGTTTCTATAGGCTGTGTAGGCCATTCTCCCTAAACACTCTCTTCTGGTTTGAGTCGTTGCCAGGAGCTCCAACCTAGCCCTTTCAGAAGTTAATGAGGAGACAGCGAATCCTGGGAATAGCCAGCGACCACTGCAGGGTAAGCTTACAGTAACTGAATAGCAAGGTCTGCTCTGTAAGCCCCAGATGAGCTCTGGAATCATTCCTGCCGTCTGAGTCTCCTCCCCACTGGGCTTGTTCAGAGGGCACCCAAATTGGTTTGGGCTCCATCCTGGTGTGCTTTCCTGCCTCGTGATGGGGTAAAAACTGGGCCATCCTCTGCGGGCCTGCAGAAGCAGGAGGGAGGACACAGTGATGCCTTATGTGGAGATCTGGTCACTCGTGCTGCCTTGTGACCCTCTTTAGCACCGAGGAAAAGCTATGAGAGAGCAAGTACTCAACAACCGCTTTTTGGATTTAATTAAATTGTAACCAATATTTTGCCTCCCCCTACCCTCACCCAGAAAACTTATTCAAATAAAATACATGTAAATGAAATTTCTTTCTCCCTCTCTTCTTTCCCCCTCCCTTCTCTCCCTTCCTTCACCCAGCTTTTTTTTCTCCTCTTTTATTCCTTACCTTTTTCTATACCTCATAACATTTATAAAGAATGTCAACACTCTCCAAGTACCTTTCAGTCTCCCAAGCCCTGCACACAAAGGGCAGATTTTGAACAAATAATGAACCTCCCCCAAATAATCTCATCTGATCTGTTTCACCACTTTTACCCACAATGCATATCAAATATAAATGATCACTAATTCATTTCATCCCAAATCCTAGTGCTTGTCCTATTTTATTTTTTCCACCTTCTGCATTAAAATACTATGATTCATAGCCCTCCACTCCCACCCCCGGGGGTAGAGTGGGTGGGAGGAAGAAACAACCCAACTTCTAGTTTTCTGCCAGTGGCCTGTAAGGTTTCTGAGCAGATGATGAGGGAATTAGCTTTCAGCATTCGTAAATTTGTGGCTGGATCACTTTGGTAATCTGTGAGTATTCAGTAAGTTGCTACCTAGTACCTCCTCCTACCACTTCTTTTACTTTTTTTTTTTTTCAGTTTCATTCTATTATTTAAAGGAACACTTCTACTTTTTGTGAGTTTCGTTTCTTACAGTAATGAGTGCCAGTTGCCTAATATTTGGGGCAGATGTCAAATTTACTTAAATCATATTATATACTGGCAATTCTGTTCTCAACCAACTCAGGAACTTTAAGGACTTCAGAAAGGCATGATTCAGCAATTGACCTCAAGAAAATGTTACACAGAGAATCTCTTGACCAAGCTCCAGAGTTTTCTTTAAACAATTTACCCAAAGTTCTTCAATACAGAATGCAATAGCGTAGCCCAACAATTTTTGCTGATGTCTGACTTGAAAGGAGGCTATATTGAAATGATGTAAAATCAGTTCTTAGACTCTCTTCAAAGAAAAAGCCATGTATGACAAGTGGCAGAGAAATCAAACTACAGGAATGAAAACACAACTCTTAATGCCGTAGTCATGCTCAGGGAGTATTTGAGAATTTGCACCTGGCAACTTAGTTAAAAGCAACCATACATTTATGTATTGTAAAAGGTATGATTCTGAAGGACGAAAGGAGGAATCCTGTAGGAGAGAAAAAAAAGGAACATCAAGCAAGTGAATTCCAATAGTTTAAAGGGTTCTCTGGGAAGAATTTTTTTAAAAGACAAAGAAGTCCAAGGGAGCTGTTTGTTCCATAAGAAAACAATATGGTTCTAATAATATAAGAAAAAATGATCTTGATCTATGAGAAAGCAGGGAAGGGTAGAAATAAATTAACTTGGCAGGGCTAAGGGTTGCTTTGAAATGATCTCAGAAGTGGTAAGTTTGCCAGGCTACCAGTAA
The DNA here is from genome assembly GCF_000001405.40 of Homo sapiens. NCBI lineage: Eukaryota > Metazoa > Chordata > Mammalia > Primates > Hominidae > Homo > Homo sapiens. The sequence goes on from NC_000012.12 coordinate 13,155,092, forward strand.
AAAGGATGGAAAAAAATGGAAATAATTTGCTTAGAAAACCAGAAAAGCCAAAGTAGGAAATGAAATGCAACTCTCAAAGGACATAAAGAGAAACAGAAAAATGCCATATATTAGTTAAATACTTAAGACATAAATGAGAGATATAGAAAAACATCCTTCACAAGTGAAAAAAGAAAGCTAAAAATATGGGATACTTAAATGCCAAACTTAAAAAGATTTTTAAATTGTGAAAGCAATTTCACACATCGAGTTCATATATGAACCATTTTGTATGGGTTTTGAAAAGCAAAATTTTGGTGCATTTTCTTCCAGACCTGAGCCATATAGAACTTGAAATGTGGCTAGTTCAAATTGAGATGTACTGTAAGTATAAAATGCAGACTGGATTATGAAGATTTAGTTAAAAATCTCATGAATAATTTTATATCGATTACATGTTGAAGTTATTATATTTTGGATAGTTATGTTAAATCAATATATTAAAATTAATTTCATCCATTTGTTCTTAAAATTTTTAACGTGTTTCCTAGAAAATTTAAAATTGCATGAGTGGGTCACGTTATGTTTCTATTGGACAGTGTCATTCTATTTTTTGTCTTCTATATGAACGATCAGGAAGTTTTTGTTAAACCAAGATAACAGTACTAGAAAATGATCATGTGAAGTTAATTAAAATAAGAGTGAAAATTTCATAATAAGCAGTTAAAAAGATTATGATTTTATCTTGGGAATGTAATGAAATTATAAAAATAATTTTATTGTAAGTATTTTAAATAAAATTTAAGTTATACTTGCAATTTTATACCAATTCTTAGAAGAAAATGTCAATAAATAAGGAGATTTGGGGTGACATGGGGCAGACAATTTTTTATTTTTTTTTTGAGATGGAGTCTCGCTCTGTGGCCCAGGCTGGAGTGCAGTGGCGCGATCTCGGCTCACTGCAGGCTCCGCCCCCCGGGTTCACGCCGTTCTCCTGCCTCAGCCTCCCGAGTAGCTGGGACTACAGGCGCCCGCCACCACGCCCGGCTAATTTTTTGTATTTTTAGTAGAGACGGGGTTTCACCGTGTTAGCCAGGATGGTCTCAATCTCCTGACCTCGTGATCCTTAAAAGAAAATGAAAGCTTCAATACCACATCTTTGACCGCATGTTTGATTTTTTGGTAACAATTAAAAAGGGAAATTTTTTGTAAAAATATTTGAAGAGTTCATAAATTCCTCAAGAGTCTCTTTTAAGACTTTAACTGTTACATCATTCTCTTTTGCAGGACCTGTCTCGTATCATCCTTGTTGACTTTCTCTTTGTTTTTTTACCACTCTAACTCTCCAGCTCCTTATCTGCTAGTGGTTTTGCATGTGATTTGTGTAGTTCTCCAAACTGCCTCTCATACTTCATGAAATCTTGCAACTGTGGTGACTTAGATAGTGAATATGTGGGTAATGAGGACCCTTGTATATATTTACATAGCTGGGGTGACACTGTTGTACACTGCAGTGTACAGGTCTATCGTATACTGCCACTTAATATTACATCACAGTTATTTTTCCATATCTTTAGGAATTCTTTTTTTTGCATCCTTTTTACAAGTACTTTAAGAATTCTTTAGAAACATCATCTTAAGTGAATGAGTACATAATAATCGCTCTTATGAGTAAACTATAATCTATAATTTATGGAATCATTCCCTATTATTGGATGTTTATGCTGCCTCTTTTTTCCTCTTTTTTTTTTTTTTGCTATTATAAACCATGTAGGAAATAACCTCTCTGAACACAAATCTTTATTACATTCCCATTTTTGTTTCTAATTACAGGGTAAAAAGTTAGACATTTTAGGCTGAGCGCAGTGGCTCATGCCTGTAATCTGAGCACTTTGGGAAGCTGAGGTTGGTGGATTGGATTGCTTGAGGCCAGAAGTTCAAAACTACCCTGGGCAACATGGCGAAACCCCATCTCTTCAAACAATTAGCCAGGCATTGTGGTGTGCACCCATACTTCCAGATCCTTGGGAGACTGAGCTGGGAGGTTTGCGTGAGTCTGGGAGGAGGAGGTTGAGATCATGCCACTGCACTCCAGCCTGAGCAACAGAGGGAGACTCTCTCTCAAAAAAAGTTATGGACATTTTAATCCAAACTGCCAAATGGTTTTCCTGAAGATTAATAATAGTTAATGCCCTTACTAGCAGTGAATAACCTCATGGAATCATACTCTTGCCAACACTGAATATTACCAAGAAAAATATTTTTGCTAATCTTATATGTGAAAATAATATCCATCTATTTTAAATTAGAATTTCTTTGATGATGGCTTAGAATGTTCATTAACTATGTACAATTTTTTTGGATTCTCTGTTCATTTTTTTTCATTTATCTATGGTGGATGTTTTTGTCCTTTGTAAGAGGCTTTCTTCTATATTAAAGGCATTAACCCTTTGTCTAGCATATTCGTAAAAACTTAGGTTTTTACTTTCAAAATTATTGTTAAATAGTTTAAATATATACAAAGAAATAGAGAATATTTATAAGAATTCTGTATACTCACCACCAGTTTTACATATGACCTTAGCCAAAAGGCTGAGAAGCGATCGCTGCCAGTTTTAAAATCTTAAAGTTTGCCGTATTTCGCAAAACATGTTAGAAGTAATTGAATCCCTGGTGGAACTCCCCTCACTGCTCATTGCCATGCTCCACTATTCTTCTGTCTGACCCCAACCAGAAAAGCTTCTCCTTCTCCTTCTCCTCCTTCTTCTTTCTTCCTTCTTCTTTTTTGTGACAGCGCCTCACTGTCACGCAGGCTGGAATGCAGTGGTGTGATCATGGCTTACTGCAGCCTTGACCTCCTGGGTTCAGGTGATCCTCCCACCTCAGCCTCATGGGTAGCTGGGAGCACAGGCACACGCCACCGTGCCTGGCTAATTTTTGTGGTTTTTGTTGAGGCAGGGTTTCGCCATGTTGCCCAGGCTGGTCTCGAACTCCGGGGCTCAAGCAGTCTACTTGCCTGAGCCCCACAAAGTGCTAGGATTACAGACGTGAGCCACTGCACCCGAAAAGCCACTTCTTTAGGCTTCTGATGGTAGTTCCTGTGCATGTTTTGATACTTTTACTGCATACTCATGTGTCCTAAGTTACAGTGTTGTTTTTTGCATTTTATAAATGTGTATAAATGGTATCATACTGTAATATGCCCTTCAGGAGGTGGTTCTCGTATTTTTATTTTTTGCTCCAAATTACATTAAACAATATTTATTTTAAATAAACAAATAACCAAATTAAGTTTCTGAAGTTTGTCCACTTTAACTACTATAGATATTTAATTATAACTCTTCATTCTTCTATTAGGACTTTTTTGGCTATCACAGAAAATGCTGCAAAAAATTCTTTAATGTGCCTCCTTGTGCACTTGTGCTATAGTTTTTCCAAGGTATATATACAGAGAAGGAGAATTGCTGGGTCCTAGGACATGAATATCCTTAATTTTACACATATCGCCATATTTTAATCCATAGTGGGTTTTACCAATTTACATTCTCACCAGTAATTTTTGAGTTCTTCTTTCTCTGCGTCCTGGAGAAGATTTGGTATTGAGAAGCTTTAATTTTTTTTAACTTCCATTTTCATAATTCTAGTGAGGTCAAGCCTTTTTCACAAGTATATTGGCCATTTGTTTTTCTCCTGTGTATTTCCTATTGTATATTTTAACTATTTTGCTATTGTGCTACTTGTTCTTTCATATTGAATTATAAAAGTATTTTATATTTTCTAGACATCCTTTGTTGATTATATGCATTGAAAATATGGTCTCTTCATCTGTGACTTATTTCACTTTTTCCTCACATCTATAATAGTGCAGAATTTAAAAAATAATCAGTTTGTATTTTTTTCATATAAATTTAGTGTTTTCTTGCCTTGTTTAAGACAAAAGACGTCTTGAAGATATTTTCCCAATTTTATTCTAAAATTCGTGAAGTTTTCTTTCCAAATTTATGTTTTAATCCACTTGGAATTTATGTCTGTGACTGCTGGGAGGGGGGCGATATAATTTTAGGGGTACTCAATTGTATCAGGACCACTTACTAAATATGCCGTCTTTTCTCCACTGATTTTTTTAAAGAGACTTTTCTCATTTATTAAATTTTAGTTTATATGAGAGTCTGTTTCTGAGCTCTCTGCTCTGTTGGCTTACTTGTTCATCCCTTATTAATGCACTGTCTCAATAATTTTACTTTATAAAAAAATCTTGATTTTTTTTGCTACTATAAACCATGCAGCAAATAACCTCTCTGAACATAAATCTTTATTACATTCTTATTTTTGTTTCTATAGATACCTCGAAGTGTAATTAAATAAAGTGAGGGACAGGACCAGCAAGCCCTGTCCCTCACTTTATTTATCTATTTCAGGAGTATCTTGGCGATTTGTGGGCCTTTTCTCTTCCATGTGAATTTTAGGACCAAATAAAGATTTTAATAGAATTGTATTTTTTTCAAAGACTTATTTCAAGAGAATTGATGTCTTTTTAAATCTTGAGTCTTCAGGCCAGGCGCCGTGGCTCATAATCCCAGCACTTTGGGAGGCCCAGGCGGCTGGATCACAAGGTCAAGAGATGGAGACCATCTTGGCTAACACAGTGAAACCCCATCTCTACTAAAAATACAAAAAATTAGCCGGGCGTGGTGGCGGACGCCTGTAGTCCCAGCTACTCGGGAGGCTGAGGCAGGAGAATGGCATGAACCTGGGAGGCGGAGCTTGCAGTGAGCCGAGATCACGCCACTGCACTCCAGCCTGGGCGACAGAGCAGGACTCCCATCTCAAAAAAAAAAAAATTGAGTCTTCCATCCATGAACATGAACATGTTTTATTTCTCTATTTATTCAGGTCTTTTCTTGCTTCAACATTGTAATTTTCTTAATAAAGGTTTTATATAATATTTATTAGATTTGTAGACATTGTACAGTTTTTGTTGATTTTATGAATGAAATTCTTTTTCCCACTAAGTTTTCTAACAGTGTATTACTTATTTATAGGCATCTATTGAGTTTTAATAGCTTTATTGTTCACACAGTGTACAATTCACCCATTTAAAATGTACATTTCAATGGTTATTAGCTTACTATATTCAAAAATTTGTGCAACCATCTCTATAATCAAGTTTAGAACATTTTCATCACAGCAAGAAACCCAGTATCCTTCATTTCCCCGCCTTCTCCTGTCCCTCCCTACCTCCTCCAGTCCTAGGCAACCACTGATCTACTTTCTTTTTTATAAGATGGAGTCTTGCTCTGTCGCCCAGGCTGGAGTGCAGTGGTGCGATCTTGGCTCACCGCAACCTCTGCCTCCCAGGTTCAAGTGATTCTCCTGCCTCAGGCTCCCAAGTAGCTGGGACTGTAAGTGCGTGCCACCATGTCCGGCTAATTTTCGTATTTTTAGTAGAGATGGGGTTTCACTGTGTTGGCTAGGCTGGTCTTGAACTCCTGACCTCATGATCCACCTGCCTCAGCCTCCCAAAGTGCTGGGATTACAGGTATGAGCCACCGTGCCCGGCCCACTGATCTCCTTTCTATCTTTTTATGTCTCTCTCTTCTGGGCCTTCATATGAATAAAATTATATATGATGTAGTCGTTTGTGACTGGCTTCTTTCATTTAGCACAATCTTTTAAGGTGCTTTTCATGTTGTAGCTGTATTGGTACCTCCTTTCTAAGACTGAATAATATTCCGTTATTCAGCACTATGAATATGGATATGGATACAGATATATACTGTTGATTTTTACCCATTGATTTTGTTTCTAATAACATTGCTGAAAGCTTTTATTAATTTTACTGATACTCTTTTTTTTTTTTTTTTGAGACAGAGTCTTGTTCTGTCAGCCAGGCTAGAGCACAGTGGCATGGTTTCCGCTCACTGCAACCTCCACCTCTCAGGTTCAAGTGAGTCTCATGCCTCAGTCTCTAGAGTAGCTGGGAGTACAGGCGTCCGCCACCACACCTGGCTAATTTTTGTATTTTTAGTAGAGACGGGGTTTCGCCATGTTGGCCAGCTGGTTTCGAACTCCTGACCTCAAGTGAGCTGTCCGACTTGCCCTCCCAAAGTGCTGGGATTACAGGCATGAGCCACCGTGCCTGGCCAATATTCATTTTTAATGTAGATTTTCTATAGACACTCCTCTCCTCTGCCAGTAGGGGCAGTTTTGTAAATTCTTTTTTTTACTTTGTGCATTTCTTTTTCTAATCCTTGTCTTATTTCACTGTCTAGGACTGACTGGAAATGTTGATATAAGCATTATTGTCTTACTCCTGACTTTAATGCAATTGCTTTTAAGATTTTACCATCGAATATAATGTTACCTATAGTGTTTTAGTGAATACACTTTTGAGATTAAGACTGTTACGTTTTTTCTTTTTTCTTCATTGGATAGGCATAAATGTTTTACTGTTGATAAGATGTTTTTCATGACAAAGTTAAATTTTGGCTGTTTTCCATCTATGAGATGATCAGATTTCTCCCTTTAATCTACTAATGTGGTGTGTTAATGAAAAGATTTTCTAATATTGCATTCCACATCATTAAACAATTCTCTAACATTTTTCAGCATTCATTCAACATCTTCAATCCTTCAATGTTATGGGTTGGAGATCTATTATGTCAGGTGTAGAAATAAAGATAAATAACACATAGTCCCTTTCTTCAGAAAGCCTATCATTTCTTTTGAAAAGTAAGAGAATGAGAAGGGGGCCTGTAAGTAACATGTATTCAGTGTTTGCTATGTGCCAGGTATTCTTTTAGATGCTTCAGAAATGTATTCTGATTTAATTCTCCCAACAACTCTATATGATAAGTACAATAATTTTATCCATTTTATATATTAGATATCTGAGGCTTCCAGAAATAAGTGATTTGCTCAAAATCAGCACTCAAACCAAGACTCCGTGGCCCTAAAGCCCAGGCTCTTGCAATATAAGTATCATGGTTATTGAAAGCACGGAGAGTCATGTTTAAGTTAGGTTTATGATTTCCAGAAAATATTGGATTTAAATGATTCCTTCAATGAGGGGGCAGGCATGAGATAGAGGGGAGTGGTAGACAGCAGTTGAAGCAGAGGAGGCTATGGGAGGTGAGCAAAATCTCAGGGTCAGGAAAGCACAAGATAGCCCAGGGACCAAAGGGTAGACCGGTTAGCTATGATGTATACATTGTGTAAGATGATGTTGGGAAGTAAACGTAGAGAGATAGATTAGCAGATTATCCCATGAAAACGCTTGTGATGACATGCAACACAGATTGGAGTAAGGAAAGCCAGAATCTCAGCAGGAGGCCGTGGCTACTGTCAAAGTGAGCAATAGTAACAACTCTTCCTTTGCTCCTCATTGATCTTAGGATGGAGTCCAACCAAATACCTTACCTTGGTTGACTAGACCTGACATAGTCTGTCCCTTTCTTTCTTCTCCAGTCTCATCTTACCCCTTGCCCTCTCAGCTCCAGCCTCATTGGCCTCTCTGTTTCCTGAACCTCCTATATTCCTTTTAACCAAATAGTCTTAGAATAAATTGTTCCATCAGTAAGCAACTTTCTTCCTCTTCTGAGCAGGACACCTCCATTTGTCTAGTCAATTTCTACTCATACTTGATGTTTCAATCCTTAATTGTGTTCTTCTCTTTCAGGAGTACTAATTTCAGTGTATAGCTCTATTTTCATTAGAGTTTTCCTGAGCGATGCTTGTCTCTTCTCCCAGGTTATAAATTCTGTTGCTGGAATCGGGAAAGTCTGAGTCTGTTTTTGCTTACCTAATTCCTAGCACAAAGCCTGGCTCAGAGTAGACACTTGATATATATGCATAGTTGTTAAATGAATGAATAAAAAAACAATTTATCTGAACTATGGAGGGTGAAGTCAGTAGAAATAAAATGAGTAAGGAGGAAAGGAGATTGCTTTAGAACTCTCCTTTTTACTTGTTAGAAAGAAGAGCTGACTTACTTGGTGATTGACTGAACATGGGGATGAAACAGGTGAAGGAATTAGGAATGGTTTTCAAGCTTAGCTTCCAAATGAGTAATTGAGAGAGAAGTATTATTAACAGAAACAGGGAATCCAGAAAGATGATGAATTTAATTTTAGATATATCAAATAACTACGAAGACCCTGAGGAACATATCCAATAGGCGTTTGCAGGTCAGAGTAGTCATATACGGAGATACAGATTTGGGACACGCTTTCAAAATGAAAAGCCATCCATTTAAGAAAGTGGAATTAACTAGAGAAACAGAATAAACAGAATAGCAGAGGCCCTGGGAACTTCATATTGACACATGTCTATTGAAGGAGGCAGTAAAGAGAAGAGGAGTTGATTAAGGTGACAGAGCAGCAGACGGGGATGACATGAGGGTTGAGTACTGTCACAGAAGCCAGAGGAGAAGTGGATCCCACTGAATGGAACATCAACATTGCAGAGGAAGAACGAAGACCAAAAATTAGGCATTGACCTTTAGACAATTCCTCATTGACCTCTGGGAGTAGAGTTTCTATAGAACACGAAGTGGGACAAAATACTGATTTTCGGGAAAGAAGAGACTGCTTGTACAGACCACTGATTGAAGAAGTGTGGCAATGGCAAGCAAATATGAATAGGATTGTAAGTAGAGTGAATGGTGGAGGAGACATCAAGGAACATTTCTCGAGTTATTAGAAGTCTGTACATGCTTATAAACACAGAGGAAGTCTGTGGACAGGAGAAATTGAAGGTGCAGTTGAATGGGAAAAGGGAGTATACAGGGCCAGCCGTGCTTATTGAGGGAGGAGTTTTCCAGAAGAGATGAAATAGGTGGTGTGGCTAACTTGAGTAAAAGAGCTTGCTCTCTCTCTGAGACTATCATTTCTCATCAAGACTGCGGAAGAAATTGAGGAGGGAGGGGAAACTGAGTGCGCAAAGGAAGTGGAGTAATAGGGAACAGGCTTCACATTCCCAGCATTCTCCACTTGCACAAGCTCACACTGGGGAAAAACATGAGTTGTTGCCCTGGAGCAAGCTGCCTGTCTGCCAGGCCAGTAGTGAACCAGCCCCTTTCAAATGCTCCAGACCTATGAGAACCAAAAAAAAAAAAAAAAAAAAAAAAAAAAGGAGAAAAAAAGGTAGCTTCAGGGCTGACACATGGCAGCTGCGTTCTGGGAGTTGGGCTACTGCTGGCCCTGTCCATGCCCCTCTCTGAGGGCTGTTGGAAGAGGCGCTTTCTTATGTACACAGGTGGAGGAACCCACATTTCCAATCTCCAGCCCCACCTCTGGCCCAGCCCAGCTGCAGACACCCTTCCTTTGGGCTGTGAACTCGACTGCATGGTCAAGCCTAGGGCAGCCTGAAGCCAGTAATGAAAATCCCTGGCATTTCCTCTCATAACCATTTCCAAAGGGCTTTCCCCAAATATGATCTCATTCCATTCTCATGGCACCACGGCATTTTCATCTCCAATTTAGAGATGCCAATCACTAAGCGCCTCTAGAGAGGCCATGCAGTTAATGGTATCTAGGGCTGCTGATTTGAAAACCCGGGCTCTTCCAGCCATCTCACATGGTCTGCATCTGACTGATCTCCTTTGGTGGTGAGAAGGTGGGCTCTGGGGTTTGGGAGATGAGAATGACGAAAAACACCTGTATTAGCCATCCCGCCTGAGTTGCCAAAGGTAGCCACCTCCGTCCGTGGGTCAGGAAGCCATTTCCATTTCTGCTAGAAGGAACTGATGGTGCCTATAGATTGAAAATCTTCCCATGAAAAGAGAAGCAGAGCAGGCAATTGTTATGTGTTTGGTGGTGTTGGTATGTGGGGCATGAAGAGGAAGGAGAAATGTCTAAGACTACATTCACCAATCTTAAGCAAACTTCATTGCTTGAAACACAAGAGGGAAACGGCTGACTTCCTTCGTCTTCACCTTGGATGTGTGAAGGTTCACCCCAGGTGAAGGGCACTGACCAGATGTGTGACCTTGGGCAAGTCACTTCATCCCTTTAGGCTTGAGCTTCCTTTCCTGGAAAACAACGAGACTGAAATAAATGCCTAAGGTCTTACTAACTCGAATAGTCTCTGAGTCCAGGATTCTTAGGAAAATGGAAATCATTAGAGCAGGAAGGGAAGAGTTTCTTCTTGGGGACTTCTGGTTCAAGGCCTGCCTTCCTGAAGGGGCAGTTCAATCATTAATAGGTCTGTGAAAAAGCATCATTTTCTTAGGGATGGAGCATGCCCTTATACTATTTGCAAAACTAGCTAACTAACTAACCAACCAGCTAACTAACCACCTAACTAACCAACTAGCCAATTAACTACCTAACCAACCAGCTAGCTAGCTAACTAACTAACTAACTAACTAACTAACTAACTAACTAACTAACTAACTGAAACTAACACCTGAACAGCAGCCACAGTGTGGGGAAGGAGCAATTGCAAATACCCTTTTCTTCCATTGCAAACAGGGACGGCTCCAGCAGTTGGATGGCAGCCCTGGGTTTCCTGACATAACCTGTAACTGCTTGGTGCTCTTCAGCTTGCAGGGCACAGGCAATTTTGGTTTCATGCGGCCATGCCAAGTGCAGACAGAGGCCCCAGCTGCACTTTCAGTCACGTGACCTGGTGACTCAGGCCCTTTCTGGTTCCTGCTTGTCAGGGTATGGGAAAGGTGAGAAACTACTTTGCAGTGGCTCTTTGGGAGGGTCTAGGGATGAGCAATAGTTTGTTATTATACAGGTTGCCCTGAACCCTTTTTATATGAGCATAATAAAGTTATCTTATAACCCCAGAATTGCCGTTTTCAGTTGATGTCTGCAGAGTTGCTGTGTTCATCTCCTGTCTCCAGGAGTAAGCCAAAGTCATCTGAGGGGAAAAAAACAATCTACATTTCACCACTTCCTTTAATGAAATAGTTTGGTATTTAACCACCTCATCACCAGAAATGTCTTTTATGCTAACCTGAATCCACCCTGCCATGTTTAAGCATAATTCCTCTTACTTTGGTAGACAGAGTGGAAAATTTGTTCCACAATGGCAGGAATGTCTACATAACCTTAAGAGAAGATGCTAATTCCAACTTTATTTTCTCTTCTCTGCCTATCTGTAGCCTCTGTTCTTTCAAACTAGGTTTCAAATTTACCTCTTTTAGGAATCTTTCACTGTTGAACCCCTCCTTTCTACAGAAGAGACCAGAACACACAGGCTCAGAGTTTATTTTCTAATGCGTTTGTTCTTATTGATGTGCTATTTTGAAAACGCTTTTGAGTCTATTTCAGGGCACAGTGCTCTGTATTTGCAGGTGGGATGGATTCTCTTTAATGCAACTGTGGTGTTGTGAAAAGCGCTGTGGCCTCGGAGTCAGGAATCCTGGATATGTCACTTACCAGCCGTTACTTGAGGCAGGTTCCTCAATCTCGGAGAGGTTCAGATTATTCCTCTGGAAATCAGAAAATGAGGCTCTAACTCCTGGAGTCACTGTGAAGATAAATGAAGGAATGTATATGAAAGTGCTGAGGATAATGGCTTGCATTTAACAGGTTGGCCCATTGACACTCACTCACATACTCTGAGGGACCAAAACTTCTATTTCTATTGTTTTTCTCCATAAGGCCTCACTACACTGCTCTGTCCACAGCATAAGCTTAATGAGTGCCACAAACTGACTATCTATTTGGTACCTAAGAACAAGCAAGCTGGAAAGGGCTTAGGGCCACTTTACGGTCTGGGTGAAGTCTTGAGAAGTCCAGGATGCGGGTCCCCCTTCCAAGTAGGTCACAGGAGATGGCTCAGTGTGTGTCTCTGAGCCAGGGAACCGGATAAGAGGCAGGATCCATGAAATAGGAATCTAGGGGTAACAGAGGATTTGGTCCTAAAAGAGATGTCTGGTGCAGGCATGTGCCAGAGAAAAAGGGGCCAGCAATGTTTCTACTAAAACCTATTCCTTGTAACTTCACCAGCTCTTAGAGTTCACCTTTGCACTGCCGGCTCCATTTTCCTGCGTCACTTCAACAAGCCAATTTCCGGTCCTTATTGGGACTGTGGGAGGTGGGGTTTCTTTATCCAGGTGCTCAGTTTGATTACCTAGGAGAGATAGATGTTATTGATGTTAGAGTAATTTCTTTTCCCTGGGAAACGCAGGCTTTCACCTCTGCCTGGTTCCTTAGCCCTTCCTGCACACGCAGGTCAGAGGCTTGGAGATGGCTGTGGCCATGCTCTAGTGAGTGCAGGTGACAAATCCCAACACTGATCCAGTTTGACTCCAGGGTGAAATGGGCAGGGATGACTCACAGGTTGAGGAACCCGCTCCACAAAGGCTCTGTGGAAGGAAATGATGTCTGGGTGGGAAACGGGCTTGCAGCCTTGGGATGAACTAAACCTGGAGAGATTACTGAGGGCCAGGGAGGGGTTTATTTATAGAGGGTGAGGCCTTCTCTTTTTCCCACTAGGCCAGATGAATGGAGAGGTGAGGAAAGAAGCCTGTTGGGAGGCCACATCTATTCCCCAGCTCATCTCTTCAGTCAAAGCCTGGCAGAAGCTGCTCATTTATTTTTCTACCACCAATTCCCTGACCCAGTTCCCTGACCCAGGATAGGATATCAGGTGGTAAATCAATGCTTGCATGTGGTGATTTTTGTTTTGTGGACCCTCAGATGCAGACAGCCAAGCTAAACACATTCCTCAGCCACACTGTTGTTAGTAGGCTGTGTAAGGTCACATTCTGGTTTTATTTTGGTCATTTGCTTTTTTCCTTTCATCCCTTATCTTCACTTCCATTTCCCTTCTGTACCTCCCTTCCCTATTCCACACTCTACCTGTACCCCTGACTCACTCATGGCATTCTAATGACAGAACAAGAACCCCGTGCATGTGCCCCTATGGCTTTGGCAAGAGCTTCTCTGGGCGTATACCAGCCTGTGGGATCGTTGGGCCATAAGGCATAGGAGTACTTCATTTCACTAAATACTCCCTGGTTGCTCTCCAGAATGGCTGCGCTCCAGCAGTGAATGAATGAGCCTGTTTCCTGGAATCTTCTCCAGAACTTGCTATTACCTGGCTTTCTAATCTTTGTATACTGGGTGTGTGTAAAATAGTATATCATTGTTTTTAAATTTGTGTTTTTCTGATTTCTAGGAGGGTTACATATCTCATCTCTTACTTGTTATCTATTCTCTAATTTGTGTATTACATGTTTTGCCATTGTTCTTTGGGGTCTCCAGTCTTTTTCATGTTGATTTGCAGGAGTTTTTGCATATATTAGATATATAATTATCTATGTATGTAGATACTATAATTTTTCGGGTATTGTTCTTATCCAGTTTTGGAAGCGAGATTATACTTAATAGCCTTGTCAACTGATTACTTTTTTAATTTCTATAATGGTTATCTATGCAAACCTTCAATTTCTTCTTCTGCCAGTTTTGGTACTTTATAAATTCACTATAATGTGTCTAGGTGTGGACCATTCTCCCCATCTGTGTTGTACAACATTCCATAAGTCTTCCCAATTGAAGTCTCTCATTTTCTTTAATTCTAAGAAATAATATTTATTTCCTTAAGTATTTTCCCCTTTCATTTTTTTTGGTCTTTTTGGAGAGCATCTGCTGTATGGTTAGTGATTCTTTTACTTCTCTAAATCTAACTTCCACTTTTGCTTCTTTTTTAGAAAGAAATTAAAATTATATGGTATTTATTTATTTACTCTTAATAAAAATAAGTCTCATAGTATTCCCTTGTATGTATTTCACTTCTTCCTGGAGTACTTCTTCTAAGAGAATATTGAAAGAGGTTTTACGTGTGCCTGAGATAACATTAATTTGCCCCCAAATTTAAAGACAGTTTAATTGGAATTAAAATTCTAGGTTGAAGGTTTGTCTTTCAACACTGAAAAAATTATTCTATTACCCCACATCCAATGTTGATAGTAAGGATTCCTGGTTGTCCCCCAACACCTCCCACCCTGTCCCAGGGGATCTGAACCTTCTCTCTGGAAATCAAGAGAATGTGGAGAGGATCTTTGGAGGCTTAGTGATGGTGTGCTGTGTGGATTGCAGGAGTGGCAAAAGGACCAAGAGCTAATAGGGTGGGGTGGGCAGGGCAAGGCACAGGGAAGGAGATGTGCAGGCAGGAGGTGGCTGGCAAGGGCTGATTTTTCCTGCAGAAACCTGGAAGGTTACAAAATTCTCAATTTGGAGGACTCAAAAACTCTAGATTTGATGGTGAACAGGAGTGAGATGTGGGCTGAAACTCCCCACTTCTCTACCCTATCATGGGGGATGGATTGCTCCTCTGTAAAGAAACTGAACAACCTGCTCCTGGTGTGGGAGCTGATGCCACATCCAGGCTCCATTCCCACTGACCCTGTAGTGGAGCCGGGTAGTCTGCATGACCTCCAGTGTACTTTGAGTTCAGCCAGTTTTGCTTGCATCACCAACTGGTAGGCATTTGAAAGAAACTATGAAACACAATTAAGAAAAAGAGAAATGACTCCACAGGAAAACAAGTTAATTCAGGATACATGAGGAACTTGAAAGAAACTCAAATTTGTATATTCAGAGACATTTATGAAGATATCACATCAATTAAAAGAAAAGAATGCTATAAAAACAATAATTAAAAAGTTGGAGGATAAAATAGAGGAAAAGTAAAATAAAAAGACAGAGATTAAAAAAAAAATAAAAAAGAAAAGGACAAAAAAGGTAACACATAGACTAATCCAGGGAACCAACATCTAACTGATAGAAGCTCCAAAAAGAGATGAAGACAAACAGATGAGGGAAGGAATTACAGAAAAACATCACAAGAGAATTCCCCAGAGTTGAAGGACACAAAATTTAAGGAAGACATATTCACCTTGTGCTCACTACAATAAAGAAGAGTTGGCAAATGAAACAGCATAAAATTCAGGACACTAATACTGAAAAGAGAGTTCTTAAATGTTTTCTGAGAGAGAGAAATGGAGAAAAAATAATGCCAACCTACAAATAAATGAGCTCCAAAGTTTTCTAACAGCAGCACAGTTTGCTAGAAAACAGTTTTTAACTGCTTTAAATTATGAAGGAAAATGGTTTTCAACTAGAATCTTTATTTTTTTCTTCTTCTTATTAGATGAATATGCTTGTGTATCAACTAGAATTATATACTCCTCAAGAATATCTATGAAACTTGAAGGCAGAGGAAAAGACATTTTGAGACAGATAAGAAGTCAGAAGGCTTAACTTTACACACCTTTTTTTTGGAAGTCATTTGAAAACACACTCCTGCAAAATGAGAAAGTAGAACAAGCCAGAGGAAGACATAAAATTCCAGAAGCAGTGTATTCAACCTGGAATCATAGTGAAGAGTAACACACAATGACAGTTTTGCTGCAGGTCTGGAGAGACCAGTGACACCAGTATAGATTTTACAGCCTTTCAGGAAACACTAATTTGTGTCTTCAAATGTTTTTTGATGACATGTAAGCACAGAGACGTTAAATCAGTTGGCCAAGATCACTCAATGGTAAGCAGTAAGTTAGCGATCCGACTCAGCCTGTCAGGCTTTGGAGGCTGAGCTCTTACCTCTTACTATACAGTGCTTCTCCTGGTAACCTGCCTTAATGTTATTAACGGTTTCCATTAGGAAAATGAAAATAGTGATATGTTCCATGTATGCTAAACCCTCATTTATTATAGTCAGAATGCAAAAAAACGCTATGTAAAATTGCTAAATTAAGAAATAGCTTTATAGAAATCAAGAAACAGTTTTTAGAGAAATAAAAGTAATCACCAGGAGAGAAAACTCAAAGAGAATGCAAGGTGATTAGGTAGAGGGAGTGGGCAGGGGGAAGCGGAGAGGGAAGAGGAAGGGAAGAGACTGTTGCTTTGCATTTTAAATCCCCTGCACCTTAAAAAAATTAAATTATGTGCATGAATTACTTTGCAAAACTGTACATTTGTGTATCTTTTAAAAGGGTAAATAGGGCTTGTTTGGAAGATAAGCCAAAAGGGGAATGATAGTAATGTTCAAAGGGTGAGATGAGTTGGAAGTTCATGGCCTGATAGGGAGTGGTGTGATCTAGTGGCTGGACTCTAGGGAGGTTGTTTTGGCAGTGGGTGGGTGGGGGGAAGAGGGGGAGCGGCTGGAGGTGACTCTGGAAAAGTGGGCTAAGGCAAGGCTGTGGAAAGCATTGAATGCCATGCTAAGAAGTTTGGAATTTCCTCTGTTGACCATGGGGAACTATGAAAAAAAGTTTTGAGCAACATGATTCCATCTGTGTTTCAGAGGAATCATCCTTATGGCAAAATGTGGTAGGATTTGGAGTGTGGGAATGGCAGGAAGCGGGAAGGCCAGATCAGAGATGGTTACAAGCTTAAGGGACTCTTTAGGGTCCGAATTAAGGCTTTCAACCTCTGTAGAAAACTGAAGTTCCATAATTGCAACTTGAATCAAAACTCTTCTACCACTTTCCTCGCCCTCCTGTGGACTGGGGTGTCCTCTGCCCAGGAAGACACTGATGGGGCGGTAGGGTGGTGGTGGGTGGGCCACAGGGAACTGCCCACCCCTCCTCATTCAGGGGCCACTAGAACCTCCTGTCTGGTCCAAATCTCACTTCAGATTTTTAGAATCTTACTACAAACAATTTTTTGGCCACATTTCAAGACATGTCTTAGTTTTTAGCACAGGATTTTTACCAATCTCTCCCTAGCCCCCTCCACACCCTTTAATGATTCCCTTGGTTTTTATAAGTAGGTTTCCAGTTTTTTCCTCCTGCCTGCCAGCTCATCTAAGAAGTAGGATTTTTTTTCTCCTTTTTTATTATTGGTATTTAAAAAATAATAAAATGGAAAAAATGAATGTTTTTGCACTTCTGGCCTCTTGCTTTCGAGGTTCACACCCACTGGCGCCCTCCCTCTGAGGCTCACTAACATTCCACACTGCTGGGCGTGTGTCTGTGTGACTAGGATTCCTTGGCTGTTGTCTCCTGTCATCATAATTTCTCCCTTACCTCCTCACCTACTTGCATTCCTCCCTTTCTCCCACCCTCTGGTTGCCAGGCAACACAGCTGAGGGGCAGGAGGAGCTGGCAGGCAGTGCCCCCATGGAAATACTGGCTGCCTGTCTTCCTCTCCCAGCAGCTTGGCTGGGAGTTGGGCAATTGCTGAAGGTCAAAGGCAGCCATCCATAGTTGTGTCATTCCCTCCACTAGGTATAAACCTGACACAATCAGGGAAATACTTGAAGGTAGGGAATGGGGTAAAGTAAGGCAGTTAGTTTTCCCTTCACACCCAAGAGGCTGGCGTGACTCCTGCCTTCCGGCAGAAGAGGGTAAAGGTGGAGATGAATTGGCCTTTCTGCGTTTCAGAAATGTGAATTTCATTTCCTTCCACACCTCTCTGTCCAGTGGCTGGGCTTGAGAATTAGAGTCGACCCGGCAAAATGACAAATTCACTTGTTAGCAGAGGTTGAATTTTTTGAGTTGGGGCCCATTTCTCTAGTACCAAACATGATCTGGGGACTCGCAGCATGGACAGCCTCTGGGAGCTTGTTAGGAATGCAGACCTCAGTCCCATCCCAGACCACCGAAACAGAAGCTGTAGTTTTTCAGAATGACTGGGTAATTTGCATGCATGCTGATCAAATACTGTCGATTCGGTCTTGTGTTCTTGAGACTTCTTCCTTTCTCCTGCTCAGTGGGGCGTCATGGAGTCCTATGTTGGGGTCTTTCATGGGTTTACGGAGAGATGAGTGAGCAAATGCAGAGACTGTCTCAGCCTGACACAAACCCCTTCCCCTTTCTCCATCTATCCTTACCCTACACAGGTATGAGACAAGGCATGTCCAGATATGTTACCTCCCTTATCCTCACACACTCCTGTGTCTATTTTTAAACAACGAATCCCAATTTTATTGATGAAGAAATGACCTAGGTTGTTGAAACTTACAGAGCTTCAATGGACTCGCCCTGGTGATTACTGAACAGCTTGCTTTCACCTTCCTTTGGTATGTGTCCTAGGCTAGAAATTCTGTCCTTTTAAACACGTAGCTCCAAAGAGTCATTATTGAAAAAAAGCAATCAGAAACAGAATGTTGGGTTTGGTTTGAGTCATAAATTCCACCATGTAGGGATGAAATTAAGGACTTTTTCCTGAGCCTCTGCAAATGATTCCAGTAGTTCAGAGGCCCTTTTGAACAAGAGGTTACATGGATTGGGTTTCAAAGAAAAGAATGTCGAAAGACATCTTCCAGCTGAGAATGGGCTCCAGATGTGAGCATTGCTCTTCCAGATGTGTGGACGAATGGAGCGGGACTGAGATGCCTCACATGTCTGCAACATGAAATGGAAAATCCTCTCTCAGCCACAGGGGAAAGTAGGACAGGGGGAAGACAAATGGAATCCAAGTTAAACTCTTCAAGGTGGGGCCAGACTAACTCTAAGAAATCATTCCCAGGTGGGCTGATATTTTACGTATGCAGTATGTGTAGAGGCCACACCTCAAACTGTGCTGCTGAGCAGAAACTCAGAAGGTATTGTGTCTGCAGGAACTCACTCTTCTCAGACCTGCATAAATCTGATTCAGCCCCTTAGAGGAGCCTCACTGAGAACTGTTGAGACTACAGGCAGATCAAGCAGGACAGGCGGCGAGACTTACTCAGCGGAGCTGAGAACAGAGCCCAGAATGCGGAAGGGGAAGGAGCCAGGAGTCACACAGTCCTTTCTTTCTTCAGCTTCTGAATCAGCAACTCATTCTCTCGGGGATCGCTGGGTTTGTTTCTTTACAATGGCTAGAAGGTCCCATGTTTCTCAGATGAGTAAATTTGAAACCACAGAAAACTGAGGCCTTGTGGCCAAGTCCTCTTGGTTTGTCACATCTCTGAAAATCTGAGCCATTGTCAAACTCCTGGCTGCAGGGAATTAAACCCTTTATTTCCCTCTGCCAGCATCTTCACCTTCTCCAGGAAGATCTGCCAAAGGACTGCTCCAGGTGCAGGTCCACCCACCTCCCCACTTTCCCAAACCTTCCTCCTTTTCCATTTAGAGACTGTCCCTGAGTCCCAATTTCCATGTCACTCTGGAAGTGTGAAAGTGATCTTTATTCCCCATACCTTCTCTATTTTTAAGCAACACAGTTAACTCACTCTGTACTGGTTCAGCTGGTGAGGATCCATATTTTTATTTTCCCCTAAGAGTTCCCAGCCTCTAAACAATACATTCTGACAAAACAGGTTAATTTAAGTTGCTAATTATTTACATTATTAAAACATTATTACATTTGCACATGTAATAATGTCTACATACTGATTACACACACACACACACACACACACAAACCTAAACTGGCATAATCCCTGGTTAATATGCTAATAATAAAATTGATGATTACTAAGTTGAAAAAGTTAATTAGCTGTCTTCTGTTTTTGTATGTGGGGCCTAATCCTCCCTGTGATCTTGGGCCCAACACATTTCTCAAAGGCCACACCAGTCAGAAGGTAGATTTTCCAGTTGGAAGGTATTGAGAGCATTGCAGGGGTAAACCCAGTACCAGTCCACCCTGGGAGGACATATGTCATTATACTGAGAATCAAGTATCAGGAAGTATAGTATCATCATCATCATCATCATCAATCAATGACTAACTGTGAGTTTATTTCCTTTTGTTTTTATTTTTTAATTTTAATTTTATTTTTTTCTGAGACGGGGTCTCAGTCTGTTGCCCAGGCTGGAGTGCAGTGGCGTGATGTTGATTTACTGCAACCTCTGCCTCCTGGGTTCAAGCAATTATCCTGCCTCAGCCTCCCGAGTAGCTGGGACTACAGGCGTGCACCACCATGGCAGACTAATTTTTTATATTTTTAGTACAGACAGGATTTCACCACATTGGCCAGGCTGGTCTTGAACTCCAACTCCTGACCTCAAGTGATCTGCCCGCCTCAGCCTCCCAAAGTGCTGGAATTACAGGCATGAGCCACCGCACCCAGCCCATTTCCTTTTGTTTTTAATCAATTTAGAACTGAATTCTCAAGCTGCTGTTTGTTTTGATTCTAGGCATATTTTGATATTCCAGTTAGTACCCAATTCAGTTTATATATGTATAAAATTACACACCCTGCATCAAAAACATCTTTACATATTTTTATACTTAAACCCAGTTCAAATTGATTTAAGGCTTAGGAAAATAAGTTAGGTTTAGTTCAGTATGTGGTTTAGAAAATGTGTACACTTTATTCTGGCTTCCAACTAAAACTGTGGTGTGTTTCTTGCCTCTGAATTGGACAGATTTCTATGTTTGGCCTGTATTGTGGCAATGGTGTATTATTTTGTTCTTGTCAGTTGCATTCATCATTATTTTAAAAAGATTCCAGAAAGCCTGGTGTTACAGTTAGCCCACCTTGACCCTAAATGCTGCACTACTGCATTTTGACCAAGCATTGGGATCATAAAAATTATCCACCTTCTGTTTCTAGGCTTTCCCCACAGCTTGCAGCCCAGAGTCAGGAGAAATGGCGTTTTACTTCATGTGCTTCCCTAGAGTGAGCAGGGCTATCCAGACTGAAGGGAAATGGCATTTCTCCTTCTGCAACTCAGGACCCTACTGGATTAATTCTTGCCTAAGAGGGCATCTCAGCCATGTGTTCTCCAGCTCATTAATCCTCAGCAGTGACTAACGCTGAAAACCCAACCCTTGTCTTTGGCTGCCAAGGGTGTAATTTCGCTTGGAATGTTGCTTTCAGTTGACTTGTTCTCTACCTTTCTTTTCACCTGTCTGTTATGCTTAGCTCTACCCTCCTGCACGTGTTAATTCTAATCCTTTGGTGATCTAAACTAAAGAAAATGCCTCAGGAATAAACTTTTTATGGATAAGGTTTTTTTTGTGTGTGCTATGACACCTATACCTCTAATATTAGTTTAAATCTACCATTTCTCGAATGCCTATGTGCCAAGTAACTTACACGTATCACATTTGTTGTTACTAACAACCCAATATAGTGTTGTCCCCATTTTTTAGATGAGAAAACTGAGGCTCAGAGAGTCTGAATGCCTTGCCCAAGGCCCTGCAGCTAGAAATCAGATTAAACCTCGTCTGTCTGACTCCAAAGTTTGTGCTTCATGGACTTCCAGCTCTGGTTCATGTTACCCCAGTAGAGCCCTGTGACTTCAAGAATTTCTCAAATGTCCAAAGCAATCTATTTTAATTCACTTTATTAATAAAGATAATAATTCCTGTCTGTCTCACAGGTGGTATAATGAAGTGAAAGGAAGCAGAAGAGAGTGTTATAGTTGGAAAGGTGGGAAATCACCCCCTCCATGCTGAAGGGAAGATTTCAGGTTCCAAATGACACGTTTCCCTCAGAATGACTTTTGCTGTAGGTATGTGAACCTGCCACCACCCTTTGAATTTGGTGGATTGATTTAACGCTGTATCTGAACCTGACTGAGGAGATTCCTTCCTGGTTCATGACCCCGCTCTTGGAGATGCAGGATCTTGAACCGGAAGACTCTGAGTGACAGAATGAAGAGCTGGAGGAATCAGAGTGAGATACAAGAGGGTTCTAGATTTGTTCCTCATTTTATCAGACAATTGAGTGTTGATCTTCCTTCTGGAACTTGTAACAAGAGAGTGAACGGCAAACATGGACCGTTTACCCTCAAGTTTGTTTTCTTGTGCATACCCCCTCTTCCTGACACCTTGGAAGAACAGCCTCTCTTGACCACCAGAGGACAAGCCTGTGTAGGCGTAGAGTAGATGCGTGGCTGAGTGCATGTTTGCACCCTCATTTCACATCCGTCTATAAAGCATTTGAGGCAGTTCAGACAATAGCATGATCACCAGCTGTGCTGCCATTTCTTCCAACAGTGACCATGGATATCTTTGCTGTGTTCCTGAAACTCTGCAGACAGTCCTAAGGGATCCAGTGGGTCCTCTGATGGACCCCAATGCTGGAAGTCACGCATATAGCTCTGAAGAGTTGTCACAAGAAATGGCGTTTCTGGAGGATGCACAGGAAACTTTTCATTTGGCATGAAAAAGGCTATTGGATTTGCAAAGACTGCAGAGGAAGAGTTTAAATTCTGAGCCCTCAAAACAGATTTTTAGAAAAGTGTCTTCCAACCTTTGTTTAGTACAAATAAAGAAGATAAGACAACACCCTTCCCAGGATCTTTCTCTTGGATTTTTTAATTTTTATTTATTTATTTATTCATTTATTTTTTGCCTATGATGGGGGTACTATTAGGAAAGGGAGATCAAAACCTCTCGCTCCTTAGGTTGTATGTAATGCTTACTCAGGAAATATGAGCCAACATTTTGGAATCTTTATCATTATATATTAGTTGCCTTACTGATGAACTCTACGGAGACTATCGTATTTACCAAAATAGAATGACATCTCTGCAGAATCTTTTATCATAGGATTTCTTGGTCAAATCACCTTCCCTCTAATTTGCAGAGATGAGAATAAAAATCAAGAGAGGTCACTAGTTGAAGAATAAGTCATCAGCAGAAGCTGATGATCTCAGCCTCCTTCAGTCTGGCTTGGAGCCAGGTGATGGGTTCAGCGCACGAGCCTGGCCTTCTTTCCCAGCCCTCAATATGCATATTTGCTGCAATGGGTACATGTAGTTAGTGCTGAAAACAGGTGTGGGGTGGAGCAAGTCCAGTGGCTCTTTAATTATTTGAAAATTTGAGGTCAGTTAAGTTTCTCAATTATTAATGATCATCCTTTGGACATCAATATGCCAAGTACTGCACTTGTCACCCAGAAGAGGAGGTGAGGTTGTGACGTTTCAGCATTTCACTAGGATGGAAGAAGAATCAGGCATGAAGCCACCAAAGAAGGACATGGACGGTCATCAAAATGGCAAAGAAAGCAATGTGAAGGGAGTGCTAAAGGGAAAGGGTGTCAGTGTCCTGGCAGTGTAGCCAGGCTGAGGTTGGAAGAAGCCATGAACAAAGCCTGGTTCAGAGAGAAGGGGAAGCCACGTGGTAACATATTGTCCAGGCAAAGGGCAAGAGTCTTCAGGTGTATTAATGACTGGATAAAGAACGAACATGATTGGAGCCACAGGGCTGTATTGTGCTGCAGCAGGTGCTGACGAGGTGGGGGAGAGTGCGGGTGGAGATATCAGGAGCTATGCACAGGTTCTGAGCCAGATATGAAATGGGCTTTGAACCTAGTTGGTCTGAGCAGCTGCATTTGGTATCAATTAGCATAAAAAACAATTGAAACCAAAGAAATCTGCAAGAGGACAGCTCTAATAATCTAGCATTGAGAAGCATAAAAACTGAACCTGTGTTGAGACATTTGGAATGGAGAAAAAGACCCTAAGACAGGACATAGGGCAGAGGAACTATTAGCCAGGGCTCAGCAAAGAAATGGTGATGGAATTGGAGGAGAGATATTACATGTGTTTTTTGCCTCTTGGAATTTTTGAGCTGGAAGAGCCCTTAGTCTAATATCATTATTTTACAAATGGGAAAACCAAAGCACAGAGGGGCCAGTGAAGAAGTTGTATCTATAGACTTCCAGGTGGGCCAATGAAATTCAATTAGGTCTATATTTTATTTGGAAAATAACATAAATATGTTTTAGGTTTCAGACACAGAAGCTTAATTAACTAATACGGTGTGTCAAGCAGAGCACTGGTTTCAGGCTTTTGACTTTTGCATTCTGATTCCAGAAAACTTGACCCCTGATAAGCTCTGACCCTTGATCCCTGGAGACCTTTGGGAGGTAGTAAGTTACTTTGCATTGGGGCTACTACGGATGGAAAGGATCAGGTTCTCCAAAAGCCACTGGAAAACATGGTGGGGCAGAAGACTGGTGGGATCTCAGAGCTACACCCTGCTCCCTGGGGCTCTGAGATCTGGGAGCGGTCAGGCTAGACTGTATCTTTCCCAGGATGTCCCATTCTGGTCTGGGTCATCTGGCTTCTACCCAGACTCGCGTCAGCCTCCACACTGTGATTATCCATGACACTTCAGCCAGCAGCATCTCCACAGCACAGTTTATCAAAAAAAAAAAAAAAAAAAAAGATCCTTTCCCAGGAACTGGGAACGCGTTTCATTTAGCTTCATTTAAAATACATTGTTAAAGCGATGTGCTCCACGGAGCTGCCAAATGCTATAAATATGTATGAAGTCGCAGTAGCCTCCTACACCCATGGAGAGGCCAGTTTTGGGATGGATAACAGACAGGGGGAATTTTAAGTACATCCTGTTCCACTAACACTTGCTTCTTTTCCATTCTGTTCTTCCTCCTTTTGCTCTCTCCTGCTCACTAACCCCCCTCACCCCAGCAGAAAAAATAATTGCTACGAGGGCTGAGCCTGAAGATTTCTTTTTTTTTTTTTCCTTAAAGTGTTGCAAAACCTTAAAACTGTAAGGGAATAACAGCTTTCCCCACAACACACAAACACAGCTCTCCTCTGGCAAACAGGAAACACTCCCAGGGCTGTGGGCTCCTGAGCCAGGAAATGGGTCTTTGCTGCTCTGGTTACCTTCTCCTCAGGTTCTTCCTGGGCATTCAATGCAGTTAAAAATAGTAACCACCAAAACCAGAAGAAAAGATGATTTCATTGTCTAACCGCTGCAACTTGTGGCCTGATTTGGGTGGTGGCAGAGAGGGAGCTAATCCTCTGAGTTGGCGCCTTGGGAATTCTCTTAGGGTCGAGCTGGTCCCTGCCCCAGGATTTCAAAACGGGGTATCCCTGAGGAGCCAGCCCAGCTCAGGAGGGCGGCGTGTTAGGCAGAGCCAGCTTACCACACTCGTGCACACTGTGGGTGAGGCAGCTGGTGGAAATGCAAGATCTCTCCGTGGCCCAGCCTGTGAGCAGTGCAGGTGGCACACACCCGCCCTGGCTTGGGAAGGCAAGGCTGGGGGCGGAGCCTGTCTGCTATCTGAGCTAGTCATTCCTGCAGTGGTCTGGGTAGTGTGCATCCTCAGCTGGCCCTGGCAGGCATAAGAATTTGTAGAGTATGCTCAGTTCCACTCAGCATAGGGAGCTGTCACAGTGACAGGTACAGAAGGGACCCAGTGGGCTTCTAAGGCTATGTGAAGACAAAGATAGTTTGAGAAGGTACTTTATCGGGGAACCTGCCCTGATATTCATGTAGGTTCTTTTCTATTTTCCCTAAGCATTGGCCAGCTTGAGAAATAAAGGGACAGAGTACAAAAGAGAGAAATTTTAAAGCCAGGCGTCTGGGGGAGACATCACATGTCTGTAGGTTCCGTGATGCCCCACAAGCCACAAAAACCAGCAAGTTTTTATTACGGATTTTCAAAAGGGGAGGGAGTATGCTAATAGGTGTGGGTCACAGACATCAAGTACTTTACAAGGTAATAGAATATCACACGGCAAGTGGAGGCAGGGCGAGATCACAGGACCACAGGACCGGGCCTAAATTAAAATTGCTAATGAAGTTTTGGGCACCATTGTCATCGATAACATCTTATCAGGAGACAGGGTTTTGAGATCAACCGGTCTGACCAAAATTTATTAGGCGGGAATTTCCTCTTCCTAATAAGCCTGGGAGCGCTATGGGAGACTGGAGTCTATTTCACCTCTGCAGTCTTGACCATAAGAGACAGGCACACCTGGGGGGGCTGTTTATAAGCCTATACCTCCGGGTGCGTGTTCTCTTTCTCAGGGATGTTCCATGCTGAGAAAAAGAATTCAGCGATATTTCTCCCATTTGCTTTTGAAAGAAGAGAAATATGGCTCTGTTCTGCCTGGCTCACCGGCGATCAGAGTTTAAGGTTATCTCTCTTATTCCCTGAACAATTGCTGTTATCCTGTTCTTTTTTCAAGGTGCCCACATTTCATATTGCTCAAACACACATGCTGTACAATTTGTGCAGTTAATGCAAATATTACAGGGTCCTGAGGCGATATACTTCCTCCTCAGCTGACAGGATTAACAGATTAAAGTAAAGACAGGTGTAGGAAATCACAAGGGTATTGACTGGGGAAGTGATAAGTGTCCATGAAATCTTTACAATTTATGTTTAGAGATTGCAGTAAAGACAGGCATAAGAAATTACAAAAGTATTAATTTGGGGAACTAGTAAATGTCCATGAAATCTTCACAATCCACGTTCTTCTGCCATGGCTTCAGCTGGTCCCTCCGTTTGGGGTCCCAGACTTCCCGCAACAGTACTTGAGGGTCTCCAACAGTTAATCATGTTGAATAAAAGAGAGATCAGTTTTTACAATGAAGAACCTTGCTCCACCCCCTGCCATGCAGATTAAAATCCTCCAAAGCAGAGGTAAATTCACAGTGATGAAAAGATCCACATCCCTCTAAATAGGTTTATGGTCCTTAATTTTTAATTTGCTTTTTTTTTTTTTTTTGAGACAGGGTCTCACCCTGTCATCCAGGCTTGAGTGCAGTGATGTACTCATGGCTCACTACAGCCTCGGACTCTTGGGCTCAAGTGATCCTTCCACCTCAGCCTCCCAAGTAGCTGGGACTACAGGCATGAGTCAGCACACCCAGCTATTAAATTTTTTTTTCTAGAGATAGGGTCTTGCTATGTTGCCGAGGCTGGTGTTTAACTCCTGGCCTCAAGTAAGCCTCCCAAAGTGCTGGAATTACAGGCATGAGCCACTGCACCCAGCCTTGCCACTCATTGGGCAAGAGTTTTAAAAATAAGTTCTGTGTGCCTAGCACCTCCTGAAGTGTTGTGGGGATACAGAAGAGATATAAGAGCTGTTTGCCATCTTTGAGGACTTTATAGTTAAGGAGAGAGAATGAACTCAGCTGAAGCAAACTGGAGACAAGACATGCAAAGCATTCAGCCAGGAAGTCCTGAGTGCCTACCAGACACTGCTCCGGGGAGGGCAGCTGTGAAATAGCATAAAGAAATGCCTGCTGTCAGGAGCTCATGCTCTAGTTGGGGGAGCAGGTGGAATAATAAGTGGGGTATATGCCATATGCTGGCTAATGCTGGATAATGGATAACAGGTAAGCAGAAAAATAAAGTGGCAAAGGGGGATAGGAAGTGTTGGGGAAGGGTTGCAATTTTAGGATAGGTGACTGGAAAAGTTCTTCCTGAGACAGTGACATTTGAGTCGAAACACGAAAGATACAAGTACTGAAACTGCATGGTTCAGGCTGGAAAAGGACAATCGTAGAGTGGTAAATTGGGAAATAAGCAGAGGACATTCATGCAGAGGCTGAGGCTATATCCACACCCTTGAAAGTCGGAAAGGCTTTATCTAGTAAGAAGAAGGGATAAGAGGGACAGAATTGATATGATTACCTTGAAATTTGTATAATCCAATAAATGTTTTCTCTGCTCTGTGTCTTATATATTACACAGTTTCAAGAAAAACAATTCTATTGCCTACTTATACCCTTTGGGTGGATACATCAGCACTTGGACTTTTCCCAGGGATGTCCGGCAGTCCCCATCACAGCATTGGGGACTGGGAGGCAGCACGAGGATTGCTTAGCAATGTCCACCGGGGAGGTAGCCTGGGTGGGAGGGCAGTGGCTCTGCCCTCACCCAGGGGGACATGGGGTTGAGAGTTGCTCAGCCGCTTTCTAACCTTGTGACCTGGTGTGCTAATTTTCTCATCTGTTAGTTGAGAATATTACCTTATTATTATTACTTTTTACAGGGTTGTTATTAGGCACACATTAAGAGCTCAGCAAGTCATACCCATGATTACTGTTATCATGATACCACATAACTATGTGAAACAAAATGACGAGCCGACAATTGTGAAATCTGTCATAAGTCTGAAGGGTGCTAACATCAGTCAAACTTGTATTTCACTGTAGAACTGCCAGCCTCGGGTCAATGACTAAATCAGGCACAAAGAGAGGCTAAATAATGCACCCCTGTCCACCACACTTGGGAGGTGTGGTTGGATGCATGCTCTGACCTGGGGCACCAAGGTGGAGTACTTTGAGGGTTTGGGGCAAGTCCTGGGGAAGAAGAGTGGAGAAGAGGTGGGGAGGAGGCAGGTGGGGCTGACCAAGATGTAGGTCTGAATCTGGCATCAGCCTCCGGGCCATGAACTCCTGTGAACCTTCCTACCAGAAGGTGCTAGCTCACCAGCATCATAGGTTGTCCATCCATCCTTCCCTGGGGAGTGTCACTCAGGAGGGGACCTGGGGAGAGCTGGCACTGAGACTTCTGCTTTCCCATGCACTATCTCTTTCCTTCTTATTGATCTTGACAGTTCACCATGTGAGTGCTCAAAAGCTTATGATAAAAAACCTGATCAACCTGATGGTGAAGCTGTAAGAAGTTTCAGGCATTTAAAACTGGTCTGGATAAGACCTGGGGGAATCCTGTGGTCAGCGAGTTAAGAAGGATAGAAGGCCCTCGGAAGATTGAGAAAAGAAACATGGGGCTGCAGAGAGCCGAGTGTTTCGGAGCAAATGAAAAGTCCATGGTGTGTGCTAGAGGCTCACACTCTGGGTGGCAGGAAGACCAGGTCCTGCTGCAAATCTTACATCGGCTTCTTGAGTGTTTAAGTCACTTTGCAATGTCATGCTCATCACTGAGCTCTGGTCTCCCTTTGAGCACAAGGGACAAGCCAGGCTCTTCACATGCACAATTCTGTGTCCATTGCTGATGAAGATTTCTCTTGACTTCCCATAGGCTGAATGGGCAGGCATTCAAATACTTGATGATTCATTGATCAACAAGGCAGTAACTAGGACTTTTTAACAATCTATTTTTAAGGTTTATTGAACACTTATTACATGCTAGGCACTGTGCTTTACACACATTATCTCATCTTATAAAAACTTTATGATACATGTACTCATATTTGTTTTGCAGGGAAGGAAATGAAGCCTCAGAGAGGTTATGTGATATGCCTCAGCCTCACAGTTAGTAAGAAGGAGGACTCCTGGGGTGGGGTTACTCATTCTGCCTAGGGTGAGGTGGAAGGATGAAATGGCCCCACAGAGGAGGTGACATTGAGACTGGCTCACACCAATGGCTGTGAGCTTGAACACAGTGCAGTACTGCCTTAGCATCCACCAGTGTTTAATTTTTGACTTGTTTATGTCTATCAAAGTAGGTTACCAAGGATGGGTAGATGTGTGATCTTTTGGGGCGAGTAGGATAAGGAGATAAACATATTTATAGTGCACTAATGTTACAACCAATCCATTTTCACAATCTTTCATTCATGTATAAATCGATTTTGTTCAATAAAAATAATAAAGCACGCACTATGTTTAAGCATGGCTGGCCATTGGTGAGGGTTTAGAGACAAAAGATCATTCCTGCCTTCAGGATCTTGCTGTCTCTTGGAAACAGGGAGACAGAAAAGTGAATATTGGTAAACTCAGGTGTACTTAGAGGCTGTGGGAGCTCCCCGGAGGGGCATCAGATTCACACTAGGGCTGCGGGTGTCTTCCTGGGGATGCTGGTGGCCAGGCTGAGTCTTGTAGACTAGGCCAGGCAAGGGAGAGCAGGCCAGGCAGAAGGGCATTTCATCAGGCAGGACATGGAATGCTTGGAGGTTTCAGGCTCAGGCACAGAGAGAGTTCAGTATGGCTGGGACAAAAGGCAGGGAGAAGAGGGTGACAGGCTGGTGGGCCTGAGAGACAGGGACAGTCAGACCAGGGAAGGCCTTGTGTGCTGGCCAAATAGTGGGTCCATATCCTAAAAGCAATGGGGTGCCATTGAATAGCTTGCTACAGAGGAAAGACTTAGTAGTTTTAGAAAACCACTCCGAGAGCAGGGGAGATCAACCAGGACAGGGCAGCTGGAGAGGAGAGACAGGCTAGGAAGCAATGAGAGGATCCAGGACAGTGAGCTAGAAGCAGGCTGCAGAGGGCTTGATTGGGGGAGACAGCTCTCGACACTCACTTGCCCTCCATCTCAAATCAGAAAATACATAGACTGCATTTGTTCTCATAGCATTGTCATATTTAGTTCAAACTAGTATCTCTATTTGTTTACATCTAATGCCTATTGGTTATAACAAACAGTCTACAAACAACAGTATTGGGAGCCTCAGCGGCAGGTATTCTTCAAGGTCTTTACATATGTCATGTCATTTCGTCTTCCTATCAACTTCCTGGGATAGATTTCATTATCTTCACTTTACAGATAAAGAAGTTGAGGCTCAGAAAGTTCAAGAATATGGCCAGAATTGGACATGGAGAGTGGAATAATGGACACTGGAGACTCAGAAGGCGGAGGGTGGGAAGGCAATGAGGGATGAGGAATTACTCAATGGGCACAATATGCACTGTTTGGGTGATGGTCTCACTAAATGCCCAGCTTCACTGCTGTGAAATACATCCATGTAATAAACTGCATTTGTGCTCCCTAAATCTACAAAAATTACAAACAGAAAAGAATTTGCCCAGAGTCCTTCAAAGTGACAAAGCTGGGATTCCAACCAAGCATAGCATTCTCAGTGAAGTCCCATGGTGGGTTTTTGTATTTGTTTTGAAGGGGGTGAATTCCTCCCTTTTTCACCCTCCACACTTTTTAGCTGTATGTTAGCAATCCAGGTCCTTTAAGAAATTCATTTTTATATCTTCAAATTTTCCTAATTAAATAAAGGTCAAAGATTGCACCAGGTGCTGAAATGGAGGTTTTGTAATTTGTAAAATGTTTTCATCTATGTTGCCCTTGCTGGGTCCTCCTATGTTCCACTGAGCTTGGAAAGACATTGTTTTCTCCAGATGATTGATGAGGAAACTGAGGCAGAGAAGCAGACGTCATGTGATTAAATGGCATAGCCTGTGCTATGAATTTATCCTTTGCCTTTTGTCTCTCACTGACTACACTCAGGTGGCAAATGGTATCACATGAACATTCTTTGGTGCATAAAACTGAGGGAAAATGCCATTTAACTCTCCGAATGTTTCTGCCTTGGCATCCAATGCAACTCATTCAAGAAACACGCAGTACCTAAGGTGTCCAGGTACTGGGAGTTCAAAGATGCCCAGCTCAGCCCTTAGGGAGCAAGTGGTGCACAGAAGGATGGACACAGGGGAGCTGAAGGTGCGACAG
Source organism: Homo sapiens (assembly GCF_000001405.40). Taxonomy (NCBI): domain Eukaryota; kingdom Metazoa; phylum Chordata; class Mammalia; order Primates; family Hominidae; genus Homo; species Homo sapiens. The sequence continues at coordinate 13,186,052 of NC_000012.12, forward strand.
GGTGGTAAGTGGCATCCCAGAGGTGTGGCCAGAACAAGCCAGCTCCTGGGGTGGGGTTACTCATTGTGCCTAGGGCGAGGTGGAAGGAAGAGATGGCCCCACAGAGGAGGTGACATTGAGACTGGCTGTGGAGGTAGAACAGCATTTCTTTAGGGAAAGAAGGGCAGAGACAACAACATCAACAGGATCACTGGTTAAGTCTTTGCTATGTGCCAGGCCCTGTGTTAAGAACTTCAGAGATATTATTCATTTGCTACTTTCAATAACTCTATAAGGCATCAACTGGTATTAGGCCCATTTTATAGATGAGGAAATGAAGGCTTAGGGAGGATTTGCACCTAGGCAGTCCGATTCCAGCTCATTCTCTCAACCACCGCAGCACAGGGCAAGCACTCAAGCTAGAGAACAGAGCTTGAGCAACACCTCAGAGGTGTAAAGGTGCCTAGCTCACTCAAGGTGCAGGGTGGATGCAAGGAGGGAGGAGGGCATAGGCCTGAAAGGGGGGTGGGGCCAGTGTGCCATGGGCCTTGCGTGAGTTTATCTTCCCAGCAAAGTTAGATAGCAGTCATGTGATCCGATCTGATTGGGTCTGTGTTTCATCTAGATACTCTGGTGCCACAAACTCAGTGCCTACAGGGGGCCAGGCCCATAAGGCAAATGAGGCAAGCAGGCCAAGCGAGAAGGAGGGGATGTTTGGCAAAGCAAAATTTTATTTGAAATGTCCTGATTTTAAAATATAGGAGACTAATTCAGATTCCTTTTTTAGAACACTTTCAGGACCAAACAAACTATGTGTGTGGGCTGCAAGTTTGCTACTGCTGACATGGAGGATGGATTGGAATAGAGAGAGCTCAGAGGCAAGGGGCTCAGTGTCAGGAGCCCATTGTAACAGTCTAGACAGAGGAAGAAGACTGGAGCATAGGCCACAGCATAGGGAGGAAGTGGAGGGGTCAGGCCTGAGATAGATTTTAAGTAGATTAAATAATATTAGTTGACTTTGAATGTGGAGAGTGGGAGAGGGAGGAGTAAAGGTTGACCTGGTAGATGATGGAGCCATTCATTCATTTAATTTTTGGACAATTATTTATTGAGTACCTACTATATCCAAGATATGGCCTGAGGAGCAGAGCTACCACAAGGAATAAGACACGATACCTTGCTGTGAAGAAGCTCTGAATCTACTGAGAAGGTCTGTTGAAAGATAAGGTCTGTTGAGAGATTTGGGGGCATGTAGGAAGAGCACCCACCCTAGTCTGAAGCAGCAGGGTGTTAGGGAAGGCTCTGCTGATGCAGGAGAAGTGCAGGTGTGAGAGAGAGGGGCACACATTGGATTTTGGATTTGTTGAGTTGGGTTTTAGCTACAGCCCAGGTTGTTCTGTGATCTGATACCACTGCTCTGTGATGCTTTTAGTTTCATGACACGTTAAGAGTCCAGACAGCTTGCTCACTCATATGACACATTCCTTTCTTGAGGTCATGCATTCCCCGTATCCTCTTTTAAGATACTTGGCATACATGTGTATACTGCTGAGAGTGTAGCAGATGCTGGCGTTACTGTCAACGTCCATTTCTTTCCTGGGTCCCTGCCCACTTGTCATCCATCTTAGGTGTTGCAATATTTGCAAGGTGAACCTGGGCTTGTTTGTTTAGATTACTCATTGCTGTTGTGGAGAATGATCTGCTTTCTTTCAGGTATTATGATTATCATATGGTGGATTAATTAGGAGGAAGACACCCTGTGCAGTTCATCACTCCACCTCCTGTCTGAGAGTGCCACACATTCTTTATTCAAACCTGGGCAAGGTTTTGCTTCATTCATTGAACACACATTTGTTGGGCACCCATCATGTGCCAGGCACTGTTCTAGGTGTTTGGGTTGCATTCGTGAACAAAGAAGGGCTCTTACCCTCATGCAGCCTTGCTTTCCTGCAGCCTAAATGATTTGTTCATGTTTATTTCTGTGTTGCTCTTTTGGGATGTGCACAGATGTGTGGCCCCCTCCCAGCCAGAAGAATGTTCCCACCAGTCCCCTCTCAAGTGAGGCTGTGTTCCCCATCATCTGAGGCTGTCCATTCTGTTCCCCTAATATGAATTGTCTGCAGCATGGCAGCTCTTTACCTTGGCTGTTGAAATCTCCACTGTACCAAACAAAACCTTAAATACTTTGCCCAAGTTCTAAATATCACCGTTCCTCTATATACTCTGAAAACAATTTATGTTCTTCTGATAAGATAATTTAACTGTATCCTTAAACCAGACCCTTTATCCTTCCCATGGATCTACTCACCAGATGCACACCTTCTGTCATAAAGCCCTTGTGGTCTTTTGTTCTCTGTCCTCAGCTAAAAGTCCTTCCTACGGGAAAGTGTTCAGATAGACCCAAAAGGGGCCTGGAACTCAGGCTTGAGCTGGTACACTGGTATGGATTTGGCAGAGCAGGATACTCAAGAAAACTTTTCTGGGGAGGTTGGTTTTCACCAGGTCACCTGGGATGCAAAGATAACCTGGGGATGAGGAGCCAAGAGGCCATTGCAGGGGTCATTTGGGCTGGGTGAGTGCCCTGCTCAAACAACAGGGGTGCAGAGACCTCTCGGAGTCATAAGCTGCTCTGTGAAGGTCTAGGAAGCTCTGGCTCGGATTGCTACCAACAGCAGTAGTTAAAAAAAAAACCAATCCTCATATCTGCAATTTCTTCATCTATTTGTACCATCCTTGATCTATGGCAGACACTTCATAGCTTCCAGGAGCCACGAAAAGGCAAGCATTGTAAAGGAAAGAGAAAAGTTAACAGCAAACAAAGAGTTAAAAACTCTAAGAAACTTAGATGCTGTTCTTTAATAGATCTGTGGCTTCGATCAAGCAAGTAGGCTTCCCTGAGCCTTGATTTTACCTGCCCAGTAAGATTTTTTTAAAAGGTTGGAATAGGAGCAGTGTGTGTGCATAAGATGCTATGCAAGTAGAAGTTGTTTTTTGCTGCTGTTGTGATTATTATTTTTACTTTTAGCAGGCTTCCCTCCTAAAGCCTACATTAATCTGGACCTGGATCTTTGGGGCTACTCCAAGGGTTGTCCCTCTGTGGCCAAGGACAGTCCAACAGCCATTACCCAGTGAGCGACCCCCTGTCCTGCCCATCAATCAGCCAGCACTGGGCTGAGGAATCTGTGCAGCTGTGGCCTTGCCACCAGCTAGGAGGGACCTTGCACTTTCTTGCTTCTGCACCAAGGCTGGAAATTCCTTGGCAGGGGCTCCACCAGCATAGACTTGCCTGTTTCACTGCACCCAGGGTGCTGAAGGAACCCCACCATACCAGGATATAGGGAACTATAAGCTCATTAGGGACAATTCACTAGCATACCTCCTGCTGCCCTGCAGAGCTCTGTGTGGGCTCCAGCCTGTGGAACTGACTAGAGTCACATGCTGAGCTGTGGGAATTGAGGCATAAAGTGAGGTTCAAATGATGCCAGGAGTCTGAAATTTTGGGAAATGAATGTGCTGGAACTGAAAATGCTAATGGAGTAGTCTGGGGAGATTTAGCCAGAACTAAGGGATCTTTAAAAGATCAGATTCCTGGCAACAACTCAGCCCTATGTCTTTAAAGTTAGGCAGCCTCCTTTGGCTTCATGTTCTCAGATGAAAGATCAGAAGGACAGCAATATGAACTGTCAATCATTGCTCATGACATAAAAAGAGAAGGAAAGAGGCCAGAGAGAGCTGGTTGGCATCCATTAACACAGGCTTCGCCTAAGTTTTTAGATTTGGGAAAGTGACCATATAATATTAATACTAGAGGGGACCCTCAAGATCATGAGAAATGACCCCATGGAAGAAACTGAGACCTGGAGTGCTTAAGTAAGCTTTCTAAGATTGCACACCATTGAGTGATATGATCAGTGCTGTACACCAGTCCAATGGATGGGAAACAGAATAGTTAATAAGGCGGCAAATATGTCATTACATGTACAGATATGTTACGTACAGGAGTTCCACCATGGTATTGTTTATCATAGCAAACAATTGAAGCAGCATAAATATCTATTATCCACTAATAAAGAATTGCTTAAATGCCTTATGGTATATGCACTCAGTGGAATACTACATAGTCATTACGAATAATGATGTCGATCTACATTTATTGACATGGGGTGCTGAGGGGCTTAGCTAGAGGGACACATAAATTTTGGTATGTAATAATAATGGATGTCAATGCAGCATGCACATCGTTTTGGGTAAAATTTCATATGCGTATATGAATACATATATATGAAAGAATGTTTATAATAATTACCCAAGATGTGCGGTTTTGGATAATTTTAACTTTTTTATTTACACTTCCATGCATTGTTGGAATTTTGTTTGAAGATAATATATTATTTTTTATAATCAGAAATCGAACAGTAAAAGGACTTCCTCTTTTTTTGGTCATGGAACTCCATGTGCAGTTTCAGAGCTTCCCAGGATGGTGGGAGTGAATTTCCACACCCAGTTGGTTTATAGTTGCTTTCCTCAATAATAGGCAAGTGCTGCCCAGCACACAATCCAGGGGATGGCCATTCAGAGAGCATGGTACCTTGGATCTTCCAATGAAAGTTGCTGGTGCAGGAAGTAGATTAAGATGTCCCCAGAACTTCAAGATAAAGTCTCTTTTGAAGAGTAAAAGTTGGAATGAATGGAATGGTTGCTTTGAGCTTCTGTGGAGGTGACTACCTTTAAAATAGTCACAAATGGGTGGCAGGAGAGATTTAGGAACCCCCTACCTCTAATTAAGATGACCGGGTATAGTCACAGGCAAGCATGACTAGAGTGGAATTATAGCTGGAAAGGTGAGACTGAATCAATTGCATTGGCTAGCGCTGTAATTTGGCTGAGGACATAGTATGTTAACCAAAGAGGGCTGATCAGCAACATGTCCCGAAAAGAGAGCTTTGTGTGTTCGTCAGAGTTTATCTAGCTTTGTGTGTTCGTCAGAGTTTATCTAGCTTTGTCCAAGGAAGAATAGCTGTAAATCCTGTGGCCATGGACTCTGCCAGGTTAAGAGCATTGAAGTTCCTCCCTACACATCATCCTACAAGAAGAGGCTGGACCTGGCATCTGTGTTTGGAATGGCAAAGGCCAACTTTTGTGCATGTGCATGTCTCAAAGGGTGGAAAGAGGTCTCGTTTCATCCTGTAATATTTTTTTAAAAATTGACCAATTATCCTAAAATTTAACCAGGATGCATATTCCGTTTTCCAGTGAGGCTGAATAATCAAGTCACTCTACTTAGTACTTGTTTATTTGTTTGTTTCCACCAAGAACCAATTTGTGTCTTTGAAAGTGCTAACTTGGTCTCAAAGATTACTCTGGCTCATCTCTGGGTCTCGTGTGTTTTGTGGACCACACAGTCTCATGGGGAATGTGCTTTAGGATTCTTAGGCTGGACCACTTGGCTTTGTGCCCCTTCCATGGCAGTTTTTCTCAGGCAAATTTAAAGACATGTACTAACTACTTTCCCCACAGCTATGGTGGCTTAGCTAGATGGGTGCTCTGACCATGCGGCATCTGAGTTTGAGGAACCGAGATCCCATTACTCGGTTATTTGACACTTCATTGATTGAATGTACTACATTTTAATTGAATGCCTACTATGTAGCCAGCATCTGCTTACTGGACCTGCTGCTCACTGTATGCAAAGGAAGGGCTAATCACTCTTTATTTCTTATGAATATTCAGTTCTTTACCTGAAATGGTCCATTAAGCAGTAAGAACAATGCACTCAGTAACAGGAGAGCTAAGGTACAAAAGAAAAACATTTATTCAGTATACCTTTAATATCTGTCTTCTAGTATTACAGCTGGCATTGGCTGGAGAAAGGATCTCTTCATTTTTCATTTTGGCTACAATTGCTTCTTACTTATTTTCTTGTTATTCTTCTCCCGCCATAAAGCTGTATCCACACTGGAAATGGCTCAGCTCCCTTTGTCAGCGATTTGGATCAGTCACGCATATCCCAACTGCCTGAAAAAACTGGGTTCAGCAATTAGTATCAATCTGGTAACTGTCTAATGTGGCAAGGGTGGCTCATTTCTCCTGCAAGTTTAGATGTCATTGTTGACATCACCACTTCTCCTCTCTAGCCACATGCCACTTTCCTCTCTGTTCCACCAAAAGTGTCAGGCCATGGCCCATATTCTAGAAAGGCTCTTGGTATTTCATCAGTGTTCTCTTTCCTAAGCAGTTTAAGGACCAGCTAGCTAAGAGACCAGAAAGTGGGGTACTAGGAGGATTTTAGAGACTTCTCATTTTGTGAAACTATATTAAAATTACATCTTACTGAGAGGAATTTAAGAAAGTAAGCAATACACGCCTGTAATCCCAGCACTTTGGGAGGCCAAGGCGGGTGGATCACCTGAGGTTGGGAGTTTGAGACCAGCCTGACCAACATGGAGAAACACCATCTCTACTAAAAATACAGAATTAGCCGGGCGTTGTGGTGCATGCCTGTAATCCCAGCTACGCGGGAGGTTGAGGCAGGAGAATCGCTTGAATCTAGGAGGCAGAGGTTGTGGTGAGCTGAAGTCGCACCATTGCACTCCAGCCTGGGCAACAAGGGCAAAACTCCATCACAAAAAAAAAAAAAAAAAAAAGAAAGAAAGAAAGAAAAAGAAAAAGAAAAAGAAAGAAAGCAATAACAGCCAGAAGAAAATGGGCTGGGTGTGGTGGCTCACACCTGTAATCCCAGCACTTTGGGAGACTGAGTTGGGCAGATTATCTGAGCCCAGCTACTCTGGTGGTTGAGGTGGGAGAATTGCTGGAACCTGGGAGGCAGAGGCTTCAGTGAGCCAGGATTGTGCCACTGCATACCATCCTGGGAGACAGAACGAGACTCTGTCTCAAAAACAAAGCAAAACAAAAAATTAGCCAGGTGTGGTGGCACACGCCTGTAGTGCTAGCTACTCAGGAGGCTGAAGTGGGAGGACCGCTTGGGTCCAGGAGGCGGAGATTGCAATAAGTCGAGCTTGCACCACGGCACTCCAGCCTGGGTGACAAAGCGAGACCCCGTCTCAAAAAAACAAACAAAAACAAACAAAAAACCCAAAAAACAACAAAAACACCCCCAAAAACCATAAAGAAAGCCAGAAGAAAGCCTGAGAGAGAAATAGAGAGAGGAGAGTTGGAGAAAGAAAGAAAGGAAAGGGAAGGAATACAACATTTCTGGTAAATTCTCAAATTTCAAAGAGGAGTTGTGAGGAACAAACATTCCTTTGACTTGGGAAGATACTGTGTAACTTTTTCCCCCATTCTATTTACCTTCCAAGCAGTGTGTGCTAATATTAATATTGACATCCCTGTTCATATAATAGCTTTGGGGAACATGTTGCATAGTTTGGGATTCTTTTCGGTTAACTGAGTTTGAACAAAAACAAGTTCAAGCTATTATTAGTTTTCTTTTCTGTGGGCTGTAGGGGCCAGACCTGCCTTAGTAGACTTCTTGTATCAGTCATTAAAAGCCTTCGTTTCATGCATTCATTAAAATGTTTACGCCGGTTCAAACTTGAAAATCTGCCCCAAATGGCAACGTGCCAGAAGTTGATTCTTGTTGCTTCCGAAAAAGGGGAAAATATCCCTTTGCTGGAGTAACATTTGCACTGGGTGAGAGAGACATTCCCTCCCAAGAATATATGGCTTTATTGAGTGAGGTCAAATGAAACTTTGTCCGGTTCTTTGCCCATGCAGAAAATGAATGTGTCTAATTTACCTTCCAAATGGGGGAAATGGGAGCAGAAAGGCAGCTTACTCGACATTGTTTGGAAAGACCATATAAACGCCAGGGGAGCTGTATCTCCAGCCCCATGTGGTTTTAGGCCCTGAACCGTTTACTGTCTGTAGTCTCAAAATTGTCTGCTCATAGCCAAAGGAACACTCAGGCTTAACGAGTTAATCACATCCAGAGGCACAAAAAGCTAGAACTTCAGCCAGAACAGATCCAATTGCTTTCCCAGACTGGATAACTTTGTTTTATAAAATAAGCTCAGTGATATTTCAAGGGTTAATTATAAGTCTTTAGAAATCCTGGACTTGCATTCATCTTTTAAAAATATTTACACAACTTGGCTTTCTATGGCACCACTCTGTGTGTGCATGTGTGCATGTGTGTGTGCGTGCATGTGTTTTTGCATGTGTGCATGGGTGTGTTTTCACAGCTCAATGCATTTAATATTTTCTCTCCAAACCTAGACATCTCCAAAAGCACACAGGAAGGTGAGATTTATCAGACCCATTTGGAAGGTGATGCTGTCTACTCACTTTAAGGTGAAATGGAGGCAGGCAGATGCCTCGCTCACAGCCACTGCCAGGTAGTAGGCGTGGAAACTGGGCCTCCTGCTTTCTGGGTCCTGTTTTGAAGCCCGTCCCTGAGCCCAGCGTCTCTCTTTGTGAAATCCATGGAAATCCAGATAGACTGAAGGATTCCTCTACTCAAGTACTTTAAGAAAAGTTCCTGATTTTTCCCCTTGTTAAGCCCGAGAAGGAGGTGGGAGGGAGAATGCCTCCCCTCTGCTATTCCTTGGCTCCAGGTTTCTCTTTAAGAAATGCAATCAGACCACATACTCCTCAGCATCTGAGAACACTTCCTCTGGAGTCCAGTTCTCCTTTCCAGGCAGCTGAGGGAAGAGAGACTTTAAAACTGGCAGAGGGCATCAGGGGTGAAAGGCAACCCTGAGAGTAGGAAAAGGCCAGGGAGACAGGCCGATTCCAGCAGGGGAGACTGGCCCATCTGGAGCGCCAGCACATGCCTGGGGATTTCCTGGCCTCACCTGCAGACACCCTCCCCTCCCTGAGGGTTGGGATGCTCAGAGATCACAGGGACTCTCAACCCACTGCTGGGAGTGGCCCCTCTCAGACAGGCATTTTTATTATCAAATGAGCAATGAGAGAGGGGAGAGGTGAGGAACTCTATGAGAAACATGCAGTCTTTTATCACGTCATCAGTTTTCAGTGAGAAAATCCAGACCTTCTTACTTTTACAGAGATAGAATTCAGTTCTCAGGGACTTGTGAAGATGCAGCATCATCAAATCATTGTGTGTGTGTGTGTGTGTGTGTGTTGTGTTTTCCTTATCATCCACCTTAGAAAATATTCTCCACATTCCCATGTTAAAATATTTTTTCCTAAAATCCATCCATCCACATGCCAACATCCTAAAGACAGTAATATAGGTTCATTGCAGAGGATTTGGAAAATACAGAATTGTGACCAGAACAAACTAAACTGCATCCATAATTTTATCATCGAATTTGATCAACATTTTGGTGAATAGCCACCAGTCTGTTTTCTATCTTTTTAGGGAATATAAGTTCCAAGAGGCAGGGATGTCATTCACTTCTGTGACTCAGTGCTCTGAATCAGGCCCAGTGAAGACTGACGTGCAGCCTGTATTGGCAGAATGAATGAATAAATACTACACACGCATATTTTGAATTGAAATAAGTTGTCAGGGTGCAGCAGAGAATAACAGAAATAGAATTGCTTGGATGTGCTGACCTAGATCCAAGCTGCTACTGGTAACGTACTGTATCTCCTTGAATAAGTCACTTCACCTCTCTGGGCCTGAGCTGCTTCTTCAGTAAAATAATCCTTGTAGCTAAGATTTGTTGAGCGCTCACTATGCACACTGCCATGAGCCCCTATATGTGTATTTCTCATCATAGCTCTATGAGTTACATACCTGCCATCTCCATTTTATGCATGAGAAAATAGGCATGGAGAAGTTAAGTGGTTTGCCTAAAGTCACACAGCAAATTTGTGGAGAGCTGGGCTTGAACTCAGGCATCTGGGCTTTTACTCTCTCCAGTGGAATGCCTGGGCTGTGGGATGAGATGACTTCACAGGCCTCTCCCAGCTCCAGAGTTGAGAGAGAGAGAGGAGTGGTGCAGGGAGGTAGTAGGGATGATTATGCTACTGGCCAAGTTCAAGAAAGTCAATTGTAGAACAAGGTCCAGCTGATTATTACAGAGAGCAAAGTTCTTAACTAGAGGACTTCCTCCTGGAATGTGGAGAGTCCACACGGGCACTAGCAGAGCATAATGAAAGACCAGGAATTCTCTGCTGTTCAATCAGTGCTCCATCACTCAGAGGCAGGGCTGCAAGAGCTCCTAGTGTGTCCCCTTCGCCTTCAGGGCCTCCCTGTACAGCCACCCACAGGACAGTGCACCAGGGTCAGGCAGGGAAGTAAATAAAAAAAGGAATCTGATAATTCCTGACAGTGAGCAGCAGCTGATGCTTTTAATGGGGGAGGAAGACTGGGAATCTCGCTTGATGATGACCTAGGACTTCAGTCAGCAGGACACTGGCCCCTTTCCTCCCCCTCCCAGGCTGAAACCTTGTGTTTTGCCTTATGTCCATGGTAACCAAGTCTCCTTTTTGGTGAGGAGGAATGGGCTTCAGTAAACAGATCTATTTGTGTGATCCTGTTACTCATTTGAAGCAATGTCCCTCCTTTTTTCCACTGTGGTCTGTGTGTCTGAGTCAGAGAGAGCCTACAACAGGGTTCTTTGAATTGATGGCTCACTCCCAGCCACTCTTGACTGACTGCCAGCTTAGCAGGGCGTAGCTTACCAACAAATCTTTTTTTTTTTTTTAAAGCCAGACTGATTCATAGAAACTCCTTTAAAACACGGTGAAAAGAAACCGCCCATTACACACCCCAGTACACCAGCAGAGGAAACTTATAACCTCGGGAGGCAGGTCCTTCCCCTCAGTGCGGTCACATACTTCCAGAAGAGCGGACCAGGGCTGCTGCCAGCACCTGCCACTCAGAGCGCCTCTGTCGCTGGGACCCTTCAGGTAGGACAGCTCCCAACGCTGTGGGGACTCTCAGCAAAACTTCTCCTTCCTTTCCACGGCTCTGCTTCTTCTGACCTCATCTTAGTTTTGCTTTTTCTTTTCTTCCTTCGCTATTTTTCTATGATCCTCTAAGAACCAAGTCCTTGAAACTTTTGGCTCAAAGTGGATACAGAGACAACTTTTTCTAGAAAGTTCAGAAAAGTGTATTTTGAGGACGGAGTCTGGGGAAATCAATGGGATGGGGCTAAAATCGTGCCTGGCAGTGACCGGGTTCTTGTTCTAGGATGTGGAGGGAGCAGGGACTTTGAAACAAACTGGGATAGGATCCTGTTTATGGAGGAAACACCACACACCTTGGAAATGACATCGGGAACTGGCCAGATGTTTTTCACCTCCTCCGTTTTGATTCCGATTGCTTCAGGACTTGAACTGTTACTCTGCTCGCTGGTTGTTGGTTGGGATTTTTTGGGTGGTGGTGGATAGATAACTGGTTTTCAGTTTATTTTTGACATTGCTTTTCCTGCCTGTTTGCTTCCCTATTCACTTCTGTTTAAATTTAAGTATTTTTTTTCTCCTCACAGGATGGGAAGAGGGGGATTGGTTTGTTTAAAGAAAACTGTTGGCCGGGCACGGTGGCTCATGCCTGTAATCCTAGCACTTTGGGAGGCTGAGGCGGGCGGATCACCTGAGGTCAGGAGTTCAAGACAAGCCTGGCCAACATGGTGAAACCCTGTCTCTACTAAAATACAAAAAGTAGCCAGGCATGATGGCAGGTGCCTGTAATTCTAGCTACTTGGTAGGCTGAGACGGGAGAATTGCTTGAATCCGGGAGATGGTGGTTGCAGTGAACTGAGATTGCGCCACTACACTCCAGCCTGGGCAGCTGAGTGAGACTCTGTCTCAAAAAGGAAAAAAAAGAAAAAGAAAAAAAATGAAAAAAGAAAACTGTTAGAGAGAGAAAGAGAGGGAGGCAAATGGTGTTTTAAATGAAACGTGGGAGGGGTTCACTTGGTCGAAGCAGGAGCTGATGAGGATTCCAGATGCCTTCTCTTGGCCAGATGTGGAGGGCGGGGGAGGCAAAAGGGAAGCTGGGTTTGGAGAAGAGGGTGGGGCAGGAGAACTTCATCTGTGCCTGTTAAAAATTGTTGAGTGGCTTTGTGCTTTCACCCCAGAAAGAGCTGCCTTTCAGTGCTGAGTGAAAAGATGGCATACCAGAAACGATAAAAGAACTTTTAAAAGAAAGTGGATGTGGAATTTCTTTGCATGGAAGGCAGTGATTGTTTTGAAATGCTTATCTTTTCTCTTGTTCCCGAAATGTGATTGTATAAATGCAAACACTCATGCTAATCATGAAATCTGGAGGAATGAAGAAGGGTGCTTTTTCTTTTTTTTCTTTTTTTCTTTTTTTCGGTTAGCATTTTGGGTGAGTGTCTACCGAGGTGTGGCCCATTTCAACATAGACACTGGTATATTTTTTCCCCAAGTAAACAAGATGAGAATGACAGGATTCAGCTTGTCTGACAAAGTTAGGCTTTTCCTTTAGAAAGGCAGTACGTTGGGAGAGAAGTTACATGTAATCAACCCTGTGTTGAGCAGGCAATGCTCCTTGTAAAACTGCCCCAAGGGGGACGATTGAGTAGGCATCAGGGCAACTTTTCAAGATGAAGGGAACTCCTACATTTGCTTCACATGTTTATTATTTCCACATTACATGGATGTGGATTAGCCATTATTAAATCAATAGTGTTAATATCCTGTGAAAATTATACAAATCTTTTAGTTCTGTGCAGGTTAAAACTAATAACCAGTCAACACACGGAAAGCCCTGACAATGTTGGGAGTGTAAACCATCATGAACTGCATTATTTGTGGCAAGGTTTCACATGATACTGTAGGTTTATAAAGGAGAAAATATGCTACATGTTACTTCCTGGAGTTTGAAGACAATTTAGAAAAATACCGTTCTGATTCCTGCTCTCTGCTCTTCCTCCAAGAAGTAGTGAAAGAGTCCCTTAGCTGTGAGAGTTTTTCTGGATTTCAGCTTTGACAATCCCGAAATGTGAGGGTTATTTTTCCCCCCCACTCTGCCCGCTGCCTCCCACCCTCAGGGGCAGATCCAATTCCACCCAGACTCCGAAGAATGGGGCGGGGGCGGGGGCTGCAGGACATCCTGTCTGGCGCCCTGGTCAGAGGGCCCCCCACATTTACATTGTTTGTGGGTACTAAACTGTCTTGGGAGTTGGCAAAAGGCCATCAAGAACCAACTTGGAGCAAATCACATCCTTAGAATCTGGCTATCTCCCAGGACTGCTGGGCAGACCGCTGGGGAAAGGAAAGAGATCCCTTCTGTGGAGAGTGGAAAGGACTCACTGTGCCTTCCTCAGCCCTTCCTGCTTCCTCCAGAGACCAGATTAGGCCCATCAAGTTCCCAGCCTTGTCAGTGGGCTTCATGGAGACCCCTCACCCGGGAATGTAGACCCTCTTGGCTTGCTCTGGGTGGCTCTAGGGATTTCAGGTAGTGCCAGACCCACAGGGACTACTGGAGAGAGACACGTTGAAGACCGGGGAAAACTTGTGGATGAGGCAAGACTGCTTTTCTGTAGACTCTATGGAGCCTGGTGGGGCACATAACTGAAACGTGGACACAGGAAAGGGCAGGAGGCAAGTCAGTTCCATTTCATCCTTCATTTCGTTCACAGAATTCTAAATTTGGGAGGGATCTTGGATCTCATTCATTCTCCTACTGTATGCAGAAATCTAATTTTTACACCATCTTGAACAGATGGCCATCCTACAGATCTTAAAATTTCCAGATGCGGGGAGCTCAGAACCTCAGTGTGTACCTCCACACTCATTCCCCTTAGCAGGCCAACTCTAATTTTATTAAAGTTCCTTAAATCAAGCAAAATCAACTTCCTTATAACTTCCTGATTCTGCTGGCCTGAAACAACTCAGAAAATATCTATTCTGGTTTTGTTGTTGCTCCACCCAATGATTCTCATCCTCTAAACACTTAACGCCTATTTAATATTTAATGAATACAACTTGATGGATCTACATTGCATTATCTTTTCTTCTTCTTCTTCTTCTTCTTTTTTTTTTTTTTTTTGCCTAAGGCTCAGAAGGGCAGGGAGCATTTTTGAAGTTTGGAATTATGTACATAGTCAATCATACTCACGGGGTTTTTGATTTGGAGGTATTTAATTTTCTAAATGCATGAATATGGTTCCTTCTTTAACCTCCCACATGTATGTACATAGCTGCCTAACACAAAAGCTCAGGCCTATTTGGGACTCTCAGATGTACATACTCGGAGGGACACACCCAGTGTTGCTACCTACTAGGTCATGGTTAGATCAATCCAATACCAGGACACAGGCTTCTAGCTAGGCCTTTTGGGGATTGTCCCATAATTTGGTCCATAGTTCATGTAGCCCACACCTATACATTGTCACCACCCATCATAGTAATTACGGGAACAGGCTGCCCATCAAATGTAGCCTCCTTGTAATTGCTGGCCAGCAATCTGGGTATCAGCCCCTTGAGAAGAGCTCCTAACCCTTAACCAGCGTAGAACGGGAATTTTCTCACCATAAGCTTCCCTTTTCTAATACTCTTCCCAGATCCGCCCAGGTGATCTTGAATTTCTGGACTGCACTTGCTATTCAGTAATCAAGGAAGCCCAAATATGGTTCCAGTTAGGGGTTTACTTGAATCTTCAGCACCCAGCCCCGACATACACACGTCCTGAGACTGCTCTTTGCAACAATTCAGTCCCTGGTGTCCTGCCTGGGTAAAACCATTTCCTTCAATTTACCTGGGAGATTCACTGATACTAAAGCAGAAAGATGAAAGCACAAACACCTGTGGTGATTGCTGCTTCTCTCTTCCTTTTTAACAAAATGTTTGGGTCAAGGTTTTCTTTTGTGTTGTGGAGATGGCATTTCCCTGGAACTGCAATGGAATCCTCTGCTGTTGGTGCGCTTGGACTTACGTGGCTGTGACAGTTTTTCTATTTGCTGAGCCTGTTTCATGAATTGTTTCTTCAAACCGGGTAGTTAAACTAGAGAGCCCTTTCAGCACAGGTTGAAAGCGTGGCAAGAATCCTGGAGCAGATGTAAGACAGCTGACTAGGAAGACAGAGGGGCAGTGGTGTTATCTTGACGCTGCCATGTAACCACAGGCGAGACACTTGTCTTCTTGCTTTCGGAAGTTGAACTTGGTGGTTCTTTCAGACCCCTTATGGCTCTGAGATTCTAAGATTCACCCAGGCGTGGTAATCCCAGCTACTTGGGAGACTGAGGTGGGAGGATCACTTGAACCTAGGAGTTTGAGACCAGTCTGGGCAACATAGTGAGACCCTGTCTCTAAAAGAAGAATTTTAAAAAGCAGGGTGTGGTAGTGCATGCCTGTAGTCCCAGCTACTTGGGAAGCTGAGGCAGGAGGATTGATTGAGCCCCAGGGCTTTGAGGCTGTAGTCAGCTATGATTGTACCATTGCACTCCAGCCTGAGCAATGAAACAACACCCTGTCTCAAAAAAAACAAAAACAAAACAAACCAACAAACAAAAACACCAAAAAAACGAAAAACAAAAAAATTAAGATCCTACCATTTCTATTTTGAGATATCCCTTGCGCTGATGCTAGCAGCTGGCTTAATCTGTAAAAATTGATAGAAAAGTGAAATAGGGCAACGTGTGGCATTGAAAAGGGCATTTTGCAGAGGATTCTCGTCTCCTGGGTGCCTTGAGGACCCACGGAGCCTCCTCTGCCCCATCCACTCACAGATTCTTTAGGTATGGTGTTCCCCGGACTTACCCTCAGCCATGAGCATTCACTCGGCACTAGGAATAAAAGAAAGAGGTTTGAGTAATTAAACGTAAAGGGTGCCAGCTCAGATGAGGAGGGCAGGCTGAGTCTGTGAAGACATTGACAACAGCAAAGCATTCACCAGGAACAGAATCAGGCTCAGGGAGAAACTGAGCTGGCTCTGGGAAAGAAACTCCACCCTCTTCTTGAGGAGGGAGACCCTGCAGCATGAAGGTGTGGTGTACAGGTGTGGACAGGAGCAAATGAGGAACAGTTTGAGAGGAGGAAGAGGAAGGTGCAACTAGGACAGGAGGGAGGGAGGGAGGGCAAGTGGGATGCTGTTTCCCAGGCCTGTGTGTTGAGGGAGGAGGCAGGCAGAAAGACCTAGAAGCAGGAGAAAAAGCTAAGTGGATAGAGAAAGACAGAAAGGGGGCAAAAGAGCAAGGGAGAAGTGATGAGGATGTTTCCCCTTCCATCCTTCCACTCTTGTTTGGGGACCACCCACCCTCAATGTTTCAAGGCAGTCCTTCGGTCAAAATTCGATTCTTTGTCCCCTGTGAAGAATCTTTTGTCGCATTGGCTACTTCTTGTTTTTTCAGGATGGTTGACACCTCTTTGGTATCATTTTAGTTTCCACTACATGTGCCCACCAGGCTGGAACCTCTTCAATGTTTCTCCTCTTCCAGGTCAGATCAGAGCTGAGAGCAAAACGGGGTTCTTGATCCTTAGACTTCTCATTTCAAAGAATCAAAGACCCTTCCCCAGGACGCTGGAGAAGGGGAGTTGGACAGAGGTTTGCAACCCTGAAACAACTAGTTTGGGGCAAGGCAGTGTGTTCACATTGATCTCAGAGAAAGCTCTGAAGCTGAGACCTGGAGCTTCCCTTTATTGAAAGATAGTCTCCATGTCTGGGTGGGGTGGGGACTCCTGTGCTGAGGGTTAGAAGGTTGCTCGGAGTTTGCAGGGGGATATTGTTCGGGTCTGTTTTGGCCAGGCAGGCTGGCTCTGCTGGGTGGGACTTCTCAGCAAAACGACAGGGAGAAGCAGTGGCCTCGGAAGACCCTGTGTTTTTATAATTGGCACAGTTTTAAGGGGTATATGCTGACTCTCTGATTAACTCAGAGAGGGTAGGAGGAAAAGAGAGAACAGTAGATCTGGTAGAAGTTCTAGAACTTCCACCAAACCCTAAGCCAAGAGACAGGAGAGAAAAAATCATGCCAGGTGGAAGAGCCCTGCCTGGAAGGTGCGAAATGGCTTCAGTTCTGATTCAATTCCATTTCTCCTTTGGGGACGTGCATTTCCTTCTTATCAAGGGGTTGGACTGAATGACCTCAATGCCTCTCAACCTCTAAAGAACGAATTGAAATGAAGCCCTGAGCCCACCTGATGGGTCTGGGGTGTCTCTAGGCGAGGGGCCTCCCCTCCCAGCTTGCCGCCTTCCAGGAGGCTGCAGCTTTGCTGGTTGAAGCATGTTGCCGCCATCTACTGTTGGTCCCACCCAAGCGCCGCTGGGGCCGGGCCACACCTAGGTTTTCTTCCCAAACCCCTAGTTATTATCTTGGCAACCTCTCCCTTGAAGACATTCTGGCTGCCAGAACACTCGTTTGTCAAAAGCAGAAGGCAACTCACGCTTCCGTCCTCGCCCAGGGAACATCGCCTGATCCCTTGACCAGCTGCAGTCTGGGGGAGTAGGCTGGGCCCCAACTTCACAGCCCAGGTCTGGCCTCAGTCTTTGCAGATGTTGCCCAGATCCACCCCTCCCCTGGACACGAAGGAGGACAAGCGGAAATAAGAGAGAGAGGTTATTCTTCTTGGGAGCATTTGCAAAAACAATATTCATGCCACTTGTTTGCCTTTAGCATAATTGTTGGCCCTCAGGCTCTGCCAGAGAAGCATAAAGCCCATTTCCCCGGCCCGAGCCTCTCATTTTACACAGAGGAAGAGACCAACCAACCAGGAACTGTGTGGCCCCCACTCTGTGCCTGGCACAGGCCTTCAGCCCTCATGCTAATCCTGTGAGGTCTACAGGTCACAGTTCAGACATGGTGGAGCCAGGATTGGAGCTGAGAATCCCTGCTCTGTGCTACTTTGAACTCTGTGCCTGTAGGAGCCACTGACCAGAGAGGTTATGTGATTTTTCTAAAGTCAGAAGTTGGTCAGGGGCAGATTTATTATAAGAATCTGGTTCTCCAATAGGTTCTCTCTCTCTCATACAGTGTGCTTGCCCCACTCCCAACCCACACCTTGGCTCCTCACCCCTGACTATGTGAGACTCTGTGCTAGTCTACACAGCACCAGACCAACACGACTTGCTGTATAATAACCCCCATTTATAATAGCCTGCATTTGGAAGATGAAAAAAATAATTGTTTTCCCTGCAGCATGTAGGTCCCTGTTACTTTTGCTGCTTGATTGACGATGTTTCTCCTGGTTGTAAAAACTGCCCTGTATTTTCCAACATCAAGTCCTACCTGAGGTTCCTTCCTTCCACACCAAACATGAGCTATGCAGAGGCCGGAGGAAATGGCCCCTGAGAATCCTTTTTCTCCCCATGTTTCCCACGGAGAAATTAATCCCCTGCTTTCCCACCCCTGCATAAACACAATATTGAGAATGGAAAAGTACACTTGATATAAAACAACAATAACAGTGGCCAGAGAGGCTCATCCAAGGTCTCATCCACTCAGCCTGCCTTTAATCCCAGTCTTTTCCTCCTCCAGACACATCCTCTCCGGCTGCCCCCAGAAGGGAGTGCTTCCTTTTCTGCTTTTGTGTTACATGCGCATCCATTTTGCCAACCAAATGATCCTTCATGGGAAACAAACACATCAAAACCAAACCAACAAAAGCAAAATGCTCCCGACTTGCGCAGAGGACAGAAAGGCTTTCGTGCCACCCTGCGTGGTGTCTTAGGAAGGAGAGGCAGCTGCGGAGTTTCAGGTGTCACGCTGAGGAAGGTGGTGTGGGGTCGTCTGACTCATGGGGGTCAGTTGACCAGAAGCGGCTACGCCTCTCTCTCTCCTCGTGCTTTGGAGGAAGCACCACGTCTTTGGTCAGATGCTGTGAGAAAGCTTTCTCCAAAGTTTACAGTTATCCAGAAAGAGATCAGAATCTCACTGTCAGAAAAACACTGGCCAGCAAAAAGACAGGGAGTGTCTAGCAGTAATCTCAGGACTGTGTTATGACTTGACTGAGATTTTGAGATCTAAGGTGAAGGCCTCTGGTGAATCTTCTGATAACCTGGTAGTTCTGCTGTGAAGACAACCATGCTAGAAAGAGGAAGAATTAGTCTAGTCAGGTAATCTCACCGGCAGAATTAAAAGTCATGGTGGTCGTTGCAAAGAGCACACTCGGACGTATTGTCAGAAAAATCTTTCTAATCGGGGAAGGGATCCTGGTAGGTAGTGAGCTCTCCATGACTGGAGGAGGTTAAGCATGATTCAGATAGTTCTTTGGTCAGATTTGTAGATGACTTTCTTGAATTGAAAAGGAATTTTAAAGACCTCCCTCTTCAGTCCTGAGATTCTATAATTCAAAGAAGTAGAGAGAAAGATTAAATCTGCAGACAAACTAGTGTTTAGAAATTTAAGACATTTTCTTTGCATTCACTTATTTCCTCTTGAACAAAAGGCAACACACACATATATACCCTTGTATATTCAAATGCACTCAGGAAACAGTCACATATTTACATAGGTATTTATATAGAAATATATAACAAAGTTTGCATACAATAAGATGCTCAATACATAGTTGTAGTAAAGTATTAAGCAATTTCTGAAAAATAATAAAGGACTAAAGTCTATGTATGTTAAAAAAAAAAGGAAATATTTTCCCTCTATAATTCTGTGTTTATTATGAAGTCTTCAGTCATTTTGACATTGATTATTTTTCCATGGGGAAGAAAATATGGCCATCCTTAATTCATTTATTTGTTCATTGAACAGATATTTATTTGGTACCTGTCACAGGCAAGACTCTCCCTTCAGGGACTTAAAATCTTAGGGCTGTCATCAGTGGTTTTAATAAAAAGCTATGTGAGGGCAATAGAAGAAGAGAGAAAAGAAAACTGCTCCTAACCTATGGATCTGGGAAGGCTTTTTAGAAGAGGTAGGATTTTAGCTTGGTTGAAAAGAATTTGATAGACTGTCACTGAAAGAAGAATACAAAAGCAGAGCTTTTATTTTTGGAAATCCAAGTCCTGGGATTGCAAGGGCTGGCTTGAGGTGCGTGGAGCCTCTTTCCTGCTGATTGGTGGTGGTTAGAGGTGGGGGTTTGGAGGTTCTTGAGCAGGGGAGTGCCATGGTCAGATAACCCAGTAGCAGGGTAGAAGATATGTTAGAGGGGAGTTGTTCAGAGACAGGGTCATGGGTGAGGCTGATGCCATGGTCAGGCTAGGACCTGAACTGGACAGTAGCAATGGGAATAGAACATAAGGAAGGATGTGAGATAAGTAATGGAGGTAGAAACTCAGGGTAGGACTGTGATGTTTTGGGCAACAAAAGTGGAATGAGGGGAAGGGAAGATAGGACATTTGGCAGTGGTCATTACTGCTCTTTTCTCCCCAGAAAAATCCTGGCCTTTCTTAAGCTGCCAGGGAAATGCCAGCCAGATCCATACCCTGCTTCTCAGAAAGCTCTCTCGTGCCCTTTTGTAGAGAAGGTCTCCATGATGCCTTTCATTCTGGGAGAATCTCACCCACTCTCAAATGAATCATGGAAATTTGAGCCCTGAGGGCCTCCCCCAGTGTTTGCATCGTCTTCAGCTCCTGATTTCTGAGCATGCTCCCCTCCCACCCCTCAGCTAGGGCTAATTCTTCAGTGACTCAAGCCCCAGGATTTTGACCACTTCCTTCACTGGGGAAGTGGGTTTTTGGTTGCTCTATTCTATTGTGTTGCTCCCAGTTATTGTGTTTTAGGTCACTCTTAAAGAATTGCTGCTGCCGCCAGGCCCCATGGCAGTTCAGTGAACACACAGACTTCTGGACAGGAAGAAGTTATCTGACTCCTAGGTTAGCAATCAGGGAACCAAATTATGCACCTCTAAACTTCCCTTCTGGTCCTTAGAAGTCAATTCTTCTCAAAGTCTCTGCAGATTTAGTTACCCACCAGAAAAGGAAAGGCTCCCATGGGGGCCTGAGTAATTTCTCACTGGTCAGAGAACCCTAAAAGTGTTAGGCTGCCTGAACAAAGGCAACAAGGCAATGCATGGCAGTCTCAGGGCTGTGTTCCTTTGATTCTTTCATTTGTGTGTGTGTGTGTGTGTGTGTGTGTGTGTGTGTGGTGTGTAAGAGGGAGGCAAGAAGCCAATAAAGATTTAAATGGATGGAGATAACTTGAGAGGTTTGGTTATCCCTCTTTCCCTTCCCTCATGTCTCATATTAGTTAGTCCTTTAGAGCTATAGTCACGAGCAATTTTAATCCTCAGGGTTCTATTTTATTTTATTTTGAGACGGAGTCTTGCTCTGTTGCCCAGGCTGGAGTGCAATGGAGCGATCTTGGCTTTTTGCAACCTCCGCCTCCCTGGTTCAAGTGATTCTCCTGCCTCAGCCTCCCCAGTAGCTGGGACTACAGGTGTGCACCACCACGCCCGGCTAATTTCTTGTATTTTTAATTGATACTAGGTTTCACCACGTTAGCCAGGATGATCTCGAACTCCCTCAGGGTTATTTCTACTGACTATATTAGCTATTCTGTTAGCTAAGAACTTTATCTGAATACTGAATGGTCAGTGTTTGTGAGGTTTGCATTAGAGCTAGGAGCACAAAGACACCTCTGCTCTAGTGTGGTCTGGGCAATGCAGAAAGAAAAGGAGGAACAGTGATCAGAAACAAAAGATGGTGGTCAGAGGTAGGGAACTGCAAGCCTGTCCGTTAGGGCAGAAAGAAGAACAGAAAAGGGATATCAGAGACCTGTGTGTGGCTCCGAGGTGCTGATCTCCATTTCTCTTAATAATACTTCTCTCCAGAGTCAACATACATGGGTCCTATACCTTCCTCAGTTTCCCACCCAGCCCCTAACTGCCCCTGTGCCATGTATGTTAGGTAGATGAGGCTTAAGAAGGAGATCATCCTCCACTCACAGTGGTGGGTACAGAAATGTGTTCCTGGCATCCACATAGAAGTCAGTGGACGGCCTGTTCTTTAAAAATGCAATGAATTGATAAGCTCTGCTGGCCTAGGTCTGGGAGTCTAAGCACCACAAATGAACGCTGTTATGAGCGTTCCCCTACAACTTTGGAACTGCTCAGTGCACCAAATGCTCTGCAAAAAGCGGGTCTTGCTTCAAAGTATTCAGAATTGCAATGCTGTGATTCTCTGCATCTTGGTTTGCGCTGCCTCACTAGGACTAGGGGTATGCTTTCCACTGGAGAGTGCCACCCATATCATTTTAGAGAGGGCTGAGGGAGAAGTCTACTATTGTTTTAGTGAAACACACTGCTAAGAAATAAGTAGTAGCCACCAATACTTCCAATGGTATAAATTCTCATAAATGGTATTTTTTTCAGTGCCTTTGTATGAAGCAAGATTCACAATGGGGCAGAGAATGAATCTCCCCACAAGCTACCTTGCAAGTAATGGGTGGGTGGAAGTTTCAGGAGCAGGGGTTCTTCTGTTTATTATACTCTGCTATTTGATAAATGCCCAGACATTTACCCATTAGTTACCACTAATGGCTTTTTCATAAAGACCTCAGTGATCGCCTCCTCCCAGACTGAGGGTTTCCCTGGGGGCAGGAGGTATCTAGCACAGTGTAAAGACTGGGTAACTAGGGATGATTCAGCCCAGAAACTCAAGAAGATAACTCATTCTGTTTTCACCTGTGTTGGGGGGAAGGCCATTGAAAATAATGGAAGCCCCTCTAAACTGACAGTGAATGATATTAGTAAAACCTGACAAATAATGGGCCAGTGAAAAGATGGAGAAGTTGTAGCTTAAGCTAAACAGCCCCTCCTTCTGGCTGGATACAGCAGCTAAAAACAGAGAGAACTGTGTGTTTTGCACAAGACCGCTTGCTAACTCAAGACATTTTGCTTCTTTCCGTGGTGAAAAGACAGGGAGGGCACCATCACAAAAATCTAAGATGAAAGAGAGTCGCTCTTTTGCTTGATTCTCACATCCATTCTTCCAGCCTGCAATGGGCAGGGCATATGGTCAGGTGGATCCAGGGGCCAGGCACTCGCACACACCACCAGGGCTGTGATGCATGGGCCCAGGTAGAGGTGCCGTGGGAGGGGTCATTGAGACAGAGAGTGTGAGCTGGGCAGAGGAAATCAGACTTGACTTTAGGGGTTACAGAGCAACCCAAGGAGACAAAATGCTGCTGAATTCCCAACAGCCTATCAGGGAGGGAATGTTTTCTGTGACTCATTTAAGTGGCCTCACTTGGTGGATTATATTCTGTCATTGGCCCCTCCAGCCCTTCCCCCTTTTAAGAAGAGGATGTTTGTAAATTAGAAGCAACAGGAACAAGAAAGTCATTTGAAGAGCCCGAGGAGGATTAAACATAAGTATTCGTTATGTAATATTTGTAATTCCCTGCAATCAGCCTGTTCCTTTCCCCATAGGGGGCAAGGAGATCAGGATCTGGTGAGGTGTGAATCTTGGGAGGTATGAGGAAGTTGGGCTGAGAAAGTGAACTTTCTCCTGGTCTTTCCTGAGGGTGTGCTCTTAGAGGTCTCCCCCCTTAAGGGGCAAGGGTTAGACAAATGACAATTTCTAAGAGGACCGAAAGGATTGTATACACCCTGCCTCGTGAACTAGACAGCAGATATCTTATTACTTGCACTTAACATGGGGCAGCCTAGCGATTGAGTAACTGGGTTGGGTTGGCAACAGCTACCCGGCTTCACTTATGAATAATAGTAATAATAATAACCGCAGCTAAAGCAACCCCATTATTAGTAGCTGCCATGTGTCAGACACTAGGTGTTTTACATAAACAATCTGAATTCATCCTCACATTTCCCTTTGCAATTGACATTGCGACTTCCACTTTCTAAATGAGGAAACAGATGAGCGGTCAAATAACTGGATATGATTCTAATTCATCCTCTGTCTGATTCAAAAATCTCTTTTTACTGTGCATTTAAGTCAAGCAGAAAATTGGGGAGGTGTGCTAGAACCTGAGAAAAGCAAAAATGAATTTGAATGTGTGGGGGGATTACTAATAGCAGACATGAAAGCTCCAACCTCTCCCCTGAAGAGGCAGGATAAACGTCATAATTTTTGCATTCACAGTTAAGTTGGACACATTCCTAAAAAACAGCCTGGGTTGGAAGGAAGTGGCCAGATTGGGAAGGGGCTGTTGGAGACGGTCAGGGAGAATGGTGGAAGCCATTGTCTGCCTCTCATTCCTTGCTTGCAGAGAGCAAGGCACCCTGATGTATATTAGATCACTCTAGATTTTTGGTTGCCTGATAAAGACAGTGAGAGGAGATAAAAGGCATGTGAAGTGTTGGAATTATAGTATCAGTGCTCTCTAATAAATACCTGATGTGGCATGAAAGTGCCTCAAGCACATTCAAAGCATCAATTAAATTAGGTGGAGTGAGAGAGGGCAGTGGAACAATTGCAGGATGCGCCTGGCCATCTCCTCCCTTGGTTGGGGCATCCACACATCCATTCTGTCTAGGGTGTGAATAACCTCAAGCCCTTTCCTTTTGATGTCCCTCTGAGCCTGCACTGCTTTGTGACAGTCTTAGGCATGACAAAGCTCTCCTTCTGTAGCTGACATAAATCAGAATAGCCTCCCCCATGTGTATCCTTCACACTTCCTTTATTTCCTAGGCTTTATGATCAATGGGCTCCCTTCTCTGCTGTGATTATGGCTGAAAGCTTTTGTTTATCCATGCACATTCTTAATCGATATTAGTTCCCAATCCTCCCACCCTGTGATTTATGCATTTGCCTGTCTTCTGTATTGAGTCCTGAAGGATTGGAATTTGTGTAAATGTCATGTACAAGGAGAAGGCACATTTGGTGCTATCTCAAGTTGCATTACTTTTAAAGCCCCCAGAACCATCACATTGAGCTGTGGAAAATATGACTCTCTGCCCAGACCAATGGCAGGCTTCCTGCCATGAGGCACACAGAGCCCAAAGGCTCAGGTGTAGTAATACTAGTCTGAAATGCTCAGTCACAGGGTGACCAGACCATTAAACTGTAATTAGGTTGTTATAATTATTGAAAACCAAACAGCATTATAATAATAGAATTGTGCCTCTCACATTTTATATCTCGCCCAGGATCATATTAGTAGCCTATTCAGTATATGGGCATTGAGTAATAGCTGCTATTCTTCAGAAGGCATTTACTTCTATTAAAAGTGCTGGGTGAGCAATTTGATGAAAGCATGGACATTTTCCTAGTGGAAAATGGACATTTATATGACATTGTTCAGAGACCTGGAAATTATAAAGGCCTACTTCTTTGAAAATCAAAGTCCTATTTTTAACCTCTAAAACACAAACAAAATAAAATACGAACAGTTATCATAAAATGTTCTTGTTCCTTTTTTGAAATAGAATGTATTAGAGAAATGAATATGTAAATACCCAAGAAGAAACCAAATTCTGTTTCCATGTAGGTATGTATAACTGGATGAATAGGCACTTAGGCAAATCAGAACTAGGTTACAGGGGTGTTTTCAGGAATTTATGATTAGATTGTGATGGTTTTTAGTGCAGCTCTTCCTCATGTTAGCAGATAGCCCACACGTGTGGGAAAGCTGAGTCGTCTTATTGAATCTGACAGTAACCGTTTTTGTCCCTTTCTTTTTCTTTTCAGAACTCTCTTTGCTCACAAGTTACCAAAAAAAAAAGAGCCAACATGTTGGTATTGCTGGCTGGTATCTTTGTGGTCCACATCGCTACTGTTATTATGCTATTTGTTAGCACCATTGCCAATGTGAGTAATGTTCTTTTGTTCATTCATTCATTGAGAAATCATTCGAATATTTACATCAAGTGCACAAAAGAAGTTTAAGCCACAGCCCTTGCCCTTCATGAACTTACAGCTCAGTTGTGGGAAAACAAAATAAACACACGCTTGCCCTTCAAACAATTAAATAACAGGAGGATAAAAGTGAATGTCCACAGGAGTAATCCTGCCAGAGCTGTAGGTGGTTAAGGGCTGGAGGATCTAGTGCAGCTTCTTCGGTCTCTAGAAGAGCCTTCCCAGCAGCAGGGGTGAGTGGAGCTTGAGGTGAACCTGGAGGAGTGGTAGATGGCTGAGGTTTCTCTTAGTGAAAGAGGGAAGGTGGAAGGATCATAGGGATGCATTCAGGTGGGAGTGCTAGCAAAGGAGCATATGTAGGAAGGACAAGCTTTGGTCAGAGGATAAGGAGGACACACACCTATGTGGCTGGAGCCGAACTTCCCCTCCTTCTGAGAAGCTTGATTAGAAGGATAGATGGGAAGAAGAGGATGCCAGACTGACAAATTCAAATTTTGAGCAAAGAGTAGCATGTGAAAGTGGAGTTTTGCAAGATTAACCCAGTGCCACTGAATTAACTAACTCAGACAAAACGAGAAAAAAAAAATGGAGGTAGTGTCTTTTCTCTCTGAACCCTGGGCTACTCTGACCTCTAGTGGTGGCTTACAGCGCCCAATTTGCTTTTACTTGTGCTTTTCTCAGAAAAAAGCCAGCTCCTTGGACCTAAAAACCAAGGCCACCAATCACTAGGCAGGCAAACCATGGTTTCAGAATCTGTTTAGGTCCCTATCACAGTTAAAGTATAAGTGAGTTTTAAAGTTCAGATAGAAGAGCTTTGCAAACATTAGTGGGTGTGATCATAAGCAAGGCTAATTAAGAATAACTGTGATAAGACAACCCCCGCCCACGTGACCTCCTTGTTTTGTAATTTAGCCATTCTATATGTCAACTCCTATATCTATCCAGATAAATCTGATAAGCTTCTTCAAAGTGTATTAATGAGCGCCAAAGCGCTGCGTATCTGTGAATTACCAGCCCCTAATATAAGGCTAGGCACACAGTTGTTTATTGAATGAAGAGCAGGGATTGGCGTAGGTGATGCATGTTCCCGGCCCCACCTTTCCAGTGTGTGCATTTGTGTGTGTGTAGACAGGACACTGCACTTGTTTTCTCTTCCAGAAGGATAATTCCTTTTCTTGGGCCAGGCAGGAAGGGATGGCGGCACCATGATCAGTCTGGGGGAATCCATTCAGGTCACCCTTCAGCTTTTAGTAGCCCCTACAGGAAAGCACTTGCTGTAGTATTTTACTATCAAATTACTTTGCATGTTGTGACAGTCAAGTTTGATCCTTCTGTTTAGATGAAAGTGGCTTATTAACCACTAGATTCATTGTTATTTTCCCAGTAGGTCTTATGTTTCTTAATTGTTTCCAGTTGGACATTTCACTTTTTTCCTGGTTAACCAGGGACTTAAATGAAACAATCTTGTTAGAGTATATGAACTGCACATACCTAAGCCAGTTTCCTCATCCTGGACTTCTGTTTCTCAGAACCTTAGAATTTTAAACCACTGTGGTTGAGTTACTTCCATTTTTGTTAAGTCGTGAAGAATGTGGAGCCCAAAGAGGGCTAGGTGATTTCTTTCTGGGTTTCACATTCTTCTGTGTCTCTTCTCTTGGCAACTTTGTGAACTTCAGTTTTAATCGGACCTTATTTCCGCCCACAGATAAGCTGCATAGCCATAGTTATAGCTAAATAGAATGTCTTTATTAAAATCTGATCCCGATGCAAGCTGATTTGTTATTTTATTTTTAAATCAGAGGGC
Organism: Homo sapiens; assembly: GCF_000001405.40. NCBI lineage: Eukaryota > Metazoa > Chordata > Mammalia > Primates > Hominidae > Homo > Homo sapiens. Next base: position 13,213,441 of record NC_000012.12, read on the forward strand.
CAGCTTTCAATTAACATTTTCTTTCCTTCTGGTTTCAGGTCTGGTTGGTTTCCAATACGGTAGATGCATCAGTAGGTCTTTGGAAAAACTGTACCAACATTAGCTGCAGTGACAGCCTGTCATATGCCAGTGAAGGTATATATAAAGATATTGACCCAGTGCTGACAATAGGTGTGGTCAGGGAATGTTCAGCCCCTGGAGTGACCTCATGCCCTTGTTCTCCTCGTCCTGTGTCTACAGATGCCCTCAAGACAGTGCAGGCCTTCATGATTCTCTCTATCATCTTCTGTGTCATTGCCCTCCTGGTCTTCGTGTTCCAGCTCTTCACCATGGAGAAGGGAAACCGGTTCTTCCTCTCAGGGGCCACCACACTGGTGTGCTGTGAGTATCTCATGGGTAGACTCCAGTTTACACTTTTAAGTCCATCTTACCATGGGTGTTTCTGGCAACTTGAACAGATTAGCACATGGTTCAGTGAAACTTCCTTGTGCAATTTTCTCCTCTGGTTATTTGTTCTCTTGTGGAGAACCTTGGATTGCTGCTTAGGTTAAGAACCCTCATCTGCTTCATTGTTCAAAACCAGTGCTCCTGGGTAGCTACCAAGTGGCAGTGCATATCTGTTAGTAGCACGTGTGTACAAGACACTTCAAGAAGGCAGAAAGGTAGGAGTTCTCAGAAAGATGAAACCACTGCCACAATGCACATCATTATTGTGATTCTCACTTAATTGTTGTTCTTTCCCAATATACTCGGTTTGGTGGAAGGACATGCTCTTTTGCATCCCTGAGTAGCTTTCCTAGACCCACAAGGGCCAGACAGGACAGCTGGGTGGTAGGCATGAGGTTCTGTGTTTTACATCACAGCGTGGCCACACAAACCAGTGCAGACATGAGAGCCCAGACACCTCTAATTTATCAACATACCGTCGAGCTTGGCCCAGGGGACATCCATCAGAACTCCTGTTTAGGGACAAACAAGCAGAATTCATTTTCCTATTGCTAATGAGGGAAATAGGATCTTCTTAAAATTAGTAAAACTTTTTCTCGACTTTAATGTAAGAAAACACACCGACAAATCTCCTTTTCCCCTGCAGGGCTGTGCATTCTTGTGGGGGTGTCCATCTACACTAGTCATTATGCGAATCGTGATGGAACGCAGTATCACCACGGCTATTCCTACATCCTGGGCTGGATCTGCTTCTGCTTCAGCTTCATCATCGGCGTTCTCTATCTGGTCCTGAGAAAGAAATAAGGCCGGACGAGTTCATGGGGATCTGGGGGGTGGGGAGGAGGAAGCCGTTGAATCTGGGAGGGAAGTGGAGGTTGCTGTACAGGAAAAACCGAGATAGGGGAGGGGGGAGGGGGAAGCAAAGGGGGGAGGTCAAATCCCAAACCATTACTGAGGGGATTCTCTACTGCCAAGCCCCTGCCCTGGGGAGAAAGTAGTTGGCTAGTACTTTGATGCTCCCTTGATGGGGTCCAGAGAGCCTCCCTGCAGCCACCAGACTTGGCCTCCAGCTGTTCTTAGTGACACACACTGTCTGGGGCCCCATCAGCTGCCACAACACCAGCCCCACTTCTGGGTCATGCACTGAGGTCCACAGACCTACTGCACTGAGTTAAAATAGCGGTACAAGTTCTGGCAAGAGCAGATACTGTCTTTGTGCTGAATACGCTAAGCCTGGAAGCCATCCTGCCCTTCTGACCCAAAGCAAAACATCACATTCCAGTCTGAAGTGCCTACTGGGGGGCTTTGGCCTGTGAGCCATTGTCCCTCTTTGGAACAGATATTTAGCTCTGTGGAATTCAGTGACAAAATGGGAGGAGGAAAGAGAGTTTGTAAGGTCATGCTGGTGGGTTAGCTAAACCAAGAAGGAGACCTTTTCACAATGGAAAACCTGGGGGATGGTCAGAGCCCAGTCGAGACCTCACACACGGCTGTCCCTCATGGAGACCTCATGCCATGGTCTTTGCTAGGCCTCTTGCTGAAAGCCAAGGCAGCTCTTCTGGAGTTTCTCTAAAGTCACTAGTGAACAATTCGGTGGTAAAAGTACCACACAAACTATGGGATCCAAGGGGCAGTCTTGCAACAGTGCCATGTTAGGGTTATGTTTTTAGGATTCCCCTCAATGCAGTCAGTGTTTCTTTTAAGTATACAACAGGAGAGAGATGGACATGGCTCATTGTAGCACAATCCTATTACTCTTCCTCTAACATTTTTGAGGAAGTTTTGTCTAATTATCAATATTGAGGATCAGGGCTCCTAGGCTCAGTGGTAGCTCTGGCTTAGACACCACCTGGAGTGATCACCTCTTGGGGACCCTGCCTATCCCACTTCACAGGTGAGGCATGGCAATTCTGGAAGCTGATTAAAACACACATAAACCAAAACCAAACAACAGGCCCTTGGGTGAAAGGTGCTATATAATTGTGAAGTATTAAGCCTACCGTATTTCAGCCATGATAAGAACAGAGTGCCTGCATTCCCAGGAAAATACGAAAATCCCATGAGATAAATAAAAATATAGGTGATGGGCAGATCTTTTCTTTAAAATAAAAAAGCAAAAACTCTTGTGGTACCTAGTCAGATGGTAGACGAGCTGTCTGCTGCCGCAGGAGCACCTCTATACAGGACTTAGAAGTAGTATGTTATTCCTGGTTAAGCAGGCATTGCTTTGCCCTGGAGCAGCTATTTTAAGCCATCTCAGATTCTGTCTAAAGGGGTTTTTTGGGAAGACGTTTTCTTTATCGCCCTGAGAAGATCTACCCCAGGGAGAATCTGAGACATCTTGCCTACTTTTCTTTATTAGCTTTCTCCTCATCCATTTCTTTTATACCTTTCCTTTTTGGGGAGTTGTTATGCCATGATTTTTGGTATTTATGTAAAAGGATTATTACTAATTCTATTTCTCTATGTTTATTCTAGTTAAGGAAATGTTGAGGGCAAGCCACCAAATTACCTAGGCTGAGGTTAGAGAGATTGGCCAGCAAAAACTGTGGGAAGATGAACTTTGTCATTATGATTTCATTATCACATGATTATAGAAGGCTGTCTTAGTGCAAAAAACATACTTACATTTCAGACATATCCAAAGGGAATACTCACATTTTGTTAAGAAGTTGAACTATGACTGGAGTAAACCATGTATTCCCTTATCTTTTACTTTTTTTCTGTGACATTTATGTCTCATGTAATTTGCATTACTCTGGTGGATTGTTCTAGTACTGTATTGGGCTTCTTCGTTAATAGATTATTTCATATACTATAATTGTAAATATTTTGATACAAATGTTTATAACTCTAGGGATATAAAAACAGATTCTGATTCCCTTCATTGTGTGAATGTTTTTTTCTAAAAAAAATGTGGAGAAATATGGATAATTATGACATTTATCCCTCATTAAGCTGCCTATCAGTTTGATTTGGACAACTTGACATTTATTTGAGACATTAAGCTACTTTCTGGTAATATATTAGGCATTTCTGCAATAGCTCTTTCAGGTAACTGAATATTATTAAGCATAGTTTTATCTTGCTTTGATTAAACCTCTTAGGCAAAAAATGGAACTTCATAAGCTAATACATTAGAAAGGGGTTATGATTATAAATCAGAAATGCTTGTGACATTAAGAAATGAGGCACTTGTGAAATTTCTTTGAAATAGCCAGCTCCTCTAATGTGTCTTCAAAATATAAAGTGATTCACAAAGGCATGCATCACACCTATTTGTAGCAGCCCATTCATTACATAAACCAGGGCATACCTGTGTGGGCTCTGTGAGTGAAGGGAGGCTTCACTACTTTCTGTGAGCAGTAAGGACTGGTATCTTTCTGTGAGCAATAAGGACTGGATAAAGACTGCATATCCTTGTGTCGTGTCAGCACCAATACAATAAGGAGGGTTTTAATGTGAAGCAGGCAATCTTCCAGCCCCTTCTGGTCTTGGATGAAATAGTTGCACAGAGTATTGCACCAAAAATACACAATGGAGGCTGAAAAGTTCAACATATTTTAAGTCAATTAATCAAATTGCATTGATTCTTGATGCTTTCTTAGAGGCCTACATGATTTCTTAGATTGCTCTGATAAACTATCATAAGGGGTCCACCTCCCCTCATTTAGCTCCCCCAGGGATTTCTTTTCCCCCATGTCATACACCCAGTCCTAAATCAACCCCCAAGGCTATCCTTCCATCCCTTCTGCAGAGGGAACTTTTGTCAGACTCTGCAACAAACTCCTAGCTCTATCCAGAGTGTCCTCTGCTGCTAAGATTGGTATCTTTCTCCTCAAAAGCCTGGATGGTGAATGGGGGTGCATTAGTCAGAATTCTCCAGAGAAACAGAAAAAATAAGATTCGCGTGTGTGTGCAAACATATATATAAATAAATAAAAATATATTTATTTTAAGGAATTGACTCACATGATTTTGAAGGCAGGCAAGCCCAAAGTCTGCAAGGGGTGGGCCAGCAGAGAGCTGGTGCTACAGTGCGGGTCTGAAAGTTGCCAGAGTCCCTTTTATAGAGAAGCTTAAAAAATATTTGTTGAATTAAATGTCTTAGGTAGAGACAAATTGAATTAAAGTGGTTAAGTAAATACTCTTAGGTGAAATTTGTGCAAATTATGAGTATAAAGAGGGTGAGCTACAGAACTCTCCATGACCACTCAAGAATGGGACCCAAAGGCAAATGATAACTTATTCATTCATCAAGGGATAAACTTGAGTTATCAAATGGTTAATAGATAAAGATCCCACTCTGCCTTGGATTTAGCCATCGCAGTCCCTGTGTAAAACCCCACCGGCTTTCAGGCATGGAAAAAAATTTCACAAAGGCCTTGAAAGAAGGCATATGAAGACCAAAAGGATATTGAGCAGGGTTCCATACTTGAATAAAGGAAGAAACTCCCTTCAATGTTTACTAAGAAATAGTTAGAATATAGCATATCCTGTATAGATGAAATGTCCTAGCGAAAATGTTTAAATGTATTTAAAGAAGAGCTAGATTTTGTGGGGGGAGAGAAGGGAATAGGATAGGCTGGTGGGAGGAAGAATGAAAAGAAGAAAACTTGTTGGAAATTTTGGAGTAGATTGTGAGGAGGGGTGACTCACTTTAAAGATGTATCATTTGGAGGTAGACACGATTTTCAGAGCACAAAACAGATAAGGAAAGATGTATGCTGATTGTGTGGAGCCCAAGGGAAGGCGGGGTTTTGGAGTCTTACGTGGCTTTGTTTCTGAAAGGGAGACATGTGAAGCCTACTCCTGAGGCGGGAGGCTGGGGACATGACCATCAAGACCTATAATTGATAAACAACTAGGGGCTGGGTGCTGCACCTACATGCTGGGGAAATAGAAAATGAAGCAGACATGTGTCCCATCTTCTTCCAGCTTTCAGTCTAGCTTGGAAATAAATCTCATACCTAGAGAAAATGGAGGATCTGTGGGATGTAGATGAGGTGGGAGCATGAATGCCTAGGGAGGGAAGAAGAAAGATTTTCAGTTCTTCAGCTTTTCCTCATGACCCTATCTCATGCCATGAGCAATTGTCTGGCATCTCCTGTGGGTTGGACCACTGCTGCATTTCTTACTTGCCAACATCACTTTGTCCCAAATGCCATTCCTTTGTTCCAGGGCCTCCTTGTCTTCCATCTGGGGAACTGGAGGTGAGAAGCATTATAATAGCCTCTCTGCCTTTATCTACAATCTCTCCAACCTGTGCTTTATGCTGATGTCAGGATGGGCGTTGATGGATGCTTCTATCACTGTCGGGGCAGGGAGGGCCAGAACACTAGCATAAGATGTCAATATGTCTATCCATATGTCAGGTCCATACTCAACTCAAGCTTCTGGTTAACTGCTGATCTATTGGCAACTCCAGTTCCCAATAAGTTCCTCATCTCCTTCTGAGACCACCTCAGTGTGGACTTAATCGTCCACATCACTGTCAGCATTTTGGTTAAAACCATTCAACAAGTCTCCAGGAAGCTCCAAACTTTCCTTCATCTTCCTGTCTTCTTCTGAGCCCTCCAAACTCTTCCAACCTCTACCCGTTACCCAGTTCCAAAGGTGCTTCCACACTTTCAAGTATCTTTATAGCAATGCCCCACTCCTGGTACCAAATTCCTGTATTAGTCTGTTTTCACACTGCTATGAAGACATACTTGAGACTCGGTAATTTATATAGAAAAGAGGTTTAATTGACAAAAAAGCTAACAAAGTGAGCCCTGATTCAAAAATGACTGTCTACACTTGGCACATGAGGGACTTTATGATATTAAGAGATTAATTAAACAACAGTGGATGGGGAGGAAGAACAGACTTTTGAGCTCTTCCCAATATAGGAATGTGTTAGTTCTAAAAATTTTCTTAAGTTGTTTGCTTGGAACTCAGAGTATATTTTTCCATACGAAAAATTCAGAACTATTTTATTTATGATATGGGCTAAAAAGACTTCTGTAATCTAGCTTGGAAACTTAATAATCATTAAACTTATTTTCAATGAGATACGACTGTTTAAATTCTGAAACCTGGAACCCTCTGTTGCCCTGCAAATGCTTTAGGAAAAGAAGAGTGTGTCTGATGGAGGATAAGATGGAAAGTGAATATGGATCCATATTCAGAAGACACGGTTGCATTACAGCAAAGGAACAGCTTTTTGCTGGCCATGCTAAGCATTTGACATTGATGTGGGAGAACATGGCATTCAGTATGACTCTGTCTGGATATATATAGTTTTGTAAATTGGGTGTTCTTAAGTTGAGACTGCATGTTTCATTCCAAAATCAATCTTAGTTTTCCCACTTGCATTAGCATATTGTATTAGTCCGTCTTCACACTGCTATAAAGACATACCCGAGACTGGGTAATTTATAAAGAAAAGAGGTTTAATTGACTCACAGTTCTGCATGGCTGGGGAGGCTTCAGGAAACTTATAATCATGGCAAAAGGGGAAGAGGTACGTCTTACATGGTGACAGGGGAGAGAGAGCATGCAAGAGAAGGGAAAACTGCATTATAAAACCATAAATTTTATAGAACCCACTATCCCAAGAACAGCATGAGGGAACCACCCTCATGATCCAATCACCTTCCACGGGGTCCCTCCCTCAACACATGGGGATTTGGGGGATTACAATTCAAGATGAGATTTGGGTGGGGGAACAGCCAAACCATATCATGTATCAATGCTTAAATTCAGTTTATCTGGGAATTTTGAATGATTCCAACTCCTTAGTATAGACATTTACAGGCTTTTGGGCATTATGAAATCGTACTATTTTTAATTTGATTTCACCACTTCTCCTCTGTCTTATAAAAAGCTGACATTGAGCACATGTGTCCTTATAATTTTTAAGGTGAATCAAAAGTAAACCTGTTTTGAGTATTTGGATATAGTTTTGCAGTAGCTCTTGAGGTTACTAGGGTTGCAAAATCAAGTTTGAGAATTATAGTGCTAGATTTATGGGTGAAATGGATTACACTAATTAGTCTGACATTTAGTCACCTTGTTTTAAAAAAGCAAGGCAATATTCTGGCAGTGATATTGAACTCCAGATTTCTTTCCATATACTCACTTATGAAATTTACTTCAACATGGCATACCAGAACTGACTACTAATTTCTTTCCCCAGAATAATTTAAATTCTTTACGTCTCATTGTATTTAGTACTTGTCAGAGCTCCTGGAAGGACAGATAAAAGATAAATGCAGACAATTATTCATTGCTCAGCTTAGGTTCATTTCAGCCGGTCATTCTCTTGACCTTACCCTGGACGTCCTTATTCCCCAGAACCACTCTTCCTAATTCAGAGGAACGTGCGTGGCTCCTAATTTCTGGAGCTAACACCCACTACCACCAGTTTTGAACTCCATGCTCTTTTTTATTTTCCAGATGGAGTCTTGCTCTGTCACCCATGCTGGAGGACAGTGGCGCCATCTCTGCTCACTGAAACCTCCTCCTCCTGGGTTCAAGCAATTCTCTTACCTCAGCCCCCCAAGTAGTTGGGATTATAAGCGTGTGCTACCACACCTGGCTCAATTTTATATTTTGTATTTTTAGTAGAGATGTTGGCCAGGCTGGTCTCCAACTCCTGACCTCAAGTGATCCACCCACCTCGGCCCTCCCAAAGTGCTGGGATTACACGTGTGAGCCACCGTGCCTGGCCAGAAGGCTGTGCTCTCTTAGCTCTTCAAGGATGCTCTATTGTTATTCTTCTTCTCCCTATATCTCTACTGGAGATTTTGTCTTGTGGGTAAAATATGCTTAAGTTTACCATATCTTAAGCAAAAGAAAACACACAAACAACAACAAAAAAATCACTCCTCTCTATACTAATACTTTGCCTCTTGGTCTCTTATTATCCGTCTCCACCAGGCCCTGTCTCTGGGGTCAAGGGTAAGAGCTCACATAGAGGCACACCATATATCTACATATTTGAAAGTTGTAATATCAAGTTAACAAGCCATTAAATAAAAGTGTTCTATTGTCCTACCTTGATAGAAATACCTAGAAGGTCAGGTTAAATTGAAAAAACTCAGACTCCTTGTAGTCCTGGGGTAGAAGTCGGCTTACTGGGGGAGTGGGTGTCAGGCTCTCTGCTCATAGCTTGACTTTCTTCTCCCTTCCTCCTCTGCCCCATCTCCCACCATGAGAGACACGGAGTGCATATGAGTGGGTACTCCGGCCCACACATCTGAGAACAGCCCTCACCCATGCCCCATCTTGCAGACAGCTGCCCCTGGGCCATCTCATAGGCCATCCCATAACACAGTCCACTCTCTATTTGACAGGCCCAGGGAGAGGGGCTTAGTCATGAGCATGAGGACATTTGGCCAGGGACTTTGGCAGCACGAGCAATCAAAATGCAGTCTGGCAGCAGGGTGTGGCCTCCAGGTGGGTGTGCTCCTTTGGTCCTGAGCCCAAGGACTTCTTGCCCCCGGGAGGGTGTGGCTGGAGGAGGGTTGGAGCAAAGCCAGGAAAGCACAGGCCTAGAGAAGGCCTCCCGCCTGATCTAAGGGTGCAAGGCTCAGGCCTCTCTTCCCACTCCCTCACCTCGGGCCTCCCTGGAGCCAATCAGCTTCTGCCCTCAGCACTCCAAAGTGATAGCTCTGCTGAGGATCAAGATTCACTTTATATTCTCCAATCCAATGGGCACTCTTAGCCTGTACCTTTTTGTTTTTTTTTTTTTTGCCTGCTGCTTATTGTATCTTTGTATTTTGCATGGGATTTAATTAAAATTCCTATAATGAATGATCACCTATATTGGAATGAATCCAAAAACTGCATCTAGACTCAGATCAGCTTTCTGAAGCCAGGGCCGTAAGAACTACAAATTCAACTGAACCCCTGAAGTTCTCCTCCCTTTCTTTGACTTCCCCATCTCAGGAAATAGCCACCTATCACTTAGAATTACAGGCCAGATATCCAAGCGTCACTCACCATTCCTCCTTCTCCCCCATTCTTCACATTTAATTAATAACTGTATCTTGGTGATTCTAATTCCCAAATATTTCTAGATTCTTTCCCTTTCTTTCCATTCCCTTCAGTGTGATCTTAGTTTAGACCTTTAATTGCATTTATTTAAAGTAGCTGAATAGGCTCATAAGAATTCACTGCTCCAACTAATTTTCCACTCTGTTGCAAAAACTGATTTTCTTGCAGTGCAAATATGAGCGTGCCATTCTCCTGCTTTTAATCCTTCATTTTCTCCTTCAGGTTGTGCAGGATAAAATTCAGAACTTGTCTATTGCTGCCTTTTCCCCCATGGCCACTCTATCCCAGGGCTAAAACACACACTTATACCATGTTGTGGGGGTTTTCCCCACATGTCATTTGTTTTTCTGAAGGTCCTTCCCCTGGTATCCGGCTAACTCATCCTGATTTCACAGGATCAGAGCACATTCCTCATCTCCAAAAGGGTGGCCTGATGCCCCAGGCCCTACTGAAATGAGCTTTGTCAATGTTTACATAATATCATATGTGTATTTCATCAGAGCATTTGTCACAGAATATTTGAATAGTGGGTTAAACTGCATGCTTCTCTCACTGGACCATGAGCTACAAGAGGGCAGGGAACTCATATTTCATTTCCTTTCCTTCAGCATTTAGCAGGATGCCTGGCAATTAGCAGATGTTCAATATAATTGTGTGAGAAGGGCTGGGGAAGGTGCTGGGACACATCATCACGGGTGACAGAACCGGTCCCCTGTGGCACTCACTGTTTCGGGGAATTGGACAGGTGGTTCCAATGCAGGCGGAGTGCCATTGATGCTGAGAGAGAAGGGAGGAAATGTGCCTCTGGGGGTTGTCTGTTACTATTTTTAGGGTCATTAAAAGTGATTAAAGCCCTCTCTGTAAAAGTGTACACATATATATTTTTTTCATAAAATTCTCCTAAAACATCCATGGGTTTCCTAAGTAGTACAGCCCTTAGGCCTGGGCAGAATGACCTCTGCTTTAGAGCATTGCATTTATTTAAAGTAGCTGAATAGGCTCTGGTCCTCATCCAGCTGTGCATACATTTAAGATGAACTTTAAGGGTGAATAAAATGTTGGAAGTTGTAAAGAAGTTGGAAGTTGAAAGATCAGCCAACGAAATCATAGCGATGGAAAAGCTGGCTGGAGCAAGTGACCCATTTGGAAAGGTAGACTGGGGGCTTTACTGCAGAAGGTCTTGACTCTCAGGGTTAGGAATTTCACAATGATTTGGAAGGATAATGGGAATTCCTAAAACGTTTTTGAGCAATGATATAACTGGAATGTGCTCTGAAAGGATGAATTTGGCAGATTATACAGGGGGTTGCAGGAGAAGTGAAGAAGGTGGAGAAATAGTTGGGAGGCTACTGTAGTACTTGAGGGAAGAGGTAATAAGAACTGGACAAAGTGGGTGGGATGGGAATGGAAGAGATGAATATAATACAAAAGGTATGATTTAGATGTCATGTGATTCAGCAAGATTTCAGGGAGAAGGCAACAAAGATTACTCTGATTTACCAGACTGGAGTTGGGGGAACTGGCCACGCCATGAACAAAAGAGGGAAGCTGGAGGAAGAATTTGAGGGGGAAGATTATAAACTCAGATCTAGACATGTTAAGTACAAGGAGCTGGCTGGACATTTAAGTATCTTGCTCCTTAGTCTAAAGATGTCTTAGGTTACTTGTGAAGGGTTACTTTCCAGAGGGATCCTGGGGGTTCCCCAGAGCACCCACAAATGTAAGTCTCTAGGAGGCTGCACATTTCCCACATTTAGCCTCTAGCTAGGTAAGCTTTTCATAGCACTTCCATCAGCCTGGGTCAACTCACTTGGGACTGACCTTATATCTGTTTGAATTCAGCTGTCTTTTGTTTTAAATTTTACTTTTAAATTGTTTTATTACCAATTTTAGCTCCCCCAAATTAGCATCACACTTTCTCCTTGTGTTAGTTCCAACCTGGATCCTGTAGGGGTGGACATGGGAGGGTGATGGGAGGACAGGGCATGGATCTGGGACACACTTGGAGTTTTAATTTAGTATCCCATGAAACTTCTTGTTTAAAATATCTAATTTGCTAAAATTTGCTTTTCAAAAATGTTGGCCTTTTACTAAATTTCCCTTTTCAACATTTTAAACATCTGCTTTAGTTTTAAAATGGCTGTCTTTTTTCTTTTTTTAAAAACATCTTTTACGTTTGTGCAAACTTCCCTATCCCTCAAAACAGAGACTTCCATTGGGCAAATTATTTTGATGTGAAATCTCTGAACAATCTCATTAGCAAGAGATCTGGAATGATGTCTGAACACAGGTAACAGTGACCTGTCATGGATGTAAATCAAAGAATATTATGAAAAACCCCATGTAATACCAGGACATATGAAGAAATATGAAGATGAGAGGCAATCATTCCTTTAGATTCTGCATTAGTCAGATTATGGTCTGAGTTATAGAGTACTATGTTCAGTGTTGGTCACCACCGTTCAAAGAGATGTGAAGAAATTAGAGTGATTGCAGAAACAAGCAACCAAGATGATTAAAGGGTTGGATAATAGGTTCCAGGATGAAAGATAAAAAGGTTTGTTGCTGTTTCCAGAAGAGAAGACTAAAGTAGAGCGTGATTCTGCAAGGTTTTTATAAGACATGGTTAACAGAAACAACATATGATGGAGAAAGATTGCGAGCAAAGCTAAAAGAAGAGAAAATGCCTCGTTTTGGATAAGTCAGGCCAGAATCAACCTTTTACCCTTTCCTATATCGTTACTAATTAATCACAACATTTTTTCCTGCAGGGCTTGGGCCAGCCATATAAAATCCCCCAAACGGAACTCCAGGCAGCCTCTCCCAGTTCTTTGAAATTTTTCCTTAGAAAGACAGCTGTTTTCTCCTCTATTTTGGGCGTCGAATGTTTTGAGAGCTTGAGGCTTTACCAATGGATTTCTCAAAGATCTTTCTAGCACCATGATTCTACCAAATAATTTGATTAAATGAGTTTCACAAGGAATGGACTTAATCTGTAGATGATAATGGATCTAGGCCCTTTGACGAAACTGGGACATCTCTGGAATGCTTTTAGTGAAGGGATTGGAGACTTGGCTACTCTCTTAACACAGAAAGTTTAATTGTCTTCTCAAAGAAGCTCTTCACAGACAGCCTAGAAAGCCTCATAACGCTGGAAAAAAAGAAATATTTGGATGGAGCCAGAAGTAAGGAAAGAATTTCTACCAGGATCTCCTGTGTAGAATCTACTATTTGGCCCTGGAGAGGAAAACTGGGCTCTAGGAGGAACCTGAACACTGATTGGCCGAGGAAGGCATTGAGATGCCAGAATGAAGCTAGTTGAAGTCTCCGCTTTTTCTGTAGCTCTTTATGTGTTGTTATGAAAAAGCCTGATGAACAGTGGTTTTCTGACACGAAGTTTGTGGGAGGTAAACAGTGATAAATGACAGTTCAAGAAGCTGAAGGGCAGAAATCAATACTTGCTGTTACTCTGCAGTAAATTATGAGAAGCCTTCAATGAGAGGGACAGATGCTGTTTTTCCAATTGCATGGTTTGAACTTTAGTTGTTTATAAATTTTCTTTCTCCCTGTGGGTCTAAGTTTCTGTCTTTGCCATATATACCCTAAATGTATGGTGATAAATATCAGGCCACTTAAAAAGGTGGTAGGTAATTCACCATTAGTGTCTGAATTTTCTTCTCTACCATTGACTTTCTCTAACTTTTCTAATGATGATTAACATAGTTTGTTTTGTCAAAGGACAGCCTTTGGACCACAAAATGGATGAAAATAAAATTTAAAAAAAAGAGCTAAACTGCCTTTAAAAACCGTTAAGAATCTCTTAATACTAAATTTCAAGGGCAGAGTCTTTCTCAGTGCCATTTGGCTCACAGACATGTATTCCAGAGCAACCAAATTTGAAATACAAAAATAAAAAAGATTTTACAAAAGCCATTTCTTCCAATGAGGTCAGCAACAATTCTCGTCATTTCTTTTTTAAACAAATTCATCATGTTCCACCAAGTAAGATATTTACATATACTAACTTGAAATTTCACTCCTGAAAAAATAATAAAGGAAAAAGTCTTCTGGGATATTTTTGCTGTTTTATGGCAGTTGTTGATCTTTAGTGTTTATTAATTTTTTAGTCTTTTCCTTATTTATATCCACCCCTCCCTGTTACAAAAAATAGACTAATTTCCCAAAACTTGAGCTAAGAAGTCTGCTCTTAGATGGTGCTCCTGTTTTATAGCTGCTGATTAGGCTGGCAATCAGGAGAAATGTACAAACGCATTGGAGGAGACTTCTTGCAGCCTGTCCATCACACACACATAGACAGCACTTCTGTTGCTGCTTACCTGAGACAGCTATGTGATACTTTCTAGGACAAGTTCAGATGCGAGTCTCGAGTCATGATGGCAGAGAGAATATACACACCACACTGCTCCAGTGGTCTAGGGGCATTGCAATCACAGAGGGAGGAGCTGGCTCTTCCGGCCCCTTCTCTACTCCCTGCTCGCTAACTGCGGGTTCACCTGGCCAACCTACAGACTAACCTGTGAGGAGCACTCAGATGGGGGGAGAACCTCCTGCCAGATGTAATAACGATTATTTTGAAAGGCAGAGGGGAGGAAGAGGGCAACCAGGAGAACCTTATAAGACTTCAGGGCTTTCAGGCAAATAAATGATGGTTTGATGGTTTGAGGGGCTGTGACTTAGAGCCAGATCACACAGACTTCTGAGACATAATCCAATCAACACCAAGCACACCTCCTTTGACTGTAAGTAACTTGAGTGCTTGTTCTAGGACTTTTGTCTCCTCTGTTTTCCCAGAACCAGACACGTTGCCTGGTTCATAGACACTGAGTAACATTACATTAGACCAATGAAAGGATAAAAGAATCCTAGGTTCTACTGAAGGAGAAATGGGCTTACACTGAAATATTGGGAAGAGAGGGTATAGAGTGGGAATTTATTGGCAAGGAACGTTGTTGTATTATTATAGGTCTGTTATGGGTTATTGATGAAGTGCCCTGTAATCTAAGGAGACGCATCATCACAGCAGAATTTCAACCATTCTGGAATGATTTCAGTGGGCTGCCTGGAGAAAGGCATGAACTGACCACCGTAGGCTTTCATCCTTCCCTTGATGTTGATGATTCTCATTCTCAGGAAGGTGCCCTACACCCACCCCACCCCCAATTTTCTTGGAAAATTCTAATTTCCTACAGTCCCTGCAGTACAGAAGCCACTGATTCTGGACATTTTTGACAGTATGGTATTGGTATGGTATTGGTATGCTCTGAAAAAACCAATGCTTTTTCAGAGCAAAGACACTTTATCAAATACTATTAAATATTGATTACATGAAGTCCTCACTTAATGTTATCGAGGTTTTTCTCTTTTTTAATTTAAGAAAGAGTCTCACTATGTTACCCAGGCTGGTCTTGAACTCCTGGGCTCAAGGGATCCTCCTGCCTCAGCCTCCAGAGTACCTGGAGTTCCCACCGTGCCCAGTCACCAATAGGTTCTTGGAAACTGCAACTTCAAGTGTAACCACATACAACAAAGCCAATTTGATCACACGCTAATTGAGATAAATAAGAGTTAAGGTCCTGTGGCCTATTTCAAGCCACAAAAGCACTACCAAACTTCTAAATAAAGACCAAAACACTTCTTAAACGTTGAAATAAATATAAGCTATACAGACAATTAAGAAAGATTAATAAAAATAAGATAATTAATTACCCAATTATTTCAGTTCAGTTCAGTTTTGGATTGCTGGAGCCTCCTGCAGCAGCTCAGGACACAAGGTGAACTCGGACAAGACACCATCCCACCACAGGATGCGCTCACACCCACACCCACACCCACACCCACACTCACACTGGCACCACGTAGACAAGCCAGTTCACCTAATGTGCACAGCTTTGGGATGGGGGAGGAAAGTGGAGTACCCAGAGGAAACCCACACAGACATGGGGAAAGTGTGTGAACTCCACACAGACAGTGGCTCCACCTGGGAAGATATTTTATTTTTCTCATCAATGTTATAACAAAACGACGACGTTATTCAAGCACTGTCTGTACATTAATGGTGCCATCTGCTGAGATGCTTAAAAAACTAAAATGTGAGAAGGACCCAACGACCCCTCTGCCAAAAAATGGAAGTGCATCATTGTGTCTTGGTGCTAGCAAGTGTTGAAAAACAGAAGTTAAAAGCGTCTCCTACTTTTTTTTTTTTTTGCATTGGCGTCTGTTGACCTATATTGTGCATTCTGTGTAAATTTCATATGCCAGAAAAATCAAGAGTAAAAAGGTCATGAGAAGGCAGAAGAGTGGGTTGGAGAGGACTCTGAATAAGAGAACCTGGGATAAGACAGTTTATTAAGATATAAGCAATGATTTCTGACTTTTTTCAGCCAGGAGATACATAAGCACAGAGGATGTGATATCAGTCTTGGATCAATAAGGGATCTTGTACAATGAGAAAAGTGATGCATTTTCATCTCCCAGGTGCCTCTCCACCCCTTCTGTCTGGGGGCTGTGAGGTAGGGAATCTGCTGGCTATTCCCTGATGGACCTCTCAGGGTTACTAGACCAAGAGGCAACCTTGAGGAATGCTACTCGTTAACCCAGTTAACAAATAAATTAAAATCCTTGTCCTAGTGGGTGTCTGATTTCCAGTCTTTCATTTCACACGTTGACACTAGATGTCAGGGAAAGACTTAGCGTTCTACTTTGCAGGTCTCAGATCTCTTCAGCAGGAAGGAAGGCTGCCTGAGACAGAAATCAGGTATTGAAGACTGGCAGATTTCCCACTGTGAGCCACTGGGGACACCAGGGCTCTTATGCCAAAATATCACTATCCTGCTCACGCCCTGTTAGACATACTCTTGATGCTGTTAAAGCCCATAGACAGAACAGGTTAGATCAAGGTCATTTCATCAAAAAAGTTTTTTTTTTTTTTTGAGCGGGGGGAGGGGGAATGAAAGTCATTAATTTACCCTTTCGATTTTATTATAAAAGAGATTCAATTTTACTTTTCAAAAAAGGACAGAAGGTATAACATGGTCGTGTTTTATAATCCTTTTCATTAGTAAATTAGGAAGGAGGTAAACCAGTTAAAAATTATATGGGAGTCTCATAAGATTGTTCTGATGCTCTGTAGTACTTCCTTACATTTTGCAAAAATGACATTTTGTTTTAAATGATATTAAGCAAAAATGTGTTTTTACTGCAGAATAACTAAATCCTGACTTGCTTTCATTATGTTGCTATTATGATTCCCAAGGCTCTCAGCCCCTTCACAGGCTTCCTGATGTAACAAAAAACGATGGGCTTTTATAAAAAGTATGGATAACACATTCAAAAATTTTCCTTCTTCCTTCCTTCCTTCTCCTTCCTTCCTTCCTTCTTTCCTACCTTCCTTCTTTCCTCCCTCCCTCCCTCCTTTTTTCCTTCCTTCCTTCCTTCTCTTCCTTTTTTTTTTTTTTTTTTTAGCTTGCAAGAAGGCAATGTGAACAAACTGGAACCGGGAAGGATGGTGGTAAAGGACAAAGCCAGAAAAGGGTACAGGATTTCCCTTGTCATGCATATATTTTTGCTCTAGTCCAAAAGGTCATGGCCGTCGTATTCTCAGCCACCCTTTGGAAATAAGGTGGCTAGTCATCTACCCACCCAAGTTTAAAAATAGCCCTTCCTTGGTAGGAGGAGCCCACAGTGGGAGGAGGGCCCATCCAGATGCTGGGGAGCAGCCCCGCCTATGGAAAGATGTTCCAGGAGCCCCCTTGGTGCATCTGGGAGCCATTATATCATCACCAAAAATAGTATTATTAATACCGTATGTGTGTGTCCTTCATTTATTTGTGAACTGGATGTTGTGCAAGTCACAGGGGACTTGAAAAGAAAAAGACAAGTTTTTTGCTGGCTCACGATGGAGGCAGGAGAGAGACATGCTGGAAAACCATTCTAATGCTTATGATAGATATTTACAATGGTTGGTCATTGTTACCTACTGCAATCCAGACAACTCCATCTTCTTGGAACTTTCAGATAAAGATTGATGTGGGGTATGGTGGCTCACGCCTGTAATCCCAGCACTTTGGGAGGCTGAGGCAGGAGGATCACTTTGGGTCCAGGAGTTCAAGACCAGCGTAGGCAATGTGGTGAGGCCTCATCTTTACAAAAAAATCAAGATTAATGTGGACAAAGAGTTTCAAAGTGTAAGGCAGATTAGAGAATTACTTGAGCGGGAATGAAAATATGGAGAGATGTCAGTACTACTGGTTTATTGATCAAGATTTTGACTGGTTTATTTATAAAAATACCCATATGACACATACTATGTGCCAGGCATCATTTTAAACACTTTGCAACTGTAAGCTCCTTTCATCCTTACAACTCTCTAAGTAGGTACCAGTATTAGTCCCATGTTGGAGATAAGTAAATTGAAGCACAAAACGGTTAAGTAACTTGCCCAAGTATTCACAGATAGAGCTAGAATCCTGGGGGTCATTTCACTTATCTTTTCTTCTGCTCAACCTGAATGCTCACCTAACAACATGCTTTTTCTTTTCACCTAGGAAGAGAGCGTTATGTAGTTTAACAGTTTGTGATTTTGGAGTCAGTCAGATCTATGTTTGACAGTTAGCTCTGCCACGTAATAACTGACTTTGGGGCAACTTTTACTGAAGTTCTCTGAGCCTAGTCTTTCTTATAAGGAAAGGTGGTAACTAATTCCTATAGTTGTTGGAAGAATAAAAGGAGATATTGTAGTAAGATTACGTACTCTTGATAAATGTTCTTACTTCCTGTGGAAGCCAGGCTCTACGATCACCCACACGGATTCTCATTTCCTGGTGATCAGGCCCTTGTGTAGTTCTTCCCACTTGGATAAGGCTGACCTATGTAACCAGTAGAATATTGTAGAGGGACTTCTGAGGTTAGAGCATAAAACACACAGCAGCCTTGCACCCTCATTGATCTGGGGAAAGCCAGCTGCCATGCCATGGTGATATGATTTGTCTGTGTCCTCGCCCAAATCTCAACTTGAATTTTAGCTCCCAGGATTCCCACTTGTTGTGGGAGGGACCCAGGGGGAGGTAACTGAATCATGGGGGCTGGTCTTTCCCGTGTTATTCTTGTGATAGTGAATAAGTCTTACGAAATCTGATGGTGTTATCAGGGGTTTCTGCTTGTGCTTCTTTCTCATTTTTCTCTTGCCACCTCCATGTAAGAAGTGCCTTTCACCTCCTGCCATGATTCTGAGGCCTCCCCAGCCATGTGGCACTATAAGTTGAATTAAACCTCTTTTTCTTCCCAGTCTCAGGTATGTATTTATCAGCAGCGTGAAAACAGGCTAATACACATGGGGACTCCTAGGCAGCCCAGTGGAGAACTCTGGTAACAGAGGCCTCCTGCTTCATTCATCTTGCCAGCCAGGTGAGTGGACCATTTTAGAAGCAGATCCTCTAGCCCCAGTCAAGCCTTCAGATGACGGCAGCCCTGGCCAAGATCTTGACTGGAGCCTCATAAGAGATACTAAACATGAACTGCTCAGCCAAGCCGCTTGTGGATTCCTGACCCATAGAAACTGTATGAGATAAGAAATACTTACTGTTGCTTTACACCGCTAAGTCTGGAGAAGTTTGTAACACAGCAATAGATAACTAATATACTTTCCCTCATCTATTCTTTCACCAGTAGGTCAAGCTGGACTCTTATCTTGTCTCCACCTCTCACAGCACATTCTGCTCCAGACATAAGTGCAGTGGGTGAAGTTTGTCCTGGGGACATACCCCCTTGCAATCCATTTCACTTGACCTTTCTGCTGCCAGCTGAAAATATCTTGGCCTCCTCGTATGCTCAACCAATCTTCACTGGCATTCAGCAGCCCACTAGGTGTTCATGGGCATGAGCTCTCGTGTGTCTTTCTGGGGACATTTACACTGGAATAGTGGGCACAGAGGATGAAGAACCTTTATAAGATAGCCTAGGGTTTCCCTTTAAACTCTTGTTTTGGGCCTCAAACATGTTAGGTATGGGTCTGGACCTAAGTTGGAATAACTCCCTGTAAAAAAATCTAAATTCCTTGTAATCACTTTCATGGCCAATTGGGCTCTGGCCGCCCCACCCCTCCAATTCGTCTTTTACCAGTCATTCCTCACTCACTGTGCCCAGCCCACCCTGGCCTTCCCTTCTCCCCTCCCCTCCCCTCCCCTCCCCTCCCCCTCCCCTCCCCTCCTCTCCTCTCCCCTCCCCTCCCCTCGCCTTCTTTCCCTTTCTTTCTGACAGGGTCTCACTCTGTCTCCCAGGCTGGAGTGCAGTGGCGCAATCATGGTTCACTGCAGCCTCAATCTCCTGGGCTCAACTGATCCTTCCACCTCAGCCTCCTGAGTAGCAGGGACTATGGGCACACGTCATTATGCCCAGTTGATTTCTGTATTTTTAGTAGAGATGGGGTTTTGCCATGTTGCCCAGGCTGGTCTTGAACTCCTAAGCTCAAGCGATCTGTGCACCTCGGCCTCCCAAAGTGCTGGGATTACTGGCATGAGCCACAGTGCCCAGCCCACTCAGCCCTTACTGTCCCAGGAGAATGTCAAGGTTATTCTCTCCACTGGGTTTTTGTACCTGCTGTTCTCCCTGCCTGCAGTCCTCTTTCTGCAGGTCTTCACTTGATTGGTTTATTCTCATCATTCAGATGCCAACTCAGTGGCACCTGCTTAGAGAGGCTTTCGTTTATGAAATAAATGAAGGCCTCCCAGGCCCACTATTCCTGCTATACTTTACAATACTACCATGCTGTTACCTTCATAGCAGTTACCATTAGTGAATTGTCCTATTCATTGGTTTGCTCACTTGGTCTTTGTTTATCTCCCACTCCCTTGTGTCACATATGCTTCATGAGGCAGGGTTGTCTTGGTCACACACCGCATGTCAAGTGCTTGGCATATATATAGTATCTGAGAAATTTATTCACTGAGATGCAATATGTGTGTAACTCAGACTTGGTTTTGTTGGCTATAAGATGAGATTATGCCTAGTCCTTGTTTACAATTCACATATAGATTAGAAACAATAGAAATGCTCATAGCACATGTGCATGGTATGCTGTGTAGTAGTAACAACATTAATGCAATTTTCCATCGTCTCTGGCCCGTTTCCTGAAACTGTAAAAATTCCATGCATTGGGCCAAGTCTCTCCCACCTGGACAGCCCTACTGCCCCTCACCCTTCCCATCCATGTTCTGCTCTAATTCTCTGCATCTGCACCCCTACAGGACCTTTTCCTTTTCTGGTTTCTACTACAGTTGTTAATGTAACTGCATCTCCTGGTGGCCACTTCTGATATGACACATTGTGGAGTTGGGAGGACATTATTGGAAACCTGTTTGTGGGTCATTCTCAAGTCGTTTCAGGAGGAGAAACACCAGCCTCAAGTTCAGATAAAAAGTCTAGGCCACAGAAATTACGGTCTCCATATCCAGCCTTTCCTGAAATCTGCATCCCCGTCTGTGACCTTACTGCCTGGCCTCGTTCAAACCCCAGCGTCTTATCTGGCTTATTGCCTCCTCCCATCTAAAAATATCAGCTTGTAATTGATCTCCCCTCCACACATTCTCCTTCTCCACATATACATTTTCCTGATGTTCATATTTTCTCAGGCCACCACTCTGCTTAAAAACAAGCAATGGCTCCCTACTGTATGAAGAATAAAGTCCCAGCTCCTCAGCCTGGCATCCGGGACACTTCAAAGCCTGGGTTCTACCTGGCTTTCTAGTTTCACTCTCTTCTACACTCCCGCCTCCTCAATCATTGCATGCTCATGCCTAAGGCATCTGGACCATTCCTCAAAACTACGCCTCTACATCATCAAAGCCCTGTCGGCCTTCATGCTGTTCTCTCTACCTGAAGTGCTCTGCTCCCACTTTTACCTGACAGTTGAATCCTGTCCCACTCAGAGCCAGCTCCAAGGCTCCATCTTCCATGAACTGCCTCCTGCCCCGCCCTCCCCTGCACCATTATGTCTTGGTGGAAATATAGCAATTATGCCTACTAGCCTCTCGAACAATGCTAATGGGCATAATTGTTCATATTTCCACCAAGACATGATGGAGTTTTATTTACTTTAACCCTGTCATGTGCACAGTAGGTCATTAACATCTGTTAAATGGGTCAATGAGTATTGGAAGCTAGAGTCCATGTTTCCCAGAGCCTAGTCAGGCTAGTCTGAGAAGTGAGAGGCCACATGTGGTGATATTGGGACAGAATCTTTGAAATTGGCATGGCCTTGGGCAACCTGGGGTGCAGAGTTACTTTAAACTGGAAGCAGAGCTTCCACTGAAATTCTATGAGCTTTAGTTTCCTTAGGGGATTACTGGGCACAATTATTTCTGAATCTCCTTTTTTATCTTGAGAGAATGAAGGCGAAGATCTTAGAATAATGGTTTATGTACTTTGACATGCCAAGATAAAAGGCAAAGTGTAAAAGTTAATACTGGAATATTAACTAACATGTGTTTGGGAAATTGTATTCCTGCAACACTATTTCTTTTTTGAAATTTAGTTGCATTTCATATTTCTTTGGTTTGTATCCCAAGATAACTGTGGGTTACTAGTAGCTGAGATGAATGGAGCTTATGCAACTATACAATCTTTCAATGGATTTTGAGACAAAGCATTTAGTATTCTGTAGTGAACACAATAGTCCTAGAGATTCAGAAACCAGATACATAAATTCATCTTTTTTTCTGAGTCACTTTGTTGTGTCTCTTAGTGATCTTTTGACTCAGTTTTTTCACCTGAAATTTGGAAATATTATTTGATTTCCGATATTTCCAATAAGTTAAATGTTCAGTGAACACTAATTGAGTCATACCCATAGAGCTGAAGGTTTTCCAGAAAAATGCCTCAGAAGAAGTTAAATTTGAAGTTGCATATTTGTGGCCTGTTTTTCTGTTTCATACACCTACACCCCAAGACCAGCATTATAGGGTGCACATCTTCTGTTACTCTTCTTGGCTATTGGGGAGATTACTTGCCTGGCTCAGAGAGGAAACCTTTCTATGTTCTTTGATAGATTTTATACATTAGAGCCCCTTCTTGCTCAGAAGATAGCAGCAGGTGGCTAAGCTTGGAATATCTACTGTCAATTCCATGTAGAGAGCTACATCAGACCAGGTCCCAACAACCCAACCTTCATCAGAGACCCAACCTCCATCAGAGACCCAACCTCCGTCAGAGATCCTACCACCATAGAGACTGGTAGGAGTTTCATGGTAGGCGTTAAGCATGAGCCTGTCTCTGGGTCTGTGTCTCTATTTCTGGGTGAAGGAATATATATATATATATTCTCTTGGGCACATCCTACTTAAAAAAAGGAGATTAACCATATTACATCCCTGACTTGCACCATGTGGCTTAATAAGCAAGACATGTCATAAAGTTAACAGTTAGTTCTATGGCTTATAGCAGTGTAAACTAAATACCTGAGTGTAGTTTCTAGAGTAATTAGAGTCTGGTGGGATTGGGACAGGTTTCCACATTCCCTAGGGTTTCTGAATAATCCTAGGCCAAGCTTGGATCTTAAGTACTTTCTTTACTTTTTTTTTTTTTTGAGACAGCAGCTCACTCTGTCACCCAGGCTGGAATTCAGTGACACCATCACGGCTCACTGCAGCCTTGACCTTCTTGGCTCTATCGATCCTCCCACCTCAGCCTCCCGGGTAGCTGGGACTACCGGTGTACACCATCATGCCCAGCTAATTTGTTGTATTTTTTGTAGAGATGGGTTTTGCCATGTTGCTCAGGCTTGTCTTGAACTCCTGGGCTCAAGCAATCCACCTGCCTAGGCCTCCCAGAGTGCTGGGATTACATGTGTGAGCCACTGTGCCTGGCCTGATCTTAGGTATTTTGAAGACCAATTAACTGGGGTTTCTTCTTGACTGTCCAGGGATACTTTTTGTTTACTACTGATCTGTCAGAGACCTTGAAAATCATCCCTGGCCAAGGCTCAGAGGTTTCTTAAGGGGCCAGCTAGAGCTTGGCATTATCAAGGCTTGCCATGAAGAGAAAATGCCCCCAAGACCCACCCAGGGTCAGATCTTTCATGCTCATGTGAACTTGTAGAATAATTATTCCAAAGTCCCAGCCACTACCCAGAAAGCAGTATATAGTTAATACGTTCCTGGCAAATATAAGTCCCTCTGCATGGCTCTGCAATTTAGACTACCACTCATGAGAATAACACCAAGGCCTAGACCAACAGCATTGTGTATGTACCCTGGAAAATACTTCAGATCTCATTGATTCATCTCCCAACCAGATCAAGTATGTGAGATAAACAGCCAGTTCCATGGGATATGGTTGCTTTGTTTTATTTGAGATTGTGTTTCAAACACACCACCTACCAGTACTACTACCAGTGCTGGAATATTTGGGGTACCCATTCCTAGGCTATATGTGAGCCAAGTTCAACAGATTGTATGATTCCCCACCAAGTTCAGAGGAAGGGTTGCCCACCAGGTACTCGCCGGTCTGAGCTAAGCAACTGCAGAATGAGGGAAACACACTTAACAGATGAGGCTGTGAATGCCGGTGCTGATGTCCTCTGTTCTAAGAGCAAATGATGTCTTCCATAATATGGATGCAGTCATGGCCAAATGTATATTCAGCAGTATGTTCCTCCCATCGCTGCTCTGGGGAGATAACGGATAATGCTATTCCTCCAGTAGTGTGAAGTGAGAGGGGGTCAAGAAAACATTTTCAGTTTAGAGCAACGGGGCGTGAGATGCATCCAATCTTATGCAATCCTAAGTCCCTGGGCACGAATGGAATTTGTAACCAGCAAAGAAATTCTTTATAATAATTTAATTTGTATGTGAGATTGAGCTTGTGAGAGTGAGTGACAGAGAGGTAGAGGGGAAAAGACAGAGGGAATGAGAGGGGAGAAAGACAATGAAAAAGATGAATGAGAATGAATAATGGGAGGCAAAGATAAAGGAAAAGCAATATAAAGCAGAGAGGGGAGAGAAAAGAAGTAATAACTTCTGATAATTGCGGAAATATATCACAAACATAATTGTATAAAAGGAGGGATTTAGATAGTGAACAGGAAAGTTGAGAGCATGGCTGAAGGTAGAAGAAAGAAGGAAGAAATGAATAACAGGAAAACAAAGAGAGAAAAAAAAGGAAAACATTTCAAGGAATAGGTAGGAAACAAGATGTGCCTTGGGAATTTCAATGAATTATTTTGTCTCCCAAGTTTTAAACTTACAATGTGTTCTGCCATGACGGTCTAATTCTCAATTAAGATATGCTAATAAGGCTGACCGCATACCATATACTCGCCATGCCTGATAAGCAGTTTAGCTTCTTTTTGGGTTTGGTGGGAGAGCAGTTATGTTTCCACACTGAAGTTTCTCATTGGCTTTCCTCCTACAAAGGCGCAAAATGACCACATGTTGTTCTTACTAATATTTGTTTTAGTCTGACACACTTCGATCTCTGCCGAGTTGACTACTAACTGCTTCGTACACACTTCGTATTCCTCCACCTGCTTTCAGTTACCTTCATTAAAAATATTCACATAAATCTTTATTAATAGAGAAAAATGGATTCACTCTGGTTTATTTATCTGTGGGTAAGTTTAATTATTTTCCAGTATGCAAAGCATCTTAGGAGGCTGCAAACATGGCTCAGAAGTAACATTGCCAGAAAAGGGGAAGCTTGTGCCATAGAGTCAACTTGCTGACCTGCAAGTAACAGACAGTGAATGTTAGCTGAATGATGGTAATTGAGTGAAAATTTGGACTGCCCTTCAAGGGATGTTAGAAAGAGTATCAGAAAAGGGCAGGAAGACTTAACATATATAGTGACCAATTACTGAGCATCCAAGCATAGTGAAAATCACCGTGCATATATTATCACATTTCACAGAAGCAGAACCCATTCTTTTTCATATGCAAATTTCTCCTTAAAAATCTCTGTCCTATGATACTGTGGGAACTCTAGGCTACTTCTCGATGGCTTCTAGGCATCCCCAGGAAGTGCGTATATTCTCCTGAAATCATTGCCAAGGGCTTACTGCAGATTATCCCAGGTTTCTCCTGCTGGGCTCACCTTGCCTCTCCACAGTGCACCACAATTTCTGGTCCGCTCCATCTTAAGATGTCATTGTAGATCTTCCCTTTATTTCCAAAGCCAATGCAATCACAAAGATATGGAGAGTAGCAATGGTTAAGATTATAAGCTTTGCAGTCAAACTTCTTGAGTTCAAATCCAGGCTCTGAATCTTACTAGTTGTATGACCTTAAGTTACTTGTATGACCTCCTGTACCTCAGTTTTTTACTCAGTTTTTTTACCTCAGTGAAATGAGGCTGATAATAATACTTTTTTCCCTGGGTTGCCATGAAGATTAAATAAGTTAACTCATTCTGCGAGTTAATTTTTATGTGAGATTGAGCCCGTGAGAATGAGTGACAGAGAGGTAGAGGGAAAAAAATGGAGGGAGTGAGAGAGGAGAAAGTGGGAAAGACAATGGAAAAGATAAATGAGAATGAATAATGGGAGGTAGAGATAAAGGAAAAGCAATAGAAAGCAGAGAAGTTAATTCATTAAAATACATAGAGCACTTTGAAGAATGCTTGCTATGTTGTAAGTACTTAATAAAGTTCGTTATTAGTGACAGGTTGTAAGGGTTAGGAAATTTTTTACTGAACACATGCATTTCTTAGGTTATAAAAAAGTATAGCTTTGAGGAGAAACAATGTGAAATTGGAAAACAGATTCTGCTGCTGCTAGAATCCATTGGCCAGTCCCTAATGCAGTCTCCCAGGGTTGTCTCCCTCCTTAGTCTCTGCCATCTTGCTGGAGCCATACTCTTCCATAGTCCATGCATTCTTGTCTCCCATTATTCCCCACGTCTTGAATCACAACTCCTAGAGTCTCAAGGAAGCCAAAAACAAGTAAATAGCATGACAGTCTCTGCCCCCAAGGCCTACAACTCTTTCATTTTGCTGTTTAGAAGTCAGAGGTCTTTATGGTATTAATCCCTCCCCCTAGATTGGACACTGAGTCTTACATCTGCATAACCACAAGTCCCACTCAAGTGTTTCACAAATAAAATGACAGTCTTCGCCCCAAAGATGAATTCTCCTGGCATTCCTACGATAAGGATAGGGTTGTAGGGGGGTGGGAACCCCTCCAGAGGCTCAGGATTTGTCATTAGCATTGAACATACTAAAAACATATGCTTTGACTAAGGCAGGCTTGTTCTGAGCCCTTGAAGCATGTTTGGTGTTCTTGATGGCCATCATCTTGAAGAAAAACCTGAGGTGCTTCCAAAAATATTCTAGGCACTAAATTAGTGAAGACGTACACTTTGTGGCAATGAGTCTGCAACTGTTCCTTGAAAACATCTGATGAGGCTGGAAAATAAGGTAAATGATTATATATATATATGCTTCCCCTCGCTACAAAATATACTGCCATAATCATCCTGGCTTGTGTTTCCACCACTTTGCAGAAATAGTTTTTTTTGAAAACTGTCAGTGTTCTCCAAGATGCTGTGTCATGTGGCTTTTCTTAACCCACATCTCCCTTCTTGACTCTTTAGGATGTTTGGGATTATTGAAATTCAGTTTTTATTGGATCTCCTGGTCCTTCAGTCTCCTGATTTTCCTTGAACCTCTGTTGCTCCTTCTTAATATATATATATATATATTTTTTGGCCTTCTCTTCTTTCCCCTTTCCTTCAAGTGTTTTTATGGCCAAGGTTTTGTCCTGGACTTTTTTTCTGTTTCTTACATTTTCTCCTTTAGTAACCTGATTCATTGCTATAGCTTCACATATAATTTCTCTGTAAATGAATCCCAAATTTATATCTCTAGCTTTGACATTTCCCCTGTCCATTTCATCTTTTTTTTTTTTTTTTTTGAGATGGAATCTCGCTCTGTCGCCCAGGCTGGAGTGCAGTGGCATGATCTCGGCTCACTGCGACCTCCACCTCCCAGGTTCATGCCATTCTCCTGCCTCAGCCTCCCGAGTAGCTGGGACTACAGGCGCCCGCCACCACGCCCGGCTAATTTTTTGTGTTTTAGTAGAGACGGGGTTTCACCGTGTTAGCCAGGATGGTCTCGATCTCCTGACCCCGTGATCCACCTGCCTTGGCCTCATCTTTGTTTTTGGATATTCAGCTGAGACTTTAATCTCAAAATCTTTATCTTTAAAATCAATGGCATTTGTTAATGTCTTTTTTTCTTACTAACAATACCACAGTCTTTCACTGACACAGATTTAAAATCTCTAAGCCAATTTTTTTTTAAATCATGATGCACTATAAGAAATGCATTTTACATCATACACACACCCACACACACATATATATACATGTGCAAACACACATGTAAGTGAAACAAAATTTCCCCCAAGAGTACTTACCCTTATTATGTTTGATATACTGTAATCTGTTTTATTCCAATCTATTTCATTCCATTAAAGAATTTGGTTGTAAACCATTAAATTAATTTCATGACCCACTAAAGATACGAATTGCTGTTCCAAAAATACTGCTTTTAAATACTTTTTCATTCATCTTTCTCTTTTAACTCCCAAATCCAATCAGTAGTGAGTTTACTTTCAAAATGTCTTGTATATTCAATCTTTTTCTAAAATTTTCTCTCTGATGCTTTCAAAAGTTTACTTTTATTGGGAGGCCTTCTCCACTTTCTTCAGCTAGAGGCAATTTTACTCCCCTCTAAGTAACTCTATTTATCAGATTGTGTCTCTCTTAAATTACTTAATCACGGAAAATGTCACACCCCATAAATCTGTTTTCTTATCTTACTTTATTTTTTCTTCTTAGGTCTTGTCACTTGACAATTATATTAGTCAGGATTCTCCAGAGAGACAGAACAAATGAGATATTTCTATATTTATATGTGGATGTGGATATAGATGTAGATAGATGAGAGGCGATTTATGAGGGGAATTGGCTCACATGATTTTGGAGGCTGAGAAGTCCCATGACCAGACATCTATAAACCAGAGACCTGAAACACCAGTAGCATGACTCAGTCCAAGTCCAAAGGTCTCAGAACTAGGAAAGCCTGGGTGTAACTCTCAGTCTGAGACTGTAGGTTTGAGAACCTGGGTGATTGCTGGTTTAAGTCCTGGAGTCCCAAGGCTGGAGAGCCTGGAGTTC
This sequence comes from Homo sapiens, assembly GCF_000001405.40. Taxonomy (NCBI): domain Eukaryota; kingdom Metazoa; phylum Chordata; class Mammalia; order Primates; family Hominidae; genus Homo; species Homo sapiens. Next base: position 13,242,114 of record NC_000012.12, read on the forward strand.
TCACGTCTAAGGGCAGGAGAAAGGGTGTGTCCCAGCTCCAGGAGGGAGAGTGAGGAAGTCCTTTTCTCTCTGTTTATTTTTTTTCTTGTTCTATCCTCACCCCAGCTGACTGGATGGTGCCTGTCCACATTGACAGCAGATCTTTCCCACTTAGTCCACAGGCTCATACACCAATCTCATCTGGGAAACACCCTCACAGACACACCCAGAAGTAATGCCTTACTGGTTCTCTAGGCATTCCCTAATTCAGTCAAGTTGACACCTAAAATTAGCCAATATTAAGTCTACCCCTTGCCAACTTGGCACTCATATACATCTCCTTAAGCCATACCTGACCTCCAAATAAGGACACTAACAAGGTATTAGTTCCACTTAATGTGGTATAATTATCCTGCATACACTGAAAATGGACTAATCCTGTCCTCAGAAGAGGAAGAAAAGTCCCTGGGTGATGTTTACTCTTCTCTGATATCCTATAATTAAATACTGTGATGTAAAAATTAACAATGCTTAAATATTATGATATAAAGTCAATGTATCTTATGTTACATGATAAAGGAATAAGACAGAAATGAAAACAAAGATATTTGCTTAACCTATGTAAATATACGCAAAAACACATAACAAAATAGGGAGGAAATATTCATGACAATTACAGTCCTTGTTTCTGTAACTGTTCACATGGCCATAGCGGGTATTTATAACCACCATTCAGCAAATACTTGGCTAGCTGTGGTTCTTTACTTGGTAGGGTGACCCAAAACTTCATGCCTGAAGTGTCTGGGCCATTTGTAGTCCTGCCTAAATTGGGTTGTTGTAATTTCCCATTTACCTTAATCACAGGGCATGATAATATTAAGAGATACCCTAAGAGCTCTCCAGATACTCTTTCTTACCCCCATTGTGGAGGAGTAGTCCAATTTCCCCTAGTCTGAATCAATCACCCTAGTCAACACCGTAACTCTCTCCTTAGCCTGTTGACTCAGAGGCACATGGAGCCCAAAGTGGCTGGGTGGCAGTCTTGACTTCCAGTTAAATGCGATCATTATTGTGTCTCCTGCTGGTAGCATTCCTCTTTCTGAAAAAAAATCTCTAGGCGAGCAGAAGATAAAGTCATGGGAACAGGAAACAAAACTTTTGCTAGTGGGTCACTTGGTATAATATTAAGTGGTGCCACTCCTCTTTCCACTTCTTGATTCCTGCCCACGAATCTTGGCTATGGGAGGAACAGCACTATATATTGGACCCTGATTTAGAGCATGTATAGCCATCTGGGGAGACTTGCCCCAGCCCTGCAAAGTACTGTCACCTACCTGGCACTGTAATTACATCCTCAAAAGGGCATTCCACTGTTCTGTCAAGCTAGCTGCTTCAGGATAGTGGAGAACATGGTAAGACCACTGAATTTCATGAGCATTAGCCCACTGCTGTGAAGTGAGTTCCATAATGAGAAGCAGAGCTGTGTATGTCAACCTAAATAATAGAGAGGGAGACTCACTAGAAGAAAATGTTGTTTATTTGAGAAAGGGCATTGCAATAGGAATATGCATACCCTAGTAAATGATGTGCATTTCCAGGGAAGTAAAGGAACATAAATGTTTTTAAAGGAAAAATGAGGAGGATTGCATAATTGTTTTGGGATAAATATCCTTGGCTACAAGAATCAATAACAAGCCAGTTGAGGTTGGCAAGGTAGTTTCTGTACAGATGTTCTCACAGAAGTATTGTTTTGTGTAAGATTGTGTTGGCATTTGTGCAAGTCTGTGGTTTTTGCCGAGTGTTTTGTGATAGTTCTTGTTATCAGGCATTCATGCACAAGAACACTCCTTCTGTGGCCTTTCTCAGCTCTATTTGTTAAGGTTATATTTTTTTAAAATTTATTATCTATCTATCTATTTATTTTTATTTTTTGAGACAGAGTCTTTCTCTGTCATCCAGGTTGGAGAGCAGTGGCACAATCTTGGCTCACTGCAACCTCTACCTCCTGGGTTCAAGCAATTCTCCTGCCTCAGCCTCCCGAGTAGCTGGGACTACAGGTGCACACCACCATGCCTGGCTAACTTTTATATTTTTGTAGAGACAGGGTTTTGCCATGTTGCTCAGGCTGGTCTCAAATTCCTGGCCTCAAACGATCTACCTGCCTCGGCTTCCCAAAGTGCTGGGATTACAGGCATGAGCCACCACACCCGGCCTCTGTTTGTCAAGGTTATTTAAACATAAGTGACTCAATTTTTATTCTGACAACTTTCACATGTGGAATACCATGATGGTGGACAAAACATTCTGTGACACCATGAATGGTAGTTTTGGCAGAAGCACTGTGTGCAGGGAAGGTGAATCCATATGCAGAGTGTCTATTCCAGTAAGGATAAAATGCTACCCCTTCCATGATGGAAATGGTCCAAGTAATCAACCTGACACCAGGTAGCTGGCTGATCATCCTGGGGAAAGGGGCCATATCGGAGACTCAGTGTTAGTCTCTGCTGCTGGCAGATTGAGCACTCAGAGGTGGCCATAGCCAGGCTGGCATTAGTGGGTGGAAGTCCATGTTGCTGAGCCCCTGCATCACTCCATCCCAGCCACGATGGCCACTTCATTCATGAGCCCATTGGGCAATTACAAGAGTGGCTGGGGAAAGAGGATGACTGGTATCCATAGAACAGGTCATCTTATCCACTTGATTATTAAATTTCTTCTCCTCTGAGGTCACCTTTGGTTAGCATTCACATGGGACACAAATATCTTCACAACTTCTGCCCACTCATAGAAGTCTATCCACGTGACTCTTTCCCACATTTCTTTGTCACCAATGTTTCAATCATGTCCTGTCCAAGTCCCTGACCCTCTGGTCAAACCACTGGCCGCAGCCCATGAATCGGCATACAATCACACTTCCTTCCAAGAGAAGTGCACGACCAGGTGCACTGCCCCAAATTCTGCCCATTGAGAAGACTTCCCTTCACCACTGCCTTCAAGAATGTCCAAGAAAAGAGCTGTAGTGCTGCAATTGTCCACTTTCAAGTGGTGCTTGCATATCATGCAGAAATATCTGTAAACCAGACCTTACTCTTCTTCTGTCAACTGGTTATAGAGTACTACCCAAAAGGCCATAGGTGCAGGCAGGGAGAGAGAAGGCAGTGTAGCAAGAGTAGGAACCATTTGTGCCAGTTCTTCATGTAACTTACCTGTGCCTTCAAGACCCAATGGGCCTGGTCACATATATATCACTTCCATTTGATGATGGAGTGCTGCTGTGCACATCCAACCTCACGGCTTGGTGAGCCTGAAAACACCCAGTTTATGGCAGGAATTTCAGATTGCATGGTAACTTTGTGGCCCATGGTCAGGCCTTCAGTTTCTACTATGGCCCAGTAGCAGGCCAAAACTGTCTCTCAAAAGGAGAGTAGCTGTCTACAGATGACGGCAGGGCCTTGCTTCAAAATCCTAAGGGCCTTTGCTGTGATTCACCTATAAGGGCTTGCCAAAGGCTCCAAACAGAATCCCTGTCTGCTGCTGACACCTCAAGCCTTATTGCATCTGCTGGATCATATGGCCCAAGTGGCAGAGCAGCTTGCACGGCAGTCTGTACCTGCTGTAGAGCCTTCTTCCATTCTGGGGCCCACTCAAAACTAGCAGCTGTTCCAGTCACTTGGTAGATAGGCTAGTAACATACCCACTGGACCCCTAGAAATTTCAATGAGGCGGAAGTCCCCGAATTTCAGTTAGATTTTCACCCTCTGACATACAAATGACTTACCAATAAGTCCAGGGTAATTGCTACTTCACGCTTACTAGGTCCAATCAGCATAATGTCATCAATGTAATGGACCAGTGTGATAGCTTGTGGAAGGGGAAGGTGATCAAGATCCCTTCAAACTAAATTGTGACACGGGGCTGGATCTACCCCTGAGATAGGACAGTGAGGGAGTATTGCTGGCCTCATCAGCTGAAAGCACACTGCTTCTGGTGGGCTTTGTGGACAGGTATGGAGAAAAAGGTATTTTCCAGATCAATAGCTGCATACTGGTATGAGGATATGTGTTAATTTGCTCAAGCAATGGAAACACATCTGGTATGGCAGCAGCAATTGGAGTTACCACTTGGTTAAGCTTAATAATTTACTGTTATCCTCCAGGATCCATCTATCTTCCGCACAGGCCATAAAGGAGAGTTGAATGGGGATACGGTGGGACTCATCACCCCTGCATCCTTCAAGTCCTTGATGGTGGGACTCACCACCCCTGCATCCTTCAAGGCCATGATGGTGGCACTCATCTTGGTAATCCCTCCAGGGATGTGATGCTGGTTTTGAGTTACTGTTTTCCTAGGTAGGGGCAGCTCTAATGGACTTCCATTTAGACTTTCCCACCATAATAACCCTCACCCTACTGGTCAGGGAACCAACATGGGATTCTGCTAGCTGCTGAATATGTCTATTCCAATCATGCATCTGGAACAGGGGAAATGACCATAAGATGGGTCCGGAGACCCACTGAGCCTGCGGTGAGTTGGACCTGAGCTAAAACTCTATTGATCCCCTAACTTCCATAAGCTCCTACTCTGACTGGTGAACCACAGTGATGTTTTGGGTCTCCTGGAATCGATGTCAGTTCAGAGCCAATGTCCAGTAGTCCCCAAAATGTCTGATTATTTTCCTTTCCCAAGTGCACAGTTACCCTGGTAAAAGGCCGGAGGTCTCTTTGGGGAAAGATCAGAGAAAGATTAACAGTATATATTTTTGGTAGTATACCAGGCTCCTTCCTGGAGGGGCCCTGGCCCCCCCTTCATTAGAGGGGTTTTGGGTCTGTAAACTGGCTCAAGTCTGGGAACTGATTGAGAGGCCATGATTTTCTGTTTTTATGATTCAAGGTAGAATTTTGTTCACTTGACCTGGAAATGTTCTGCTTATATAAATCAAGTAAGAATGTAGTAGGCTTCCTATCTATTTCACTTCTAGGAACACCATGATTAACTAGCCAATGCCACAGATCTACGTAAGTCAGACTATTCTGATTGTTGCTTTGCCTCTGCTGTTTATTATGGTAAACACATCCACATTGCTTTAGTGATTGAGAGCTGCAGCTTGGCCCCAGCCACCCAGGATCCAATGATTCCCATTGCATTTATGTTTTCCAATTGAGTAACTGTGCCTCCCACTGCAAGGTCCATCCTCTGGAGAAGAACAATCACGGAGTTCTTCAGGCATGCTGGGGCTCTGCTCACAAATCTGTTTCTCACAGTATTGGTGAAAGGTATGTCTTCAGACCCTCCCTTTATAGGTGAGCAGATTTTAAGTGATAAATCCAGTACAGGCTTCCATTCTCTCTAGGCATTTTAATCCCTTCCTCTACAATAAACCAAGGGAGAGCAGGCATCTCCAGCTCCCTCACAGTGGGCCACCTTTTGATCCATGTTTCAGCCAACCAACCAAACAGATGGTTAGCACCTTTCCTAACTCCTGGAGCTGCAACATTAAGCACAGAATCTCTGCTTAGTGGTCCCATATGAATAAATTCAGCCTGATCCAACTTTGTGTTCCTTCCACCATTATCTCACACCCTTAATATCCATCTCACACATGTTTCCCAGATTTCTGCTTGTATAAATTAGAAAACTCAAGTAGTTCTTTTGGAATGTAGCATACCTCCTCATGAGTCACGTTTTCTACCTCACCTTTAGGGGCCTGCTGGGACTTGAGTCTGGTTATAGGGCTAGAAACAAAGAGGGGAGGTGAGGGTGGGTCCTGAGGAGAATCAGCCTTGTCTTGGAAACTGCCTTGGGACGCCATTACTGTTTCCTCGGGCAAGGAAGGGCTAACCCCTTCAGACACAGGTGGAAAGGCTGATATTGATACTGTTGTGGGTGGGAAGGCTGCTGCCTGGGGGTGAGGGTTGTAAGACCACCTCTGCTTGGCAAACAAGTCTCATCAGAATTTAGGGGCTCAATGTCCCCAGTTTCATCAGAGTCTTTCCACACATCCTCATCCCAATTTACAGAATCCCATTCTCTCCCAATCACTGCCCTTAATTTCACACCAGACACTCTGAGAGGCTGAGTCCAACTTTTGTTGTAAATCAGCCAATCAGATGATAAGGGCTTGTGTTTGATTTTCAGCAATTTCAGCCCTGCAGTTACAGAAGAGAAGATTCTGGCTCAGGGCACACTTAGAAGCTTGTAGGTTATTTATGCAGAACTGGAGCTGGAAATTTGAATCTCTGTTATATTTTTCCATCACTTTGACCAGTGACATTAGAAGCAGCCCATCAATGTTATTATTTTCCTTAGTTTTCCACAAATGTTTAAAGGTGTCATGTACAGAGTCATCAAGTTCCTTGCATTAATTTGGATTTAGATTTGGAGCATCAAATGCAGATATTTTGTGTATCTCTATAAACAGTTTAGGACATGAATTAGCAGTGCTCTCTGTACTGTTAGAAGTAGAGTTCCGAGCATTTTTAGGTGTGGTCACATTAAAGAGACAATTTTAGAAACCCCAAAACCAATTAGGGGAACTCATTTTTAAAATTCTGTTCCTCTAGAACCACTCCTGGTACCAAAATCTGTACTAATCAGAGTACGGCAGACAAATAATATCCTAAGCCTCCCAACTGACCTAACAGACCCCCTTTTGGCCAAGAGTACCCAGAGAAACCTTCAAAACTGAGTTCTGGCCAGGACAGGATGGGAGGTCGGACATGTCTCAGTATACTCCTTCTTTATTAACTTTTTTTTCACCTCACTCTGTCACCCAGGCTGGAGTCCAGTGTCATGATCATAGCTCACTGCAGTCTCAAACTCCTGAGCTCAAGCAATCTTTACTGCCTTAGCCTCCTGAGTAGCTGGGACTACAGGCATGCATCATCATGCCCAGCTAATTAACATTTTTTTTTTTATAGAGATGGGGTCTCCCTATGTTGCTCAGGCAGGTCTCAAACTCCTGGCCTCAAGCAATTCTCCTGCCTCAGCCTCCTAAACTGCTGTAATTATAGGTGTGAGCAACTGCACTGACCCTTATTAATCTTTAGCCAGAATTGCTTCCTAAGGAGTAAGAAGAAACCAGCTATGAAAAATAAGAAACAGACAACTCATTCTCTTATCTCCTTTAGTCTATTGTCTGAGGCTGTGACTGGACTCCCCTTCCGTCTTTGCAGTTTTAAGGTGACAGCTGACCAGTTTCACAATGTGTCCCTTCCTAAAAACTGACCACCAGCTCCAGACTGGTTTTGGCTGATTTGAAGAGGATGTACAGTGGGGTTTTTTCGGGTTCTCTGCTTCACCTTTTGATATCAGAGGCCTGAAAACTCCACTCTTGGACCATGCTATTGCTAACATTTTTTGAATGTGCAACCCATGAAGAGGCATGAAGCTCAATTGCACATGTGCATGTTTCTCCTTTCATCAATATTTGTGACTCCTATAGCTTATTGAATATGTATACTTAGCCAATTCATTTAGCACAAATTCCTTCTTATCCTTCCCTCCCTTGGAGCATTTGCTCTGGGCTTCTGCTGAAGTCTACACTTCCCAGACTGCAGGATGGCTAGGCTGCCCCCTTTTTTTTTTTTAAATTTTACTTTAAGTTCTGGGATACATGTGCAGAACATGCAGGTTTGTTACATAGGTATACATGTGCCATGGTGGTTTGCTGCATCTATCAACCCATCATTTAGATTTTAAGCCCCACATGCATTAGGTATTTGTCCTAATGCTCTCCCTCCACTTGCCCCCACCACCACCCCAACAGGTGCTGGTGTGTGTTGTTCCGCTCCCTGTGTCCCTGTGTTCTCATTGTTCAACTCCCACTTATTAGTGAGAACATGCGGTGTTTGGTTTTCTGTTCCTGTGTTAGTGTGCTGAGAATGATGGCTTCCTGCTACATCCATGTCCCTGCAAAGGATATGAACTCATTCTTTTTTATGACTGCATAGTATTCCATGGTGTATATGTGCCACATTTTCTTTATCCAGCCTATCATTGATGGGCATTTGGGTTGGCTCCAAGTCTTTGCTATTGTAAACTGCAGGCTGCACTTTTTATGAGAGATAAAGCTCTCCTCTCTAAATTCATGAACCTCATGATTCTTCCATTCACAGAACCTATAGGAGATAGATAGATAGGTATGAGAGGTTATTTACGAGGGGAATTGGCTCATGTGATTATGGAAGCCTAGAAGTGTCATAACAGGCTATCTGCAAGCTGGAGACCCTGGGGTGCCAGTAGCATGGTTCAAACCAAGTCCCAAAGCTTCAGAACCAGGGAAGCCAGTGATGTCACTCTCAGTCTGAGGCTGAAGGCCTGAGAACCTGGGTGACTGCTAGTGTAAGTCATGGAGTCCCAGTGCTGAAGAGTCTGGCGCTGTGCTGTCTTCAGGCAGGAGGAAGAGAGTGTCCCAGCTCCAGGAGAGACAGAGAGGAAATCCTTTCTCTCATTCTTTGTCCTATCCTGGCCTCCAGCTGACTGGATGGTGTCTGCCCACACTGAGCAGGTCTTCCCTCCTCAGTCCACTGACTCACCTGCTAATCTCTGGAAACACCCTCACAGACACACCAAGAAGGAATGCTTGACCAGTTCTCCAGGCATTCCTTAATCTAGCCAAGTTGACATCTAAAAGTAACCATCACAGTGTATAATGTATTTAGATGTTTGTTTATTTTCTGCCTCTTCCACTAAATTGTAAGATCCAGGATAACAATGACTTGGTACCCCCAGCACTTAGAACTAAACTTTGCTTGGAACAGAGGCCACCAATAAAACATGGCTAGAGAGAAGAATGAAGGAAGGAATGATTACCAGCAGCAATAGAGACTAATGCTTCTTCTAGGGCTGGGGAGAAGAAGGCTCCCCACAATCACTTTTTTTTTAGCATCTTGTGCCCACCCACATGGCCAAAGGATTAACATGTACTGATGAACTTAATGCCTCAATTCGTTGCCAGGCACTGAATCATTCACTGTGAATGGTTCCAATTAAGGTTTACCCTTAGACTAGGAGTGGGGTCTATTCAACCTAAACACCTGGGCTGTTACACAGCAGGAATAGCGGACAGGTCAGAATGGATGTTGAGAGGCAACTCCATTTCCCGCTACAAGAGTTCAGAGGCGGTCTATCAGAAATAATGAGCTTCAAACTGGGCATTGCGTTCCAACTTGCACATGATAAGTGGTCACCATACAAAGTCAGTGACAGAATACATACCTCCCCAAGCCTCGCTCCTCCCTCCTTCTTCCAGCTAAATCCTTTGGTCTAAAACATACAGTTTGTTATTCTGCAAAATAAATAAAAAGGATACACTGTCACACAGTTGCTTTGAATGGGATGAAAAAAATGAATGAACAAACCAATGGTTAAAATTCTGTACAAATGGACTGCACACCAAATGGGAACAGGCATGATGCAGAACACCTGAGTAGCTGGGGTTACGGGCATGCACCACCGTGCCAGCCTGGATTTTTGTATTTTTAGTAGATATGGGGTTTCACTATGTTGGCCAGGCTGGTCTTGAACTCCTGGCCTCAAGTGATCTGCCCGCCTCCCAAAGTGCTGGGATTACAAGCATGAGCCACTGCGCCCAGCCAGCAGATTGCCTTTGGACTTGAACTCCAACTCTTCCTGGTTTCCAGTCTGCTGGCCTACTCTGCAGACTTTGGACTTTCCAAGCTTCCACAATCACGTGAGCCAATTTCTTAAAATCTCTCTCTCTCTCTATCTCCCCACACCTATCCTGTTGGTTCCATTTTTCTGGAGAACCTTAACTGACACAGATTATCCCCTGGGGTACTGATGATAAAATTGTGGCAAAAAACAATATGTTGTCCGGGAGCCTATGTTGTTTTCTAACAGTAGCAGTTGTGCACACCTCGGCCATGGTGACAGATAAAACTTGTGCATCTTCCAACTGATAACTGTTACTACTGGTCCTGGAGACTCATTACTTTAGGGAACTATAAGCAGTTTATGCATTTTCAAAACCACTGGGGTGGTCAAACAGACTAGAAAGATCATATTCCTAGGATCTATTTATGGGAGCAAGCATAGAGTGATCAGGCCAGGCAATAAGACCAGGCACCAGAGCAAGATTCAATAAACTGACTGGACTATGATTCAACTGAATCATTGTTTCTGGAGTCTCTGTGCCTTTGTACATGCTGTTCCCTCTGCCTAGAAGAGTCCTACTTTCACTATGTATTAGTCAGGGTTCTCCAGGAAAACAGACCAATGGGATATGTATATATCCAGAAATAGATTTATTTTAAGGAATAGGTTCATGCAATTATGTCAAGTCCAAAATCTGCAGGATGGGCCAGCAGGCTGGACACCCAGGGCAGAGCCAATGTTGCAGTTCATTTCTGAAGGCCATCTGCTGGCAGGATTCCTTCCGGCTCAGGGAGATCAGTCTTTTGCTCTATTCAGATAATTGAGTGAGGCCCACCCACATTAAGGAGGGCAATTTGCTTTACTCAAAGTCCATCTATTTAAATGTCAATCTCATCTGAAAACACCCTTACAGAAACATCCAGAAGATTGTTTGACCGAATATCTGGGCACTGTGGCCCAGCCACACTGACACATAAAATTAACCATCACCTATTGTTTGCTGGGAATTTCTCCCCATTCTTTAAGGTTCAGTTGAAACATCTTGGCAACATCAAGCTGCTTCTTCATTCCACCGCTCGGCCTCAGGACATTCTTATATTTGAATCCCTGTCCCACAGTACTGTAATGATTTACTCACATGCCTGTGGTCTCTCCTAGACAGTGAGCTTCCAATGGCATGGACCATGGGTCTACTGGAGACAATATTGCAAGATGATATTCTAGACTCTACCCAATGCCTAGCATACAGAGTTGTTCAATGCAATTCATAGAAGAAGGTGATAAATTAATGGAGGGGAATCAGGAGCTAGAAATAATAGCAGCATTGAGTTATTTGATCTCCAAATAATGAGCTTCTTCTCCTCTCCACCCCCCGACAAATATTTGTTGCTTCGGAGATGCAACAGAGCTAGCGGATCTACCTGGTCACTCTGTCCCAAGAACACATGTACACACATACCCATATTCATTATGACAGACCATGAAATGATTTGCCAAGTCAGCCTCTTGCTAAATACCTGAACTTGGGCATGATGCTTACATTCCAAAAGCTTGTTTTCTTTTAAAATCAATCATATGAGAACAACAATAATAATACCTATAGCACAGTGTTGTTAGAAAAATTAAGTGCCTATCATATAGTGGGTCCTTAGTAAAAGTTGATCCTCTTCCCTTAACCATGTTTGTTTTTATTTTTGAGACAGGGTCTTGCTCTGTTGCCAAGGCTGGAGTGCAGTGGTGTGATCTCATCTCACTGCAACCTCCACCTACCGGGTTCAAATGATTCTCATGCCTCAGCCTCCTGAGCAGCTGGGATTACAGGTGCCCACCATGACACCTGGCTAATTTTTGTATTTTTAATAGAAACAGGGTTTCACCATGTTGGTCAGGCTGTTCTGGAACTCCTGACCTCAAGTGATCCTCCCGCCTTGGACTCCTGAAGTGCTGAGATTACAGGCATGAGCCACCGTGCCTGGTCCCCTTGACCATGTTTGAGTTAACATCTAGTATATCGTGCATTAACTATTGAAAGTAACAAAGAACGTGTCAGTGAGTTCCAAAGATACTCTTAATGTCTCTTGATGACCTGGCCTTCTTATTTGTCTTCTTTCACTTTTTGACCAAAAGGAAGAACATAGATTGTGTAGGCAGTGGTCCCACACGAAAGAAGGAGAAGATAACTGGTGTGTGCACTATTTTATACTTTATTGAAATCAGTGATTCTTAATCTTGTCAGGAACACAGGCACTTTTGAGGATCTGAAGATAGCTAAGGACTCTTTCCCCAGAAAAATGCATATAAATGTGACACTTTGCATATAATCCTAAGATGTTCATGGACCCCACACACTCAAGGTTAAGAATCCTGAATCAAAATCTCCTCATTTGCTGCCTGTCCCTTGCTTCACATGTTCTGTCTCTCTCTATATATAGATACACACACATGCTCTCTGTTTCTCTCTCTGTATGCGCACAATGTTTCTCTATCTCTCTCTATTTCTGTTTCTCTTCCACATCTATATATTCATTCATCTGCTTAACTCACATGTTTAGGATTAGGATAAAGCTTATGGATGGCTAGGTGGATGGATAGAAAAGTCGAGGACCAGAAGGAGCTGTGGAAAGAAACACTTTAGACAAATTTAACAGAGTTTAATTGGGCAAAGAAAGATTCGTGAATTGGGCAGCTCTCAGAACCAGAATAGGTTCAGAGCGACTCCCGGTATTCACAGAAAAAGGAAAGTGCCATACAACGGAAGTGAGGACAGAAACAGCTGGATTGGCTACAGCTGGGCATTTGCCTTATTTGAACCTGCTTTGAACAGTTGGCTGCCTGTGGTTGGCTGAGACTTAGTTACCTCTTACAAGAGTAGGTTACAGTGTGTTTACGTATGCACATCAAGTTAGGTTACAGTTCATTATGTACAAAGAATGGCTCCTTTTGTAATTATTATTGTTGCTTTCACATGATTGATTTTAAAAGAAAACAAGCTTTCAGAATGTAAGAATCATGCCCAAGTTCAGGCAATTAGCAAGGGGCTGCCACACAAGTCAAAGGCAAATTTAGGCCAAACTTAAAATATGTACAGAGACAGCTTTAGGCCAAACTTAATTTAACAGAGCTGTGGAGTTAGAATGGTTCGTTTATTTTCACAGATATGTCACCTTGGAGATGTTAATCTATTATAAGTCAGAGTATAGTAATGGGTAAACTCACCTCCTGGGGCCATTTAGACAGCTTCACATATTCTGTGCAAGCTTGGACCGGACTATTAATTCTGTCTGTATCTCAGTTTCCCTAACTTTAAAATGGGGATAACAGTAGTTCCACCATCTTGAGCTGTAAGGATTAAATAAACTAAGACATATACAGATTTTAAAATCATGTATTTTAGTAAGCGTTCAGTAACTGTTAGCTTGCATTTTATTTTGATGACTTAAAATCACTTGTACTATAATTAGTTAGATACAAAGGACAGCATTCTACAAATAATAAATTCAACACCACTAAGAGAAAAATTTCACTAGAAATGTCTTTTCAGAAAAAAAGCACTTCCCTTAGGTGATTTACTCTTCAGTAGGGATTTTAAGTTAACAGGGTAGCTGGGATACCAGTCTTGATTTTTTTTTTTTTTCCTGGGAGCCAGTGAAAAAGGAATCCATTGTCTATAACATGTCTTTTCTATAATAACAAGACCTTCTCACTGGGAGAGGAACCCAAGTCTACTTCTAGACATCACTAGCAGGGTTTTTGTCTTTTTGTGTCTTTTACTTAGGAAGGGCCTCTAATTATTTTTATACCAAGGCAAAAGGTTTACTATTATATAAAATTATAAAGCTGACACTTTCTCACGAAAGGTTACTTAAAAGAAAAAAAAGATGAAAAAAGAAGTGTAAACGTGCAGTCATCACTGCTAACACTTCACATTTCTAAGGCAAAAAACTGTCTAAGATTGAATTTATTTTCCCTAATTTATAGGTCTTGTTTATCTTCGGCCCTTCACTCTTCTCTTACAATGTTCGCCTTGTTGTTTTTTTTTTTTTTGAATATAAAATATAAACCACTGCAGAACTGCGGCAGAATTACCCAGCAAGTGCAGTGTTACCAGTGGGGGAGGAGCCATCTATCCTAGGCCAGCTCCTGGCACCCCCTTGCCTCGCCGGGAGGAGGAAGGTGCAGCTGAGCCTGCGTCCAGCAGATGGCGCTGCCTGCAAAACCTGGAAGGGTAGGGGAAGTCAGGGCAGGGAAGCAGGGAGCTGAGTCACGGGACAAAGGGAGAGGAGGCGGCAGGGAGGAGAAGGGGAGGGAGGACCCGAACGGTGGCAGTGGTCGGAGTTCTGATGGTTGCAAAAGTGTGAAATGTTAATTTTGAAGTGAACATAATTTCATTCTAATTGTAATTAAGGTGGGAGGAGACACCCGCTTTCTGTCTTAAGTGCATTCAGACTTGTTTGGGAACGTCAAAAAACTCGAGGAGCCAGAGCTCCCAGTAGCTATTTGCATAAGAATGGAGGATCCTCCAGGGAGGAATTCATCCCATGGGAAGATGGAGCTGCTACCGAGCTAGACCAGGAGCAGCTGGGGCCTGGATCACTGAGTGCTCATTGTGCGAATAGCCAGGAAGTGGCTCATGACCCCCTGGAACACAGCTCTGCATCTTGCAGGGGAGAGAGGGGAATCTGTATAAAAACTGTAAGCGATGTTTTACTAAAAATCCCAAAAAAGCACCTAGGTAGAAGCCTCTCAGCCTTGGGGCTCTTCCAGCGGAGTGTAGCACCAGAGGCCCTCCTAGAGCTGGCCCAGGCTGCCTGGGACTGTGGGGACGTTGCTAACGGTGGTGGTCATCATTGCACACCCAGAACTGATTTCCTGCCTGGCCCTGTGCCAAGTACTTTACCTTCATCAACTCATTTAGGTTTCAAAATAAATCTAGGAAGTAGATTCTATTTTCAGTCTCAAAATTTTACTGAAGAGGAAACTGAGGCTGACTTAACTTGTGGACAGAGCTAAGCAGTTGTTGGAAGCCAAGTGGGCCTGGTCCCAGGACACATGGCTGCCGCCCTCCTTGCCTTCCGTGCCTATTTAGGCTCTGGGAGCAACCAGGCGTGCCCATATTATTCACCCAGAGGACTGGGTGAGGTTGTGGTGGAGGGTGCTGAGCAATTCTACCTGGCTTTGCCATGAGGTCTTTGAGGTGCTCCTGGACTTGAGATAAACCTTGGGGATCTGGGTTTTGGAAACGCATCAGGTATCAGGCAGGGACCCAGAAGGAAGAAAGCAGTTAAGAGCTGTGGAGGGTAAGGTGTGCTCAGAGGCAAGAGAGGCCAGTCTGAGCTGGTGGAGGGGGCGCAGCATGAACCTGGGCAGGAGGAGTGGGAACTGGCAGGCTGGAATAACCTGGCACCCATGTTGGCACACTTGGGCACAAAGAGAACACAGTGGAGGGAGGAGAAGGTGACCTTCACTGCCCCGGGGCCCCTGAGGCCTTTGAGTTCTTCCGTCGTGGGCTCACTTGCCAAGCTTTGAGCTCTTGGTGCTGACCAAGAAGGCACAAATTGTTTATGGGCCTTGGTCAACGCCACGTGAAGATGGTATCAGAAATGAAAAAAAAATTTTTTAAAGAAGGTTGCAAAGAAACTAACATTATTGTCAATTCTCAATTATCTGTGAGGGATAAGGTTAATTGAAACACACAGATTTCAATAGCTAATAGCTTTTCTTTCTTTTGCAACCCATCTTTTACTACAGCTTCCAGAAAAAATAGCCAAAATGACTAATCAGATTTTCACACTGACTCCTTCATATCCCCCATCTGAAGTGCTGATAAGCAGTGAAATAGCCTCAGTGTGGACGCAGGAGGGAGAGGAAGGAAAAGCAGAGGTCTGGGGAACTCCCTGCCTGGAAGTGAATTTCCTAAGAAACCCAGAGCTGAGGACCAGGATATGAGGGGGAGATCTGGGCACAACAGTTGCAGCTGTCACTGAACCTCAAAGCCTCAAGGGCACCCCATAAAGCCGAATATCTTCGGAGGTGTGAAAAACAGCCTATTGAGGGGGCTTAAGGGGGAACATAGGTATACAACTGGGGTGGGCTGAACTGAGCACCAGTGAAAGAGGGAAATAAATTCAGTGACAAACTCCATGCCTCATATCATTCCTCTTCCCCTTTGTTCCTCAGGACAGTGGCTCTTGTCTGGCAAATATTTATCTAATATCTGAATTATTGGTGATGTCATGCATGCCCTTGTGTCTTAGAACATACTGTGATTTAGAACTGAAATCCTTTATCGTCCCCATTTCTGCTAAGCTGGATCTATTCTTGATGTAAAGATTTGGGATCTTGGGAAGAACATTTATATCTGAGAGGAAGGGCCTGGTGTGTAATCTCAGAAACACCCCTCCCTTTTCTTATAAGCAGGGGAAATGGGTTTTGGCTAAATAAAGGGGTTGTAAGTGAGGGTGACTGGGCAAGGGGCTGGGGACAGGGAGGGCAAGTGTTTCCCACCTTTCTTGATGGTAGGGGCTTGCCAGAGATGGAGGCAGTTGCTCCAGGGCAGGAAGAGGCAGTCTGCAGCTGGGGGAGATTAAGAAAGAGAGTGAAGCCAAGACTGCCTGGCCAGGAGAATGAGAGGCAGGGGGAGGGATGGGCTCTGTGTGGCTATAGCCTATGTTTAAACCCCTGTCTGCTGTTCAGACAGCAGCTGCCCAGAGAGAAGGCGCCACAGCCTCCCTCCTTCCTCTTGTAGCACATCGCCTGTTCTTCCTTGGCCTATGACTTTCTCACCTCTGAAAGCTGTTGCTCTGGCCTTACAGCCCAAGAGCCCAGGAGCAGTGCCCTGACCACTGCTGCGTGGTACCTCACCAGACATGCCCTTGGAGCCAAACCAAATGGGGAGTCCCAGAGCCTGCTGGGGCCGGTTGCCTGGGGCTGCATATCACCGTATATCAAAGCCGAGGAAAGAGGGTGACACCCTCAGGGGAGAGAATTCTTGAGGGCAAGCACCCACAAATGCTATTTCCATACTCTTGGTAAAACCCCCTCTTACTATTATGGGATGTGGGCAACTATGATGAAGATGAGGAGGGGGAGTTGGGCAGGAAATTTGAGCACTGTTATAATATAGAGAGGGGATTTCTATGAATTGTGAGAAAGTTTACTCTCCTGTGAGTGTGTGAGCCATTGTGCTGCTTATCTTTCTTGTGAAGTCAATAAAACTCCCTGGGATTCTATAAGCAGATGTTATCTCTGGCCATGACTTTGCTGGTCCTGAGGAGGCAAGACTTTTGAATCGCAGGGTGGGAAGTCTCAGTAGTGGTGCTGTGTTCCTGGAAAAGCAGGACTCGCAGATGGGAACGGCTTATATCCCAAGTTGTCAGGGCCTTTGGGGTTTGTCTTCCACTCCAGGAAGGGCTAGGTATGTTATTATTTGGCCGCTAATGATGCGGTCTTGGGAAAGCCACATCACCATCCCGACTTGAGCTTCTTCATCTGAAAAATGAGAGGGTTGCATACATAGTGTCAAAGGTGATCATTCACCTCTAATAGGCTTTTATTGTAAGTCTTTGGACAAACAGCTTACCTCTCTGACTCTATGTCCTTATCTACAAACGGGGATAATAATATCCACCCTTACCTTCTAATCTATGTGAAAGCACTTAGCGCTCTGGGAAGGAAAAAGCATTATTTAAATCCAGGGTAGAATTATTATTATATTCTATTTGTTCTCTCCTAGTCATTCATCATTGCTCTGCTCTACAATTATGCCCTGGGGTGAGTTATGTGAATAAACAGTCACACCTGGCAAGTTTCTTGGGAGGCTGAGCATTCTGATCGTGCTGGGGGGAAAGACACCAAAATTCTTTTATTTAGTTATTTTAGTGTGCAACTTGCTATCTATTTAGTATATAAGCCAGAACTGGAATACATTACTTTCATGCGCGTCCGTGTGAAGAGACCACCAAACAAGCTTTGTGTGAGCAATAAAGCTTTTAATCACCTGGGTGCAGGCGGGCTGAGTCCAAAAAGAGAGTCAGCGAAGGGAGATGGGGTTTTATAGGATTTGGGTAGGTAAAGGAAGGAGGGGGGTTGTTCTTTGGTGGGCAGGAGTGGGGGTCACAAGGTGCTCAGTAGGGGAACTTTTGAGGCAGGATGAGCCAGGAGAAGGAATTTCACAAGACAATGTCATCAGTTAAGGTAAGAACAGGCCATTTTCACTTCTTTTGTGGTGGAATGTCATCAGTTAAGGCAGGAACTGGCCATCTGGATGTGTACGTGCAGGTCACGGGGATATGATGGCTTAGCTTGGGCTCAGAGGCCTGACATTCCTGTCTTCTTATATTAATAAGAAAAATAAAATGAAATAGTGGTAAAGTGTTGGGACAGTGAAAAGTTTTTGGGGGTGGTATGGAGAGATAATGGGCGATGTTTCTCAGGGCTGCTTCGAGTGGGATTAGGGGCGGTGTGGGAACTTAGAGTGGGAGAGATTAAGCTGAAGGAAGATTTTGTGGTAAGGGGTGATATTGTGGGGTTGTTAGAAGAAACATTTGTCATTTAGAATTATTGGTGATGGCCTGGATACGGTTTTGTATGAATTGAAAAACGGAGTAAGATAAGGAGAAAAACAGGTATTAAAGGTCTAAGAATTTGGAGGACCTAGGACATTTAATTAGAGAGTGCCTAAGGAGGTTCAGCATAGCCTTGCCAGCAAAGATTATTTATTTACTTTAAAAGTTAAGAGTGGCAGTTTGGGGATAGCACCAGGAGATATCAGCTGTGATGGCTTAGAGAAACAGTGCAAACCGGCAGTGTAAACAAGAGCAGGGCATGTATGAGTAGTTGAGAACGGTGAATAGGAGTATGACTAGACAGAAGATAGTAGGGATGACAAGTTTTTTGGGGCACAGTCCAAGTTGGTCTGCTGTCTGGAATGAGAGCAGGGCCTAATAAAAAGGAGCGTCTATACAGGAGCCCAAATGGGCTGTACCTTGTAGCATTCTGAGGACAGGTCTGAATTCTGAGAAGGGAAAGTGGTAAAAGTATTGTCCAGTCCTTTTTAAGTTGGTGGCTGAGCTTGGTGAGGTGTGTTTTTAAAAGACCATTAGTCTGTTCTACCTTTCCTGAAGACTGAGGACTGTAAGCGATATAAAGGTTTCACTGAATACTAAGAGCCTGAAAAAATGCTTGGCTGATTTGACTAATAAAGGCTGGTCTGCTATCGGACTGTATAGAGGTGGGAAGGCCAAACCGAGGAATTATGTCTGACAGAAGGGAAGAAATGGCCATGTTGGCCTTCTTAGACCCTGTGGGAAAGGCCTCTACCTATCCAGTGAAAGTGTCTACCTAGACCAAGAGGTATTTTAGTTTCCTGACTTGGGGCATGTTAAGTAAAGCTAATTTGCCAGTCCTGGGTGGGGGCAAATCCCTGAGCTTAATGTGTAGGGAAGGGAGGGGTCCTGAATAATCCCTGAGAAGTAGTAGAATAGCAGATGAAACACTGATAAGTTATTTCTTTTAGGATAGATTTCCACGATGGAAAGGAAATGAGAGGTTCTAAGAGGCGGGCTAGTGGCTTGTACTATAGCATAGCCTGCCTTTGCTGGTGCGTGGCGATTAGGCCTGGTGGAACTGCCATCAATAAACTAAGCGTGATAAGGGTGAGGAACAGGGAAGAAGGAAATGTGGGGAAATGGGGTGAACGTCATTTGGATCAGAGAGATGCAGTCATGAGGGTCAGGTGTGGTATCAGGAATAATGTGGGAGGCTGGATTGAAGTCCAGGCCAGGAACAATGGTAATTATGGGACTTAACAAAGAGTGAGTACAGCTGAAGGAGCCGGAGAGCAGAAAGTATATGTGTCAGGTGTGAGGAAGAAAATAGATTTTGGAAATTATGAGAGCCGTAGAGAGTGAGTTGAGGATAGTTTGTGATTTTAAGGGCCTCTAAAAGTATTAGGGCGGTAGCAGCCACTGCACGGAGACATGATGGCCAGCCTAAAACAGTAAGTTCAAGTTGTTTGGACAAAAAGGCTACAGGATGCGATCCTGGTCCTTGTGTAAGAATTCCAACTGCACAGCCCTGCACTTCGGCTGTGTGTAATGAAGAGGGTTGGGATGAGTCAGGGAGAGCTAGGATGGGGGCAGTCTCTAAAGCTGTCTTCAAGGAACGGAAAGAGGAGTGAGGAAAGGATTTAGGATCTATGGGGTCAGCTAGGTTTCCTTTTGTGAGTTTACATAATGGTTTTTTTAGGATGGCAAAACCAGGTATCCAAAGGCGAAAGTATCCAACCATGCCCAGGAAGGAAAGGAGTTGTTGTTTTGTAGAAGGGGTTGGGGTTTGAGAGATTAGTGGGACACGATCAGCAGGGAGGGCATGTGTGTTTTTATGCAGAATTATGCCGAGGTAGGTAATGGATGGAGAAGAAATTTGAGCTTTGGAGGGAGATACCCGATATCCTTTGGAGAATAGATGCTGAAGGAGCAGAAGTGTGTCTCGTTGAGAAGATTCAAAGGAGGGGCTACAAAGAAGAAGGTCATCAATATATTGAATAAGGTGAGAAGCGGAGGGGTGGAAAGAAAGTAAATCATGAGAAAGAGCTTGGCTGAAGTAATGAGGGCCGTCCCTGAAGCCTTATGGCCGCACAGCCCAGGCAAGCTGCTGGCACTGATGGGTGTCAGGGTCAGTCCAGGTGAAAGCAAAGAGAGGCTGGGACTAGGGGTACAGGGGAATAGTGAAAAAAGCATCTTTAAGATCAAGAACAGAATAGTGAGTTGTGGAGGAAGCTATTGAGGACAAAAGAGTGTTCGGGTTGGGCACTGCAGGGTGGATAGGCAAAACAATTTGGTTGATAAGGCATAGATCCTGAACTAACTTGTAAGGCTTATCTGGTTTTAGGACAGGTAAAATGGGGGATTTGTAAGGAGAGTTGAGTTTATAGGCTTTAAAAGGCCATGGTGTAGCAGGCAAGTGATAACAGGCTTTAATCCTTTCAAAGCATGGTGTGGGATGGGATATTGGCATTGAGTGGGGTAAGGGTGATTAGGTTTTAATGAGATGGTAAGGGGTGCATGATCGGTCACCAGGGAGGGAGTAGAGGTATCTTATACTTGTGGGTTAAGGTGGGGGGATACAAGAGGAGGACGCAAAGGAGGCTTTGGATTGGGAAGAAGGGCGGCAATGAGATGTAGCTGTAGTCCAGGAATAGTCAGGGAAGCAGATAATTTAGCTAAAGTGTCTCGGCCTAATAAGGGAACTGGGCAGGTGGGGATAACTAAAAAGGAGTGCTTAAAGGAGTATTGTCTAAGTTGGCACCAGAGTTGGGGAGTTTTAAGAGGTTTAGAAGCCTGGCTGTCAATACGCACAACAGTTATGGAAGCAAGGGAAACAGGCCCTTGAAAAGAAGGTAATGCGGAGTGGGTAGCCTCTGTATTGATTAAGAAGGGGACGGACTTACCCTCCACTGTGAGAGTTAACCGAAGCTGGGCATCCGTGATGGTCTAGGGGGCTTCCGAGGCAATCGGGCAGTGTCAGTCTTCAGCTGCTAAGCCAAGAAGATCTGGGAAGTAGTCAGCCAGAGAGCCTTGGGCCAGAGTTCCAGGGGCTCTGGGAGTGGCTGCCAGGTGAGTTGAATAGTCCGATTTCCAGTAGGGTCCAGCACAGATAGGACATTTAGGAGGAATCCCAGGCTGCGGGCATTCCTTGGCTTGGTGGCCAGATTTTTGGCACTTGTAGCAAGCTCCTGGGGGAGGAGGTTCTGGAGGAATGCCTGGCCACTGCAGTTTAGGTGTTTGGAAGTTCTTGTGTGCTGGAGATATGACTGGGGTTTGTCTCACAGTGGAGGCAAGGAATTGCAACTTTTTTCTATTATTGTACACCTTGAAGGTGAGGTTAATTAAGTCCTGTTGTGGAGTTTGAGGGCCGGAATTTAATTTTTGGAGTTTTATTTAATGTCGGGAGCAGATTGGGTAATAAAATGTATATTGAGTGTAAGACGGCCTTTTGACCTCTTAGGGTCTAGGGCTGTAAAGCGTCTCAGGGTTGCTGCCAAACGAGCCATGAACTGGGCTGGGTTTTTATATTTGATGAAAAAGAGCCTAAACGCTATCTGATTTGGGATAAAGAAAAAGGAACATTAACCTTGACTATGCCTTTAGCTCCAGCCACGTTTTTAAGAGGAAATTGCTGGGCAGGTGGGGGAGGGCTAGTCACAGAATGAAACTGTAAGCCGGACTGCGTGTGAGGAGGGGAGGTGATAAAAGGATTATAGGGTGGTGGAGCGGAGGCTGAGGAAGAAATGGGACTTAGCTTGGCCTGGCAAGGAGGGGAGAGGTCAGATAGGTCTGTAGAAAAGGAAGATTAGAAAGACTCAGCAACACTTGGGGTTGGGACTGAGGGGACAGGTGGGAGGGAAAGAAGGAAGATTTGGGATGAGTTGCATTGGGAACAGAGACTAGGGAGGGCCTGATGTGTAAAAGAATGCCTGGACGTCAGGCACCTCAGACCATTTGCCCATTTCACGACAAGAATTATTTAGATCTTGTAGGATGGAAAAATTGAAAGTGCCGTTTTCTGGCTATTTGGAACTACTGTCGAGTTTGTATTGGGTCAAACAGCATTTCAGAAGAAAGTAAGAAGCTTAGATTTTAGGTCAGGTGAGAGTTGAAGAGGTTTTAAGTTCTTAAGAACACAGGCTAAGGGAGAAGAAGGAGGAATGGAAGGTGGAAGGTTGCCTATAGTGAAGGAGGCAGGTTTAAAGAGAAGGGTAGAGACATGGAGGGAAGGGGTTCGGGAGTTCTTACCCTCCAGAAAAGCAGGAAACGGGTTGGGGCATGGAAATAAGGGGTTGGGGTGCAGAGATAAGAGGTCAGGCCATGGAAATAAGGGATCAGGGTGCAGAGATAAAAGGTTGGGGTGTGGAAATAAGGGATTGGGGGTTCTTGCCCCCTAGAAAAGTGGGACTTGCCGCTAAGGGTGAAGGACGAAGGCAGGCGTCCCTGCGTGGTCTGACACCTCTGAAACATGGGTGAATAATCAGAGAGGCATCCCTGGAATGACTAAACACCAAGGGAAGGCTGCCTTCCCAGTCCGTGACCCGCGCCGGAGTTTTGGGTCCACGGATAAAACATGTCTCCTTTGTCTCTACCAGAAAATGAAAGGAATTGAAATTAAGAGAAGGGAGAGATTGAAGTGTGGCGCCAAGATTGAAAGGAGAAAGAGGTTGAGGGATAGTGAGGGAGGTTGGAGAAGAGAGTAAAAAGAGGCCGCTTACCAGATTTGAAATTGGTGAGATGTTTCTTGGGCTGGTCGGTCTGAGGACCTGAGGTCGTAGGTGGATCTTTCTCACAGAGCAAAGAGCAGGAGGACAGGGGATTGATCTCCCAAGGGAGGTCCCCCGATCTGAGTCACGGCACCAAATTTCATGCGCGTCTGTGTAAAGAGACCACCAAACAGGCTTTGTGTGAGCAATAAAGCTTTTAATCACCTGGGTGCAGGTGGGCTGAGTCCAAAAAGAGAGTCAGCAAAGGGAGATAGGGGTGGGGCCATTTTATAGAATTTGGGTAGGTAAAGGAAAAAGGGGGGTTGTTCTCTGGTGGGCAGGATTGGGGGTCACAAGGTGCTCAGTAGGGGAGCTTTTGAGCCAGGATGAGCCAGGAGAAGGAATTTCACAAGACAATGTCATCAGTTAAGGCAGGAACAGGCCGTTTTCACTTCTTTTGTGGTGGAATGTCATCAGTTAAGGCAGGAACCAGCCATCTGGGTGTGTACATGCAGGTCACAGGGGATATGATGGCTTAGCTTGGGCTCAGAGGCCTGACAATTACTACCTCTAGAATATAAGACTTGTAGTTATTTGGCCTTTGCAGAGATTTTCTCGCCCTTGGATTTCTGTGGGTGTTGTTTTGACCACTTCCAACCCAGAAAAGCGCACCATGAGTTCTCTGTGGCTCCCAGCAAGACCTTGATAAGGCCCCAAACTCTGACACTTGCTGGGGTTCACAGCGTAACGAGGGTCCCCGTTTCTTGGAAAATCTGCATAGCCCCACATGCATGAATAAAAGCGCATTTCATTTAGCTGAGCAAACACACACAGACTTATAATTGCTTTTATCTTTTACCACTGTAGCCACCAGAGGCCTCCCAAATTGTGGTTGATTTCACTGTCAGTGGAAATCTACTGGGAATTAACAAAAAATTATTTTAAAATTGAATAGAATGTCTGCAAAAGTTCAAAGTCTGTTACCTTGTTCATTCAACATCGCTATTCATGCAAAATGTCATGCAAATCAGTTCTTATTTACTGAGTACTTTGCTTCAGTACCCAAAAAAATGCTAAGAAAAAAATTGCTTATGTTTAGCCATCTATTTTTCCAAAAATAGGACAGCAATTAAAGTAGTACCACATGATGTGACTGATGATATCAGTACAGAAAAAGAACACCATCTCGGTGCATGGTGCTCAGGGCTGAGCATCTGTCTCTCATCAGGGACTGAATGGGGCGTCAAGAAGAGAAGTCCAGGAGCACTAGGACAGTGAGCAATGTAGATGTGATGCAGGGCACAGAATCATGAAAGTACCCTTTGTGGTGAGCAATCATGACAAATGTGTCTTCCAACAGGGCACCTCAGAGATCCCTTGGGAAATTGATTTCACCTCTCTGGGCCTCAGTTTCTTCTTTGACAAAAAAGAAGAGGGCATATTTTGGGCTATGCGATTTCTGTCTTTACAATTCTAAGACAGTTTTCTAAAATATTTAGAACCACTTATCGTGCGTATGTTATATGCAATTGCAACACAAGGTGCATTGCAAAGGTCTTCTTAACCCTCATCTAACGCTTTGGGGTAGGAATAGACAGCTCCATTTTTCAGATGCTGAAACAAAGCTCAAGGAAGTTAAGTCACTTGCCAATGGTCACACAACTTGGAGGGGGCAAAGTCAGGTTTCACACTCAGATCAGTTTGATTCTAAAACTTCTCATTGCCTGATCCTGTCTTTCATGCATTCCCCAAATGAGAGAGTAAAGTTAACTAACCTAAGGAATTTAGCTCCTGGGGTGTAGCTGTATCAGTTTGGAATTGCACAAGTGGTAAGGAACAGGCCAAATAAATAAAGGCTTAAGCACACATGAGCTTATTCTCTCACATGAAAGTGTGGAGATCGGCAGTCTAGGACAGGTGAGGTGGCACTGGAGCCACTAGGGCCTCTGTCTCCTTCCGTCTTTCTGCTTCACTGTTCTTGGATGTGATTTCCATTCTTAAGACTGATTCATGGTCCAAGATGGCTGATGGAGATGCAGCTATCACATTTAGGTTGCAGGAGGAAAGCAGAAGAATACAGTAGGCAGGGACTCCAAGCTGGGTTATCTCCCTTGAAGCAGCATTTCAGAAGTTCCACACAGCTCCTCTGCTTATATCTCATTGGTCAGTTTTAGTCACATGGCCACAACATAGTGGTGAAATGTAAAGCAGAGAAATGGAATCTTTATTCTGGGTGGCAAACTTTACAGCTAAACACTAGGGTTTATGTTATTAAGGAAGAAGAGAGAGTGGGTATTGGGAAGCAAATCTCAGTCTTTGCCACAATAATCAATTCCACAGCTACCCTCAGCTCTTTTCTGCTGATGGAGCCTGGCTTTGATCAAATTTCTACCTCTCCTTAGCCTCTCAGGTAATCCTGAATAGTCAAAGTCAGTCACAGTGGTATCACTCATCATACCTGGGATTTGGTGGTGATTAGCATGTAAACTAGTTTTGGATAATGAGATATGAAAGGGCTACTGGGAGAGGCTTCTTTGCTTTTAACAAAGAGATGCTTGGGAAGAGACTGACTTTCTTCTTCAACTAGACATTGTATTGTCTGGCAATAACACCTGGAAATCTAGTAGCCATCTTTGTAATCATATAGAGAACCTACATCTGAGGACAAAGCTGTACCTGGAGGATGGCAGAGGGGAAAGTCAGAAAGAACCGGGAATGAACTGACCAACTCTGGACTTCTTATGAAGTGCTTTTCCATATTGTTTAAGCCAGTCGAATCAGGGTGTTGTTTAACTTGCAGCTAAAGGAATCCTGACTGATGTGCAGGAGAAGGAGAAAAGTGACCCATTACCCATTTCTTTATGCTTGTATGAGTCTGATCTCACATTGCTATAAAGAACTACCAGAGACTGGGTCATTTATAAAGAAAAGAGGTTTAATTGACTCACAGTTCTGCAGGCTGCACAAGAAGCATGGCTGGGGAGGCCTCAGGAAACTTACAACCATGGCAGAAGGTGAAGGGGAAGCAGCCACATCTTACATGGCTGGAGAAAGAGGAAGAGAGAGCAGGGGGAAGTGCTACACACTTTTAAACAACCAGATCTCATGAGAACTCATTCACTATCACGAGAACAGCAAGGGGGAGATCTGCCCCCATGATCCAGTCACCTCCCACTAGGGCCCTCCTCCAACACTGGGGATTACAATTCGACATGAGATGTGAATGGCGACACAAACTCAAACCAAATCAATGCCCTTGGGATGGCAAGCTAGACATCAATCTGTGCCTGTCTTTGAGTTGTACTCTCTGTATTCTGTTTCTTACAAGGAGTATCTTTGCTTTTTATTTCTAAGGAGAGAATATCTTGAGATAGAGTATTTAACAGCTCAGATTAGAATCAGAATATTTCAGGATTACAAGGGACTAAACTCCCTTGCTCAAGGCTCTGAGAGAGTCAGTGATTTTCCTAGGGTCACACATTTAGTTAGGGGTAGAATTTGGACCAGGAGCCAGGCCTTCTGAAGACCTCCCAGTTCTTCAATCTCTCTCTTTGTTTGCCTCCAGTCCAACCACTACTGAAAGGTCTGGAATGCTGTTGGTCCTGTGTTGGTCGTGGTTAGGACTCTTTTTCCTTAGAGACGGCCTCTGTGACCATGTCTTTCTGCCCTTTCCTTGTAACTCCTCTTGATTCCAGGCATCAGGGCCCATCATGTTGAGAATGTAACTTAAAACTGTAGGCAGGGGTGATTTTCAGCTTCAGCTGTTGCCAACCACATCAGCCATGGCTGTCACCCTGCCTCCCTGCCTTCTCTGCCAACGCACACTGGAAATCATTCAGATGGCCATGTCACCTTCTCCGGGAATCGGAACCCAAAGGGTTGCGGAGCACTCAAGCCCCATCTGCTCCTCATTCCAGACCATGTCATGTCACAGTTACTCCCAATCCTGTCTCATTTTGCCAGGCGGTGCACACCAGACTGAGAAAAACTCCCCCAGTGAGTGTCAGAAGTGTGTGCAGCTGTACGGGGCGGTGGGGGAGACGCCCTGGGACCTAGGTGACAGGCTCAGTCAGGCTATGTGGATCTCTTCAAGACAGGCAGTGTGGCAGTCGTAGGCTGGAAGTCAGACAGACCCGGCTCAACCTGTTGCGAACTGTAAGAACTGAGACAGGCTATTCAAATTCCTCCAGCCTTAGTTTTCTCACCTGTAAATGGAGCATAACAATACCTGTCTTGTGGAATTCTAGTAAATACTAAATGATATAATGTCCATAAAGTATCTAACAGACACTCAATAGACTATTAATTTGAGGAAATATCTAGGAGGCACTCGATAGACTATTAATTAAAAAATAAACTTTTGTCATGAAGATTATAATAGCATTTAGGCTTCAATTTGTGTCTTGTTTTTTCCTAGTTAATACTCTTTGCTCAGCTGGGCTTGGTGGCTCATACCTAAGTAGTCCCAGCTACTCAGGAGGCTGAGATGGGAGGATCACTTGAGCTCAAGAGTTTGAGGCTGCAGTGAGCTATGACTGCACCCTTGTGCTCCAGCCTGGGCAACAGAGAGACTCAGTCTCTCAAAAACAAACGAACAATCAATCAATCAAACAAACAACAACCAAAAAACCCAACTCTTTGTTCTTCGTTTACTTGATACTTACGGGTTCCTTGGGATCTAAGGAAGAGGTTAAGTCTCCTCCTGCCCAATCATAGCTTCTTAGCATGAAGGGAACTTGGAGTTCTCTAACCTGATCTGCTTGGTCCTGACCTCTCATGGACTCTGCTTAGCAAACAGGACCAAGACAAAGGAAGTCAACCCAACAGGTGGAGTTTGTTTTTCCATAACCCCATGAGTTATTTTCATCCCACCAGAAGAAAATGTCTCCCAAGAGACCACTGAGGTACCATAAAAAGCAGCAGCACCCGGGTGAGGGCCTATGGTGGCCATTAGCCCGCTAAGCCATCTTATTTCTCCCTAACTACGCCAGCCACTGCTCTGATTCTTAATCAACTGGGCTGCCCCTTTCCTCTGAGATCCCTTGGATCTCATCTGGTCTTTCAAAGGGTAGACAACCCTAGAGAGAGGACAGCCTCAGGTATTGTCTTAATCACCTTAGGAAGAGATTAAACCAAAGGAATGAACTGGGCAAATAACAGAAATGATCCCCCTTTTTCTCTGTCCACTGAGAGTTCCATCTTCTGAAATGTTGACCTACCTAATGTGACCTTGAGAACTTAATATTATCTTTGATGTTTACCATCCTCCCTGGAGACAGAACGAAGAGGATCAAGGACCTTGAGCTTTCTCTTGAGTCCCTTGGATGTGATCAACAATGACATCATTATAGCTGGTGAATTTGGTTAATTCTGTTAGTGTTCTCGATTTAATTGCAGTGGTCATATTAGCTTCCATTCAAACACTGCCATATGGCTCTCCTCTTGCTATTAGTCTCGTGTCTGAACTGGTGACTTAGGGATACCAGTTCTCCACTATGGGGAGCAGGATGTCCACATCCGCACAAGCATTCTTGAATAAACCTCATCATTCAGGGAATACCTTTCATGATTTCTACTGAAAAGAAAATAGGCCAAGGAAATAATAAATGAAAAAAAGCTAAATAGATTCTTAAAAGGGAACATTTGCTATCTCAAGATTTAAGTACCTGGAGGATAGTTGATGACAAAGCCAGTTAGTCCTCCTACCATGGGGACACTTGAAAGGTCTTCATTAGGCACTTGTTTCAGAGATTGGTAGGGGCTTACGGAACAAAAGCTGCTGGGCAGAGATTTCACTGCAGTGTCAGAGGGCCAGCCCCTGAAGCCTTCTCAAAGTCCCTGTTCTTTTTTGGCCATCTGGTCTTAAGTACCAGAGGACATGCTGGGAATTGGTGAAGGACAGAGAGAGATGTCTTCAGGAGCATGGTCCACTGAGGCTCTTGTGACACAAGTGGCTGTCTTTAATTTGCCCAGAGTTTTAAATGGGAGAGTGGGCACTGGCTCTGTGTTGCCCCGATGTGATCCTGCCTCCGCGAGTCCTCCCTTTTCCCCAGTGCTTTACGCTTCTCTCTGGAGGCAGTAGATGGCTCTCTTGGGTACTGATTTCTCCATCATTTGCTCACTCACACCTCCAATTCTTTTGCTGTTTTTCTTGTTTTCCCCCCTAAAGTGTATTCATGAATATAGATCCCTCCCTCTTATGTTCATTGTTTCTTTACTTCTCCATCAGCTTTTTCATTCTCCAGTTTTCAGCCTTTTCTGGTCTCTCCCTCTCATCTTCATCCTCCAATCTGCCCTTTCCTCTCTCAAGCTCTCCTTCTCCTCTGTATTCTACTCACCATTTTAATTCTGTATTCTCTCTCTCTGATTTCCATCCTAATATCTCCATCTTTTTGTCTTCTCTTTTTACCCCTTTCTCTCTGTCTCTTCTCCACAAAGCACTCTCTGAAAGCTGAGTGTGTGTTAAGATAGACTTTATCCGTGCTTTGATAAAAACAAGAACTCAACGCAGAAATATTTTACCCAGACAGCCTTAGCTCTCCGTTAATCTTTAGGCTCAGCGGTGGCTTGCACGCTCATGTCCCATGTTGTTATTCCACAGGCATATATTTAAGGTTGTATTTCACTCCAGGATAAGATTGATTTTTCCAAGATTAGTTATTAGTTCCTGAAGTGGGCCGTTATTATGGATGAGGAAGCTAAGTGGATTGAGCTTGGTGTTGTACGAAATACATAACAACCAAGCCGGAAATAGCACTGCCTCATGAAGCTGTGCAGGGGCTTGGAGGTCATGGCCTCTGCAGAGCCTCCTTGACTCCTCAGGCCAGGGTCAGGTACTCTGCCTAGGTGCTGTTGTGCTATGCATTCTTCTCCTTCGTAGCCTCTATCTCCTGCCTATGTGCTCAGCTATTTCTGCCAACAAAGCATAATCTCACACACTGTCTAGTATGCAGTGGGCAATCCATGCATGGAGTCCTCAGAATGCCAGGAGATCCTCGTGAGAGCCTTCCTCCTATGCAGCCTCTTGTCTGCTCACCTCTAGAGTGGTGGAGTTTCTATGGGTAGCTGCATTAAGAACTCCCATTCATATGAGAAACCTGAGAGCATTTCACTTCAAATAGATATCCCCACTGATTATTCAACATTTTACTTCCAGGCCTGTGTACTAGGAAATATAGGCATTAAGGACACCAAAATAAAGAAAGACCTAGCAAGAGGTCCTTCTC
This sequence comes from Homo sapiens, assembly GCF_000001405.40. NCBI lineage: Eukaryota > Metazoa > Chordata > Mammalia > Primates > Hominidae > Homo > Homo sapiens. The sequence goes on from NC_000012.12 coordinate 13,272,186, forward strand.
CAATCTTTAATTTAACTTTCCCAATCCCAATGCCACATTTTGTCTCTTTGCAATTGTCCGAAATGACAAGTCTCCTTGGCTTTGCCCTTCTGGCCCCATTGGATGTGAGCTGTGATCTCTGCTGGTGTGGTTCATGGGCCTGGATGGAGAAGTCACTTCTGCTGGAATTTTCCAATGTATATTTTCACCATTTTAATTGCGAACATATCTTCCTGATCAGGACTTGTGTAGAATATGCTATCAGATTTTCTGGAGATTAACATCCTCACATGATTTTTGTTTGCAAATAGGTCTGCAGCCTGTCTTTTTTTCCCAGAATTATTTTCAGCATTATGAACAAGTTTCAAAAATCACTTGGTTTTAGTGCGGCATTTAGTACACAAAAATGTCATTGAGCCCCACTATGGTTATGGGAGCCACCCTTATCCACAAAGTCACATTGCTTACAAACTTGCCCAATTTGAGGAATTTCAAAAACTTACTTGTCCTACAAGAGTTACTTTCTGAGGATGACAGGTAAGTTTATTATTATCTTGAGTGTAATGATGGTTCATGGATGTCTACATATGCCAAAACCTATCACATTGCACATTTTAAATATAGGTGGTTTACTGTGTGTCAATTACACCTCAATAAAGCTGTTTTAAAAAACCTCACTGGATCCAAAATTCTCTCCCTTTCCCATACCTGAAATGTAATTATTTTGTTTTGTCTCGCTGTCTTTGGCTTCATCAATCACAGTCATTTGGTTCTATCAGTTTTGATGAAGCAAACACGGCTGGTAGAATAAAAATACACCCGACAGATTCTCTCATTCTTGTGCCAATTAAATGAGTTTGCTTACTTTTTAACCACTGGGATTCAGAGCTGTAAGTAGACAGAACTGGAATTCAGATGAGGAGGAAAAGAGAGAGAAGTAATTTTGGAGCCTAGGAAAGTTTGGAGAATGAGGGGACAGGGTAAAGCCACTGGGTAACCAACCAGGTTCTGGACCCAGAGATAAAAGCGTTAAGTGAATTTGTGTCACAGGTCCACGTCGTTACTGATCAAAGAACGGTCCTCTCCTTGTGTTCGTTAGGGTAAATGGTGGATATGCAGCTTTGAAGTCAGGCACACACGGACAGGACTATGGGCCCCATTACTGATTAGATGTCTGACCTTTGGTAAATTTCTCAACTGACTTTAACTTCAATTTCCTCATGTGTAAAAGGGCATAAGAATCTTTATCTCACAAGGGTGTTGTGAGGTCCAGGCAGGATGATATAAATGAAGAAATTGCCTTGCCCAGAATACTTATGTTTCTCCCCATTCCTTTCTAACTTTTTCTTACTTAAAAAATATTTTACATATATATTTTAAAGCTTCATTAAATTTATTTAAAAATGTGTATAAATGTGTTTTTTTCTAATTACATAAGTAATCCATTCTAATCATTTTGAAAAATGCAGAATACAAATCAATCAATTGGGAGGGCAGGAATCTCCTTCCCCGTGAGTTCTTAAGAGAAAACAAGCACGCCAACATAGCCAACATGTAAGTGCTCACTGTAATCTGGAAAGACCCCTGTTACGGGAAAGTGGCTGTGGATAGGAGATGGGAAACTGCAGGCATGCGTTAGGCTCACTACGTTATTACCTTTGGTCAGCTCTGATTTCCTTTCTACTTGTTTTTAGAGATACCGTTGTCTTATTTTAAACACTAGGTAAAATAAAAATTTGGGATACTTTTAGATTGTAACGTTCAAGAATGCTTGCTCAGTGTTGAGAGCAGAGGGTGGATGTACCACGTGATCCAAAGCGGCTCTTGCTGTTCTGCTGTTTCCTTTTTAATAAGGCCAAACCCGGAGCACCCAGTCGTACTCTTGACTTGCTGATTTTCCCGACTTCCAAGCACAACAGAATTAGCCTGCAAGCCCCAGAGCCTCTGCACTATCGCTCACTCCTCTTCCCTCCAGCTCCGGCTCTGTCGCCCAGCCGTGCCTGGTCTCTCTACTTCACACGTCTGCTCCAGCATCTCTGCTCCCCCTCCAGTTGTCACATCACTTTGCACACACACAATATTTTTTTTCCTTGCCAGCCACTCCACCATCAGTGCCAACCAACCACTCCTTTATATTCCTCAAATTATAGTCATGCTATCGAGAGCTGGAAGAGACTTCAGGGTCTTCTACCTCTAGTGTTGCATTAGTGCCTAGTTTGAGTAGGTACTACTCGAGTGCCCTGAATCTGATATCCTTTCTCCCAGCTGTGTGTGGCCTGGAATGCACCGGGAGGATGGGGCAAAGTGGAGCAAGAGATCACTTGCTACGTGCAGCTGGCCAGGATCCCCTGGCACCACTGACTCTTAAAGCCAGCGGGGGTTCAGGAGCCCCTTAATTTTGGCATCTTGTGTGTCACGAGGAAAAACTCTTCTCTCTAAAGAGTGCATCTGCCTGTGCTTCTCTTAAATCTAAAAACCTCCTGTGTACTTCCATAACTGGAGGGTCCGTTTCAATCCCTACCCACTAGCCGTCAGTGTCCTCACAGCCTAGCCAGAGTCCACTGTGCCCCCACTCCCAGACATGCACACAGGACACCCCAGCCACATACGCACTCCCTTGTCTACGCTGTAGGTCTTTGCACATGCTGTGCCCTCTGACTAGAATGCTCTTCATACTTTCCTACTCAGAAAATGTCTGGTCAAACCCTTCTTGGTGTTGCCTTGCCTATGTCTGTGGGCACCTTGCATGTTACCATGAGCCCCTTAAGACCCTGATAATGGTAATAATAATGAAAGAGACAACATTGGCAACCGACGTTTATTGATTATGCTAATAAAGACTCATTATTTTATTATCTTCTGAAACAACTTTATTATAAAGCTACATTTAGGGATAAGGAAACTGAGCTTTCTAGAGGTTTAGTCATTTACCCAAGGTCACAGCTAAAAAATGGTGGCCTGGGGCTCAAACTTAAGCTTGTCTCATTCCAGAGCCCAAATGTCACTGTGCCCCTCACCACTTATCATGCCGCCTTGGCAACTGTCTGTGAGCAAGGCTTGCTTCTCGAGGACAGGAACCCTCAGCATATTCCCAGTGCCTAGAACAGTGCCTGGTATATGCTAAGTGTTCAGTGAGTGTTTGTTGACTAACTGAATAAACAAATAAATTTCAACAGAGCCCTCCCCTCCTCCAATAGTCCTTGAACCAAACCCAGGGACTTGGGTGGAGAGAAGTTCCTCTGTGCCCAGGAGCAGCAGCAGCAGATGGTGCTGCGGGGATATGCTCTCTCTTTACTCTTGCACCGAGCTGCTCTCTCTCCATCCCCTCTCCTCCTTCTCCGAAGCAGCCCCATGTGCTAGGAAGATGGCCAAGTGAGGCCACTAGCCTTCCAGCAGGAAACACCTGGCTGGTCAAAGCCTTTTGCAGTGCTTTGTTTCCACAATAACCTTTTATTTGCCTCTCTCTCTTAGATTTCATGCAAAGCCAACTGGTATTTTTTTAAACAGCTGAGAACACCAGATGGAAGGGTAGGGGGAGGTGGAGGCACAGTGAAAGGCAGGAAGGGGGCAAGAAAGGGCTGTGGATGAGAGGGACGTCCTGAAACATGTGAGGTCGGGAAAATGCCAGACAGGTCAGCAGAGGTAGGGAAGGAAAAAAGAGCTGAAAAGACCAGCAGCCACCATATGTGTGCATGCACATGCACGCCGCACTTTCAACATACCATTAAAATAGAGAAAGAAACGTTCTGGTTTCCGTAGCAACAAGGCCTATTGGTGCCTCAGCCAGAGAAACTTATTGGAAAGAAAGGCATTTGCCTGTTAAGGAGCCTGATGAATCGGGAGATAATTATACAGCATTCCACCACCACTAAAGACACACAAATACACTCCAGAAAATATTTTAAAGAGCATAGATTGTCACAAATCCCACAAAGGCAGTGGGTGGGAGTGAGGCAGCAGGCGAGGAAAAAAGGCGACTGGAACGGTTCTAGGTGAACACCTAGGGAGGGGGCCCATGTGAGGTGGAGACTGGAACCAGCTCACAGGTCAGTTGTCAGAGGCAAACATGAGGCAGAGCTTGACATACTGGTATTTGATTCTAAGGGGCCAGCACACTGAGTCCTATCTTCTTTGTCCTTTTGGGAAGTGGGTGGGTGGATCTGTCATGTCTAAACAGTTAGATCCAGTATGAGAGGGTTCGCTGAGAGCAGTGGGATCAGCGCTGTTAGGGCACTGCTTCTGCGGCGGAATGAACTGTGTGAATGTCATAGGACATCTGCTCCCCCAGATGGGGTGGGACAGAAGAGGAGAATCTTCAACACTGAGTAGAGGATTGTAGAATCTTCCTTAGGGTAGAAGGAAAGGAGATACACAATTGTACTTCTCATAACGCAGGACACTGGGCTGGGCACATAACAATTGCTATATAAAATACATAGTGAGTGAATGAAAGATGGAATGGATACATGGATGGATAGATGATTATGTGAGTGACTTGATGAATAAATGGACAAAAAAATTGTGAATAACCAGGTCCCTGACTTCTCTCCTCTTGCTCATCCCTAGGAACTTAATTGCAAATCAGTTTTGTCCTCCAGAAGAAGGTCACTGAGTAGTCAGAGGTTCCGTGGTGAAGCCTTTAGATAAGAGTCATGCCCTGCAATAAGCCCCAAGATCTGGGGCTAAAGACAGCCCGGCATCTTCAAGAGCCTATTACCTTTGAAGATTCAGATGTGTTGCATATGTTCTCCTTCCTCCTTATGGATGATACACCTTGTGATATGCCCTTCCAGTGTTCCACCCTGAATTAGAGGGAAGAGCTTGCCCACTTCATCACAGCACCAGGACCACTTTCTGTAGCTCTTGGGGCTCAGGTGAGCCCTCAACTTCTGTCTGAGGGAGTTTTCCTATCCTCTGATCGCTGATAGTGCTCCGTGAGCCCCTCAGCTGGCCCTTTCTTTACACATTGGTGTCTAGAATCATGACTTCTTATTCAGTTTTTCCTGTGTGTATGTTGCTCCTCTCCCACTACACTAGTGGGAGAAGCCACTTGGAGAACCTCTTCATAGCCGGAGCCACTAGCAGGCCGCATATCAAAGAATTGCATATTTGCAATGTTGACACCAAGGAGAAGGACACTGATCTCTAGCCTTTAAGAATTGGCTGAAGCCATCAGACTCCACCCTCAGCTAAGATCAGCTCTGTGCCAAGAAACCCCTTGTACACTAAACACACATACACCATACGCAACATTTTGTGGGTGATGCCTGGTTGTCTTGCATGGCAGACACGGGCTAGAGGGCTGTGTGAACTGATGAGAAAGAAAGGGAAGGAGTCAGGGAAAGTCCCAGAGGACTCATCCCCTTGCTACTCATAGGCACTTGACTATTAATGAACTGAGTCTGTCACAGTCACAACACAAAGGGGTCCTGCCAGGGAAGGGAACGCAGAACCACAATAGACGGCTTCTTTGTCCTGGAAGTAGAGATGAGGCAGGATTCTCCTTATCACCACAATCTTAGCAGTGCGTTTTGCTTATATTTTGTTTTTTGAATAAGGAAAAGAAGGTTCAGCGAGGTTGAGCAAATTGCTCAAGGTCACATAGTTAGCGTATAGATACGTATTGAATTTACACTGTCCCTCTCCAATGTCCAGGCTGTCAACTCTGGTATTATATTGACTGTTTGGACTTAGGCTCACTGAAGGCACTGGAGGAAGCCAAAGTATGTTTTATTTCTTTGAATGAATGCCTCTTTGAAAACACAGCCTGCTTTGGGAATATGAAAGAGAAAAAACAGGTCAGAGTTCTTTTGCTACTTAAAATGAAGATGAGGGAAACGGTTCAGAACAGAGAAAAACTTATAAGTCTTATTTTGTGTAAGCATCATATTAAACATATTCCATTCCAACTATAAACAGATTTTCACATTTCCACCTTCCCCCTCCCATTACCCTGCATCAGCCCCCACCATCCCCAACAGATTGTTCCCTTCCTTCCTGTTTATATTATAAGAAAGCAAAATTGGCTTCCCCTTCATTCTCCACCTCCCACCCTGCACCATCTGGGGGTGCATAGCTCTTACCCCGTTTTTTGTTGTTTTTTTTTAATACTCCCTCGACTTCGTGTCCAGCGGCCCATTCGATTTTGAAGCTCCGCAGAGAGTGCCTCCAGCGGCCGCCAGGGGTCGCAGTCGAGCAGCTGGCGCCGCCTCTGTGCAGGGGAGCAGGGGCCGCTGGCCGGGAATCGCAAGCCGGTCTCCTGTACATATTAGCGCGCAGCATTAATCAGGCCGCAGCCTCTGCAGTGCTTTCCGAGGGGAGTCAGAGACTAGGGCTGGGAATGAGACCGGGCCTTTTCGGGCCACTAGAGCCGGGCCACCTCAACTCTCCCGCCCTAGGCTCAGAGCACACAGTGCTCAACGAAGTGCAGCGAGGCCAGCTGCTCGCCTGGCCCAGGGTCGAGCCTTGCCTCCCAGGATTCCTAAACATACGGGACCTGTGAGTCTGTGGACAGCAGTGCCTGCCAGGCCTGAATTCATCAGGAGTGGCGGGAGGTGGCGTAGAGGGGCAGCTCTTGATGTAGATCGGGAGGACACCTCCTCTCCCTCCCCTGCCCTCTTACTGACCCCAGCCCCTCGACAACACAGGCCCCTAGAAGCCAAGTGGCAGCTCTGTCCCTGCACACGCGTGGGCACTCCCCAGACCCCTGCCAGTTCTCAGGTCACCCTCAGACAGATTTGGCCAAACCTCCCATGGTCTTCTCATGTGCCTGGAAAGCCAGGCCTCTGCCAGAAGCTTATCAGATGGGAGGCAGAGCAGGGGAGGGCCAGCACGTGCTTCCTCTAGCATGAATTTTTCAACATTACATTTTCATCTCTCTGCCCTATTTCTCTCAATTCTCATCTCTGAAAAGAGCAGCGCAATTCCCTCCCACTGCCCTTTTTAGAGACGGATCTGCTTCTTCAGATTTGATGCAATTACTGGGCAACTAAGATGGAGGCACTAGGGGAAGAAAGGGGGAGCGGGAACAGAGGGGAGGGGAAAGGGCTTGTCAGCCCTGAGACCCGCAGGTGCGCCCGGGAGAAGCTGTGGCTCCGAGACGCTTGCCACTCCTGGGCAACACTGTTGAGCCCTTTTACTCAAACCATTGAGGTGAAACACCAGGGGCCCACGATGCGCCTCCACTTTTCCTTCCTCTTTCTCCATCTGCCTCTCCCTTTCATCCCTTCTTCCCTTCCTTCCTTTCTTCTTTCCTTAGAGACAGACACAAGCACACATATAGACATTCCTATGCATGTGCTTATAATACAAGTCATGCTTGGATCTTTTATAATAAGTTCTAAAGGGATAAGATACTATGGGGGGGGGAGAGAGATCTGATCAGTTTGGTGAAATAAGTGGGATTTGAGTTGGATCTTGAAGAATGGGTAGGACTTCTGCAAGAAGGAGGAAGGCAGGCCAGTGACAGAGAAAAGCTTGAACAAAGACATAAAAGTGACAGATGCCACAGCAGTTGGAGAGAGCCATGAGTAGGCTGCAGTGGCTCCATAGAAGGTAGAGGAGAAGAGGATGTTTTGGGCACAAGCCTGCAAAAGTTAGACCAGAAAATGGAGAACCCTAGAGCCCAAATGAGGAGTTAGTGCATTGGTCTTTGGACTGCAAAGCCCATCAAAGGTTTTCATGGCACAACAAATCTGTGGTTGTATTAGTTCATTCTCACACTGCTGTAAAGACATATCTGGGACTGGATAATTTATAATGAAAAGAAGTTTAATTGGCTCACTGTTCTGCAGGTTGTACAGGCTTCTGCTTCTGGGGAGACCTCAGGAAGCTTACGATCATGGCAGAAGGCAAAGGGAAAGCAGGCACATCTTCATATGGCTGGCAGGAAATAGAGAGTGGGGTGGGGAGCTGGGGGAGAGGTGCTATACACCATTAAACAAGCAGAACTTGGGAGAAGTCTATCACAAGAACAACAAGAGAGAAGTCCTCCTCCATGATCCAACCACCTCCCACAAGCCCTTTCCTCCAACACTGAGGATTAATTACAAGATTTGGGTGGGGACACAGATGCAAATCATATCAGTGGTTTAGGGATATTTCTTCAAAGGATGGGTAGATAAGGGATTGAGGTGCTGGGGGTTGGCAGCTGGGCATGGAAGGTTTGGGGGGCTGTTGTGGTAGTACAGATGGAGACAGTCAGGGCCTGACTTTGGGCTGCCACACTGGAGCAGAGAGTGTGAGACACCATGAGGAGAGGCTTTACACTTGCTCCTCAACACCCTCTTCCCACCTCTGCCCCTCCATCACTCCCCATCACAGCTGATGATCTCCTATCACACTTCACTGAGAAATGGGAATGATTGGAGGAGAACTCCCTTTTCTCCCAACCACCTGGTCTACACATGAACCTGTGTGTACCCAGTGTACCCATTTTCTCTTTTCCTCCTCTTAGTATGGAAAAAAATTCCCTTCCTTCCTGTTTATATTATAAGAAAGCAAAACTGGCTTTCCTCCACTCTGCCTTTCTCAAGGACTTTTCTTCCTCATTACTCCCTTTTTCTCCTGCATCGTCAGTCCCTCCCTCTTTAATGTTCATTCTCACCAACACATAAATATGCTCTATCATTCTGCAGCTTCACAAAAGTCTCCAATGCTACATCCCTCTCTACCTAGAGCCTCATCTGTAATAAAACTTTTCCAAAGTCTGCACACACTGATTCTATCTCTTCACCTACAAACTACTCTTCAGTTTGCTCTGATCTGGCTCATTACATTACTTTACCAAAATTACCCTTCAATCTCTAACATTCTAAATCCAGCAGGTAGTTTTCTGGCCTTATATTGGCTCTTCCATTCATATTTGGCATACTTGACCCCACTGTCCTCTGTGAAACACTCTTTTTCTTAGTTTCATGACATCATAGCTGCTTGTATTTTTTCTATATCAGTGACCTCTGCTTCTCATACAGTTCTAGTGGCTTCTGCTTTTGGAGAAGATGAACAAATACTGAAGTGCCCCAGGACCTTGTCCCGGGATCCCTTTTCTTCCTTTCTCTTCCTGTCTCATCTACTCTCTTCTCTTCATCGATGTACTCCCATGGCATAAATACCATCTCTCCAGTGATGCCTCCAGATAGATCCCCATCTCAGAGCCCTCACCATGGAGGCCCAGGCTCTTACATCCAACTGTCAAATTGACATCTCCACCAGCGTGTCTCATTGGAATCTTAAATTTAGCATATCTAAAACAAAACTCTTAATTCTCTTCTGTACCCAACTGCCAGCTGGTTCTGTCCCTCTCTCTATGTCCCCAATTCAAGAAATGGCATTATCATCCACCTAGTTGCTTACACTAGAACTCTTGAGTCGTCCTTGATTCCTCCCTTTTCCTCATCTCTATATCCCATCCATCAGCAAGTTCTATCAGGTTTACTTCCAATATAGGTCTCAAATTGGCCCATTTCTCACCATGATCACTGCCATCCTGGAGTTTAAGCTGCCATGATCTCTTACCTGGCCTGGTGCAAAAGCTTTGAACTTGTCTCTCTGCTCTGCCTCTTGCCCCTTCCTCCCCATAATTCATTCTTCATGCATCAGTGAAAATGAACTTACAAAAGCATAAATCAGGTCAGATCCTTCCCCTGCTTAAATGCTCTTCTTTGATTTCCCATCACACTTAGAATAAAATCCAAAGGCTTTGAATGGCCTCCAAGACTGTCCACAATGTGGTCTTGCCCCGCTTCATCCTCACCTAGTTATGATCACTCCCTTCTCAATATGCTCTATATACAAAGGTTTCATTGCTGGTCCTTGAACATGGAAAGCTTTTTCTCTGTATATGGCCTTTGCATCTCCTGACCCATGGACCTGGATTATTTGCTCTCTGCCTGGGTCTTTTTATAAGAGACTCCCTTCTCGTCCTATAAAGATGCCTTTTCTGCTCATCCTCATGCTCCTAGCTATCCCACATCACCTTGCTTACCTCCTTCATGACATTGCTCACACTCTGCAACACAGAAACTTATCTGTCATCTATTGTCTGTCTCCTGAGAATAAGAAACTTGTCTGTCTTGCTCACCCCAATATTCTCAGCACCAAGCAAAGCCCCTGGCTGTGAATTAGCAGTGTTATACATTGGGTAGAAATGACAGAATCTGGTGAGTTATCCTGTATATAAAGCAGAGTGATGGAGAAGGGAGGAGTTTCATTAAGGATGAGAATGAAGAACCCAAAGAATGCAAATACAATTCCAGTGAGAAGAGGCAAAGGAGAAAGTACAAGCTTTGGGTTGGTGAGGTAGGTAAGGTGCTGATTTTATGATGGGTTTGAGGTGCCTATGGGACTTTTAGCTGTTAAATGGAGATGTAAGCCTATAGCTTGGGAAACAAGTTAGGGCTAGAGATATAGATTTGGAAAACACTGGCTTAGTCTATTTTGTATTGCTATAGCAGAATACTACAGACTGAGTAATTTATAAGGAACAGACATTTAATAGCTCACAGTTCTAGGGACTGGGAAGTCTAATATGAAGGTGCAGGCAGGATTGGTGGTTCCAATTCCAAGATAGCGCCTTAAACACTGTGCCCTCCGAAGGGGAGGAAGGCTTCACCTTCACATGGCGGGGGATAAAGAGACAAAAAGGGACCAAATTCACCTTTTGATAACACCATGAATCCTACTCATGAGGACAGAGCCCTCATGGCCTTATCACTTCTTAAAGACCCCAGCTCTTGGTACTGCATTTCAATCTCAACATGAGCTTTGAGGTGACAAACATTTGACCATAACAACACCTTTGCCAAAATAGTAATGAAAGCACCCGGAGAGCATTGGATGAGATGATTGTGGTGGGTCAGGCAGCGTGAGGGCAGAAGAAAGACTTATAGTGAAGAACAGGAAAGGGGAGGGGCCTGTGAAGACTGAGGCAGCAGGGAACCAGGAGGATGAAGTGTCACTGAAGCTTAGAAAATGTGAGATTTTAAGAAAAAGTGCTGCAGGTTGAGTATCCCTTATCTGAAATGCTTGGGACCAGAAGTGTTGCAGATTTTGAGTTTTTTTTTGGACTTTGGAATATCTGCATTACATTTACCAGTTGATCAGACCAAATACAAAAATCTGAAATCTGAAATGCTCTCATGAGTATTTCCTTTGAGCATCATGTTGGTGATCAAAAAGTTATGGATTTTGGAGCATTTGGATTTATGATGTTTGGATTATGGGATGCTTAACCTGTAGAACAAATTCAGTTCAGTCCAAAAAATACTTCTTGTGCCGTCCCTCTGTTCCAGTCTACATACTTTTTACGGAACTACAAATATAAATAAGCTCTCAACTTTTCTGGGGGGAGCGGGGAGGAATTATAGTCTGTTAGGAGAAATAGATATGTGAAAACATTTATGTAAATAAAATATGTATTCACACAAAACAGCACTATGTACTTTATAAGAGTATATCCAGATATAAAGGTAATATGTCAAATGTGTTAACAAAGTTTCCTGTTGGGCAGAACAGGAGTGGGAAATGGAGATAAAAAGACATCAATATATAAACAAAGCAAAATGGAGGTCTCAACCAAGCAAGAATGTAATAGTGCCATGAATGGAAGCTTCTGATGATTCAACCATCTGCCCACCCTGGTAGATCCTTGCAGCTTTTTCTTTAATATCAAAAATGTTTTATTTTTACTATAAAGTGCCAAATATTTATGGTAAAATCTTCAAATGGTGAGAAGGTATAAGTAAGAAAGCATACATCACTTGGGATCCTACCTCCCAGAAATAACCTATGCTAATATTTTTGCCATCATTCTTTCTGACAGTCCTTTCTGTGTGTATACATGCATGGATATTTTTGGCACTTACAGTTATTTAAAAATGGCTAGTGGTTTTTCTTTCAAACCACATAGGAGTAGCTCTTCTTTTTCTGAGAAGAGCAACTTGCACATCTCCTTTTAGATAATGGATAGAAGGCTAGTATTCACCTGTCCTTTGTTGTAGGAGAAAAGCATAATAGAACATGTTTTGGTTTCAAAGGAGCCTAAAGCTTAGACACTGGGGCTGGTGAAATTAAATGGTGAACTCCCCCAGTGTCCTTTTGCCTCCAATAACTTACAAAGAAGTCAAAGAGCCTTGCAGAAAAAGGGGACAAACACTCCTTTCACTTGAAGTCTGAGGTTATTAGTACAGGTCTAAGAGCCTGATGGAAGCCCAGGTAGCGGAGAAAGAAGGAAGAAAGGTGTCCTGGCCAGACCCACAGATGGCATTCAGGAAGGGCTGGAACCCTCACTACTCCTGTTCCCTGGACTATAATCACATGTTGGTCAAAGGTTGTATGAGACTGTACACTAGAAATGTTGTGTCCAAAGAGCTTTGACATTGGAGCCCAGGTCTGCTTAGTATGAAGTGTATGCAGCTGAACAGAACTCTGGGAAAGACTTATCACCTCCTTTGCATCCTAGAGAAACTGCAGCCAGCATGAAAATAACTGTCAGCCTGGGTTGCGTCTGCGCTTCTTGTGGTGAGCAGGGATTTGGCTACTGAGTGCTTCCTGCAGTGTGCAGGCCCTGAGAAAGGATTCATGGACCTCCTCCTGGAGGAGGAGCGATGGTGACAGAAGCTATAGCTGCAGGATTGGACATTTGGCACATTCACCAAACTTTCCATTTTCGTTTTTCTCTTTCTTAGGCAGGAAAATGGTACCACTCAGTAAGAACCTACCTTTGGGACTTTTGAAGGGAGTCACCTGGGAAGAAGGATGAATTGCTAAGACTGAGGAAGTGAGAGTTTAAAGCCATTTATTTTTTACTATATTACAAAGCCATAGTAATCAAACCAGTATGATACTGGTACAGACCACGTAGACCAGTGGAACAGAATAGAGAGCCCAGAAACAAATCCAAACATATACAGTCAACTAATTTTTGACAGGGGCACCAAGAGAGCACAATGGGGAAAATAATCTCTTTAATAAATGGTGCTGGGAAAACTGGATTGATACATGCAAGTGAATGGAATTAGGACTCTTATACACAAAAATCAGCTCAAAATGTGGAAAATACCTAACTGTAAGACCAGAAACTATAAAACTCCTAGAAGAAAAGAAAATCATGGAAAATCTGGGCATCGGCCATGGCAATGATTTTTTGGATATTACACCAAAAGCTTAGGCCACAAAAGCAAAAAATAAATGAATGGAACAAATCAAACTAAAAATCTTCTGCACAGCTAAGGACAGAATCAACAAAATGAAATGGTAGCCTACAGATTAGGAAAAAATATTCACAAAACATGTATCTGATAAGGGGTTAATATCTACAATTTATAAAGAGCTCATACAGCCTAATAGTACAAAAACAAATAACCTGATTAAAAAATGAGCAAAAAACCTGGATAGACATTTCTTCAAAGAAGACATGAAAATGGCCAACACACATATAAAAAGGTGGTCAACATCATTAACTTTCAAGGAAATGCAAATCAAAACCGCTATATTACCTCACATCTGTTAGGATGGCTGTTATCAAAAAGTAAAACAATAATAAATTTGGTGAGGGTGTGGAGAAAAGGGACTCATATACACTGTTGGGGGGAATGTAGATTGGTGCAGCCATTATGGGAAACAGTATGGAGTTTCATAAAGAAATTAAAAATAGAACTACCATATGACCCAGCAACCCTCTTCTGGGTAAATATCCAAACGAGATGAAATCAACACCTCATAAAGATATCTGCACTCTTTTGTTCACTGTAGCATTATTCACAATATCCACAGAATCGGACACAACCAAAGTGCCTGTCAGTGAATGAATGAATAAAAAAAACTGTGGCATATACACACAATGGGATATTATTCAGTCCTAAAAAGGAATAAGATATTGCTACTTGCTATAACCTGGAAGAGCCTGAAGGACTTTATAGTAAATGAAATAAGCCAGATACAGAAACAAAAATATTGTATGATTTCATTTATATGTGAAATCTAAATGTATATATATTTATATGGAGATAGATAATAAAGCAGTGGTTACTGGGCTACTGGGGTATGTGGGGAGAGTAAATGGGGAGATGGAAGTCAGAGGACACAAAGTAGAAGATCTGGAATGAACAAGTCTAGAGATTTGATTTACAGCATGAGAACTATTGGTAACAAAATTGTATGTTTTTTGGGATTCTTGCTAGGTGAGTAGGTTCTAGCTGCTCTTGTCGCACACATATGATAACTATGTGAACTGAAGAATATATTCATTTGCTTCACTGTATTAATTTTAAAAAATCATTTACATATATTTCATAACGTTTTATACTTTAAATATACACAAAATTTATTTTAAAAAGTGAAATGTAACTTGATATTTACCTCAAATTGGTAAGGTAAAATAGAACTCTGTGTGTGTGTATTTGTGTGTGTGTGTATGTATGCATGTATGTGTACATGTGTATATGTATGTATGTATGTCTATGTGCATGCGTATGTGTGTATGTATGCATGCATGCATGTGTGTGCATGTGTGTGTGTGTGTATGTATGTGTGTATGTGTGTGTGTGTATGTATGTGTATATATGTACATTTGTCTGTACTGCTAGGGCCACAGACAGAATAAGACAGCCAGTCTATTTTCTGTACCCCAGAAGTTTATGTTTTAGTAGGACAGTACATAAATGTGTGGTAAGGAATTTGGCCTCACCCAAAAAAAGGTCTGGGCTTTGTTTTGGCTTCTTGGAGGTAGCCTGTAGATCCTTGGCATTTCCCTGGTGTTAGGAATGTTTTTGTTATTTGTGGCAGGCCCCCCAGACCCCACCTGGTAGTTTTGCTTACCAGGGTGATGAGGGTGGGCTGCTCAGGCCATGTGATATCAGCTTCACTCCTGGGAGAGTGGGGTGGGGGAGCTGTGGATTGAGTTCTGCCATGTGGACAATGACTCAGTCGATCGTGCCCACAGAAGGAAGCCCCCATAAAAACCCTGGACACCAAAGCTCGGGTGGGCGTCCTTGAGCAGCAGTACTCCACATGTGATGTCACATATTGTGGCTGGGAGGGGCAACACCAGCCATGACTCCATGGGAAGGGAATGGCCGCAAGCTCCAGGGTGGGCTCTGCCCATACTCTCCCTGTGCGTCGATTCCCTTGGCTGTTCTAGCTTGTGTCCCTCCCCTGGAATAAACGTGACAATGAGTATAATTGATTTCAGTGAGTTCTGTGACTCTTTCTAGTAAGTTACAGAATCTGAGAGTGGTTTTTGGAATACTTCAACTTGCAGTTGTTATCACAAGTATTGGGCAGACTCAGTAACCTGAAGGATTACTTCCTAAACCCTGCAGTTTGGCTAACTGCAGGTGATAGATAAACAAAAAACAAAATAAACGGCAAAGTTATTAATACTTTCAGAGTGTGATAAGTTCCTAAAGAAATTAAAACAGAATGTCATGAAAGAGAATGACAGAGGTGGGACTGTGTGGACTGGGTTGTTGGGGCCCCGAGCTGAATCTTCAATGACAGGTAATGCCCACCAGACAAACATCTGGGGACACAAATGGTTTGTGAGATGGGAACAAACTATGTGTTTTCACGAGATCAGACGAGATCGGGTGCGTTCAGGGTGGTATGACCATAGACACTAGGTGTTTTCAAGAAACAGGAAAATGGTTCAATGTGGATGGAGTGAGTGAGGCAGAAACAGAGGAGGAGTCAGAGAAGTGGGTGGGGCCCTATTCTATAGGGCTCTGCAGGCTGGGTCTGGCCTTTGTGTTTTGTTAAGTACAATTGGAGATTCATTGGAGGATTTAGGCAGGTGAGTGACATGACCTACTTATCCTTCTATATGCACATATATAGTTTTGCATAAAAGGGGTCATACTATCCATACTATTCTGTAGCTTGCTACTTTTACATACAGGAGTATGTAATATCCAGCCATATCTGTTTTGCGTGAGATGTGTAATGGCATGCATTTACAGAGAGGGCTATGGGAGCATGGAGGGGTGGGGTATGTCCAGCCTTAGGGAGCCATGGACGCTTTCCTGGAAGGCAATGCCTGAGCCAGGTCACAGAATATGACAGGTAGCTGGCCTAGCGAAGAAAGCAGTGAAGGGAATCTCAGGCAGTGGGGTACCTAGTATAGGTACAGGGGCAGAAACAGAGGAGACAGCATAGGTAAGTGGTCACCTGTGTAGAATGCTGCAGAAAGATTATTAGACGGGATGATCAGCAATCTTTAAAAGATCAGCTTCAGGAGAGTTGGAAGGATATGACTTAAACAGGCATTGTTGGGTAGCAGGGACAGAAACCACTCAAAAGAGGACAGCTGGTTATTTTAGAGATACCACAGACAGTCTGATGGTTATCCAAGAGCAGAACACATTGGGATTGGAACTGGACGTCAGCAAGTAAAGCCACTCCCTGTTTTCTACAATGAGAATCTGACTGGGTGAGTCCAATCTACCACTGGACATGTCCACTGTACTCTTATCAGCTTGGGCAGGTTAGCAATTTCCAAGAAAGGAAGAGGGGTTGGGCAGGCTTCCCAAGTATGCTTTCTGCAGCTGTTCTAATGATGAAGCATGCAGACTCCAGAGCCAGAGTGCTTGCATCAGAACCCCAATCTATCACCTGCCAGCTGTGTGATCTTGGGCTAATAAATTAACCACTCTGTGCTCAGTTTCCTCTACTGAAAAATGAGGATGCCAATGATAGTGTTTACCAGGCAATATTATTGTGAAGATTAAATGAGTTAGTATATAATATGTAAGCACTTAGAATAATACCAGACAGACAGAAAAGTGTTCCCCATTATTTTTGTTAGGGCCTGCTGAAAGAATGAGAAAATTGGGGAAAAAGTGTGAAGAAGTTTGACAGTGAGGGAAAGGAGAGGGATGCAGTAGTGGTTTCATAGAAAATCAGTAGGGACGTGGGGACTGTATCGGGACACAGGAAGTATGAATGGCTTTATCGATTCAGGGCGCAGAGCCAGGAATGATGCCACATGTGTGAGAGAGAATGGAAACTGACAGGGTCCGTCAACAACAGAAACAGAGAAGGAGCAAAGGGTGGTGGGGATGCAGAGGGGCATTGGCGGGGAGAAAATTAGAATCTGCTGACCCTGCTTACTGCCATAAAGGAGCTGGCAGGACCTGCTGCCAAGAATGAAGGTCAAAAGCATGTTTGGGGGATTAAGGGAATCAAGAAAGCTTCAGAATGATTTAGATGCTCCTCCTCCGTGAAATTACAAAAACTAAATCTCAGTGGCATAATGAGTTCCTCTCTTCTCCGTGCCCCAACAGCATACTCCAATGCACACCTCCTTTACAGCGCCGGTCACATTTCAGTGTAGTGATTTGTCTATCTGATCCGACTTCTTGAATGCCATCTCTGTGAGGTCACAGACCTTAGGGGGGTGCAGCAGATTTCCCTTAGCTCTAAGTGTGAATTAGAAAAAGGACCTTCTCTGGATGAAGGCAACTCAGAGGAAGGGGTACCTTTTCCTAATCTGCACAAAAGTGCTATCTGCTTGCCATGTTCCTCTTCTGTGAAATTAAAAAAAAAAAAAAATCATAGGCAAACAGTGCCTTGGGCCAGATTCAAGGACTGGTGAGTGAATTTCATCTCTTTCCTTTCTTTGGCTGGGATCCCTTCTCTGTGCATGGCTTGCACAACCAGGCACTGGGCCTGGATATTTCCATCTCCCTAGTGTGTTGCACAGTACCTAGTGCAGAGTAGATGCTCAAAAGAACTGTTGAATAAACAAACAAATTATGTTGATGAGGTGAATTATGTATAGAACCTACTAGGAATGGGAAGAAGGAATCATTAATTGCTGGACACATTCTAAGCATCTAAAACATGTTTGATGAATGAATGGGTATGTATAAAAATGATGTTGAGTACTCCACTGAGGTTAGGAAGAATGTATGTGTCTTCCACTCAAGGCTTCCTGGTTTTGGATTTACATGAGCAAGATGAATCATCTCATGTAAAGAGGCTGCAAAAATTACTGGTTGGATCAATCCAGGGTTCAGATTGGCAGAGTGGTTTGGAGGAGGATCCAGGGCATATTTTTTTTTTCTACAGGTCCTCAAAACCTCTGTAGTTGAGCCCAGAAGGGGTCTCTTAAGGATCTTTCTTCAAGACTTTGTAAAACCCTAAACCTGGCATCTTCTGGATGAATAGCCTACTAGGTTCTGAGGTGCCTTGGGGTCACTCTGGGTACCAGGTGACCATCATCTCATGCTGGTTTGCAGGCAAATCAGGGGCACAGAGCACCAATTCTTCCCTGTGCTAGCTTCTGCCAGTTCTTTCCCAGCCCAAAGAACTGACCATCATTTAATGTAGTATGCTGTAGGGTAAAAGTTCTCAAGCTTTAGAGTGGATCAGAATTACCTGAAGAGACTTGATTGCTGGGCCTCAGCCATAGAATTTCTGATTTAGTCAGCTTGAGGAATCTGAATTTTCTTCTTCTTCTTCTTCTTTATTTTTTTTTTTTTTTCAGGAGACAGAGTCTCTCTCTCAGGCTGGAGTGCAGTGGCATGATTATAACTTACTTCAGCCCCAAACTTCTGGGCTCAAGTGATCCTTCTCTCTCAGCCTCCCAAGTAGCTGGGACTACAGGTGTGTGTCACTGCACCCAGCTAATTTAATTTAATTTAATTTATTTTTTTTGTACAGACACAGTCTTGCTATTTTTCTCAGACTGGTCTGAAACTCCTGGCCTCAAATGATCCTTCTGCTTCTGCCTCCGAAAGTGGTGAAATTACAGGCTGGGGCTACCATGCCCAGCCAGAACATGAACTTCTAACAATTTACCAGGTGATGCTGCTGCTGTCTGTTCCTGGACCACACTTGAGTTGTCTTTCTTTGCATCTTCCACCCAGCATTGCTTAATAGAGAGTGATCTGTCTCAGCAAGGCCCACGTCATCTACTCTCCACCCAGGCTTTCCTCTGACCCCTCTGGTCCTTGTTCACCGCGGTCTGGCAGCTGTGGGCTTTACAGTGGGAGGAACTATGGAGGATCCACTACAGAAAACGCAGAGGTATGGTGTCTTTTCACTTGGTGGGGTCAATTCAGCTCAGGGGACTCAGAGCATTCTTCCACCCCTGTTCGCAAAAGTTAGGGCACAGCATTGCTTCTCCTCAAAGAACTTTCCTGCTGGGGGGTGCCCAGGTCTGTGGCTGTGGCCTCCATTGATAGTGGAGCTCTCGTTTTCACCCACATAGTATAGTAGAGGACCCCAACTGGCTGAGAAAACTCCCTGGCCTCCCCTTGTACAACTACTCCATGTGTCTCGGCTCAGTTCCGGGTTCTGCCCCTGCTTCCTCCCAGCCAGTCCCTGCAGACCCAGCCCAGGCAGTCCTCCATGCCCGAGGGATCTGAAGTTGCTGTCTCTGGCAATCGCTACTGTTTTCCAGTTACTTATGGAATCATCTCCTCAGTTTGAACATCCCCCGAGGGCAAGGACCGCAGCTTGCTGCACTTCGAGTGTCTCCCTCCCATTGTGATATCTAGCCCCGTGTTGTGGGGGTACACAGTGGGGCCCAATAAAGAACTGCTCTCCAAATATGGAAAAGAAGGTCTCAGGCTTATTCCACTTAGACACGGCTCACGTGGGCTTCATTTATAACATGTCTTTCACAGCACCCCCTTGCGTTTCCAAACTAGCTCCCAGAGACTTCCCTACTTCTTCAGGAAGTTCTTGCAACTTGAAAATTGGAAGATATCAACTCCAGCTTCTAATTAGGGGTTTGTCCCCCAACATGATAATAATTGTTTGGGGAAATCTTTTTACTGGTGTTCTGCTTGATATAGGCCTTCTTCACCCTGGGTACTCTGGTCCAGGGGAACCTGAATGGAATGCTTAAATGCTTAAGACTGTGAGTTGGGGAAGGAGGTTTCTGATTATTGGCAACCAGGTAAAGACTACTGTGAACTGAGAAAAATGCATGTCTGCATTTTTATGCTTCAGTTTTATTTTAATTTTTATTTTTTTGAGACAGAGTCTCGCTCTGTGGCCCAGGCTGGAGTGCAGTGGCACAATCTTGGCTCACTGCAACCTCTGTCTCCCGGGTTCAAGTGATTCTTGTGCCTCACACTGCTGAGTAGCTGGGATTACAGGCGCCCACCACCAGGCCCAGCTAATTTTTGTACTTTTAGTAGAGACAGGGTTTCGCCATGTTGGCCAGGCTGGTCGTCAACTCTTGACCTCAAGTGATCCACCTGCCTCAGCCTCCCAGAGTTCTGGGATTATAGGTCTGAGCCACTGTGCCCGGCCTGTGCTTTAATTTTATATCTTTGTACTTCATCAGTGAAATTGGATAATGACATCTGCAGAACTTATCTACTATATGTGTGATTTTAAAATTTCTAAAATTGTGAAAATTCTCAGAAAAGTATAAGATAAGTTGCAAATACAAGGTATTCTATTTCTACCCACATTCGGATTCTAAGTGTTCAGTTCTGGCATGATATGTATGTCTTAATTACTGAGGACTATCTGTGGGCCATTATGTGTGTGAAATATACTTTTAAATAGAGTGTATACCTGTATATCTATTTTTATGCCAACAGAGATTTTTTTTTTTTTAAAGATCTGTCCATGGCAAGTACATGTCAGGGATCTCATGCTGACTTATTTAGATGTCTAGGTTTAATGAGGTGAACTTCAAACCTGTCCCTGAACATAACTGGCTAAATTGTACACATAGTTATTAAATACAATTACACTTATAGATTCACATACACTATAGGTTACATCCTGTCCCCTCTGAACACAGCAGGCACATTTTGCCAATGTCTGATTTAATAGCTTCCTAGGGAGGTGTTAGTTTTATTCCTCCAACCCCAGCATTTTGGAAGCATTTCTTCTGTGCTTTAGCCTTTGATTTTGGATTAATCTCCATAAATTGGCTCTAACTGTTATAAGTCAATTTCTCAGAGACCTGCCTATATATCCTCCCTTATGAAAGATGGTCACTGGCCTAGCCCAAGAGGGTCCCTATGCTTTGGTGGGAGCTGTCATTCCAGGAAAAGGCCACTGAGACTGAGTCCCCCTGGGAAAAGTAAAACTTTGCATTTCAAACATTCCTGGGAGACTCAAGCACGCTGCTGCTGACTAATAAGCAGTAGAGGCTTATTATAAGTGGAGGAGATCCTATTTCACAAACTGATTGTACTCGACATGAGAAGTGCAGTCCAGACCTTGATCCCGATTAATGAAATTGCCAATTGCTATTTACAGACATTATCCCCGTGCCTCTGAAAAGATTGTAAAACCTCTTTCATTCAGGCTCCATTAATTTAGAATTTGGGTTCTTATGGAGAGGGTCATCCTTTGCATTGATCTGAAATGTTTTTTTTTTTTTGAGATGGAGTCTCGTGCTATTGCCCAGGCTGGAGTGCAGTGGCTCGATCTTGGCTCACTGCAACCTCTGCCTCCCAGGTTCAAGCCATTCTCTTGCCTCCGCCTCCCAAGTAGCTTGGATTACAGGCACCTGCCACCACACCCAGCTAATTTTTGTATTTTTAGTAGAGACAGGATTTCACCATGTTGGCCAGGCTGGTCTCAAACTCCTGACCTCAAGTGATCTGCCTACCTTGGCCTCCCAAAGTGCTGGGACTACAGGCATGAGCCACCGTGCCCGGCCTGATCTCTTTATTAACTACGGAAAAGATTCTGCTGCAAGAATTAGGAATGTGGACAATTATAGTGGGGGCACATTTAACACACATATACATTGCTTCATCAAACTGAGTGTCCTCTGTGGGTATTTTACCAGTTTGTATTTGAGTTGTCCAAGAAAAAATGAGCGTGGGGTGGATATAGCAGTGTTGCATGAAGATAATAACCAAAAAGCTGTCAAACCACAGGCTCTTCCTTCTCTCCCATGACTACATGGTCTCTTGCTGATGGCACCTCTGCTTCTTCCTGATGTTTGCTCCATTTTTCTTCCTAACCAATTCCTCTGCAGGCTCATAGTTTCTGGGGCCTATTAGCTTAATGTTGTACCTGGTCATTGTGTTCTTACTGGCTCCAAACGCCAAATGCCAAGTTGCCCAGTGTTGTCTATTCCAACTCTCCTACAGGCCAACTGTGTTAGCCTGTAGACTAACACATAGTTACAGACCATATGTTGCTGGCCAGTCCAAATATTGATGACTGCTGTGGTCTGCATGTTGATGTCCCCCACTAATATTTCTTTTTTTGAGACAGAGTCTCACTCTGTCACCCAGGCTGGAGTGCAGTGGCGCAATCTTGGCTCACTGCAACCTCTGCCTCCCGGGTTCAAGCAATTCTCTTGCCTCAGCCTCCTAAGTAGCTAGGACTACAGGCGCACACCACCACGCCCAGCTAATTTTTGTATTTTTAGTAGAGATGGGGTTTCACCATGTTGGTCAGGCTGGTCTTGAACTCCTGACCCGTGATCCACCCGCGTTGGCCTCCCAATGTGTTGGGATTACAGGCATGAGCCACCGTGCCCGGCCCCTCCACTAAATTTATATGTTGGAACAGAATCCTCAATGTGATAGTGTTAAGGGGTGGGGCCTTTAGGAGGTGATTAGGTCATAAGGGCTCCACCTTCACCAGTGGGATTAGTGCCCTCATAAAAGAGTTCCCTTCTGCCAGGTGAGGACACACAGAAGTTACCATCTGAAAGCAACGGGCCCTCACCAGATACTGAATCTGCTAGAGCTTTGATCATGGACATCCCAGCCTCCAGAACTGTGGGCAATACATTTCCCTTCTTTATAAATTATGCAGTCTAAGGTATTTTGCTATAGCGGCCTGAATGGACTACAATAACCCTTGGTCCAATAGTATTGCCAAGCTGGAGTGGAGACGTGTGTTAGGCGCCATGGCCCCCTATGCAGGAAGTGTCTCTTAAGACTGGGACAACAGGCAAGGCAGGTGTTTAGTAGTTGGCTGCTCCAGTTGACTGTGTCAGGGGAAGGAAATACTGGCCCACACAGGGTAAGAATTCAGCTGTAACTTCAGTCACATACTCGCCAGGCATGCTTTAACTTTGCCTCCCAGCTGATTTGGTGCCATGTAAAATTAAAAGAAAAAAGTCAATCTCAGGTCCATTTCAGTGGTGAGGGACAGGACTTCCCATGCCCGTGGTGTCTTCCACTGCCGTTACGTACGGCACCTGTTCAGTGCTGGGTCCTCACCCCTCATCTCTTCCACAGACTGTCCCTGAGAAATCGTTACCCAAGCCCAAGACTCGGTCATCCCCATGATGACCCTAAAATCGATGTCTCCAGCTCATCTGTTCTCCAAGCTCTGGACTATTGTATTCACTTCCCTCTTAAGACATCTCATCTGTATGTCCCACAGGCATCTGAAATCCACAGGTGCAAATCAAATTTGTATCTTACCCAAAGCCTCTTCTTATATTTACCAACCTCTAAATTTCCCAATTTAGCGAATATCAAGAGCTTCTTTCCAGTTGTCTAAGTCTGAGATGTTCTAATAATTTTGAGTCTTCTCTATCAACCATATCCATTCAGTTACAGCATCATATCAATTTTTCTTCCCAAATAGTTCTTGAATCAACCCCCTCTCCACAATATCCATTGCCACTGCTTTTGTTCCCATCACCTTTATTTCCTAGTAACTAGAAATCCTAACCATTTTATTTCTCTCCAATGTGTCTCTCATACCACTCACTGCCAGAATTATCTTTCTAAAAATTACCTAATGTCAATTCCTTAATTAAAACATTTCCATGGATCCCTGTTGCCTATAAGATGAATTCTAAGCTTCTTGGCATAGTTTATTACAGCCTTTACGGTCCGCTTCTAACTACCCCTTCCCTTGTGCCCCAGGATTTCCCCATCACTTCCTGGGCCCCAGTCACACTCAGTTCTCTCCATGTGCCAAGCTCTTCTGCAACTTCCTATACTTGAATACCTTCATTCTGCCTGGAATATCCTTACTGTACCTATCCACAAGGGTCAACTCAAAATCTTATGACCCCAATCCTAAGGCACCTTCTAGGAAGCACTGGATGTTTGGCCGATTTGGGTGCCTCAGGGTCTGGGAAGGTAACATCAATGAGTGATCGGGCTAAGTCACCACAACTGAAGCTGTGGCAACCTGAAGAGTGTTTGGACCAACTAAAGGCCTTTGTAGTGGACGTTGCTCATTTTGTTCCACACCACATTTGAGGACCTTTTCTATATTTCTATCATTTCCACACAGTGAAAGCACTGCCAGAAAACCAAGGGGTGCAGATATGAGACCCCAGTTTCACCGATGAGAAGTGCCCTCATGAAACGTTATATGGACATGAGTGGTATGAGTGTGGGCTGTGCCAGGGCACGAATGTTCTGGCCAGCCTGGCAGTGAGGGCATTGGGTTTTGTGGATGGGTGTGCTTCAGCATCACGGGTGCCAGGCAGTAACTGCGGCATGCTGTGCTGGAGGAACTTCTGGGATGCAACTGGGCTCACTTCTGGCTGTGAACTTTCAGAGTTAGCCTCTCTGGCCCTCCTGGGAAGTTTCTGAACTACCTAATACCCTTTAATACATTTCTTTGTTGCTTAAACTAGCTAGAGTGGATGGTGTCATTTGTACCTGAGAACTCCTGATTGAAAGATAATCAATGAAAACACACACAAACATACACACACTCACTCACAGAATCTATATTTCTCTCTCTATTGTATTAGTCTTCTATTGCTGCTGTTACAAATGACCACACACTGACTGGCTTAAAAGAACATACGTTTATTACCCTACAGTTCTGTAGGTCAAAAATCTGACACAGGTCTCACCAGGCTAAAATCAGGGTGTCGGCTGGGATGCACTCCTTTCTGGAAGCTCCAGGAGAGCATCTCTTTCCCATCCCTTTCCAGTTTCTAGAGGCCACACACTTCTCTTGGCTCAGGGCGCTCATCCCCCACCTTCAAAGCTGGCAACAGTAGGGCAGGTATATTTCACGCTTCAGACTTCTCCTGCTGCTTCTTTTGTCCTCCGCTCTCTCTCTGGCTGACTGAAGCTGGAAAAGGTTTTCTGCTTGTAAGGACTCCTGTGATTAGACTGGACCTACCTGGATAATCCAGGATAATCTCCCATCTCAAGGTCTTCAACCTTAATCACATCTGCAAAGTCCCTTTGGCCATGTAAGGTAACATATTTACAGGTTCCAGGGATTATTCTACATAATACTACTTGATATTATATATATACATATATATATGTGTATATATATGTGTGTGTATATATGTGTGTGTGTGTGTGTGTGTGTGTGTGTGTATTTCTCCACACACACTACTTTCTCTGAAAATGCTGGAATTGACTCATGTATCATGTATGTATATCTGACTCACATATCATATATGTATATTTGACTCATGTATAATGTATGTACCCATGTGTCATGTATGTATATCTCCTCACATTTCCAAGAACATTTTATGAATCCTGGTATTTATGTCTGTCACCTCCAGTTCACGGTATGCCTCAGGTCTTACTTATCTTCATGTTTCCAGCACATAATTGATGTTTACTGAATAGGTTGTTGACTGTAACAGCAACCAGATGAACTTTTCTGGAAAGCTATGCCGCCTTTCATACCCGTCTCTGCGGGAGTGGCCGAGGCTGCAGCAATGTACATGTGGTCCT
Organism: Homo sapiens; assembly: GCF_000001405.40. Lineage (NCBI taxonomy): Eukaryota > Metazoa > Chordata > Mammalia > Primates > Hominidae > Homo > Homo sapiens. Next base: position 13,297,781 of record NC_000012.12, read on the forward strand.
GGCTGGCAGGCAGCCGCTCCCCGCTCCCCCAGTGTTGTTGTCCTTGGGTACTTCTCCAAGGCACTTTTTCCTATGTACATGTACAGCTGTTACCCCAGCACCTGGGAAATGTCACACCTCATATCTTTAATTTAATTATTCCTCCAACATCCTAGGGAGGTGAGGCAGACTCAGATGCCAGATGCAAAGATGGAGACACAGGGGATCTTGGACTTTTCCACAATCCCCAAAGGGGGCTTGAGAGGCCAAGAAAGGATACTGCTGGCTTCTTGCTCAGGCTTCCCTTGGGAACCCGCAGCTTTCCTTTCTGCCACCCCCAATCTGTCACACGGTAACTGGGTTCAGTGGTGGAAAGACAGACTGTGAGGGGGAAAGGCAAAGACATTTTCGAGAAGCCCAGGGGCACTTGTCAGGAACAGCACATCTGGCAGTGCTTCAGACTAAGGCTGGCCTAGATTCCGTGATGAAATAAACAAACATGGTGGATGCCTGTAACTCATTGAGAGCTGGTTAGAGATCTCAAATGACTTCCTACTGCTCTTAGGATAAAGTTCCAGAACCTTAACAAACCTTGCATGATCTGGCCTCTGCCTCTCTCACCAACATTTTCCTGGCTCTCAACAGCCCAGCCAAGCTAGTCATCTTTCAGTTCTTCAAAGTGGCCATGCCCTGTGCTCTTGCCTCTTCCTTTCCATGGACCATTTTCCTCCATTCCCTTTCCTATTCTTCCATCTAGCCAACTCACGGCACACTGCAGGTCTCTGCTTAAAGTCACTTCTTCATGGAGGGCTTTCCAGACACCCTAGGCTAGGTTAGGTTCCCTTGCTATACAGTCTCATAAAACACATCAAAACTGTAATTAACTAATTAATTATCTGTAGTGATGTGATTACTATTTTAAGGTCAGTCTTTCCTCTTTAGACTATAAACTTCATAGGAAACTTATCTTGTTCACCTCTTTATCCTCATAGGATAGCATAGTGGTGGAATAGGGTTGGTACTTGATAAGAATTTATTGAATTAATAGCTTTCTGGTAAAATTGCACTGATATGCTAAGGAAGATATTACCGAAGAGATTGGGAAGTGGTGCATTTCCAATTCTACTTCAAGTTCTGAGGCCAAGCACTTCATCTTAAATTATTTTATTCCCCCAAATTTTATCTCCCTTATTCCTTCTTCCTAAGTACTAGCAATTATTAAACACATGCTCAATGACAGAAGGAAGATAACTAATAGTATGCTGTTGAGGGGGTGGAAACTCAAGGAGCAAGCCTGGATCTAGGGTTGGTTTTGTTAATAACCTATGAGACAACTAGCAAGTTATTCAACTTGCATGTGCTTCACCTCTAAGCTTGGCTTGTGCCTCTGTACTGTTGCTCTCCAGGCCAGGAAGAGAAGGGCTTCTCCATCTCTGTGCTTAAAGAGGGAGGAGTGGTGGACGCATAGCTTCCCATGGATGTGCATTGAGAAATCTTAACTTTGCTCCCCAACTTTGTAAAAGGGCAGAGAGAGGCAGCTAATCAAGGGAAGGTGAACTCAAATGGTTAGGGAAAAGTGGGAAGGCAGCATGAGTGCTCTGAAAAGTTGGAGCTGGTAGGGACCATAGCTTTTGTCTGGTGCTGCAGGTGCATAGTTTACAGGTGAGGCCCTTGAGGACCAGATAAGCTCAGCAGTTCATCCAAGATCAGTGACCAAGCCAGGACTCAGATCCACATCTTTAGATGTCTAAGTCAGAGCTCTTGTTTCTCTGTCATTTCCATCATCCACTCTGATGGCTTGCACTGGTCAGCTCAGGCTTAAATTCCTGCTTCTGCTGAGTCAGTTCAATTTGTGGATCTCCTGGACAACCTGTGCATGCCTGGTCTTATCCTCACTGTTACTTCTGGCTGGATGTGACTCCTTCACTCCCACCAAGTGGCATCATCACAAGGCTAGTGTACAGCTATCTCTAAGTGAAGGCTTAGGGCCATGGAGGGGGTTTCCATTGCAGCATCACAACTTTACTATATAATAGACACCTTGTTCTTCAATGTTCTTGGGCATTTCCTGCTGGCTGCTGTTCCCCGCAAGAGACAACCCTAAGCTATGTGACACAGGCCTCTCTCTCCCCTCTTCTCTCTCATCTGTCTCTAAGTTCTAATGCTTTTCTGAGCAAAAGAAATCTAGCTATGTCTTTGATGGTCTCCTTTCAGACTAAGCCCTTGGGGCCCATCTTTTGCACTTGGTTGGCATAGCAGGGTATTTTCCTAACTAAAGGCAGTTCTCTTCCCTAAATAAACTTTATCTAGTGTCATCTGTGTGTATGTGTGTGTATAAATATATATGGCTCATTTTTTAAAACATTTTCTTAATTTTTCTTTTTAAGTTATTTTAATGTACGAGATTCTTTTAGAGAAGGATAAAAGCTCAGAGGAAGACCAGGAAGAGAGGAATGTCCATGGTCACTCTAGGCAGATGAGGGTAGAAATCTTGGAGACACCTGAAAACCACAGAACCAAGGAAAAGGCAAAGCCCAGATTAAAGGTAGTGTCTGAAGTGGGTGCTGGTGGTACGGCACATAAGGCCAGGATTTTGGGGTTGGGAGTGGGGTGAGGGGTGGAGTAGCTGAAGCCCCTGAGATGGGGAGTATGTCAGATGGAGATTGGGAAGGGAGGAGAGGATTCATTGAACCAGTGGACTGGAGTCCCACCCTTACAGCTGTGGCTGCAGCTGCCAGAGACTGACTGCCAATTACCATTAAACAGGACCTTGGGAGGCACATCAAAGAGTTCTGGGATTTGGAGGCCTAAATGGAGCACAGAGATTTTGTGAACATGGCCAGGGGTTGGCTGCAGCAGTGTGAATAGGAGGTGGGGTATGAGAGGATGGGTTGTGGTGGGTATTCAGAGGAGGGTCATGACCATTCAGGGTCTTTATTGCTTCCTTCCAAGACATGAGTAGGAGAATGAAACTGGATCCTCATCTCTCACCTTATACAAAAATCAATGCAAGATCAATCAGAGACTTAAATCTAAGACCTGAAACTATAAAAATTCTAGAAGATAACATTGGAAAAACTCTTCTAGACATTGGCTTAGGCAAAGACTTCCTGACCAAGAACCTAAAAGCAAATGCAACAAAAACAAAGATAAATAGGTGGAACTAAAGAGCTTCTGCACATCAAAAGGAACAGTCAGCAGAGTAAACAGACATCCCACAGAGTGGGGGGAAATGTTCACAATCTATACACCTGACAAAGGACTAATATTCAGAATCTACAAGGAACTCAAACAAATTAGCAAGGAAAAACAAACAATCCCATCAAAAAGTGGGCTAAGGACATTAATAGACAATTCCCAAAAGAAGATATACAAATAGCCACAAACATGAAAAAATGCTCAACATCACTACTGATCAGGGAAATGCAAATCAAAACCACCATGCAATACCACTTTACCCATTCAAGAATGGCCATAATCAAAAAATCAAAAAATAATAGATGTTGACGTGGATGTGGTGAAAAGGAAACACTTCTTCACTGCTGGTGGGAATGTAAACTAGTACAACCACTGTGGAAAACCGTGTGGAGATTCCTTAAAGAACTAAAAGTAGAACTACCATTTGATCCAGCAATCCCACTACTGCATCTCTACCCAGAGAAAGGAAGTCATTATACAAAAACATCCTTGCACATGTATATTTATAGCAGCACGTTTCACAATTGCAAAAATATGGAACCAGCCCAAATGCCCATCAATCAACAAGTGGATAAAGAAATTGTTGTATATATATGTGATGGACTGTTAGCCATAAAAAGGAATGAATTAATGGCATTCGTAGCAACCTGAATGAAACTGGAGACTATTATTCTAAGTGAAGTAACTCAGGAATGGAAAACCAAACATTATATGTTCTCACTTAAAAGTGGGAGCTAAGCTATGAAGATGCAAAGGCATAAGAATGATATCATGGACTTTGGAGACTTAGGGGGAAAGGGTGGGAGGGGTATGAGGGATAAAAAACTACAAATTGGATTCAGTGTATACTGCTCAGGTGGTGGGTGCACCAAAATCTCACAAATCACCATTAAAGAACTTACTCATGTAACCAAATACCACCTGTTCCCCAAAACCCTATAGAAAAAAGAGACATAGGTCCAGCCCAAATGGGAAATACTCTCATTTGTTTCCAGAAACTCCTTCTGTTCTGTTTCCAGCTGCCTCAGTCCTGGGCAGGGTATGCTACTCAAGAAATCACAGAGCCCAAGTCTCTTTCATGTTAATAATTATAATAATAGCTAATATTTAAAATGCCTTACATGTGTTTTGTCATAATACATTTATGAAGAAGGTATTATCCCTATTTTACAACTGAGGAGACTGAGACACAGAGAAGTTGGGGAGCTTGTCCAAGATCACACAGCCAGCAAACACTGGAGCTGGGAATCCAACCCTAGTCTGTTTAGCATCAGAGTCCAAGTACCTAACCACTACACCAGCGGCCTTTGAGTAGACACTTGAAGAAGCATGAACTGTATGTTATTGTGTTTATGCCTGGATAAAAGATAACTTAAATATAAGCTACCCCATTTCTCAATCAGAAAAATGGCAAAATAAATAGTTTGATAACTTTGGATGTATAAACTTTTAATCAAATATCAACTTGTAATCTTAAGTTAATTATTTATGTAAAAATTATGCAGAGTTGTGCCAGTTAGGGTTCTGAGTTGCAAGGAACAGAAATAGACTCTGGCTAATGTAAGGGGTAATGAGGGACAGGAGAACCAGGAGACAGAACAGAGCTCGACCCTCGCACAGCTCCCCAACTTCACGTCATGAGGGTGCTGCTGACCAGGCTTGCACTGCTGTTGCTGGAGATCCCAGACCTTGAACACTGCTGTTGATCCTGATAGCACTGAAGTCAAACACGTATTCAGAAAAGTGCATAAACATAAATACAGCTCAATGAATTGACACAGAGTAAACACACCCTTACACCCAACACCCATCAAGATACAGAACCTTACCAGCACCCTATATGAAGAATTTCAGTGTCAACAAATATTTGAAACCATTTCCCAAAGTGGTGTGCCAGTTTATACTTCTACCGACAAGATAGTACCAGGTTTAACCTGGTACTACTCTTGTGTTCATCTTAGCCATTCTATTGGATTTGTGGTGTTGTCTCATTGTGGTTTTAATTTGAATTTCTCTGATAATTAGTAATGCTGGGAACCTTTTAACATCAAATTGACCATTTGATATTCTCTTTTATCTACTTCTTTTCTATTGAATTTCTGCACTTTCCTTATTGCTTTGTACAAGTTCTTTATATATTTTGGATACAAGTCCTTTGATAGATAACTATTGGAAATATCATCTCCTACTCTGTAGCTTATGTTTTCACTGTCTTATAATATCTTTGAATGAAAGTTCTTAATTTAACATGGTCCAATTTATTGATTTTCTTCTCTTTAATGTTAGGGCTTTCAGAATTCTATTTAAGAACTCTTTCCCTACTCCAAGGTCAGGAAGATATTCTTCTCTGTTTCCTTCCAAAAGCTGTATTATTTTTGCCAGGGCATTGCTTCTGAAAGTGATCTTTAAATGTTTCAATTATGATAATAAACAGTTTCAATTCCTCTGAGAATAATTACTAAATCTATGTTAAAATGTTTTGTCCTCTTTTAAATAGATCATGTCAGATTTATGTCAGACTGCATCAGAGCACCAAATACTAGCAATAGTTGAGATCATTTAAGGCCAGTGGGCTTTCCCCAAACAATTTTTAGTGTTTGAAATACAGTAATTAAGCAAGAGTTTCATGGGTACAGGAGAAACTCTCACTTTATAATTGAGTAAAAAAGACGTATATTAAGCCCCTTTTGGTTTTAAATGTTAAAAGTTTGACTCCAAGTAGCTTAAGAGGTGAAAAAACAATGAGACAGATGGAAATTGACCTGGTTCTAAACCCTAATAACTAGGAAGGATGAGATGGATCTGCTTTCAGGCACAGCTGGATCTAGGTATCAAAACAACATATTAATTAGGGCTCTGCCTCTGCGTCTCTCTACATCTTTATGTGTGCTTCCCTCTGAGTTTTGGCTTAATTTTGGTGAGGAAGAAAGGAGGCAACTAGCAGCTCTAAATCTATATTATGACAATTTACAATCTAGGAGGAGAGATCATTTTCTCTGCATTCACATGATATTACATTTCAGAGAAGGCTTTGATTGGACTTCTTTGTGTGATATGCTCATCCTTGAACCTGTTACTGTGGTCTTGGAAATGGAATGCTCTAACTGGTCAGCCTGGGTCATACGCCTAGCCTGTGACAATTGAGGGAGGAGGTCAGGGTTACTGCCATGGATGGGCCACTTTGTGTGGAGGATGGGTAGTTCTTCAGTAGGAAAGTGAAGCAGTATTTTCAAGCATGTACTGAAATTTATTTCTGTTAAATGAAAGTGGCAAGAAAAGGAAGAATCTTTCAGTACCAACCATTTCCCTAGCTTTTCATGGCATTTATGCTTCTTATAGATTTCTATATGGCAGGAGCTGTGCTAGGTGCTAGGGATACAGACATGAAAAGCCATTTTTATGCCTTTAAGGTCTACACAAACTTTTAGCTGGGTGGAGACATCAAAAGACAAATGCGAGACAGTGTGACGTTTGCAATATGGAGGCCTATGCACGTTGCAATGGATGCAGCTAGTGGTGTCTAGGGAGTCCCAGATGAGGAACAACTCGAGCCAACTTTTAAGTAGGTGAAGTTTTCTGGTAAATAAGTAGAGAAAGGTCAAGGGTGCCTTCTAGGCAAAGAGAACAATTTGCAAAGGCAGAGAAGCACAACATAGCAGTACCCGTCCAATGGAGACCCAAGTTCAGTGCATTCACATAGTCAAGAGCCCTTTGGCATTGCCAGCTCCATCCATGCCAGATGAGGCACAGGTGCTGGCATTAAAAGGACCAGCAGGGGACGGCATCTTTGGTAGGCAACATTAAGGCCAGTGGAGACTTTAGTCCCTAGAAGTGGTTGCATTTTGGCCACACCAAAATGGAGTCCTGTCTAAAGAATCTGTTAAGGGCTTTTGGGAAGAGTGCATGAAAAAACTGAACCCTCCCATAGCTTCTTATCAAAATAAGATGTCCACTGCTAAGCTTTTGCTACTTAGGGGCACTTTTATGTTTAAGCTAAAATCAGTGCTGCCCCTTTAGTGAGGTCTTTCTCTTCTCCCTCTCTTGTCCCTCCTCCTTGTGTGTGTGCGTGCACGCCTGCCTGCTCTAGTGTCTTTCTCTCACTTTGAAGGGCTGCCAGTCCTGTGTCATGTTGACAAGGAGAAGACATGCTGGGAAAATGTTATAGCTGAGTGGTCCTAAGGGAGATAGCTTTGTGAAATGCCAAGCATGTGGGAAGGACAAAGGTTCTCTGGGCTCTGGAGTGACTAAGCAAGTGTAAGCTAGGGGCTGCCACCACTGGTGTCTCTCAAACAGCCTTAGTGCTTGTTTCAGAGCAAGCTAAAGGCAGGCAGCCATCATTAGGAAAGGGTGGGGTGAGGCTTTTTTTTAAAATTCAGCCCTGGCTGCCCTGGACTCTGGGGATAATGAGGGAGACTGACATGTGAGTTTAGGCTGAGAGAATCTGCAGCCTTTCATGGGTCTAGAGAGGGTAGCTTCTCAATGAGAAATGACAAATTTGAATCCTCCAAAGGGCTTTTGAGCTGACTCGGTAGGAGGAGCAGAAGTTGAAGAGAAGGTGTAAGTTAGTTACATGAAATTTTCAGGACTCCTTTTCCAGTTCCACTTTGGAATGGTCAGTTTGGTTTTTCCAAGACCTTACAAATTTCCAGGAGCAAATGGACCCAACCATAGGTACTTTTGCGAAACCACAGTGTCTGTGGTTTTTGGGTGGGGATTGGTTGTTTCAGACATTTTCTGGGTCGTATTGAAACCAAAGAATGCAACAGATTGGATTCCATAAGAAGCAATGCTCATGCCTTTTACAGGGGGTGACAAGAAGGCTTTTTCTCTGTATACCATACTTTAGGGGTGATTATAAGACTACTAAGATGGGTAGTAAAGGGTCATCTCCTATCTCTTTCTCCAAGCAGCATGTCAAATAGAAGGCTTATTAAACAAAGGCCACATCCATCCGTATCCCTGCGTCCTAGTTGGGCACGGACACAACCCAAGGCTGCGTCCTTTCCTGGGCTGTTGAAGGAAACAGCCTCAGGAAACTCAGGTGCCATGTAGAAGACTATACCATTCATCTTCCAAAACACTGATTTAGGCAGTGATTATTCCCTTTTATTCATACACATTTCCCAATTTCATGAAGTGCCTGATCATGGGAATAGGGCTGGCCTTTTTTTTTAAAATTTTTTTTGAGATGGGGTCTTGCTTTATTGCTGAGGCTGGACTGAAGTGGCATGATCATAGCTCACTGCAGCCTCAAAATCCTGGGTTCAAGGGATCTTCCTGCTTCACCCTCCTTAGCAGCTAGAACTACAGACATGTGCCACCATGCCCAGCTAATTAAAAAAAAATTTATGGAGACTGCATCTTGCTATGTTTCAAACTCCAGGCTTGTCTCAAACTCCTGGCCTCAAGAAACCTTCCTTCCTCAGTCTCCCAAGTAGCCAGGACTACAGGTGCAAGCCACTGTACCTGGCAGACAATGTACATTTTCTAATATTTCATTTATTCATTCAGTCAGTCAGGTATTGAACATACTATAAGAGCTTATGTTCCATGCTTTGGGGGCATTCAAAAAGCAGCGATACATGATTGCTTTCTTTAGGAATCTCACAGAGTCACAGGGGAAAGAAGATATGTAGACAAATAAGGGTAATTCAATATAAAAGGTAATGAGCATCATAACAAAGGTTTAAAGGGCTGTGCATGCCACATCTCATTGGCTACAATCAAACTATGGCTACCCTAAGCAAAAAGAGATTTATTAGGATCCTGAGATAACTCAAAGACTAAGAGCTTCAGAAAGACAGAAATAAGGACAATGCCTGGGAACCCCAGATATTGACTTAATTTTTTGGATGCTGCCTGAAGCTCCAATCACATTTCATCTTGCTCTCCTTTCTGTTCCATTTAGGCCAGCTTGCACCAATCCCTGTCTCTTTCTTATAGTATCCTACTGGAGGCTTCCAGAAGTAGCCAAGAAACTCTAGGATCCTAGAGGAAGGTAGCTCATCTCATCAGCTCAGACTATCTCACATTTTAGGAGCAGTCACTTTCTAGTGTTGGTATCAAGACAATCTGTGCAAACTACAATGCTTGGCTTAGCCTGGATCAGTGCTGCTTCTTGGCCTGAGGGTGGAGGGGGAATCTGTTAGAAGGAGAAAAGTTGGAGGGAAGGTACTCAGCAGAAAAGGACATCAAGCTGTCACCTGCTATTGAAAGATACTCAAAGACGGAAGGTTATATCTAGATGGTGGAATCAGAGGAAGCTTCAAGAGACAGCTGGAATTTAGGCTGGATTTTTGAAGTAGGAAGCTTTTGGGGAGTCTGCCTAGATCACGTCCTGCTTCTATGAGAACGTTGGCCTCTCAGCAATGCACAGAAGCACTGCCAAGTTGTACTAGAGGCTCCCACTCCTTGGCCATGACTGGCTGGAGGGGAGTTAAACAGCTGAGAGGCAGTGCAGTGGGCAAGTTGACCTGCTTTACCATACACTGGGAATTGAGATACACTGTGGGTGCTAGTCAGTTGGTTAGTGGGCTTGAAGCTGGGAAAACACGTAGGAGCCTGAGGTGGCCATGAGAAAGTGGAGACTGAAAACAACAGAGCATCCTCAGGGGAGAAAGTAGAGATAGCATATTTGATTAGTGAGGAAGGAAGGGAGGAGGAGAGAGGGAGAGAAATGAATCATTGCTCCCTAGGGCTTCCCAGTTTCTTTTTCTGGTCTCTTCTAAGGTCTGGGTGTACTTGGTGCTTTTGGTCTTCATGAGATATTCTTCTGTCTTTCCAATCAGTTCCTTTTGGGTCAATTTCTGCCTCTTATTATCCTTGGACAGTGGGATGTGGACCTGCAGAGATGGGTGAAGAGGTGAGGAAGACATGACAGGCAGTTTGAAAAAAGTCTAAAGTTGGGTGAGTGTGGGACTTAAAGGGCAGTAAGAATAGTTCATCTTGACTTGTTCATTTTATAGACAAAGCCCTAAAAGATGGGAACGTAGGTAAAGCCAGATTGTGAAAACCAACGAATCTGGAAGTGAATTGGGATTTAGGGTTGAGCTATTGAATTTTTGAGCTGGAGAATGAGATGCTCTGACCTAGTCTTTGGAAGATCACAATGAATGGACACCACCTTTGTATCCAAAGAGGGTGCAAAACTTCTGCTTTCCTGGGAGAGGGGAAGGAAATCCCTTCTGTGCCTCATTTTCATAAGATCTGCCCTGGGACAGCTTGTTGCATGCTGGATATATACCCCTTCCCTACTTTATGGTGGGTAGCACCCAACACAGAATCTGAGATCCTTCTACTCTATTTTCCAGATCAGTTGCCTAAACTGGGTGTGGGGGTATAAAAATAGGAATTTTTCCAGCTTGAATGGTCAAAATCTTTAAAGAGATCTATTATCAATATCTCTTATCTACGAAAAGCAGATTATATAAAATCATGCATTCTGAGATTTTTCTGGTTTTGAGGATATCATTTGGATGACCCTGAAAATGCAGAGAGAGGCTGTCTAACCATGGAGGTTGTTTATCGTTAATTTTTAATACTACTTGCACAGAAAAACATTTTCATGTTCACACCCAAGATCGTTCAGCTATGGAAAAGAAGGAAGGTGGTGGATCTGCAGTCTTGACTTTGTGACTATCCTGTTTGTCACTGCATGCTCACTCACTTTGATGAGTCCTCTGTGATAGGAAGAGAGAAATAAGGAGTACAGGAAAAGTGAGTATCAACTAATTTAGCCTCTAGCCTGCTGTCAGCAGTGATGGCTATTAACCAGGTTAGAAAGCAGAGATGATTGCAAGTAAAAAGTATTGCTAAAGGCAGGTGGAAGAGCCTAGGCATGGCCTAGTTAGGCCAGTATGTTCTGGGGAAGCTGTGATGGGCCTAGAGGAGCCTCTTTAGTTTGAGGTGGGGGGTTCCACACAGATAGGATAAGAAGGAGTAAGCCAGGGCAACGGAGGTCACGCTCATCCCTACTGCTGCTTGCCGGCCTCACAGCAGTTCTGGCCAATTAGGCTGGGCTTCTCCCTACCTCTCCTGCTTGCCAGTGCTGCTAATGGTGGTGAGGTCAAGAGGGCATACCTCACTTCAACATCCTCTTCATTGCCTGAGTCTACTTACTAACAGGCAGCTCTGCAGCTGACACTTCTCGCAGTATAGGTAGAGGTAGCTGTGGGGAGGGAACACTCCCAAAAGGCACATGGAGAGAGGTTAAAACTGGAAATGCTGGCAAAATACAGAGGATTAAGGGAGAGCAAGGGGTCCATTTATTTTTGCCCATGTTGTGTGGAAATAAGGCCTTGCCAAGGCACAAGGGTAGGTACCCTTGCTCTGGTCTCAGCCCCATGGCCTGTGAAATATGCAGCTTGGAACAGAAGGTCTTATGGCCCCTTCTAATGCATGTGTGTGTGATTCTGGGGATCTCTGACCTCACTGGGGTTCATTCTCCATGGCTTGCAGAGGAGGTGAGAATAGCACCGTGGCTTCGAGTGAGGCCCTTTTCTGCCCAGAGAGACTTGGATCATAGTTTGAAGAGGAAACCAGACACAGTAAAGCCTGACTGGCTTCCTGGGGGCTGCACCTGGTTCTATTCTGATAAATGCATGGAAAGAACAAGGTCTTTCTCTGCCCAAGTTTCTCAAGTGTGAGCCAAGCCAACACCCTTCCCTGTTCTTTGGGCAGACAAAGGAGAAACCCTATAGCCAAGGTCTGTAGAATGGGAGCAGAGTATTCCACCTACATTTTTTCAAGGTTTAAAAAGTATTGGTTCAAGGTTTCTTTTTTTAATTTTAAACTGCAGATTCCATATCTCTTTGGCTGATGTGATTTAAATTAATAGTGTGTCAAGGAGTCGAACCAGATGACCAGTACAGAAATCCTGTCTATACTTTATTTCTCCCTTCCTCCTTCCCCTCCAATAGACATGTTGAATATATGTGCTCAGGGCAGAACAACAAGGAGGGACAGAAATTCAAGTGGCTCATATGTCTAGTGTGGGGAACAGCCATGTAGACATAGCGGAATATTGATCAAAGCACAGCACCTGGCACATGATAGAGTTTACTCAATATATTTGTGTCTAAAAAATAAAGGAAGGAAGAAAGAAATACATTCTCAGTGAGTTTGCTCACTCTGCTTTTTGAGGAAGCCTTGAAAACAAAATTGAATAATTCTATTAGGAAACTCTTTCTTCCCTCATTGAACTGAATCTTGCGTCCCTGTGTTTTTGTCCGCTGGCCCCTGGGCTGCCCTCTCTTCCTCTCAAAATTCTTTTCATCTTTGAGAGCCATCTCAAGTATCACCTTTATTTGCCTCTCTCCTCCCATATTTCCCTTCCTCTGTTAGCCAGGGAAGCAACCAAAATAATCTCTGCAAGATGCTCTGGGGAGTGAAAGTGTGGGTTCTGCTTGGCTGCCTTTGCCAATCCCCTTTATTGGGGTATTATTTTCTAGAGGCAAAGGTTCAAAGAAAAACACAGCTTAGATGCCCCTAACTGGCTGCTTCTGCACCATGGCCCACGCACATTACCCCTGCAATCCTACATGCCAATTGCAATGTATCTTCTGTGGAAAGTGCAGTCCTTTACTCCCACGTGCACCCAAAATGCTAAGTGTAGTCTTCTCTCTTTGCTATGCTAGGCCTTTAAGAATTCTGCCATATTTAGGAACAGTAAAATTTCACAATGAATGAGAGCAGCCATGAAACTTAAAGACCATCTCTATTTGTCCCAAAGTAAAAAGGGAAAGGGGCAAGCTGTCTAGCTGATAGCAGAGTGAAAGGTTTGTGACGGGGACTCTCGGCTGGATTTCTAAGTCAGGCCTGAGCATCTTCCTCTCAGGCTCTTCAATGTGACAAGACCTTTCTCTTCCCCATCTCCACTGTGGCCTTATATTCCCTTAGTAGAGTTTATGTCCACTGTCCTAGTTCTAAACCCAAGCTCTTAGCCCGTTTCTGATCGTCTAAATGTCAGTTTTTGCTCCTAGCAGCCCTTGTTAGTTTACTAGGTCACAAAGGTTTTTAAAATGAAATCAAACATTTTCAAGTTTATGAGGCTGAAGTTTCTTGGCTATAGATTGGTGACAGCAGCAGCAAAAATGGAATCAAGTTTTGAAAGTTGCTTTGAGGTCTTGAACAATTGTATCTGTAGTGATTTTACAACTATGAGGGCATTTATTTTGAAGTTATTATTTGATGCCATAGGTTGGCCACTTACATTTTCTCAATCGATTTCTCTTCTAAGGTCTGGGTCTCAGCTCAGCACAACAGTGGCAATCTTTAAAGTAGAGCAATATTGTGTAGTGTATCCATTTCCTGCCCTCTATTGCTTATAAATTTTTAACAGATAAAGCTAAAATGTGCCACACTCAGAGACTGAGGAGGTAGCATCAGTTCAGGGAGGTCCGAAAAGACAGAGAGGCCCCTTCTCTTTCCCTGCCCCCAAACATGGCTGGGGCAGTGTTTTCCTTCCTCTCCGTAGAACACCGCACCCCCAATACATGAACCCTAAGTAATAAGACAGTGGGAGTCAGACACTTTGTGGCTCTCACCAGCACATAAAGTGCTCTGAGTTTTGGGCTTTGCCTGAGTTGACATGTTGAAGACTTGGTGTGTGGCAGAGCAGCAGGGAAAGAAAGAGCTAAACCGAGCACTGTTTTAACTATTTGCCACATGGCCTGGAGAAGATCCCACAGAAATATTAACCATCCTGCTCTTTAAAATTTCAGTTTTCCATTTTGGTGTCTCCTCCCTTGCAAAGGTTTTCTCAGCTCTTTATTGGCACGGGGAAAAACCTAATCTATATGCTGATGATTCTCCAATTGCTGTCTGCATTCCAGACCTCGAACTGCCTCATGACATTCCCGTTGGATGACTGATGAGTAGCTCAAATTTAACATGATCAACACTAAGATGCTGAGAGCCCCCATACTTGTTGCTTTTAAATGCCAATTTTTTAAAAATACTGTTTAGTAAATGCTAACTCCAACCTGCTGGTTGCTGAGGACTAAAACCTGATGACTTCCTGAAGTTTCTCTTTCTCTTGCGTTCAACATTGGCTACAACTGCAAATCTTATTAGCTCTACATTCAAATCATATCCAAACTCTGACATTTCCCCCTGCCTCTGTTGCTGCCATCCTCATTCAAGCCACCATCCTTTATAGCTTGGGTTATTGTAATAGGCTCCCACCCAATTCTCCTGCTTCCACCCTACATCCTATTCACAGCAAAGCAGATAGAGTGATCCTTTCCAAATTAAGTCAGACTGTGACCCTCCTCTGCTTAAAATCTACCTGTGGGACCTAAAAGGCCCTATGTAAGTTGTCCTTTGTCTCCCTGACATTACCTCCTACCACTGCGCCCCTTGCTGGCCTCACTCCAGCCTCTCTGACTTCTTTGCTGTGTGCAAACATGCAGGATGCTTTCCTCAATGCCTCAATGCCTCTCATTTGCTTTTCCCTCTTATCAGAATGCTCTTCCTCCAGGAATCTGAGTGTTTTGCTCCCTCATTTCCTTCAGATCTTACTAGAAGGTTATTTCCTCATCAGCAAGGCCTTCTGTCATCATCCTAACTAAATTGTGCCCCCACAGAATAGTTCTCATTCTGCCTTTCCATTTTGTATTCTCCTCTTGGGACTTACCATCACCTGGCATACTGCAAAGGCGGGCTATTGCTGAGTAACAAACTACCCCCAAACCAGTGGCTTAAAACAAGAGTCATTTATTTTCCCACTAAATCATCTGGAAGTTGGTTGAGGATTAGGCAACCCAGGCTGGGTTCGGCTTCCTACTCTGCTTCCAGCTGCAGGTGCCTCTGGCCTGGCCTCCTGTCTGCAGGAAAGGCTCTGGTGGGCTCTGTGATGTCATTCTGGGCCCCAAGCAGAAGAAGAAGCAGCTACCCAGGGAAAGCCCCTCCCATGTGATGGTGGAGGTGCCAGACAAGCCCACTCTGCACACTTTGAAGACATCTTCAGCCTTCTCTAGTAATGATAGCATGTCTACGATCAACATTTTTTTTACGATGTGTTTATTGTCCCATTCTTGTCTTGAGATGAAATGTTTATGTTTGTCAGTTAGAACCCCCTCCCATGGCTCCCTCTGTTACTTTTTTTGTTCAAATATCACCCCTTCAGAGTGATTTTCTCTGACAACTGTCTTTAGCATAGCATACCTCGCTCTTTATCTCCCTATGCTGCTGTATTTTAACATAGCATTTCTCTCTACATTACAGTAAATATTTATTTGCTTGTTTCTTCTGTCTCTCCTACAAGAATATAAGCTTTGTGAGGGTAGAGACTTTGTCTTGTTCATGGCTGAATTCTCAACACTAGAAGGAGAGCCTAGAAGGCTTTCAATAAAAATTGCTAAATAAATGGTAGACCAATGATAAGAGAGGTCTAAGACTGTGTCAGAGGAGCAGCTGGAGGAGAGAAGTTTGTCCCTGAATCATGTGGTATTATCCTGCAACATGCATTTATTCAGGGCAAAGCTGTTTTTGACACAACATCAACAAATTCTGCATTTGGGGTTTTTTAATTTGCTCATAAAACCCTGTCTGTGCTCCTGTAAGAGAATCTCTAAATATTTCTTGATAATGCATGTGATGTTTTGATTATTTCTGAAGCCATTCTCTGAGCCTGTAATATATCCGT
The DNA here is from genome assembly GCF_000001405.40 of Homo sapiens. Taxonomy (NCBI): domain Eukaryota; kingdom Metazoa; phylum Chordata; class Mammalia; order Primates; family Hominidae; genus Homo; species Homo sapiens. The sequence continues at coordinate 13,313,604 of NC_000012.12, forward strand.
ACCTCTTGTCTGCAGATACTTTGAAAGTGGTGGAATTGAGCTAAAAATATTCAGAAGTAGCTAAGCAGTCAGACTGGATTCAACCTTGCATACTGACTGCTTTTTTTGTCTTATCCTTACATCTGGTATCAAAACAAAAATCTTTAACATGGGAAGATATTCTAGTCCAAAAGAAATCTATTACTGTTACAGATAATGAAGAAGGCAGCTTTTAAAAACACCCAATGTTCTCTAACCTATCGCTCCAGTCACCCACCTTGATTCTACAATGAGAATGTTATAATTAATTTCATCCCAAATAGCCTACTTTTAGATAATTTAGAAATAAAATAATTTTTAAAATCTCACATATTTGTATAGTGTTTGTCCTTTTTCAGAGCACTTTTACATCACATATTTTTCCTTATAAGGCTAAATGGGCATGTCCATTCCCATTAGACATGGGAAAAGCCAGGCACAGAGGGGTCAGATGACATCCTGAAGTCACTTGGCTAACTAGTGAGTAAGTCAGTGCAAAATCTCCAGCCTTCTGTGCTGTGCAAATTTCAAAAGTTAAATGTTAACTTTCCAGATTTGAAAACATATCAGTAAGCTTAAAAAAGTAAACTTAAAAGGAATAAAAAAGTGTCCTAGGCAAGTCTACGAGACTGGGGTGATCTACGTTAGGTCCTCTTTTCCCTGCCCATTGCGATACTTACGAAAATGAAGCCAGGACAGTTTTAATGGGATAGGGTGGGCACAGAAGGGTGGTGTGAAATATGAGGGAAATGTGTGTGAGGGGAGAAAGCTTTGCTCGATAGTATATATAAGACAGGAATATGTGTGATAATGTTCTAGCGCTGCCTTTGCCAACCCTGTCTTTCTCAGGCTGCCTCCAACAGGAGCTTAGTCCTGTGGAGTACTGGAGCCAATACTGCCCAGAGTGTCAGCCACATTGTTCTTCCCAATGGTGAGGTCTAGAATTTGCTGTCATGGATCAGGTGTCTGATATGAGCTATGAGCAGCCATATACCCCATGAAGTCCTTGCCCTCTTTTGACCCCTGCAGCAGTGGGTTCATATGACTGAGTTTCTATTTGGAGCCCCATCCTGAATATCAGACCATTTGTCTGGGATCCTGATGCTGCAACTAGGCCCTACTAGCTCATCCCCTGATGGAGTGGCTGGGTTTTGCTTTCTGTAGACTCAGGTACTGGTTGAGAACATGAATGGGTTGATCACTGCTCATGCGATTACCACTGCCTAACTGACTTTACACGTGACCTCCAGTGCTTACTGCTGGAACCTCCATGCCTTACATTCTACCTGGAGCATAGTAGAGAGTCAATGAATAAGTGAGTGAAGAAACAAACATTGGATTCCTGTGTCCATTCAGGGGAGAGAGCTTTTTTAGATAGGACAGCTGTCTGGACAAAACCTGAATTACATCATCCTTTTAGATGATGAGTCTTGTGTTCTCCACCTGCCCCCATGGGGCCCATGTGCAGCTAATTCAGTATTCCCACTTCTGGACTCATGGGCAGGTATGTACCTTACAGGGATCTCCCATTCTCTCTCCCCTTTGCCAAACATGCTGCCCATGCTCCCTACCTCCACTGCTTGACAGTGAGTAGAAAGACAGTCTCTGTCCACTTATGGGGACTGTGAAGGCCATTTCAAAAACCAACAAGTGTACCCTTCCTAAATGGATTCTAAAAATGCTTTTTGAGGAGAAGGAAGGAGAAATCTCTGGCTCATGCTCAAGATTTTGAAAGCAGAATTAGACTTGGCAGTAAGAAAAATTCAATTCCATTTAACAGAGATTTATTTATTTTTAAAGTACTTTTACATGCCTGGAACCACAGGGATGAAAAAGAGGAGTCAGTCATGGACTCTGCTCTCTAGGGATTAACAATCTAGTGACTGGAGGAGACCCAATAATAATTGAGGTAGGCGCAGTAGTTCTAGTTCCAGACAGATTTAGCAAGTGCTATCGTGGGGAAAGGGCAGAACCTGTGGGGTTCAGTGGTTATATATTTCTGGAAGACTGAGGAAATGAGGAGTCCTGGAGTGCTGTAGCTTGTCCTTGGTGTCTTCTCACTTTCTTGGGGGAGAGTCTCTCTTTTAAATAAAATGAAATTTAATTTAATTTTTTGATTAGTTAATACATTCTAATGTTCAAAACCCGAAATAATTTCATCAGACATACATTAAGAAGCCTTGCTGTCACCACGTTCCCATTCAGACCATTTCCTCCACTCCTCCTCCTGTTGCCTCCACTCCTATTCCACTCCATTCCCTCCACTCCTGCATGCATTTCTATCAATTTCTTGCATATTCTTCCAGGGCTACTTTATGTAAACAAAGCAGATAAGAATAGGTATTTTTATTCCATCCCTTTTCTTACACAAAATTTATGATATTATACATGGAGTCTCCATCTTGCTTTTATTCCTTTATGATAAATCCCAGAGATGATTCCACATTAACAAATAAAGAGTTCCTTCATTCTTTTGTAAAAATGCATAGAAAGTCTTCTGATTTCTTTAACCAATCCCCTGTAGGTGGACACTTGAAGTGCTTCCAATTGTCTGCTATTAAAAATATTGTTGCACAAACCTTTACATACATGATTTTATATGTGTTCAAGTGTGTCTGTAGGCCAAATACCCAAGTGCAGCTACTCTGAGACCTGTTCCCTCACTTTTTCTTTTCAAAGCAAGCTTATCATTATGCCCAGTTTCAGGGAGATTTGTTTTGTCACAGAGACTCTCAAAGACCAAAGGAATGGGTCTCTTATGGTTGGATTCCAGTTTTGGGAGGCTGTATTAGGTGGGTTTTTAAGACAAATTAAGACATATAGAAGTCACTTATTGTGACAGGATCTGCTAATATGATTGACTGTAGTATCAGATTTTGATTTCCAAGTCCATCAATATTTGCTTTGGCCCAGGTAGTGGCTTTCTCTGCCCTCATTAATCTGTTTAGCTGACAAATGTTTATTGGCACTTACTAGATCTCTGGTTGTGATAGACACGGAGTTAGTGTGCACATGAGAGAGGTTAGCCAGCTCACTTTAGGCAGAGAGTAAGGGAAGGGTCCCCAGAGAAACTCTGACCCACCCAGGTCATTGCCCAATCCACACATACCACACGAGGGCTTACACCAGATGTTTTGTGCAGATAAAGGAACATGCACGGGGACTTGCCTAAATTCCGCCTCTTGACACATGTGCAGTAAGGGAAATAAATCAATATGTAGTAACTCAGGCTAAGAGCCTGCATACGCACTGGAAAGATGGGGTGGAGCCACCAGGAATTTGCACCTTGTGCAAATAAGGAACCCAGCCCCATCAGCTTTTCTATAAAAGCCCTTGTATTCAATTGTAAAATGACAACCTGCTTTCAGGAACCCTCTCTTTGCTGAGAGCTTTCCTTTTGCTTAATAAATTCTACTCTGCCTACTCACTCTCCAGTGCCTGTGTGCCTAATTCTTCCTTGTTGTGGGACAAGAACTTGGACCTAGCTGAGTTAAGGAGCAGGAAGACCGCAACAGGCTGATACTTGGTCTGGTCCCTGTACTCTGTCTCATAATTCATACGGAGGTGTAAACAGCCAGCTACATGGTCAGCATGGCAGGCATTGCTATAAACATATGTACAGGTTGAGCCTGCCTCAGCAGCCCTGCCTGCCCTGTGTGTGTTCTCAGACACTAAGGGGGATCCCTCACTGCCACTTGCCATATGCTCCCCACAAAGCACAGAAATTGGAGTCTGAAAACCTGGATTTTGGTTTAATCTATGTTACTTATTAGTGTGTAGCTTTTCTGAATACCAAAACCTTCATTTGGAATGTAAAGTGAGTATCCAATGATATAAACGTTTGAAAGTGCTCTTTAAATTACTGTTCACATCTTTCTTCCCCAGGAAAGAGCACTGTGAGAACAATCAAAGGCTGCGGGAATAATTTTAGTGGTAATTATAATATTTGTCTCTGGACCTTCAGAAGCTCTCAATCCCTTCCCTTTTCCAGGTGGATTTGTCTGGGTCACAAGCAATTAAAGGCAACCTATAAAATTCTCCTGCAACAGCTGTCAGTGCAGTTTCTCTGCTCTACCAGGTGATGGGCTTGGCATGCTGCTTATGGATGGAGGCACCAATGTTGGCCTGCCTGTCATTGTTACTGTCAGTGTTGACTTCATTACTGTTGAGCCACTGAGCTGACAATCTTGCTTTCACCAGCTTTGGGAGGGCCTTTTAAGATGACATCCCTGGGAAGTATGCCAGAGCTATAAGCGTTGTACCACTCATGCCTATAATCCCAGCACTTTGGGAGGCCGAGGTGAGTGGACCACAAAATCAGGAGTTCGAGACCAGCCTGGCCAAGATGGTGATCACTTGAACCTGGGAGGCAGAGGTTTAAGTGAGCTGAGATCGCACCACTGCACTCTAGCCTGGGCAACAGAGCAAGACTGAACCAAAAAAAAAAAAAAAATTGTACCCAAAGTATTCCTGCATGTAGATGGTATGCCAATGTCAGCACACGGTCAGAGTCAGGCATCTGTATTAGCCAGGGTGAGGTCAGGAAAAGAAAGTCCAGGCCAGGGAGTTTGATAGAAAACATAGAGTATGGGGAGCTCATCTTAAAGTGTTGGAAGAGCTGAAAAGTCAATTTGAGGATAATGAGACAAGTCAGAAATTAGCAACATCAACAACCTGCTACCATCCCTAGCATTAGAGGCAAAGGGGTGGAGGTAGTTCTATTAGAGTCCAAGAGACAGACCTGCTGGATCACAGAGGAGGCCCAGCCCACTGATGAGGCTGCATGCCATGCCTGAGGCAGAGGGAGGGAGATATTTCCTGTCCTCTCCTTTCCTCTTGTCTCCAGTTTCCTGCTAGTGCCTTCCAGGAGCAGAACCTAGTGAGAAGTCAATTGCATATTTGCCAGAGAAAATTAGGGAATGAGCTTGAGAGAGGATAGGAAAATGACCAGCACAGAATCTCCACTCACTCTTAGAAAGTGTTCCCACTAAGTGGAAGAAGGTTGCCTATAACTTTCCTCTTATTCCTGAGGCCGAATTCTTGTCTGGAGGCCTGACTATATGTTTTCAAATTCTTTATCACAGCATTCTTTTTTCAAGGCCTATTGTGTCCCTGCCAGGAGTTCCTGGCAGTTTCTACCTGGGACCATCAATCTGTGTTATTCTACTCATTCTCCTTGACACCTACAATTATCTAGCCAGCCTTTGCCTCAGGGGCTTGGTTGGATGCAGAAGTTAGAAAGGCAGAGCTGGAATCAACAGGTCACATAAGAAGTCAGTCCCATTAACTCTCTTTGAATCATAGAGAAGCCAGATAATTCTGAGAAGGAAAAGCTGATTGACTGCAGAGGTCTCACATTGGTTATCACCATCAGACCCAGCGCTCCTCCCCCGGGTTACAGGAAAATCTCCCTGAATAGCTTTACCATTTAGCCACTATCTTTTAGTCTTGATTAGACTTATAGAAGTGGAGAACTAGAAATGTTGTTAGAAATCCTCAATCTCAACATTTTATTCTCCTTCATTTTAGAAACAGCAAAAATCAGGTCCAGGGGGGTTAAGTGACACGATCAAGATCACATAACGAGTTAGTGATGTGAACTGATTTTAAAACAACCCTTTTTCATCTGCCTGAGCCAACTTCACTTCAGCTCCATATTGATTCACCGTCTTAATACATTCTTGTGAAAATATTTAAACAGTTCTCCTCCTACGACTTCAGAATATCTCGGTGTTGAAGATCAGTTTAGATAGCCTTCTGGGTTTCTGCTGCAGATCACATTCAGCAGATTTTTTTTCCTTCCCTGCTGCCTTCACCTCACCTGATACAAATTATTCTGAATTTCAGAATATGTTAATTGAGCTCAGGTTCAAACTGGCCTGTGACTTGCACTATTAGAGGGAGGGGTTGTGTTGCTTTCCTTCTCCCCATTGTTTGCGATTCAAGCAGGCATGGGCTCTTTTTGTGAGAAGAAGTTCTGCAACTTTCTTACTAGTAAAGTAAAATGGAAAACCAATACTCTCATTTTCACTGTAGGTTTTATTTCCCTGGTGATACATGAAGAAATTGGTTCAGTGAAGACACCAACTTTCCAGAAGTATGAAAATCTTCAGACTCCGGGCCCATGGGAGCCCACAGAGGGTGTGGTCAAGAAAAGGAGGCAAGCCTCCGTCCTTGGTAGAGGGCCGATTGCTGAAGGCTTCTCACCAGCTTCAGGACACTGGTTTCTGAAGTTCAGTTTCTATCTCAATAGGGGAGGAGAGAAAAGCAAAGAAGCCAAGAGGATAAAGATGGAAAGAAAGGAGGAGGAAGGATGTAAGGGAGACAGAGAACAAAGGAAGGAAGGAAATGAAAGAAAATGCTCCCATAGGATCAAAGTGGCCATGGGAAAATAGGAATTTAAAAAGGGGGCCGTGTGTCAGGCAGAAGTGCATTTAATGAAAATAGGACACTTTTTTGGGGGTTGGAGTGGTCAGCAGCATGAAGGTTAATTATTTTTATCTGTGTGAGATAATCAGACTCAGGCCACATTTCTGTGGCTGCAAAGAAATCAGAGTGCTCCAAAGACTAGGTCAGTCCAGTTTGCAGATGCGGGGACTAACATATTAAGTTCTTCAGTGGAATAGAAGGTGAGAATGGGGAAGGAGGGAGCAGGAGGAAGAGAGGAGAGCTGTCTTAATACTCTGAGGTGAACGGGCTCTTGCGCATTGCGCATACCAGGTGCTCAGTAAGCACTTGCTAACCTTTAATTCTTCCCTTTCCTATTTGTTCAGATGCAGTCACAGTGACACCAATTTAGAAATACACACAAAGATGCATTCATATATATTTTTTTAGTTGTTGTGGTCAGTACTTGGTTGAAAATTAGGTGCCCCTGTAATCCCAGCACTTTGAGAGGCCGAGGTGGGCAGATTGCTTTAGTCCAAAAGCTCGAGACCAGACTGGGCAACATGGCAAAACCTCATCTCTACAAAAACTACAAAAAAAAAAAAAAAAATTAGCCAGGCATGGTGGTGCATGCCTGTGGTCCCAGCTGCTCGGGAGGCCTGAGGTGGGAGAGCACTTGAGCCCGGGAGGCAGAAGTTGCAGTGAGTTGTAATTGTGCCACTGCACTCCAGCCTCGGCAGCAGAGTGGGACCCTGTTTCAAAAAAAAAAAGGAAGAAAGGAAAAGAAAAAGAAAATTAGGTGTCATCAAGGTTAGGGGGTAGAGGAGGAGTAAGTGGGAGGGAAAATTTCATGTGTTAACATAAAGGTAGGAAGGTGTTGCTCTTCCAAGAGATAGTGGAAAAGAAGAAATCTTCCAGAGTAGGGTGGTGAAGGTGAGTACAGAATACAAAACGACTGCATTTTAGTCAGCTGGAAAAAGAAAGGAGATAACCGGCTTGATATTTTCTTTCTTTCTTTTTTTTTTTTTTTGAGACAGAGTCTCGCTCTGTTGCCCAGGCTGGAGTGCAGTGGTCCTTTATTGGCTCACTGCTGGCTCCGCCTCCTGGGTTCACACCATTCTCCTGCCTCAGCCTCCCGAGTAGCTGGGACTAAAGGCACCTGCCATAACACCCGGCCAATTTTTTGTATTTTTAGTAGAGATGGGGTTTCACCATGTTAGCCAGGATGGTCTCGATCTCCTGACCTTGTGACCCACCCGCCTTGGCCTCCCAAAATGTTGCGACTGCAGGTGTGAGCCACCGTGCCCGGCCCCATGGTTTGATGTTTTCAAGGCACTTTGTAATTACTTTTGTTGGTGGGGCTATTGGTCATGATGTTCTAACTGGACTCTCTCTTGGAACTTGGAATCATTAATGGATGTAAAGAAAAAAGTTGGATCTAATTTATCCCATGGCTGTACCCTAAGGAGACCACCAATTATTGCCTGTTACTTCGATTCCCAGGGATGTCCTGGCTTCTGCCCTTCTTGAATCTGTTTGACACTTTCATACATTTCTGCCAGTTTGGGAGTTCTGCCCATTTTTCTGGTATGTTTGCTCTATCTCTTTTTTTTTTACTTAGGATAGGAAGAATCTGTTTCTGTTGCTTTTAGTCAAAAGACCTTGAAACAAACAATAGATGCTCAACCTTGCTATCAAACCATTGGCTTTCTCCATCAGATCTTTTGAATCTCTAGCTTCTCCAGTTATAAATACTTGCTAAACCTGAAATAGATTGAGATCACCTCGGTCTAATGATGCCTCTAACAAGCCCTGGACTCTCTCAAAGCCTTGAATGAGCCATTCATTCTACCCTGTTAGGCTACAGAAGGTTTATAAACAGCAGTGAGCTGAATGTTTGTTCCCCCACCAAATTGTATGTTAAAACTCTAATCCCAAAGTGGTGGTATTTGGAGGTGGGGCCTTTGAGATCTGATTAGGTCATGAGACTGAAGCCCTCATGAATGAGATTAATGCCCTTATAAGATGAGACCAGAGAGATACACAGCTGTCTTTCTGCCATGTGAGGACACAGCAAGAAGACAATTGTCTATAAACCAAGAAAACCAAAACCAAAATCACCAAAAACCCTACTATGCTGGCACCTGGATCTCAGATTTCCAAACTCCACAACTGTGAGAAATAAGTGTTTGTTGCTTAGGTCACCCAGTTTATGGTATTTTGTTACAGCACCCTGAGCTGACTGAGATGTAGACCTCCACCAATAAACATATGGATCAGACCGGGAAAGACAGCAACATGATGGGAGAGGTGACCTCTCACTCTGCTACTAAGTAGCACATTGCTAGTTAGTGCATAATTTATTAACAGTTTCCTTTTTATTTGACATGGCTTGATACCTGGTTCACAGCTTTGAGAACAAGGTGGTTGAGCTCATGTACATAAGGGGCCACAGTGCCCCCGGCACATAATGGGATGAGCCTCCACATAACCCTATTGGAGTGGAAGTGCCAAACATGTGGGCTTGGGAAAATGTATTTAGCAGGGTCCATAGTGAATCCAGACTAGGGATTTCATAATCCTTAGAAATGTGAATGCTTCACCAGAGCCACTGTGGTCAAAGCTTCTGACCAGAGAAGAAGGGAGTGGGGGAGAGAGAGAGAAAGAAAGAGAGAGAGAATGAGGAAGAGAAAAAGGACTTAGAGCAGTTGAGAGACAGAAACTCACAGCTAGAAATAAAGTGTGTCTTTTGAGCATTCTCTGATTCTGAACTCCTAAGTTGTTTTGTAATCTAACATTGAAGGGCCGGAGAGAATATGGAAATCCTGCACCAGGCTAGAAAGACCAGAGCTGGCATTAGCATGAGGCAAGGACTTCTGCACGGCCAGAATTTCTGCAAACTAGTAAGACTCATTAAACAAACTTTAATTTCTGTGTGTTTTCTCCACTGTACCTTAAAATAAATGTATTCTTTATGATCTGGAGAGATGCCTACTCTTCTAATTTGAAAGAAATATAAATGCTGGTAGGATAGTCTCTGGAGAATGTTACTATCTATGGTCATTAAGGGAGAAAGTAATGAGGGAGCAGGAGATTAACTAGTTAGTTGGGGAATCTACTAAAAGAAGGGAATTGGCACCTCAGGGCCTAATGTTGAAACTTGTTCCAACACAGGCAGCTGTATGATGAGCAGAAGAGGAATGGGATGGGGAATGCAGAAAGAAAAAAATTCATAATCAGGAAGTGCTAATCAAAATATAATAAATACAAAGTGCTAAACTCTTTTAAATAACAGCGACAGTATTGCTATGACATCTTTATTCAGCCATCTATTACATCTATTAAAAATGCTCTCATTCCTCAAAACTCTTCCAGCACATGGGCCAGATAGAGAAACCCAAGAGTTAAACTGGTGCTGGCTGCAGCTACCTTCCTCATATCTGTGCACTGCATGGGATGCGATGCTTGATGACAGCAGCAATAGCTAAACACGTCTCTGAATTGTAATTGTCACAGGGCTCTTTCCTGGGTTTATCTACCTTACTTAGCATTTTAAGTCTCAGCTACTTAATGAAATGTCATCTTTTCATAGCTGGTGACCAAATAATTGTTTAAAGTGAATCAGCATGTGAAAGGTGAAGGTGTTTATTACCTGAAACATAATTCATTGTGATACTTCGACTCACGTCTCAAGCTAACTAAAGGATGTCATCTTGCAGGACACGTAACCTTTTACTATCTCATACTTCACCAATTATAGCAAATTTCCCTTTATCCAGAGTAGCTGGAGATAGGTGGTTTTTACTTTCCAGTATTCTGATTAACTGGGGATTGACATATCATCCCATTTTCAGAGAATGAAAATTCATTTTCTCTGGATGATGGTCATAGCTTTTTGACCTTTCTGTTTCTTCTAGTCTTTCTTTGGGTTAATCTTCTTAGAGAGGAACTCATTTCTCCCCAACTCAAAACCTTCAATAACTTGATTGAATAAGCTATCATTCAAGGGCATTCATTGTTCCCAGCATGTCTACTTTAATCCCCATTTATTTACCGTTTGTGCTCTCACCCTCCTCCTCATAAATACCCTGACCTTTCTCCATGCCTGATGTTCTCTCTACAGAGGATGCTTTTCTACTCTGTTTCTGTGTATTTCAAATCTACCCACCCTTAAAGACTCAGACCAATTCTCTCTTCTTGATGAGACCTCTTTTCACCTCTTCCTTCCTCCAGGTCCACTTTTTATATCTTCCTCCTCTGAAATTCCATAATCTCTTTTTTTTCCTTTTAAGACAGGGTCTCATTCTGTTGCCCAGGCTGGAGTAGAGTTGTGCTATAAAGGTTTACTGCAGCTTTAGCCTCCTGGGTTCAAGTGATCTTCCCACTTTAGCTTCTCAAGTAACTGAATAGCTGGGACTACAAGCTTATGTCACCACACTGACTAATTTATTTATTATTATTATTTTTTAAATTTTATTATTGTACTTTAAGTTCTAGGGTACATGTGCACAACATGCAGGTTTGTTACGTATGTATACATGTGCCATGTTTGTGTGCTGCACCCATTAACTCGTCATTTACATTAGGTATATCTCCTAAAGCTATCCCTCCCCACTCCCCCCACCTCACAACAGGCCCTGGTGTGTGATGTTCCCCATCCTGTGTCCAAGTGTTCTCATTGTTCAATTCCCACCTATGAGTGAGAAAATGCAGTGTTTGGTTTTCTGTCCTTGCAATAGTTTGCTCAGAATGTTGGTTTCCAGCTTCATCCATGTCCCTACAAAGGACATGAACTCATCCTTTTTTATGGCTGCATAGTATTCCATGATGTGTATGTGCCACATTTTCTTAATCCAGTCTATCATTGATGTACATTTGGGTTGGTTCCAAGTCTTTGCTATTGTGAATAGGGCCACAATAAATATAAGTGTGCATGTGTCTTTATAGCAGCATGATTTATAATACTTTTGGTATATACCCAGTAATGGGATGGCTGGGTCAAATGGTATTTCTAGTTCTAGATCCTTGAGGAATCGCCACACTGTCTTCCACAATGGTTGAACTAGTTTGCAGTCCCACCAACAGTGTAAAAGTGTTCCTATTTCTCCACATCCTCTCCAGCACCTGTTGTTTTCTGACTTTTTAATGATCGCCATTCTAACTGGTGTGAGATGGTATCTCATTGTGGTTTTGATTTGCATTTCTCTGATGGCCAGTGATGATGAGCATTTTTTCATGTGTCTGTGGGCTGCATAAATGTCTGCTTTTGAGAAGTGTCTGTTCATATCCTTCGCCCACTTGTTGATGGGGTTGTTTGATTTTTTTCTTGTAAATTTGTTTAAGTATTTTTATCTTTTGTAGAGACAAGGGTCTCATTATGTTTCCCAGGCTGGTCTTGAACTCCTGGACTCAAGCAATCCTCTTGCCTTGGCCTCCCAAAGTGCTGGGATTACAGGTGTGAGCCACCACACCTGGCCCCTGAAATCCCATATTCCTGATCTCTGTCTCATCTCTTGGGAAATGACTGTTTCCTATAAGCTATCATCATTTACATGAATTTTATCTTAACCTACTAGTCACAATTTCCTTGAGTGTATTATTTGTGACAGACACATCTCTGTTAGTCCCCTAGGTAGCACCACATGCGTTGCACACAGTAGGCGTGCATTAAATGGATGAACCAAAGAACCATAATTTTATCACCAAAATGGGACAGAATGTGCTTTTCTCTTTCTTGGATGATTCATAGAGCACTTCAGGATCTCACAGTGCTTTTGATTTATTATGATTAGCATCAACTATCATTAGAGGGGCTGCAAATAAGTCTGGATATATGAATTTTCTGGTTTCGATTTCTGAACAAAACTGAGAGCAAGTGCATTTAGCAACCAGGGGACTGACAGAACCTGAGGGAAAAATACAAGTGTTCATTGACCTCACATAAAACACAGTAAATGGCACAGAGAATTAGGAGAAAATTAAATCCGTCCAGACTTGGAGTAATTTTGCCTAAGAGAGTCTAATTAGTCACGTTGGAGTGTGATCAGAACCTCCATGTTAATACAACCCACCCACGCCCTCTCCTTCAGATTGTGACTTTAGGAAACACAGCTGTACCAAGGGAGAGTACCGTCTGAGCACTGACCAGGGACTAGACAGAAGCGAGGCAATTTCCCCCTCAATTGTTGCCACAGCCACACTGCGATTGCAATTTTACTGTGGCTCCTTGCCCCAAGGGCTGCAGGACATGGCATTTATTTCAGAGCTGGCACTGTCACTGCCCATAGAGCCATGCCTGTAGGGCTGGCAAACATCCAAGAAGAATCATTTACTTGCAGAGAAAAAGAGGAAAGAGGCCAGTTAACAAACAAAGGTGAGAGGGCCATGTTCATGATGGCAAGCCATGCTGTGAGCAGGATCAGGTGAAGGAGGCTGAGGAAGAAAGAAAAAGGGAAGTAGGGGGCTATGAAGGGATATGATCAAGGTAGCAATGGTGCAGCTGCCAAATAAGCTATTAGAAATCAGTCAAGGAGAATTAGGTGCCAGAAAAACATAGGAGACCAGCCCAGGCAGAGAGTCAACACCTCTGAAATCTGCAGAAGTTGAAGAAACAAGGCAAGATGGGTTGTCAACATGGAGAATTCTGGAGTTTTTACCCCAGAAAATAGCTGCATGATCTCAGCATCCAGGAAAGGACCCAGATGCCAAGGGAGCTTGCTATTCCAGCCCCAGCTGCATTTATATGCCCTCTGACTCCAGTGAAACTCAGTTTCACGTCTGCTGTTCTAGATAGTTGGGAGAGGGGTGCTCTCTGAAAGCTGGTGGCAGGAAGCTGGTGTGATCATGTAGAAGAGATTCTCCAGGCTGAGTCATTTTCCCAACACAGGTGCACACAGTTGTTTGGAAAAGGACCCTCTCTGGAGCATTAAGCTGACCAATACATTGCAAGGGGATTCTCTTTCTTTGACTTGTGTCTGATTACTCCAAGAGGCTGTGGGAACTGAGAGTTTACGTAGTAGACAGAAAGCCTCTTGAAGCTCTTTCTGTCATGATCTGCTCTTTCTGTCGTGATCTCTGACACTGATCAATTCTGATTATGATCTTCCCCACAGCTGGTTATATTATTAGCAGCTATGGGCAGCAGGAGCCAGGCTCACATGTGCTTCCAGAAGACCCCAAGCTTGCCCCAGAGTAATTCTGGGGTAGACAGCTAAGTATAGGTGCTTGTGAAATGGGGCCTGTGAAATTACAGACTCTACAACATGAAAGCTAAAAAGAGACATTTTTATATATTACAAATAGAAAAACAAGCTTGGAATTAAGTGATCAGCCCAAGGTCACAGTATCAGAACCTGGGAACCCATATCTCCTGAATTCCCATCTATTAAATCATATCTACATAGTCTTCAGGGGTCATGCCAAATCCATGTCAAGCTTTTTATGTTCCCATCTGATTTGTCTGAAGCAAATTCCAGTCCATCTTCTATGAGGTGGAAATTGATTCTTAAAACAATTACAGTGAGGATATGTACAAATGAGTGAAGATATGCATCCTTGAGCAACTTGCCAAGCCACTCTGAATTCCATTCTTTTTATGCAGAAAATGGAGACTGAGCATCCCCCTTAAGAAATTATTGCTCAGATTGAATAAATGAAAACATAGGTAGAGCATCAGGTACATAATAGGTCCTCGCACCATCAGAAAACAAACAAACAAACAAAAAGATTCAAGAATGTTCAGTTAGGGGCCGGGTGCAGTGGCTCATGCCTGTAATCCCTGCACTTTGGGAGGCTGAGGCGGGCAGATCACTCGAGGTCAGGAGTTCGAGACTGGCCTGGCCAATATGGTGAAACCCACTCTCTACTAAAAATACAAAAATTAGTCAGGGGGTGGTGGTGCACGCCTGTATTCACAGCTACTGAGGAGCTGAGGCAGGAGAATCACCTGAAGCCAGGAGGCGGAGGTTGCAGTGAGCTGAGACTGCACCACTGCACTTCAGCCTGGGCCACATAGCGAGGCTCCATCTCAAAAAAGAAAAAAAAAAACCAAAAAGCCAAAAACCAAAACAACAACAACAACAACGAAAAACCCCACACCAAAAAGAATGTTTAGTTTTGGTGCTATGTGTATTACTGCATTAAGGATTCTTGGAATTTAGTTAACTCCTGCAGGTTTTCTTTTCGCAGTGCTCTGCTGACCAGAAAGAAGGACAATATGAAAGGGAAAAAAAAAAAAGGAAAAAAAAAAAAGAAAAAAAAATTTACCAGACTAAGAATCAAGAGATCAGGTTCTAATTCTAGCCCTGCTACCTGCCAGTGGGGTAATCCTGTTTAAATCATTTAGAGTCTACAACAGTTTCTTCCTTTTTAAAATTCAGTAATAGACTGTGTTTTCCCTGTGTATCTTACAGGATTGTTGTAAAGATCAAACAAATTAATAAATGAGCAAATGTTTTGACAATTAACTTACAATTAATTAGCAGTGGCTTGGTATTGAGGGTGCCATCTCTCCTTTAATCTCCACAATAGTTCTATGCAGCAGGCATAGCTTGATCCCTTTGACAACTTGAGCCCAGCGAGACATCGGGTGACTTGCTAGAGCTTAATAGCCATAGAGCAGGACAGCCAGGATTCAAAACCAAGCCTCCTGATTCTAAGTGCTTTTCTCACTATTATGTTGAATCATATGAAATTGCTATTTTTGTAGGTCAAAAAAAATCAAATGTCAGCAATTTCATATGGTTTAACCTGATAGAACACATCTGTACAAAGAACTATTGAAATTCAAGAGAGCAGAACTATTGAGTAGTAGCTTAGGCTCTGATTAGCACCATTTAGGAACAGTGTTCCCTTATACCATGCAGAGGATCAGAAAAGAGTCCTAAATTGCCTGTTTCATTCGAACCAGAATTGGCAGAACTCTGCTCTAGGGGGTTGGGGAGATAGTTACACAATGGTTCGGCCATAGCTCACGCATAGGAGGCAAGCTCTATTAGTTAGCACCATCCTTAAACTGGGGTCTGTCTTGATATGGTATTTTGTGTGTAATATTCACTCATTATCTTATAAAAAACTGTGAATCTATAATGAACCTAAATTCAAGTGCAGACTGAGATACTGAATAATCATTACATTTAGTAATGTTAAGTGTGTGTCTTTAGCAAAATTGAGATTTTTTAAAATGCTAATTAGATTGAACTATTTATGAAAATTATGGTATTTTGGTGGGGTAGGTCAAAGTATTTGCTCACAGGATCCTGGGAGATCAGACAATGACAGGGAGGATGCTGGTTTGAGCTTCTCCTTAGTTATTTTGGAAAAGAGAGATTGAATTTGTTCTAGGACGGAACTGGCCTAGCATCACCTAGATTGGAATCTTGATGTTCACATGGCATGATATAAAATTGGAGAGCTGACCAAGGGGGAAAATGTATACAAAGTATCATGACTGCCTTGCCTGGATCCCAAAGGCAAGATTACATCCCATGGATAAGGGTGGGAACTTTCTATGAAGATAATGCGTATTTATAGTATTGGTCATTGTGAGACAGGGAAAGAGGAGGGCTTTGGACCAAGAGAGGGGGAATCTCTCTGGAGCTTGAAAGTGAATTCAGAGCCAGCATTTAAGTAGGGGAGAAGTCCGTCTGGATATCCCTGTAGGATTGAATTCAGCTGGCTACTTGCAGAAGGTGGGCTGTTAGTGTAGCATTTTGAGAATTTCCTCTTGGAGTTGTATATCTTTTACAACAGGACTTCAGTACATCTTCCCTGATCATTACGGATCAGCTTCTAGGTAAAGCAGTGAGTTGACCACATGTATTTACTTTCAGTTCCTTCTGAAATTCCTCTGAAGTAATAGAAAAGGATTTTTAAAATCTTTATTCATAAAGACAAAGATGATAGAAGGGGAGACAATGACAATTAAATTTTGGAGGTTGGACACCAGCTGGATGAGTGATAACTGATTCAGCAGGTCTGAGAATGTATGGGAAATGAGTGGAAAAGACTGAAAGTAATTGGAGTTAAATTGATGAGCTTCAAAAGTTGGTGTCACTACAGAAGTGGCTGTAAAAGTGGGGGCTAACAACAGAAAGATTTGTTGAAAGTCTGGGAAGCAGTTAGGGCCCCAAATCCCTGCTCCCACACAATGAAGCTGGAATCCTCCCTCTCTCCCATCCTGGAAGATGATTGAAGAAGGTAAATCAGAAAGTCACTAAAGTGAGGAGACACTAGGCATAGTTGAGAATGGAGGTATCACAGTGAAAATGAAAGGTTGGCCAAGCTAATTCTCTCTATAGTAAACCCCTTTGCTAACAGCCTGCACACTTGCCCAGAGCCATCAGTTGGCCTTTTCACCCTCTCACCCCACTTAGACATATAAACAGACTACCAAGTTTACCATGCATGCCAGAGGGAAGCCCATAGCATGACATCTATAGATAAGAAGAAATACACAAAATTAAAACCACTTTGAGGAAACAAAAATTAAACAGGTGCAAGAACACTTAAAATAGTTGATATTTTCAGAGATGTAAGAGAGGATAATATATCTGTAGAGCAAGGATACAATATTGTCTACAAGAGAACATTCAGAAAACAAATAAAAAAGCTCTTGGAAGTTAAAAATGATGGCAGAAATGAAAAACTTGGAAGAACCGAGATATAAGATTGAGAAATTTTCCAGAAAAGAAAGAAGGCAAAGAGATGATAAATAGAAAAAAGGGAAAAAAATATATCAGTGCAGAATGTCTGCACCCAAAATATAGGAGCTGTAGAAAAAAAGAACAGGGAAATTCTGGAGAAGACATTATCACAAAAATAATTAAAACAAATTTCACAGAATGGAAGGGAATGGGTTTCCAGACTAAAGTGGCGCACACCAAGGCACATTGTGAAATTTTAGAATATTGGCAACAAAGTAAATATCCTACATGCCTCCGGAGTGGAGAGTAAAATTTCATACACAAAGTACGTGGAATTGAGATGGCATTGAACATCTCCATAGGAATACTGGAAGCTAGAAGACAATGGAGAAATGCCTTAAAATTTCTGAAGGAAAATGACTCCCTGCATGGAATACTATACCATGCATGCCAAATTGTAAATTTAGGGTAAAGGTAGAATAAAAGACATTTCAGACACAAGTCTCAAAAAGATTATCTTTTACATACTTTCTCCTAGAAAGTAACAATTAAACAAGTGATTAAATCCAGAAAGAGGAAGACACTGGACTCAGGAAAGTGACAATCTATCAAAGGATAGAAAAAAAGAGAATTCCTAGAGCAATTGTCTTAGTCTATTCAGACTGCTATGACAAAAATACCATAAACGGGGTAGTTAATAAACAACAGAAATTTATTTCATACAGTTCTAGAGGCTGGAAAGTCCAAGATGTAGGTACTAGAAGATTCAGTGTCTGGTGAGAACACATTTTTTGATTCAAAGGGACAAATGAGCTTTCTTGGGCTTCTTTTTTAGGGCACAATCCCATTCATGAGAGCAGAGCCTCTCATGAATAATCACCACCTAAAAGGTCCCACCTTGTAAGACCACTGCATTGGGGGTTAGGATTTCAACATATGGATTTTGAAGGGACACAAACATTCTGATTGCAGCAGCAATGGTGAAAGGAGATCTCAAGATGACAACTGTGCACCGGGTACAGAGAGTTACAGGCCCTAATTGGAGCACATCAGAAGACTCTAGGAAAGATTTCTTTAAGCTAGAATTGATAGAACACCTGATAAGAGGATTTAGACAATTGGTGGAGGGCTTGAAGTCAGCTGGATTAGTGATAATTACATGGAAAACTAAACAAAATAAACAATTGTGGACTCTGAGGAAGTAAAAATTGTGTTTAAAAGTGAAAGCAATTCTCTCAGTCACTTAGTCAATTCAGGCTGCCATAACAAACTACCATAGCCTGGGTGGCTTATAAACAATAGAAGTTTATTTCTCACGTTTCTGGAGGCTGGGAAGTCCAAGATCAAGGTGCCAGCAGATTTGGTGTTTGGTGAGGGCTCACTCCCTGATTCACTGATGGTTGTCTTTTTGCTGTAATCTCACACAGTTACTCTCTGGAGCCTTTCTTATAATGGCACTAATCCCATTCATGAAGGCTCAGCCCTCATGACCTAATCACCTCCCATAAGTCCCCACCTCCTCATACCATTGTATTGGAGGTTGGGATTTAACATAAAAATTTTGGGAGGACATGAACATTCAGTCTGTGGCAGCAATCATAATACATTCTATATCTCAGCTGTGAATAGCATTTGTATAACCACAACAGTCTAACAATTGAGTATTGATAAAACCAAAATTAAATATTTTGGGTGGATAGCAAGATGGTAAAAGTGTAAGGGATGAAAGGTGGGAGTAAAGGCGGGGGTTTAAAGGAGCAAAATATTCATCATCTATTATGATAAGTTAACAAATACACTTGAATATATTATATGTAAATCAATATATATTAATATAAGCAATGTCTATTATATATGTATTATATAATATATGACTATAATATATACAATGTAAATATGTGTATTATATACGTGTATATGTATTATACAGTTGAACTTTGAACAACATGGATTTGAACTGTGAGGGTCCACTTATACACAGATTTTCTTCTACCTCTGCCACCCCTGAGACAGCAATACCAACCCGTCCTCTTCTTCCTCCTCCTCAGCCTACTCAATGTGAAGACCATGAAGATGAAAACCTTTCTGATAATCCACTTCCCCTTCATAAATAGTAAATTTATTTTCTCTTCCTTATGATTTTCCTAATAATATGTTTTTTTCTCTAGCTTACTTTGCGGTAAGGATACAGTATATAATACATATACCATACAAAATATGTGTTAATTGGCTGTTTTCTGTTATCGATAAAGCTTCTTTCTGGTTATCAGTAGGTTATTAATAATTAAGCTCTTGGGTAAGCAAAAGTAATACTCAGATTTTTGACTGTGCAGGGGGGTCAGTGCCCCTAACTCCTGTATTGTTCAAGAGTCAATTGTGTGTGCGTGTGTGTGTGTGTGTGTGTGTATTGTGTGTATGTGTAAAAGAATAGCTGCCTATGGGCAGGGAGAAATTGATGAGAGGAGGTGGGGAGGGTAAGGGTTACTAATTTTAATAACCTGCTTTATGATATTATTTGGTTCTTTAAATGATGTGCAGATATAACTGCTAAAACAAAATTCTTTTTATTTATTTAAATTTTTATTTATTTTTTTTAAAATGAAATGGGGTCTTGCTGTGTTGCCCAGGCTGATCTTGGACTCCTGGGCTCAAGCAATCCTCCTGTCTCGACCTCCCAAAGTACTGGGATTACAGTTGTGAGCCACCGCACCTGGCCAAAGTGGAAAGAACGTGAACACTTGATTCAAAATTCTTTAAAATGTTTAGACCATGCATAGCTGTAGGCAGAAGGTCCGTGCCCCCTCATGGACCTTGGGTAGAAATTCAGAGGAAGTATTGGGACTATGAAGAAATCAAGTATCTGGAAATAAGAAGTCATTTGCCAAGCTATTGAGCAGGGATGTCTGGCAAAGGGATCAGGGACCAAAAAAAGGTAGATTTGGGGACCATGTGAACATTCTTTTTAAAAAATTCTTTATGCAGTGTATCCTCTTACATGTGAACATTCTTTAAGGCAGCTTGGAAATGATATGGAGAGGAAAACCAGTTGAAGAGTGAATTTCTGTGGTGTTCAGGATCGTGGCACTCAGAATGGCACCTAGAATAGTACCTTGTTATTTGAGAATTAAAAAGGGAATCTATGAAGCCTGGAGAACATGTGTATATCTGGATTACATGCCTAAATAGCTAACATTATCTAGATCTAATTACTTTACAAATTATACAGCATATTGCAATATATTACATACCACACTGCCCTACAATATATTATATAGCATATCTTAATACTTGATGCTATGGCTTGAATGTTTGTCCTCATGTTGAAATTCACTTGCCATTGTAATAGTATTAAGAGGTAGAACTTTTAAAAGGTGATTAGGCCATGGGGGCTTTCCTCTTATGAATGGATTAATGCCATTATCATGGAAGTGGATTCATTATAGCAGGAGTGGTTTCTTTATAAAAGGGTGAGTTTGGCCCCCTTTTCTTTCTCTCTTTCTTACCTTTTCTCACCCTCTCATCTTCCACCATGGGACAACACAACAAGAAGGCCCTCACCAGACCCTGGATCCTTGATCTTCGACTTCCCAGCCCTCAGAACTATGGGAAAATAATTTTCTATTCTCTGTAATTACCCAGGCTCAGATATTTTGTTATAGCAGCACAAACGATACCATGGCATTTGTGTATGTTGGTTGACATTCTGTATGCAAATACTCATGCCTCTAAGGTTGCCCAGCTCATAGTGGTGTCTTTCCACCAAGCTTCAGGCCACTTAGCACATAGATGGCTATTGACAATTCCACTCATTGATAAAGAGGAGCTTTTGGTTGTTCATTAATTAGTACTCAAGGCAAGTGTGTCTATTTTATGTAAATGTAATTTAAATTCCAATCAACTCTTCTATTTTAGCATGGAGTTATTTATGCCAAAGTACGAGCACATTACAGGGTGAGGATGCACTCTAGGGATACAGGGCCAATCTGCTTAGCTTGGGAA